>NC_000021.9:23595730-24225652 GCF_000001405.40 Homo sapiens | reverse complement strand
CTGAGTCACAGTATGATTCATAGCAAGGTAGCATCATATATCACAAGAACAAAACTGAATACGAGATACAGCTATGCTATCAGCTTTGCATTCTGTTAGTGATGTCTTTGCAATGGAAGCATGAATATCAGTTACAAATTTTCTTATGACAATTGTTTTTCAGATATTGTAACAGCAGGATTTTGTTTTTTATTGCTAGTCAAACCCAGGCTTATGCAAAACATGTAAATTTAACATGATGTAAATTTTAGTGCTTAATGTACTTAAAAACAAAACCTTTCCCAAAACAAATTATTTTACTCTTTTGCTGAAATAGATGTAGCTATTTTTTGAATCAGGTGCAGATTGTATACTTGCATGTGATATATTTCCATTGTCCTGTAAGAAAATTTATATTAATACATTCAAGTTTTAATACTGATTTTTTTCTAAAATTTGTATGAATTAATCAAAGAAAACATGATGAGGCTCTTGGAGACCTTATGTGAGGGTCATATATATGTAAAGTGGCTAGCACACTGTCTGATGCTCATTAGATACATGTTTCAATATCCTATTCTCATGAATCCTTAACTTTAGGATTTACATTCCAGGTATTCTAGGAGGAAAAGAAATGTAACAATATTATTTTTTACATAGACAGAACACACTATTCTTAATTCCTGAACAATCTCATTTACACCTAAAGTTTTAGCTTCCATCTCTAGCCTGGTGACAATCAACTTTCTAATTTCAGCCTTTATCTCTTTTATGCACTTATCATTTAAAGATTTATTATATGGATATTTGGGGCTTTGGTACAATGCTTGGCAGATAATAGAGTGGTCCACAAAGCAAATGCAGCCCTTATTTGCATGGATATTATATCCATTTAGGGTAATGAGAAAATAAGCAGAATGAGGATTCAGCTGTGAACAGGGTATGGTGATGTGTATCAGATATCTCAGTGGAAATGCCAAGCAGAACGTTTGCTGTAACTGAGCTTAATTCCACTTGGAATTAAGTGTATTGCACCACAACTGGAACATGGCCAAACTCATACCTGTTACTGCTTGACCTGGTTCCCTCCCAAACAAATTTTCTCTACTCGCAATCTTTGAGCACAGCCGCTCTATTCAGTCAACTGCAAAACCTGAATATCATTCTAGGCCCGCTATTTACTCTACTTCTCACATCTAGCCAGTTACTCAGTCTGCTAATTCTAACTTCTTTTGCCATTACATTTAATGGCAAAAAACTGCAATTACTTTTGCACCTACCTAATATATCCATCTATAACCTGGAGTACTATAAGAGAATAGAGTGACCTTTCTGGATTTTTCACTGGGCTCTTCAAAGTGTCTTTCTCCAGTGCATATTTAGACAGATCACTTGCCTGTATGAGATGTGAATAATCCCTACTTTAGACATCAAATACAAACTCCAGAGAATGGAATATAATCCCCTCCATCATCTGACCCCTGGTTCTATCTCTAAGCACATCTTTCAAATAGCTGTATCTAGAACTTTGTACCTCAGCTACACTAAAGTAATTTTAATTCCCTAAACTTCAGAATGCTATATAAATTTACTTGGACTGTTTTCTTTGCCTTGACTATCTCTACCATCTTTACTTGACTCATCTCAAATATCACTGTCTCATTGATTTGTTTCCTACCTACTAATAATCATAAATCAGTTGTGAATTCACTCTACAGCATACTTGCCTCAATTTGCTTTTATTTACTTATTACTATTATTTTTTAGTTTCAAGAAATAGTGACTAACAGGTTTTGTTGTTTGGATTGCATAATGCTAAATAAGGAAGAGGCAGCTCTTATGCCTATTCCAGAACATTACTCATAGTGAGCCTGGCCTCATAGAGATTAACAGTGCAGCTACTTCTGGTTTTCAAAGCAACTATAGCAACTGGACAACCAGAACCCATGAAATTCCGTTTTTCTTGGTCTGCATGACCCAGCTATAACCCGCATGCTCTTTTTTCTTTTCACAACTTAGTTCACTTTCAGCTTTTGTGCCTCACTGCACAACACTTTCCCCACATTGCTTTAATTTGCACCTGGCTCATCAGGGCATTCTGCTTTCACTGCATCCTCATAGTCTGTTTGCTATAACTCCAGCAACACACTGCCATAATATATCTGTTTCTTAGTTTGGAAAAAACATTGTGAATAATTAAGCTATATCATTTTGTAAGAAAGGTGACAGAGTCCATATATATGATTGGGTAGTCTTCAGATTGATTGCCCTTTATTGTTTATTCTGGTGCTAGGATGACATGTTTAAAACTGTGACTATCTAGTTAAAGGAGTAGGGGCTCAAAAACTTTACATTAGGGAGGTGTATGAATGAGGTTGAGATTAATTCAAAACATTTTAACTTTTAATCATTATTATGTACACTTTTATTTTCTAATTACCAATATACTTCTACCTAAATGTTGATCTCACCGCCATGCATACCACCAAAGACATACATATCCCTTTTTCAAGAAAAAGTGAGGAATATATACGGATATAAAGTGTCACAGCCATTTGAAGTGTTTTAAATTTTAGAGCCCCAGAAGTTCAAGTCATATTCACCATTTTCATAGTTCATAGTTTCGTAGCTCACATGAGTTATATTTAGACATCTTTTCTAATTATTGGCAGCCTATGAAATAAATAGCGAATGTTAACACCAATAACACTACCATATGAAATAATTAGAAAAGAGCAGCAAGACTGCAGAAGCAGTTCCTTTTTAGGGAAGGAGATAAAGGACAGCTTACAGCACAAAGCTCTGGCCGTCTCTCTAAAATAACCATCTGTCAAGATAAAGTATGTAGTAAAGCAGTCAGTTACATGGGCTTTCTCTCTTTTTCCTTCCTTCCTCCCTCTCTTGTTTTCTTCCATTTTGTTTATTCATTTGTTTTTGGTGTGTGTGTGTGTGTGTTACAGTATATTAAGTTCTTTAGATAACACATCTGATTTTTTAGGATTCTGCCTGCCGGAGAGCTACTCTGTAAGACGATGCTTCTCCATAGAATTTCACTTATACCTGAGGCTGGCATTTTTTGTTCTGAGACCTTAAGTTGGTCTGATGAGCAGTGGGTCACTTTGGATTTACTTCAGCGCAAACTAATGATCATCAAATTTAACTGGATGTGACTGTATCAATCTTTATAGCATTAGATCACTCATAAGGAATAGAGTTTATCTAGGCAGCAGTTGTTTCACTGATTGTACCAGAAAAATTTCTCTTTGAAGCCGCTCTGTTCAACCTACCCTCATTTGACATCCCTGACCTCAAAATGCCAACGCCACTCAGAAACCAAACAGGTGGCAAGGTGGTTTCCCACCCTGCAGGGACATATGCTCCATAATTGTCTTTATTTTTCTAACTCATGACTCTGCAGAAGATTCTGCACCACTGGGAGGCAAATTCCTCACATGTTCTTAGTATAAATCGTTAAGTACGAAAATCCACATACATGGTATCTTTTATCTAATGATGACAGCATTTTCAATACATTTTCAATATGTCCATAAACTTAGTAATGTATCCACTTTCTGGTCTGATCATTATGACCATAAAAGAGAAGATATGGATTAAATGATATAAAATTGGCCATTGAGGATGCTGCCCATGTAGAATAGGGGAGAGAATAATGAATGGTTTTCCTTAGAAGGTGATGTGGGTAAAAAACAAATACAGAATGTTATCACCAGTTTGACTTTATAAAGCTTATGTTTAAGGCATTTTGTTGTTCTGTTATATTTACATTCTTTCAAAGTTACTGGTTTGTGTTCAACTCAAAACTCTATAGTGTTAAATACATTAATAATAAAGAAGAAACAAAAATGTGTTGCATTTTTCATAACAACTATGATACTAAGCAGCGATTGTCATGAATACAAAAACAGGAAACTAGCTCTTACAGGTATTTACTATTATATTACAAGTATTTCCAAGTATATTATGTAAAATTAAACAATTTTCCCAAAGTTTTGAAATACTGAATCCAGGCATTAGCTACAAAAGGAAAAAAAAAATAAGATTTCTAAAGCCCTGTTTACTTTAGTAATTACATGTGTCCTATTATATATTTGACCAAATAACATGTGTTCTGATTTGTCTATTTAAGCATAAAAACAAAAGTTTTAAAATAATTATTTGGGATCCATTCAAAACACTCTTCACTTTGTGTGGTCTTGTAAATACATATAAAATATAATACAAATATAAATGATACTTTTAAAATAGTGGCATATTGATAAAACATTGAACATAATTTTAAAACACTTCTGATTCTCACATTTTTACAGCACTGTAAACATTTTGTTTACACTATGTGTTAATTATTTTAGGATAAGAATATATTTTAGATAGAGATAAAGAATGTATTCGATATAGAATATATTTTAGGATAAAAATAGAATATAATTACTTTAGGATAAGAATATATATAATACAATTGTTGAGATGGGCAGGCTGGAAGACAACTAGAGTCAACTGATACAGGTAAGTTAGAAACATTATGTGTATATTGCAAATAAAAAACAGAAACATACGTACTTTTCCCCAACTAAATCCACCAAGTTCCATATATTATTTTTGCCTTGTTTGATTTTCAGAGTTCTCTACATCTGTTAATATAAAGCCATGTATTATAAATCAAGGGAACACAGAAGCAATTCACATTAATGCTTTGTATAATGAACTAAAATCTGTCCAAAATTAGACGTGAGATCTAGAATCCTGGAATACAACACAACAATTGTAAAGAAGACTTAAAAGATACACTTTTAGGGGAGGGTGTGAACAGCTTTAACTTGATTACAGTTTTTGTAGACATTGCAACATCAATGAAAGTTAGCAGTAATACTTCTCGTGCATACTGCTTATATGTCTGAAGATTATCTAACTCTGATAATAACTGTTCATTGTATTAGTATACGCTTTGCAAGAACTCTTGTCAACACCTGACTCATGCCAGTGCCCAGTGTGAAGTGATTTACTGTACTGAGGGCTGTAGTGCATGTGTTGTTTCATGCCAGATGTGCCTGCCTGCAATTTGGTTCTTTTATTGAGATTAAGCCATTCTCAGAAAGACATGGAGGAGTTGAAACACTTGCCTCCTGCAGAGAGTCTGAGATTCATTCATTAAACTTACTGTAGCAAAAATGCAGTAAGTATGTGGCATTGTTATGAATCTTGTTTTAGATTTTCCCATGTTTAACGCAAATCTGTGATAGTCAATAATTCATCATAGAAAGATAAATCTATGGGTAATGTGAGGTTTCTATCTCAGTGCCTTCAGGCATTAGGAAAAATGTGTACACACTGCATATTTTAAAATTTTTGCTATGCAAAGTTTGGTGTATATAAAAACATATACAATACACAAATATATTATATATATACACAAATTTATTATATATATACACACAAATACATATATATATGAAATTTTTGGAGGAAAATGACCTAGATATGATTCATGGAGAATACTATTTTTAATTGATTGATGTTAGAATTACCCTTCTGGATTATTAACTGGTTAGTCTACTTTTTAATAGAAATCTTTTTTATATTTTTCTAACTTTTGTTGAATTTAGATCTTGAATTTAAAAATGCACTATTAAATTATGTTGGGGATGTTTCTTATATTTTAATTCAAAACGCTACAAGAATGAGGCTTCTAAATTATTTAGACATGGCATGTTTTTAAATCCCATACACTGAATAATGTATATATCATCTTAAGTTTTCATTCAGCATATCTAAACTACATAACATACTACCATTAGAAAACTGACTTTTAGGTATAATAACATATTAGAATTTTATGAAGCAATAATAACAGGAAAAAATATTTTATTTATATATTTTGCATCCAACCCCATTATATTTAACACCACAGTAGAAAAAGGAAAAAGAAGTATGCCTCTTATTTGTAAAAAAAGAAGTTTCCTAGGAGAGTGAAAAAAAGTGTTACAAAAGGCAAAGAGACTATATGGAATTATTCTGAAATGTATTTCTTAGTATTTGCACTCTATGATATTTTAAATCACATTTATCTCCTTGGGATAGAACAAGTAAGAATTGACTAGGGAGGCAATTATTTAGCCAATTAGATTCGTATTTGAAAAGCCTTAGCTTACTGAAGTAAAATATAGATTTAAGAACAGTAAAATAATGGAAAAGCCTTTGGTAGAGATTGGAGAAACATCAGCCATGGCAAGAATGCTGGCTCTTGATGAGCAAGCCACTGCCCAGAGATTATCTAGAAGAGTTATTGTGAAAAGAGTTATATTAGGTAATACTGGCTGTGGATGATGGGATTCCCAAGCACTCCCTTCCTCAAACGGAAATGGCTACCTCACCAGATTACAATTTCTTAGTTCTTTATTGTTGTTGTTGTCGTAAGAGACAGAACCTTGCTCTGTCACTCAGGCTTCAGTCAGTGGCACAATCACAACTCACTGTAGCCTCCATCTCCTGGGCACAAGCCATCCTCCTGCCTCAGCATCCCTAGCAGCTAGGACTGCAGGTGCAGACCACCACATCTGACCCTCAGTTCTTGAGTTCTTGAAGATAGACTACATGTATGTCATTAATAAACAGGCTGCGAATCTGTGTCTTTTCCCATTAAGTAGTTAGGACAGATGCTATTACTAACAGTTCTGTTTTCCTCCGTGTTCTCTAACCTGGTATCAGATCCTGTACTCAATCAAATGACTGTCCAATACAGTGAGTCATGCTGATAGAAGAATCTAGATTTCACCAAATAAACAATATAATTGAATATCAGATAATTATTAATTGTTTTGGGACTTCAGACTCCTTTTATTTTTCAAATAAAACCTCTAGTTAATAATTTCTATTTATAACTGGTGTCAAACACACACATGTAGTATATAACAGAAACGAGGTCTTTTAAAATGCCAACTTCTAATTAATGAATGATTTCCAAGTTAAATTTATTGTACACTTAATTTTCCAGCTGTCTCTATCAGAAATTTAGAATTGCCTTAAATAAGCACTCTCACACATTCCCATTTGTAAATATATATATTTACACATATTATATATATAATATATACTATATATAATATATATGCGTCAGAAATTACATATATGTAATATATGTGTGTCAGAAAATAAATATATAAATATATATTATATATATTTATAAATGGGAATATATATATGTATAAAAAATAGGTACTATCTTTGTGAGCCTCCTTAATTTTCAATTCTTTTTTTTTTTTTTTTTTTGAGATGGAGTTTGCTCTTGTTGCCAAGGCTGGAGTGCAATGGTGCAATCTTGGCTCACTGCAACCTCCAGTCCCCAGGTTCAAGCGGTTCTCCTGCAACCTCCGCTTCCCAGATTCAAGCGATTCTCCTGACTCAGCTTCCAAAGTAGCTGGAATTACAGGCGTGCACCACCATGCCCGGCTAACTTTTGTATTTTTAGTAGAGACGGGGTTTCACCATGTTTTTCAGGCTGGTCTCAAACTCCCGACCTCACGTGATCTGCCTGCCTCTGCCTCCCAAAGTGCTGGGATTACAGGCCTGAGCCACCACACCCATCCTCCAATTCCTGTTCATAGACTTTGATTGATACTTATAACTTCTCACCTGTACAGGTACAATAGCTTTCTATTTGGTCTTTTGGTCTTTATGCTTACTTCCCCTATGATACATTGTTGATACAGATACCAAAATAAGCTTTATAAAATAAGCATCTAATTATGCTACTCCCTTGTCATAAAACCCTTAAATGATGTGAGTTTTAGCCAGCAGCCCAAGTCAGGACCCCTGATGAAGGTTATTAAAATAATAATGATAATGATCAATACTGGTTCCCAAACACTACTATTCCAGCCTTACTAAAGTAGAATCTCAATTTAGGTGTTTTATCTCTCTCTCTCTCTCAACTTAGAAGGTAAATAAATGCACACTCTAGATTAGGAGTCACTAGTGTAATGGCCTGCTATTACCTACAACATAAAATGTGGCTTGACTCACAAGGCTATTAAAATATAACTCCACTTAGCTTTCTAGCCTTACATGCTGCACCTGAGGAATACTTAAGTGCTCACAGTTCTCTGAATTCTCAATGATCTTTAATTGTTTTGTGTCTTTAATCTATATGGAATGCTTTTCACCACTTTGCCCACTGGCCGATTTCTATTCTATTATTAACAGTAATTCCCAAGGCAAATGTCAGCATTTTTTTCTCATAGAGCAACCATACCACTACACTCATACTCCTTTTGGCACCAAGAATGCTGTGCTATAATGTGCATATATTTGTCTCCTTCACCAGGGAATAATTTTCTTGAGGTTAGGGATGGTGATTCATTCCTCCTCATACGGACATGGTTTGACAATAGTCAGTGATTGGCATATAGTGAACACTCAATAAATACTTTTGAATCCAGGAATGAAAGGATGTGTTAAACGTTTAACATGCTTTCACAAAATCAATAGTTTCTTTAGGAAAAAAAACGGCATTTTGTTAATAATAACCACTAAGTAATTAATGGATGATTGCCTAATACCTGAAGTGTTTTCTGAATAATAATTCCACAGGAGAAAAAGAAAAAAATGACATTCTGTTTTCAATATTTGAATCTGAAATTGTATATATTATTCGTATTTTCTGACATCTCCACTTACTGTTTAAAGCCAGATAAAAATGGCAGGCTTATAAGATGTTTAATGACAAATGAAGAAGAATATAAACTAAAGATGAAGCTTGCCTCTTATATTATCTTACATAGCCCTTGAACTAGTAAAGCTAAGCCATTCTTATGATGGAAGATTAGATAATTTAAGGATATTATAAGATAAATTTTAAGTAGAAAACTTTTCACTGTTATCCAGATTGGAGTGTTTAAATGTTTTTTATAATATGCCTTCTGGCATAATATCTATGTGAAATAGTTAGATCCACTAGCCATGTTTTTAAGCAATGTATATTTGATGTAAATTCTAAAAACTAATTAGGTTTGCAAATAAATTATGGTATGGTGAGCCATCCATATAATTTACAATGTGAAAGAAAGAAATATATTTTGACAATATATTTTCCATATTCGGAAACACTAGAAGCTACAGTAAGCAAACTGTTTTAGCTCAATCCTGTAAATCTTAACATTTACTTGAATTATTAAAATTAAAACAGCTAACAGACCCAAGAGAATATTCCCCCTATGACTTGCTGTGACGGTTTAGACATCCTTCAGAGATCGCAGTTTTTGATCTGTTACAGCAAGGACATTAGCTTCTTTTCCATGGAGTTGTCTGGAGTTCAGAGCTAAGATCAGGTTATACTGACTGTGTGTCATCTACGTAGCACTGTCTGAAGTAAGCTAAAATCCTGGACTTTTAAGCAATATGCCCTCTAGCTGGCCACATCTTGAAATCCTTGCCATTGGTGTTACTAATACATAGATTGTAGTATCATTGCCTCTAAAAGGCTGCAGAGACAATATGATAAGCAGTAGCTTCTAAAATCACAGTAATTTATTTGTAAGAGTTAATATGCTATTTAATATGTAATTAATAAATTCAGTTAAGAGTTAACATGCTATTTAATATGTAATTAATATATTCGGTTCTAAGATAGTGAAATCAAGGATAGCCAATTTTCCAGTTCATAGAAACTGCACAGACTTTTTGAATGTGAATGCTGAGTAAAAAAGGAACTATGAGCTTCTCATTGAGTGCAGGGAATTGTGAAGTTTCTAGTGCCCCTGGACAAAGGCAAATGAGAAAAAAGAATGCTAAAAATGAAGTGTCAGTAAGGATTTTTGTCTTACCCCTCAGGATGTGGTGATGATTAAATTGGAAAAGGGAATAACACATGTTAGAAAAGGTAAACTATAAAATACAGGGCAAGGTCTTCTAAAAATAATGAAGGGACTTACTTAAGTGTCAAAATAAAGCAAAATATCACTTCTACACTGCTTTGCACAGTGATTTTTAAGAATTTTGATAGGATTCCACAGTCCCAATATTTTTTAAAGTATGTTTGTCTATTAAATAGCTTAAAGTATTTGAAAGTTCACTAGTAGCATTGAAGCTACTGGATGCCCAAGTTTCTACATAAATGCTTTTTTAATCTCTTGATTTGAGAGCTGTTTACTCTAATAGTTTATTCATTTGGCTTTTCTAGAAACAACAACATGGAATTCTTTTGGCCTGTGACCTTGAATTTCTGTTCTTTGAAGGCACCCATGGTGGAAAGAAAGGTGTGGGACGTGGGAACACTCACTTCCCTTTCAGCACTTCAACCAGAAGATTCCTGGTTATTCTATTTATTTGGCAACCTCGTAATATATATGACAGATTTTCCATGCTGTATGTAAGTTGGAAAATAAATACTCTAAAGGCAGAGAACACAAAATGGGATACAAAAGCAGGATGAAAACTATAGACACGGTATGTTTTTTCTTGTACAGTGTTTTCAATATTGTCAATTTAGGAATAAAGAAAGAGCATTTCCAGCTTATTCTGAAAAAACACCTAGTTATATATGGCTTGCATTTTCATAATGCAATAACTAGCTAGAACAAAGAAACTATAGTCTCCATTAAAAGGGATTTTCAATCTTTGCCCTCCTCCCGTCCCTTCCAGCATTGCTGTCACTTAAAATTCTCTACAGAAGAAGCAGGATTGAAAACAATAAAAATAAAATTAAAAAGTAATTCTTCATGGCCTGCTAGCCTCACTTATTTGCATCACCTATTAAGCTCATGTACACAGTTGAATACTATTATTGCTAGATTATTTCAATGAATAGTGAATCAACAAGTCAAATATATAACAGCTAAAATATGAGAATGAGGATAAGACTAATAACTGAGGGCCTCTTCTTTCCCTTCCTTTCTTCCCTCCCTCCCCCTTCTCTCTTTTCTTTCCTTGCTTCTTCTCTCCTTCCTCCCTTCCTTCTTTCCTTTCTTACTTCCTCCCTCCCTCCCTTTCTCTTTCTCTCTCCCTCCTTCTCTTTCTTTCTCTTTATCTCTTTCCCTCAGTCCCTCCCTCCCCCTTTCCTTCCTTCCTTCCTCCCTCCCTTTCTTTTGTTTTTTATTTCACAACAGATGAGAAACCTTAAACTTAAATATTTTAAATATATACATTTTTCATAACTCAAGTTAAACTATAATTTGAACCCCCATTCTTCTAGGGTGATCACACTCAAATTAAACAACAGGATTCCTTTCTTCCCCCCCACCCCCGCCCCAGTTATCAATAGTCTGGAACATGACTGCAATGTCATAGTTCCATTTCTCCTTCAAATAGCTTGTGCACATGGGAGCCCTCTGAGACTTCCTCACTCATCGGTGTGGGCTGCCACTAATCTGATCCTTTTGCATGATGGCTATTTTTCACAGGAGAATAACTGTTATTCCCATGTCAGGCTTCAGGGCATGAGCGACATTGGGTGTATTATTTATAACTCTGGGGCATGAAAATCTCTATAAGGTTATTAATGGTTCTTTCCTGCTTTCTTCAGAGTCACACCCATTCCCAGAACCAGTGATCACAGAACACAGTAGGCCTAAATGCATAATAGAAAAGAGAGAGAAATATTGAGAGAAAAGGGAAAAATACGTAACCTTACTTACAAACAGAATCAACAATCCATACAATTGCAATGATTTAATCACGTTCTTAAGTTTATTCAAGCAGGTAATGTCACTCTGTGATGGGAATCCAAATATAGTTATAAAAGTTTCATGATACGAAGGGATAGGTAAACCAACCAGCTGGAAACTTAATTGAGTTAACCGGACCATAAAGTATACAAATGTCTAACATCTGTAATTGAATAGGGAAACAAATAACGTAGAGTGTACTAGCACAGAAAACAAGGAGGGGCATAGTTATTCCCAGTGCTAATGAATAGATCTCACAAATATATCAGAAAGGGACATTACAGTATGCACAAATAAAAGAGAATCAATAATATTGTTTGTTGACAAAGAATTAGGAAAAATTATAAATGGAGTTTAAATTGGTAAGTATTGCATAGTCATTTGAGAAATAACATTCAAGACACCATCAGCCAAAGTCTTAATTTCAGAATTCATTTGTTGGCTTTGCAAGTTGCATGTGAATGCATGCACACATACACATACTTTATTCATATGAGCTAGAAGAGTTACACTGTGGAAGTGTGCTCGGCTCATATTTTATAGACACGTTATTGTAACATATTTAAGATTATAGTAGCATTTTTTACATGCTTAATATACTTCATGTTTTTAATTTTTTTATACTTTAAGTTCTGGGCTATATGTACAGAACATGCAGGTTTTTTATACAGGTACACACGTGCCATGGTGGTTTGCTGCACCTATCAACACGTAATCTACATTAGGTATTTCTCCTAATGCTATCCCTCCCCTAGTCCCCCATCCCCCGACAGGCCCCAGTGTGTGATGTTCCCCTCCCTGTGTCCAGGTGTTCTCATTGATCAGCTCCCACTTATGAGTGAGAACATGCAGTGTTTGGTTTTCTGTTCTTGTGTTAATTTGCTGAGAATGATGATTTCCTGTATCATCCATTTCCCTGCCAAGGACATGAACTCAATCAATCGTTTTTATGGCTGCATAGTGTTTCATGGTGTATATGTGTCATATTTTCTTTATCGAGTCTATCACTGATGGGCATTTGGGTTGGTTCTAAGTCTTTGCTATTTCGAGCAGTGCCACAATAAATATATGTGTGCATGTGTCTTTATAGTAGAATGGTTTATAATCCTTTGGGTATATGCCCAGTAATGGGATGGCTGGGTCAAATGGTATTTCTAGTTCTAGAACCTTGAGGAATCGCCACACTGTCTTCCACAATGGTTGAACTAACTTACACTCTCACCAACATTGTAAAAGACTTCATTTTTTTAAAGAAGTTTTAGGTTCACAGCAAAATTGAGCAGAAGGTACACAGATTTCTCATATACCCCCTGCCTCCACACATCTGTAGCCTCCCCTATTATCAACATCCCCCACCAGAGTGCTGCATTTGTTGCAAAGGAACAATCAATATTAATAAATTATTATCCAAGGATATAGTTAATATAAGGCTTCACTCTTGGTCTTGTACACTGTATAGAATTGGGCAAATTTATAATGCCATGTATCCATCGTTGTAGTATCACACAGAGTTGCTTCACTTCCCTAAAAATTCCTTGTGCTCTGCCGATCATCTTTCCCTCCCCACACCAACACCCCAGCAACCACTGATCTTTTTACTGTCTTCATAGTTGTGCCTTTTCCAGACTGTCATATAGCTGGAATCATGAAGTACGTAGCCTTTAAGACTGGTTTCTTTCACTTAAAAATGTTCATTAAGTTTTGTTCCATGTCTTCTCATGACTCTGTAATTCATTTCTTGTTAGGTTTGAATAACATTTCATAGGCTGCATTTAGCACAGTTTATCCTTTTACCTACTGAAGGATATCTTGGTTGCTTTCAAGTTTTGGCAGTTATGAATAAAGCCATTACAAATATCTGTATGTAAGTTTTCTTGTTGATATAAATTTTCAACTCCTTTGGGTAAATACCAACAAGAGCGATCGTTGGATCTTATGGGAAGAGTAAGTTGAATTATGTAAGAAATGCCAACTGTCTTCCAAAGTGGCTATATCACTTTCTATTTCTATCAGCAATGGAGGAGAGTTCCTGTTGCTCGACATCCTCACAAGCATTTGATGTTGTCAGTGCTGTGGATTTTAGATATTCTAACAGGTGTGTAATCATATTTCTTTGTTTTATTATTTTTCCATTACATTGATGAGGCATAATGTGGATAATCAATTACTACATTTATTTGCCATATGTCTATCTTCCTTGCTGACATATCTGTTAAGAACTTTAGCCCATTTTTTAATTGGGTAGTTTGTTTCCTTACTGTTGAGTTTTAAATGTTGTGTATTTTGGGAAACAGTTATTTTTCAAATATGTCTTTTGCAAATATTATCTCCTAGTCTGTAGATTCTATTTTTATTCTCTTCTCATTGTCTTTTGTATAGCAGAAACTGTTAATTTTAATGAAGTACAGCTTTTCAATTATTTCTTTCATAGATTGTGCCTGTAGTGTTGTACCTAAAAAGTCTTCACCAAACCCTAGGTCATCTAGATTTTCTCCTGTGGTAACTTCTAGGAGTTTTACAGTTTTGTGTTTTACATTTAGATCATAGTAGTTTTGATTACTTAAGTATATTAATCACAGTTAATAATCTAAGTTCAAATTTATTTCTGGAGTACCATTGTTTTCTCACATTGTGCTGCTGGACAGACTAATTTCTTCAGAGGAGAGGTAAAAAAGCTCTGTTACTTTTGGTGTCATTGCTATTCTACTACATGGTTTGTTTAAATCTTAGAAGTAATTTTTAAAATATTGTGCTCCTTTGACAGTAATTTCCAACAGAACCTCACAATTTGTCAATTAATATTTTTGTCAGAGAAATCAATCTCTTCATTTTGACACTTGCTATCACCATCATCCCTAGATGAGTACAATCTCTTAAGTTTTTCCCAAGCTTCCTTTTACTCTAGTTTACCAATGAAATATATAAGCAAAAGTCCTCCAGGGAACAAAGTTAGGGACCATAAAGCACATTGGACAAAAGAGTCATACCAGCATAGAATAAGACTATAGCAGATGGACTAGTTAAGAAATTAACCTTACAGCCGGAGGAGAGAGTTTTCACTCCTTCCACCTGGGAGATTTGATAATTTCCTTGGGTCAATAAATACAGTAGGTGTCTTAATCTTTCTTTTCCAAATTAAAGTTTTAGTTTTGGCTTTTAGTTCTTTTTCCCGTGTCGTATATTTGATGTCCTAGGGTAACTTCAATTTTAGTTGATTGGTTGTCAGTTTACAAGGAGATTATGTAAACCTAATATGAAAACCAATTTTGAATTTTAAGCTGGAAAACTAACTGCTTAGGTCAATTTGTGCTATCTCCCTTGAGGAGGAGATGATTGGGTTTTATGTATGGTAAGCAAGATACAGTCAGCAAACTTAATGCCCCTAAGCTTACGTTAATACAAATATCATCGTTATATCCAATAAACTAAAACATCCCAGAATGCCCTGACTTGGAGGCCTTATCCTGTGTTTCTGCCATTGCTTCTGTTTTGTTTTGTTTTATCTGCATAATGGAGAAAATGATAATTTTATTGTATAACTTTGCAGAGATGATGATATGAGATAATTTGCATAGACAATTTGTCATGACAACGTATGACATATATATCTTAGCTACTATATTTGTGATTGTTAGTACATTACAGTTATTCTTCTTCCTGTCAGGCCTGGAGCAGTTCACGGAGGTTAGGATGCTTGTCTAATCCGTATTTCCTCTTGGGACTTAATAATCTTGTCAATCTCTTGTTCATTCTAAAAGTCTTTCTTAAACATACTGGAACCCCCAGGAACACACTACTCCCCGAACCCAAAGATAAATACTATATAATTTAAAAACGTTTGCAATTGCTGCTGTTTCCTTGAAAACTATTGTACTCTTGTCTATGAAGTGTCCATCTACATAGAGTAATTGGTTTCCTCTCTCATTTATTTAATGGAGGCACCAAGTTTATGCAGCAATCATTCTATTGTTCCTTAATCAGTGTTCTCTCCCATTCCTCACTGTACGTTTTTCAGAGCTTCTCATACCAATTCAGTATCCAAACCTTTTTGCACTTACTTCTGTCTTACAGATTGACATGTTGTTATTTTGTCAACAAAATAAAAGGAAGGAAATATTTCAACTTCCTGCTGTCGAATACACAGGCCTACTTGTACTGATTTCTCTTTTCTCCCCCAATTCTCTCTTCTTATGAAGATAAGGTGTATCATGTCTTTTTGAAATAATCTCTGTATTTCAGGACATCTTGCCTTTTCAGAGGTTTTTGCTCTTTTTATTTCTTCTCTTTAAATTCTAACTCATCACAATTGTCTTAGTCCATTTGTACGACTATAAGAAAATACCCGAGCCTCCGTATTTTATTAGAAAACATATTGGGAGGCTGAGGCGGGCGGATCACGAGGTCAGGAGATGGAGACCATCCTGGCTAACATGGTGAAAAACCGTCTCTACCAAAAATACAAAAAATTAGTCAGGCGTGGTGGCAGGCGCCTGTAGCCCCAGCTACTCGGGAGGCTGACGCAGGAGAATGGTGTGAACCCGGGAGGCAGAGCTTGCAGTGGGCTGAGATCACGCCACTGCACTCCAGCCTGGGCACAGAACGATACTCCGTCTCAAAACAAACAAACAAAAGAACAAAAAAACCTTAAATTTACTTCTTGTAGTTTTAGAGGCTGAGCAGTCTAAAACCAAGGCACTAGCATTTGGTATCTGTTGAGGACCTTCCTGCTACATCCTCACATGACAAAAGGTGGAAACGCTACGGCCTTACCTGATGGAAATGAGAGGTGACAATAGCAGCCCTCGCTGGCTCTCCGCGTCTCCTCGGCCTCGGTGTCCACTCTGGCCATGCTCGAGGAGGCCTTCAGCCCGCCACTGAGCTGTGGGGCCCCTCTCTGGGCTGGCGAGGCTGGGGCCGGCTCCCTCGCTTGCGGGGAGGTGTAGAGGGACAGGCGCGGGTGGGAACCCGGGCTGCGCGCTGCGCTGGCGGGACAGCGCGAGTTCCGGGTGGGCGCGGGCTCAGCGGGTCCCGCACTGCAAGCGGCCGGCTTGCACCGCTGGCCCTGCGCAGTGAGGGGACTTAGCACCCGGGCCAGCAGCTGCGGAGGGTGGGCCGTGTCCTCCAGCACTGCCAGTCCTCCCGCGTCGTGCTGAAATTCTCTCCGAGGCTCAGCCGCCTTCCTGTGGGGCAGGGCTCGGGACCTGCAGCCCCCCATGCCCGAGCCCTCCCCCAACCCCGCCGTGGGCTCCCTCGCGGCCCAAGCCTCCCCTGCTCCGCGGGGCCTGGTCCCTTCCACCGCCCAAGGGCTAAGGACTGCCGGCGCTGCAGTGCAGGACTGGCGGGCAGCTCCGCCCATGGACCGGCGGAAGATCCACTAGGGGAAGAAGCCAGCTGGGCTCCTGAGTAGGGTGGGGACTTGGAGAACTTTCATGTCTAGCTAGAGGATTGTATATGCACCAATCAGCACTCTGTGTCTAGCTCGGGGTTTGTGGATGCACCAATCAGCACTCTGTATCTAGCTAATCTAGTGGGGACTTGGAGAACTTTTGTGTCTAGCTAAAGGATTGTAAATGTACCAATCAGCACCCTGTGTCTACCTCAAGGTTTATACACGCACCTATCAGTGCTCTGTGTCTAGCTAATCTAGTGGGGACTTGAAGAACTTTTGTGTCTAGCTCAAGGTCCCTAAATGCACCAATCAGCACCCTGTCAAAACGGACCACTCAGCTCTCTGTAAAATGAGCCAATCAGCTCTCTGTAAAATGGACCAATCAGCAGGATGTGGGTGGGGTCAGATAAGGGAATAAAAGCAGGCTGCCTGAGCCAGCAAAGGCAACTGGCTCAGGTTCCCTTCTGTATCGTGGAGGGTTTGTTCTTTTCCTCTTTGCAATAAATCTTGCTGATGCTTGCTCTTTGGGTCCACGCTGACTTTATAAGAAGGTGTGCAGCTTCACTCCTGAGGCCAGCGAGACCATAAACCCACTGGCAGGAAGAACATCTCCAGACGTGCCGCCTTAAGAACTGTAACACTCACGCGAGGGTCTGCGGCTTCATTGGTGAAGTCAGAGAGACCAAGAACCCACCAATTCCGGTCACAGAAGGGGGGAAAGACAAAAAAGTTCCTACATTATTTCCTACTGGCCGTTTTATAAGGCACTAATCCATTCTTAAGGGCAGAGCCCCCATGAATTAATCATGTCCCAGAAGGCCCTGCCTCTTGATACCACCACAGTGGGAATTATGTTTCAACATAAATGTTGATAGGTGCATAAATGTTCAAACCGTAGCAATAGCTTACTTCATTTCAGCATTTAAATAGGATTCATCATCCTGTACTTGACAATATAAAATTCTTCTTACATCTCAAGGATATTTTGACTTTGAGATTTTTCCATTTTCTGAAGATCAAACTTACTGAAATAACTGTCTTTACTCAGTGTCTCTATTATTAATATTTCACTATTTATTCTTCTATTGATTCTATTTGGATTTATGATGCCACTTCTGTACTTAAACTGCGCTTTCCCAAGTCTCATACCAACATCCCCCGATAGCAGAGTAGACACTTTTGCAATATCAACACACTGAACAGAACTGAGCACTCTTTCCATTATAAAAATACATGTTTTGTTTCATATTCTTTACCATGCTCTTACACTGCTACTGCTCATGACAATCTCTGTTGTAGGCTCATTTTTAGATGAGCTGGATGCTATCATGGCTTCATCCACCACCTTTTTTGACAAATTGCACATTGATAGTTTCAGGCTGAATTCTTCAATTCCTCTCTCAAATTTTAAATTTCTAAAACCTACTATATACTTGATGTCTCTTGTTGAAACTACAATATGTTTCTCCATTTCAGCTTGCCCAAAACCGAATGAACTATCATATTGCTCACCAAAGCACCTGTTATTGATTTCTGATCTCAGTAGATGGCAAAATTGTCCAAAATTAGGACACTATTGGTACTGTTCAACCCAGCTTACAAGGCATTTCAAGAGCTTACACCTGTCTCCCTTTCAAACAACACCCCAAGCCATGCCCCAGCATCTACACAAAATTTAATTCTGTCCTTTTTTGTAAGATTCACATTTGTTTGGTCAGCAGTTCTTTCTCCAAGTTTCTCCTCTGCCTAACACCACCTTTTCTTGGCCCCTTGCTCCAGACAGACACACACACACACACACACACACACACACACACACACGAGAGACTCAATTCTATTCATTCATCAGTTCCCAGGTCAAGTTTTCCTGAATGCTCTCTCCATACTTTTCTGTAATAGAAGCCATTTGTATGGGCTCTTCTGAACCCATGCCCCCATGAGTGAGCATATCACATCTTTATTTATTTGCATTGCTAATAATTTATCTCTCAAATAAAATCTTTACAACCCCATAGTCTCTCCTACATTGTTTACCTTTGAATCTCCAATCCATTGTACAATGTATTAATAAGCCTGAAAGAATAAAATAATATTGTCTTAGTTTACTGGGACTAATAAAAATGTACTATAGACATGTTGTGCGTAAACCAACAATCATTTATTTCTCAAAGTCGTGAAGACTGGGAAGACCAAGGTGCCAACAGTGTACGAAAAGAGCCCACTTTTTAATTTATAAATGGCTGTCCTCAGGAGTTTATAAGGCCGCTAAGCTCCTTCATTAGTGCTCTGCCCTCATGGCCTTACCACCTCCCAAAGGCTCCACCTTCTGATATCGTTATACCGGGGGTTAGATTTCAACATTTACACTTTGGGGGAACACAAACATTCAGACGGTAGCAAATAAGTAATGTGACATGTTTCTGTTGCTGCTCCTACCGTTTTTACTCCATTTCCCCACCAGCCAACCACAGTTGTGTCTTCATTCTTATACATAATATTTATACTTTCTAAAAATAAAGGAAGATAACATTCAAATCACGTTAGAATCAAGTAACAGACAGTGCTGAAAATTAGGGTGTATAATTAAACACAGATTTTTTAGTAAGTGGAGAGTTAATGCAAAGTAATCATCACTGGAAGGATGTCAAAACCAAGAGCTTAGGATTCATGCTCAGTTTAGTCAATTAAAGTTAATTGAAATAACCATTGCATTAATAAAGTTCTTAGTAGAAATGTGTGGTTAATGTTAATCCATGAATTATTTAACAGAATACATTATGAAAACAGGGTGATGGAATATTCTCTGTACTCATTAACGCCAAAGATAACATTAAAAAACAAGAGAGGACAAGAAGGTGGCTACAAATGCAGAAGATAAAATCACCACCTTTAACGTGAACTTGGAAAATGAAAAAATACATGGAAGAAATGCAATCAAGATAAGATGAGGGTAGTATGTTTGAAGAGAAACATAAATTTTCAATGCAAAAATATGAGAAATGCAAATATGGCCAAAGAATAGCTAAGTGTCATAGTAGATAAGAATCTAGCCATGAGTGATACAGCTCTGGAGAAAGCAAACACAGTGCTGAATTTCTAAATAGGAGACAGGCACTGAGAAACCATGAGGTAATTCTTATGTTGTATTCAGTTGTGCCTTGACTTGTTTTCCTAATCAAAATCAGTGCTTCTTTGGGAAATGTAAAGAGAGTTCTGGAGAAAGCAATGGAATTCGTTTTAAAATTAGTGATAAAGAAATGCAATGAAAAAAGGAATATTCTGGGTGTGACAATATTGAGAAGACAAATTGTATTATATAATACATAACAGCTCCTTTGTCACTGATGATAACCCGGTGGCCTCCACTAAGCCCAATCATGCAGAATGAAGAGTGATGAGTAACATATAAATGTAGACAAGATCTGGTAGGGATTTCTAAGAGTTGATAAAATATTAGCAGGAGACACTACAGAGATAAAGATTAAAATTGATTTTTTTCTTTGAGGGACTTAAGTAAAATCCTGTCTAACTGAGGATAAAGTAGATTGTCTTCCATTTATCCCTAATCTTCATAAAATATGGAAGCTATTATTTTAATATTGATTTTGACAAGCTGTTAAAAACTCAGTAATCTCCAGAATAGATATTTATACAAAGTAGAAATGACAACAGCATGGACAAAGCCAGGTAGTAGATAAAATCGAGTCATTTATTGGATGGTGCAATGAGCACCAGCTTTAGAGACAGGAAACATACTTATAATTGTTAACACTGATGCAGGCATACTTTGCCAGATGCCAGGCTGAGCACACTAAGCACATTGTCGTTATTAATTTTCCTAGAGGCTCTGTATGTATATATCATTATCATCTCTGGTTTGCAATGTGGAAATTGAAGTTTATTAGATGAAGCACCAGGCCCGCAGCCATATAACGAACACATGTTATTCGAGCTCGTGCTTGCTTGACACCAGAGCCCGTTGTTCTTAATAAATAATATTAAGGTCTAAGTAGAAATTTATTTTTTATTCCATTTTCCCATCTATATTCCCAGAGCCATACACACGATTGTTGGGTGATGAATATTTGTTGAAAGACTATTACAGATAACACATATTTGAAAATACAAAGGGACAGTTTGGAAAATTTTTTAAAAATCTATATGAACAGAAAAATACAACTTTAAAAGATTTTTAATTTGGCATTTGAACTGACATTTCTCATTTGGGAATTTTATTATATTAAACATCTTAGTTTTGGATTATGTTTCCAAAATTTCAACCAAACAACTTAAAAAATGCAAAATACATTAAAGTTGGGAATGAATGTGTATTTTAGAATAGATGTAATTTCAAAATAATTAAAACATAAATCTGTTAGATCCAAAAATATGTTATCTAAAAAATGAAAATATGACTGTGAAAACACTACTCTTAACATAACGTTGTTTATGGACTATCATTTTTGTTTTCGTCTTTTTTTAATTTAACTGGACTGTGCAAAAATTCATAGCATTTTACCCTTTACAGTCTTAGATAAATGGAATGAGAGATCGAGCATAGATTTTAGCCCTGAAAATAAGAAGTGAGGAAGCTGTGAGAACTGTATTAGTTAGGGTTCTCCAGAGAAACAGAACCCATAGCGCATATATATATATAAAATATATATTATGTGTGTGTGTGTGTGTGTGTGTGTGTGTATATATGCTATGGGTTCTGTTTCTCTGGAGAATATACATACACACACACATATATATATACACATATATGTGTATATATATGCTATGGGTTCTGTTTCTCTGGAGAATATATATATACACACACATATATATTTATATACACACATATACACAAATATATATACATATGGTTATATATACATATATACAAATATATATACATATGTGTATATATACATATATAGTGTGTATATATATGTGTATATATGTGTATGTTTATATATACACACATATATATACACACACATATATATACACATACACATATGTGTATATATATACACATGTATATATATGTATATATGTGTGTGTATATATATGTGTGTGTGTGTATGTGTGTGTGCGTGTATATATATATATATGTATATATGTTAACCTAATTCTCTCATGCTCAGAGGAGGTCTGCCTTTTGGTTCTATTTGGACTTTCAACTGAAGGAAGAAAGCCCACTCACATAGGAAGGGCAATCTGCTCTACTCAAAAGTCCACTGATTTAAATGTATCCTTCATTCAAAAACTCCCACAAAGAAAATTCAGAATAATGTTTGACCAAATGTCTGGGTGCTGTGGTTCAGTCAAATGGACACATGAAATTAACCATCATAGATAGAAACATCTGTTTTTGAAAGAAATAAAATTTACCCAATAAATTACTTCCTTAATTACCAACTTCTTAGAAACCCGTGAAGGACAGATTTATTTTTGTTTGTTGGTTGGTTGGTTTTGCCCTCTGACACAAGCATGAATTTTCGGTTCATGTCTGTTTTTGATACTGTCTTTAATATCATGTGACACTAAGCTGACTAGATTACATTAATTCTCTCTGATATTTGTCATATCTGTACATTTAGTAACTTTGCAATAGAAAGTTATACGTGAGGCTGAAAAAGCCAAGCTCATCATCTCATAGCAAGTTCTCTGTGGCCGGTCATTAGCCTTTTTCTATTTCTTCTCTTTGTATTTTTAATATCAATTCAGTGTATGAACTCATTTAAGACATACTCTCTCTAGAGAGGCAGTCTGACATTTTAGTCCTCTTTAATTCCTTGCTATCCTTTCAGGTCAAATAAGAATCTAAGATATACAGAATTTAAATTCATAAATTTTATTTTTACTACAAAATTAGTAGAGTAATATAGACATTTTAGAAAACTAAAATCTACCCTAATTTTATTATTTTAAAATGTCACTTTAGTGAGTATTTTGATAGTTTTAGTTTCAAACACAATATAATGTGAAAAAATCTTGAATTAAAAATTTACACAAGAAGACCCGGCACGGTGGCTCATGCCTGTAATCCCAGCACTTTGGGAGGCCAAGACAGGCAGATCACCTGAAGATAGGAGTTCAAGAGCAGCCTGACCAACATGGCATAACCCCATCTCTATTAAAAATACAAAAAATAGCCAGGCATGGTGGTGCACACCTGTAATCCCACCTATTTGGAAGGCTGAGGTAGAAGAATCGCTTTAACATGGGAGGCAGAGGTTGCAGTGAGCCAAGACCACGCCGCTGCACTCCAGCCTGGGCAACAGAGTGAGGCCTTGTCTCAAAAAAAAAAAAAAAAAAAAAAAAGCAAAAACAACAGCAATAAAAAATATATACAAGAATAATGAGGCAAGAGAAGGATATGAAAATTAAAACAATGAAGAGAGAAAGGCTTCATTTTTTTCTCCTTAATATAAATTTGTAGGTAGCATTTCTACTCTATATTCCATTGTGACTCAGTATTCTGTTCCCTCCTCCTTAATTTGTGGTTCGAGAGGAAACATTCTTTGTTGTAATTTTGTGGTATTTCATTAGTAGTTTCCAAATGATTTTCAAATTTCTTTTTGGAGGAAATGTTTACAATTATAAGGATCTTCACTAATAAATAGCAATTAGCTATGACTTTTAGAAACTATAGAAGGAAGTCTCCTTCAACTTATTATTCTGGAAAAATACTTCCTATTAAGTCATAGTAGAAAATCTGATTTTTAATTGCCATTAAGTATAATTCGTCTGAAACCTATTTCCTCACTGATAGTTTAAAAAGAAAATTTTTATTCCTATGGTAGGGTGAGCCGATATGAGAAATTCAGCTTCAAAAATATAAAAATTCACAAAGCATAGCATTTTGCATTCTAGAACAAGTGTTAGTACAAAGTAAAATAAAGGTAATATTTAGGTATCAGAATTAGGAGAACCCTCCAAATCAAAGCCGGTAGAGGACACCAAAGACACATAACCTTGGGGCAGCCATACTGGATACAGCCCTTAGGGCCTGGTTACTGACATTTTAATGTCCACATGAGAGTGAATTATTTTGTGCCCAAGCCCAGTGAAAATATTGAATGTCCTTGAATAATCCATGAAGTTCATTCTATCTGTGAAGTGGGGATTTGAATATCCTGTTCACCAGTCTAAGGAATCATTATGTAAGTTAGCTATCCACTTGGGGTAGTGGGTAGAAAAGGAATCGTTAGCTATCCACTTGGGGTCGTGGGTAGAAAAGGAATTACCATGAAACCCCAAACCCCATGCCCATGTCCCAAGTTAGTGTTAGGTACCAAGTCTTGTTATCTGTGATGTTGATCATCCTGGAGCTGAGAAGTTAACATAACTGCTCTTTAATTACAAAATTATTTTGATCTTCTATAGTACACAACAGTCATCACTTCATAAGTACACATTTCTACCTCAGGTAGCTATGGCTCCTATAGGAAAACAATCACCTCTGAAGAAAAGCTCACAGAGAAAAGTACACACACACATGCGTACTTACATACATAAAGAAGCTAATTGCTATGAGAGTCAGTAGATGTAATGAATGTCAGATTATGCACTGCAAGAACTCACAATAGAGTAATATGAATGGCAATTTTAAATACTCAGTCTTAGTCCTCAAAACTAAGTAGAAAAACAGGTACTCCATAGGGTACAAATAGTATATCATGGAAAAAACACGAGCCGGGTGGATCACCTGGAGTTCATCAAGACCAGCCTGGCAAACATGGTGAAACCCCGTCTCTACTAAAAATACAAAAATTAGCTGGGTGTGGTGGCAGGCACCTGTAATCCCAGCTATTTGGAGACTGACGCAGGAGAATCGCTTGAACCTGGGACGCAGAGGTTGTAGTGAGCCGAGATTGTACCACTGCACTCCAGACGAGGCGACAGAGCGAGACTTCATCTCAAAAAAAAGAAAAAAAAAAGAGAAAATACATTTGAAACAGAACCAGAATAGCAATTCTAGAAACGACAAAATGTAGCCACCGAAATAAAACTCAGAGGACATGTTTAAATAGTATATTGGTTACTAAATATACATATACAAAAGCGAAAATCAAGTCAATTAGAAGATGGAAATGAGAAAACCTTAGAGAGTCCGTGGAAGAGAGATAATACATGAGATATATGTGTGAGACAAATTATAATCTATGCAGAAAAGGGTAAGAAGCCCCTCACACATCTAATAAAAATACTGCACTTAGAGGCATCTCAATAAAATGGTTGTAGACCTTCGGAAGTTGGAGGAAAACAGTCACATTTATTGTATTGCTAGGGCTGTCATAACAAAGTACAACAGGCAGCAGAAATTGATTTTCTCACAGTTGTGAAGGCTGAAACTGAAAGATCAAGGTGTGGACAGGGTTGATTTCATTCAGAAGCCTCTCTCTATGGCTTGCAGATGGCTTCCTTGTCTCTGTGTTTTCCCATGGTCTTTTCTCTCTACACACTTAGCCCTGGTGTCTCTTTGTATGTCAGAATTTTTTCTTCTTATAAGGACACCAGTCATATTGCATTAAGGTCCACCGTAATGCCCTAATTTTAACATAATTACCTCTTATGGGCGCTATATCCAAACACAGTCAGATTCTGAGACCCTGGGGTTAGAACTTCAACACAGGAATTTGTGGTGAGGGGCATAATTCAGACCATAACAATTAAGAAAATATATATTAAAAAAACACAGTTTTCTTAAAAAGGACTAATAATCAGGCCACTATTGTAAAATATATAATAAGATGAAATGGAATAATGCCTTTCAAACGCTAAAAAAAAATATTATCAATATAAAAATCCCTAATAAGAGAGAATCTTTTCAAGACAATGAAATAGAGTAGGAAATAAAAACGGAGTTACTTTTCACAGATTCTTACTGAAAAATCAATGGTTTTTCAATTTTAGAATGGAAGATTTTGAGGAAAAAATGATATAGAAGTATTAAGGTTTATCTAAGGAATTTTAAATATTTTGGTGTGTTAAATATGTACTTATTATAAAAATAATTGATAAAAATAATCATGATGAAGTGATGTAGACAACAAACTTGGAGGGTGTTAAAATGAGATAAAAATGTGTAGAAATTGTAGATAAATAAAATGAAAAGTAGATGGATTTTATCTAGACTGAGTACACTCTAAGATACTTAACATTTTATTACTTGAATTGCTGAAATGAAAGATATACTGCTACATTTTAGATAACGTTGAGTAATAAAATATTTTTAAAGTATATTCACATAAAAAGTGGAATTCCAATGTGTAATTTCTAAAGTTTCACTAAAAAATGAAAACAATAAATAAAAAATTAATAGCCAGGTGTTTTTTTTCACGCTTGTAATCCCAGCATCGTGGGAGGCTGAGAGGAGAGTATTGCCTGAGCCCTCGAGTTCAAGATTAGTCTGGGAAACAAAGGGAGACCCTGTAGCTACACAAAATAAAAAGTAAAAATAAAAAAATTAAAAATTAGCAGGTCGTAATGGTGCATGCCTCTAGTCCCAGCTACTCCAGAGGCTGAAGTGGGAGGATCCCTTGAGGCAGGAAGTAGAGGCTGCAGTGAGCCATGATCGTACCATTTCACCTTGTCTCAAAAAATAATAATAAATAATTTAAAGATAATTAAAGTTGAAAACAAAAGAAAATATACTATTAAGACATAAAATAAGATCATAAATGAGAAAAAAATATTTGTCTATAAACATAAATATGAAGTTGAAGGAATAAAGAGAAAGATTAATGTAAGATTTATATGTCTCAAACTTCACATATCTATACTATACATTGATCATAAAGTAATATATATGTAACTTATATATATATGTAACACGTGATATATATACATAATGTTGACCCGTATATTAAAAATAGAAATGTTGGACGTGAAATATATATTAAACCCAAGAGAAGAAGGCAATAAAAAACAATAAATATTGTGGAAGAGTTAAAAGGAACACAAATTTTATCTGTTGTTTTGTAACATTATTTTTTAAAACTTTAGCATAAATAAAATAAAATAAATTGAAAATCTGGCTTAAGGAACTTCTAAACTTTTTTATTTTTACCTGAAACACTCGAATGTTTTAGGTGTGGAAAAAATACAAATTGAGAGACTATGTCCTCATCCATTGCCATCTTAGCATGTTTTATTTGTTTTTTGTTCAATTGAAACATAAAATTCAAGTAGAACGTTTTAAAAATGATTTTAAAATTTTAAACTTAAAACTTTTTTTAATTCAATAAGATATGTGATTTAGGTCAAGGGCTGAAATAGAAAAAAATAGAAATAAAATGTAAAATACAATTCAAAAATAATATCTGCAGTGGTATATACATATGTGCAATTACCTAGCACTGGAATCAGAAAACTATAGCCTCAAGCTTAATCCTGCCTCTAGCCTGTTTGTGTAAATAAAGTTTTATTTAAATACAACCCATCCATTTGTTTATATAACAAAGTTGAGCAGTTGTGATACAGAGTGTGTGGCCTGAAATGCCTCAATATTTATTCTTTTGCCTTTTACAGAAAGTATGTTGACATCAGATCTTTTTCCAGCTCAACATTCTTACCATATCTTCTACTACCTCTTGACAAATACATATTCCAGCATGTTCATAATATTCCAAATTCCTGAAAACCATCATGCTGAGTTTATATTTAATTTATTATGCTGAGTTATGGTTAATTTATTCATGACAGCAGAGCGCTCATGATCAAATCACCTCTTAAAGGCCCCACCTTTCATTACCACATTGGGAATTAAGTTTCCAACAGGAAATATGGAGGACACACTCAAACTATAGCAAATGCAAAGACTATACATTGATATTATTAAAGTTTTAAGTATTTTCCTTCTGTAAAGTAAATGCTACATTTTAAAATTTTAACTGTCAATCACACAAGAAAGCCAGGTAAGACTTTCTAGCTATTTATTTTTTAAAGTTTATCTGTCAAGAAAGACTATATGGATAATTATTTAAAAGTTCATGCAAGTTTAAATGAAATAAAAGTTCAAACAAATAATTACTGTCAATTGATAAAAGGTTACTTTAGACTCAACATGACCACTTAATTTATTTTATTGTCTCCTGTCAGAGCTAAGAAGATGTAAATCATTAACGTAGGCATTAGTATAATGAAACTGAAACTAGTTTATAAGATGCTTTAAATTTAACCAACCATAAGGCCTGAGGTCTAAAGATATCCTACTTTTGTCTACTTTTAAGAATAAATTTGACAGGCTAACTCTGACAGGCTAAGTGCTATACGTCTCTGAAAGATGCTGTTACGAGTGTCTTCAAATGCCACTCAACGTCTCCACAATGGTCTTAGGAAAGATAAATCATAGTAGAGTGTGAATAAGCATAGCAAGAAAAGAAATTGTAATTTTTACAAATCTGATCTTAATGACAAAATGCTAGCGAAAATTATCAAGTTAGAATAAGTAATAACTAGTTGAATAAAAGCACTAATATTTGGTCAGCATTTTTTTAATTTTATAAAATAAAATATAAACATAATTTAAGCTCAGTTAATTTTAAGAAATATTATAGCATAAATGGCCAGACATGGTGGCTCACACCTGCAATCCCAGAACTTTGGGAGGCTGAAGCCAGCGAATCAATTGAGGTCGGGAGTTCGAGACCAGCCTGGTAAACATGGTGAAATCCCATCTCTACTAATAATACAAAAATTAGCCAGGCGTGGTGGTGGGCGCCTGTAATCCAGGCTACTTGGGAGGCTGAAACATGAGAATCGCTTGAACCTGGGACTGGGAGGCAGAGGATGTAGTGAGCTGGGATTGCTCCACTGCACTCTAACCTGGGTGACAGAGTGAAACTGTGTGAAAGAAAGAATAAAGAAAGAGAGAAAGAAAGAAAGAAAGAAAGAAAGAAAGAAAGAAAGAAAGAAAGAAAGAAAGGAGAGAGGGAGGGAGGGAGGAAGGAAGGAAGGAAGGGAAGGAAGGAAGAAAGTAAGAAAGAAAGAAAGTAAGAAAGAAAGAAAGAAAGAAAGAAAGAAAGAAAGAAAGAAAGAAAGAAAAAGAGAGAGAGAGAGAGAGGGAGGGAAGAAATTATAGCCTAAATGAAAATAATGGTTTGTTGAGCATTAACTAAACGCAAAATACCTTTTTACTAATTATTTTTCTAATTATTAGAACATGCCACAAGGTCATTCTCTATATTTCTCAGATGGAAAAATTGAGAATCATTAAATTTATTAATAGGTTTGGGCACACAATTACAGAGAAGACTTACAGCCATATCTCCCTGGCATGGTTCTTTTACAAATAACTAAGATGTAATAATTATCCAAATTATGGTGTAAATGGATTTAAATAAACCAGGTTTTAGTTACTTTTTTCACTTGCTTATATTATTTTTAAAATAGAATCTGTAACATTAAGTGGATTGAGACAAAAAATTCTTATATGTTGTACTTAGAAGAAATTACTTATCATCTTCCAAATTCATGTTTTACAAATATTTAAGTTATTGATCTTTAGCCAACTTTTTAAAGTATTACTTAATTTAATCCTCAACATTATCTTAGTAGAAAGCCAGAAAATTATTCTTATTTTCCTATTGTACTGTACAATATAGTATCAAAAAATTATTCAATTAAAATTATTCAATTAAAGCACAATAAGGATACCTATACTCAAGACCGTTGGGATCAGTATATGAGTCACTGAAATGAGATTTTCAATGGGAAAAAGAGGTTGGACACAACTCCAAATAAAACATGGTCAAATGAGTATTCATAGCCAAAGAGCAGGGTGGGTGTCACAGGATGGAAAATCTCTAAGAGTAAATTCAGGGGTAAAGGAGATTCTGACTAAATCATCCTAGCAATATTCTTGCTGAAGATGGGCCAGGGTAATCAGACATCATCTAGAAGATGGTAGAGAATGAAGAATCTAACAAGATATTGAGGGGGATCAGATATCAAGGATGGAGAGGTAGGTTCCTGTTAAATTAATACAGCGGGGTTCTTTGCTAAAACTGGATTTTACAAAATAGTACACGGAGAGGCCTAGAAGAAGGTTCAGAAAACTAACTAAAATATGGTGAAGAAAAGAATCTTTTCCAGGAGTATACATATATTTATACATTACATTGTAATGTCCTACTTAATATCACACAGCTGTTTTGTAGCATTCCTGCAGAAATATACTCAGATAGAAACACAAACATTTTAAAAGTTAATGACCCAATCACTCCTGCCACTTGACATCATGTGAACTAGGTCTTTTCTTCATCTTAAAGCCTGAGCTAGCTAGTCAGCGTCCAAGAGGGCAAAAATGGGCAAAATTCTTGAAAGGGGAAAAAAGTGATCTCTGACAATGTTAGTTATTGTTGCAAATAGATACTAATACCTCTATGATTAAAAAGAAGTTAGGGAATTTGAAAATGAAGTAACTTTTATATAGAATGAAATGTAAGAATTTGTTAATCGTAGAGATCTATATCTCTGAGTTTTCAGATGAAACTGTAAGAAAACCATAAAAAAAAAATAGGTGAGATCTCTATCCCTCACAGCCACACCCCCACTTCCCACTTCCTTTTTTTTTTTTTTTTTTTTTTTTTTGAGAGAGCGTTTCGCTCTGTCGCCCAGGCTGGAGTGCAATGGCATGATCTTGGTTCAATGCAACCTCCCCCTCACAGGTTCAAGAGATTCTCCTGCCTCAGCCTCCCAAGTAGCTGGGATTACAGGCACGTGCCACCACACCTGGCCAATTTTTTTATATTTTTGGTAGAGACTGAGTTTCACCATGTTAGGCAGACTGGTCTTGAACTCCTAACCTCAAATGATCCACCCACCTCAGCCTCCCAAAGTGCTGCAATTATGGGTGTGAGATACCGTGCCTGGCTTCCCCTTCTTTTTATTATGTGAGTAAAGAGGTAAACGTTGGAGCACAGTCGTTAGTAACAGAAATAAAGAAGCAATAAGTGATATATGGAATGCAGAATGCGTACAATATTGGCATCAAAATTATTTTTTTAACAAAGAGTCATTGGAAATCAAGAAAAAGGCAATGTGGCTGCAGTAAATGTAAGTGAAGATTTAAATTTGAGCTTTATTGTGCACTGAAAGCAAACGTGCCCTGTGAGAAGCAGACATTTTGTACTTATGTCTGTCTTAAAAAAAAAAACTATCTTTTCACAAATTCTAGATAATGTCATTTAAAGAAATTATCTACTGATGCACAAACCTTTATCAGACTATGCCAGCAACTTTACTTCATTTCCCTGTATTTTCAGTCCTGCTGTGTTTGATACATTAGCAGCTATATCAATTAATGAAATACAGTAATTGTATAGATATGTAAAAATCCACAGAAAATTCCTGCCTCAAATATCACTAAAATGGCATAAAATCTCTTAAGCAATTAATAAATGCTTTATAGTGCACCCATGGTGAGTTTCTTCACAAGATAAAAGTTATAACTTATTTAATATAAATAAGTAAAGATATGGACACAGCAATAAAAATATTCTTGCAAAGAATCAAGCTAATCTATTCAAATGTAATTATTAACCCACAGCATTTCTGCCTTGTTGGTATTAACTCAACTCTTAACTCCATAGCAACCATTTTTTTTCGCTAGAAACATTCTTCCTTTGAATCACTGAAAAACTGGTGCCACAAAAAAGAGATACTGTTTATGTTACAGCACTATTCTCTCATGTTTCAATTGAGGTTTAATTTTCTTCTATTCATTTCTTTTTGAAAAATTCAGCTATGGACTTCAAGGGTTAATGTACAGCTTTGAATATTTCATTTTTTTTCTTACAGGCTCATTCAGATTTCACGTTCGGATTGCTGCAAGTTCAGAAATAGCAACGAAGTTTTAGACACAAGTTTCTAAAGTCTTAATAGGAGTGCTTATTACTCAAAATCCTTGATATTTGGTACCTAAAAAGTTCAAAGATTTAGTGAAATTGGACTTTTTATAAAAGCCAATGCTATCCCACAATATGGAATAAAAGGACAACATGTAACTTTTAATTTATTCTATTCTCTTGTACACAACTAATTTGAACAACAGCACATTGTTCATAGATGGCACTCAAAAAAGTGCTTACTTAGTCCTATAATATTGGAGGCAAGTGCTATTAATCATTTTCGCTAAATGAGTAAAACCAGATGGAAACTGACTAATTCTCTGTAGTTCCAGTTACTAAACATTGGTATGAAATTGCTATTGCAGGGGTCAAAGGAAAGCCTTTCCTCTGTTCTCTGAAGGTTTACAGAAAATAAACTGACAATAGAATTCATAGAAGAAAGGGCATTCAGATTGATTTAACATACGTAAGTATGAGAGAACTGCATGAGGATGAATACACAATAACACAGTCACATCCAGGTGTTCATATACCTTTCTTCATTGGAGAAGGGGAGGTGGGAGAAATAAGATGATTTTTGAAGGGTAGTCAATTATTTTTAGGAGAGATGAATGGAGTCAATATGCAGACACTGATTAATAAGTTTTCTTTGGGAATTGAATGGGACCAGAGAACAGTGTTCATCTGGGCTTCAGGTGTGGTGTTTACTTTTCGTTCTCTTCCTTTATGAGTTTTCATCTTCTAAGGTTAATGAAATTTTAGAGAGGGATCGAGAGCAAATGTGTTCCTCTTGGGCATATTTGGTTTCTAGGGAGATAAGAGAATTTCAGAGAAAAGCCATCTTCTTCTGTACTTTGGGAGAGACAGAGGGTTGAGAGAGAGGAGAGGTGAGAGGTAAGAGATCTTGAGGCTGCTTCTTCAGTTCAATATTTCAAAGTGACATATTTCGATGTATCATTTTTTGAGCCCTAACATTCCCCTGTCTGAAACTTTACTAGAGGTTATACACATTAACAGCTGAGTTGGTGGCTCTGGAGAGAAAATTCAAGTTAGTAGCTGAGTGCCAAAGGATTCTACTAAAGTAGTCTCCCGTTTCTGAAAACGGGACAGTACAATTAATTAGTTGTGTCTCATTTCAGAAGATGGTGTGGCAGATGGGTTCTCAAAGCTATGCCTCTATAGATGATGTAGGCAAACAGATCTTTAGATCTTTTTTTTTTTTTTTTTTTGAGATGGACTCTCTCTCTGTTGCCCAGGCTGGAGTGCAGTGGCACGATCTCAGCTCACTGCAACCTCCGCCTCCCAGGTTCAAGCGATTCTCCTGCCTCAGCCTCCCAAGTAGCTGGGACTACAGGCACATGCCACCACACCTGGCTAATTTTTGTATTTTTAGTAGAGACGTGGTTTCACCATGTTGGCCAGGCTGGTCTTAAACTCCTGACCTCAGCTCACACCTATAATCCAAGCACTTTGGGAAACAGATCTTTAATAAGAGGCATTTCTATGAAAAAGGAAGAAAAACGCAAAGGTTAATGTCGGAAGTAGTCTGTAACCTAGCCCCTGAGTCTGGAGGGAAGTCTATTAAAAAGATTTTCACATATGAGCTGAAATACCGAAGTTGGAGCCAGAGAGACAGTGGCAATCTGTCATATTTGCTTGGACTGTAGTTGTATGTCACAAGGTTTGTCCAAATATAAGCAGTTGCAATGATTTTTCTTCAGTGACAAGTTAACTAGGTTCAGCTTGTAGGGCCTTAGTTTAAAAAAAACTTTTAATTTCTAGTGATTTGAAATCAAAAATTTGGCAGAAAAAATTGGGAACAGTTTGGAGAGTCATGGCCAAATACTAGAGAGAACTAAATTTCAGAATTTAGTCCAGATAATAAAAATCTCAAAATTGGTGGACGGGTCTAGAATCTAATAACAGGTGCACTATAGTTTTTTTTTCTGATACATAATTTTTCTTCCTTACATTCATCCCCATTTTCAACAGTTACTTATGATAAAATTAATTTTTTTGCAAAATAAGTTTAGTCTCATTATCTTGGCCTGATTATTTGCATAAAGTGCAGCAAGAATAGTGATTGATTACATAGGTTCTTTTTAAGTAGACTTTGTTGAAACTTTTGGTAAGAAACATCAGATTAGGCATTTGTAAAGCTGCTGTGGCCTTGGAGGTCTATAATATCAGAACAAATTTGGTGAGTTCCTCTCTCCTTTAGGTCCTCAAAATATCCTGAGGTTTCTCAGCCTGTCAAGAAGTGACATTCTCTATCCACCTCTAAAGGCAAACACAGGAATCATGTATTTGAGTTATCAGGTCAATTTTTCCAGGAGGATTTTTGTTGTTTTCATAAAAGTCAATGTCATGTGTCTTTATAGTAGAATGATTTATAATCCTTTGGGTATATACCGGGTAATGAGATTCCTGGGTCTGATGGTATTTCTCATTCCAGATCCTTGAGGAATCGCCATACTGTCTTCCACAGTGGTTGAACTAATTTACTTTTCCACCAACAGCGTAAAAGTGTTCCTATTTCTCCACAGCCTCCCCAGCATCTATTGTTTCCTGACTTTTTAATAATCACCTTTCTGACTGGTGTGAGATAATATCTCATTGTAGATTAAATTTTCATTTCTCTGATAATCAGTGATGTTGAGCTTTTTTTCATATGTTTGTTGGCAGCATAAATGTCTTCACTAACACAGGAACAGAAAACTAAACACCACACGTTATCACTCATAAGTGGGAGCTGAACAATGAGAATACATGGACGCAGAGAGGAGAATATCACATACCAGGGCCTGGTGAGGGGAGGGAGCTTAGAGGATGGGACAATAGGTGCAGCAAACCACCATAGCACATGTATACCTGTGTAACAAACCTGCACGTTCTGCACGTGTATCCTTTTATTTTTTTAAGAAGAAATAAAGAAAAAAGAAGTAAATGTCAATCTTTCAAAACTGTCTTGTCATGTCAGAATATGACATTCTAGTCAGAGCCTTGATACAATTACCAGAATCTCCAATCGTGTCCTGTTACAGAATAAAACAGTTTCTTATTGGACTTATGAAATAACTATATTGCCATAAGAAAACAATACTCACAAATAGTTTCTCAATTCTGGAAGATCAGTTGCAGAGTGAAAACATGCTTCAATTTTGCTCACGGAATATTCTACCAAAATCTTGCAAGCCATAAATAGTTTAAAAGAAAAAGAATTCTTAAATCTGGAAAACAAAACATAAAAATAATCATCAATGTTTTGAACCAAAGTAATAAAAAATTGTCTTTATCAGTTTAGTTCTATATAATTAATTCTTATTCTGGTTGATGTTGTGTTAGAAATTTTATGAGTTCAGATTTTTTTTATACTCAATTTAATAGTTTGGTCTTAAAGTTGCCAGAAGCTTGTATTTAAGAGTACTTGTTGCAGTCTTTCCTATGAATTTTCTTGAAGATGCAACACTTTGGCATTTGTAAGGAGCTTTCAAAACAAAAGCATAAGAATAAAGCAAGTAACTCGGGACAAAAAGGCTTAAAATGGGCATAAAGATGCAATTGACAAGAAAATTTGATCATTTTCTGTGGCCCACAAGAATTTAACATGATAGCAATAATTATAACTGATAACATATACCAAGACATGTCAGAATTTTAGAAATCTTATATAATTTTCAAATATATGTTAGTATTAATAACATTCATACAAATATAGCTCAAAGAAGATTAAATATTAGTTCTTATTTAACAATGTACTCTATAAAATTAACATGAAGTAAGCTTGATTAGCTTATTCTTTCTCTGTTGGATGCTTTAGGGAACCTCTGAAACATCAAAAAGTTACTTTGAGCTCGAAAATATTAAATCTGATTTTTTAGAACTTTGTCAAGAATAAAGTTTAAACTCTTGATCAAAATAGCATCACAGAAAATTATGAAATAAGTCATTTGTTTTTTAAAAAAGACCAGTGAAGTTTTAGTTAGCAAAGATTTGGGAGAATAAAAGTTTCAGTTAACTAAAATGTTTCTGAAGAAAAATCCAACAGAAATAAAAAATAGAGAAGCCCTTATAACTGTAGCTTGAATATTAGTTTTTCATTAAAAGTTTCCAACTTTTGATCATAGAGCTGTTAAAAAATTATTTCAAATCTCTCTTCTTTTTTTTATACTGGGGCCCATGGGAGGATGGAGGGTGAGAGGAGAGAGAGGATCAGGAAAAATAACTAATGGATACTAGGCTTAATAACTGGGTGATGAAATTAACTGTACAACAAATCCTCATGACACAAGTTTACCTAAGTAACAAACCTACACATGTACCCCTGAACTTAAAATTAAAGTATTAAAAAATCTTATTATTAGGTATTCGTATAGGTTAAGCAGCAAACTTTTTGTTTAAATCAAAAGAAACTTACTAAAATAAGTTTTAGAAATGTTTTCTCCTGAGTCAAAAGATTTACTTATCCAAGTGACTGGTGCCACAGATAAGAGTAAAACCGGGTCACAATGGTGAAAGTGTTAGATCCCAGCCAGGAGACCACAGTCTGGAGCACCTTTTTAACAAATCCTGTAGAGCATCCAAGGCAGGCAGTTGGAGAGATCAAATGATTTTAACTTTGTCTTAAATCTGATTTCTGATGTTTAATCTCTTCAAGGGTAGTTTAGGTAGTTGCTATATTTCATTTGTATCCCCCTTTAAATTTGATCTTTCTATGGATACTGAGAGTTGAAATACTTAACTCCTGTCAATCTTAATTTGGAAAAAAAAAAGAAAAACAAATTTTTATTATATCCTCTGTCAGTTTCCACTGAGACACACAGGAGTCTAACAAGTAAGAAATCTCCCCCCATGCCCAGCCATGGTCAGGTTCTGGGTTCCTTTTATAGCAGTTTCCAGAAGAGCAGAGTGGATTTGGTTTGTCCCACTTGTAAAACCAAATCCGTTGCAGCCCCTCTACTCTTTAAAGATTTGCTGAAAAGGAACTAACAGTGGACAGATTAATGGAAGACACGTGGATTTTTTGAACATGAACAAGCATGAGGGAGATACGTGAGAATGATTACCCAATAACTCATGAGGTCCAGATGTTATTAGCCCTTCCTTATAGGAGAAGGAGAAGTGGGAGAAATGTGACTATTTTTTAGGTACAGTAAAGAGGTTTTTGGACAGATGAATGGAGACAGTGCTCTGATTATGGTTAAGAAACAATTTTATTTGGAAATGAAATGGGACTAGAGAACAGAGTTTGTCGGGGCTCCAGGTTTTAGTATTTAATTGTAATTCTCTTCCTCTGTGACATGAGTTCTAATCTTCTCTGGTTAATAAAATTTCAGGGAGCGGATTGAAGGCAACTGTGTTCCTTTTTGGCAGGTTTGGTTTCTAGGTAGATAAAAGAATTTCAGAGAACAGCTGTGTTCTGTGCTTTGGGACAGATAGAGAGTTGAGAGACAGAAGGGGTGGGGTAAGACCACAGCAACCTTAAGACTACTTCTTTATTTTAGTATGTCAAAGCACCATATTTTGGGGTATTATTTTCCGAAACTCAACATTATTCATTGTTAAACTTACAGTTTCTAGAATAAATGTCAAATATCCTAAATGGAGATAAATGCTTTTGATGATTTTATCATTTAGGGACCAACCAGAGAAAGAAAACCAGTGTTAGATCTGTATTAAGAGCTTAATTACAAGAAACTGGCTTACACTTTTGTGGGCTCTCGCTGGGAAAGGTGAAATCCATAGGGCAGGCTGTCAGAAGGACAGGCTGGAATTCTTGGCCATGAGACAAAACAGAACTTCTTCTTCATCTAAATCTCAGTTCCAAACTTAGAGCCTTTTAACTGAATGAGAACTGATTATGGACTTTGATGATATCTACCAATGTGTTTATTGAAGTAACTAGATTAGTGTTTGATGAATAACTGGAGAGTAAAACCTAGCCAAGTCAGTATAGCAAACTGAGCATTGCAATGAGAAAGAGGTGTGGGAGAATAATTTCATGATGGAATTTTATATTAATAAATGTATCTGGTGCTTTTTTGTGTTGGTTTTTTTTAAAAATTACCTAATATAGTGTATTTGTTAAAAATCCTTCTCCTTTTCATTGTGTCTCCAACACATCTGTTATGCATATATTTCCCTCACTGCATCAGACAGTGTTTTCAAAAGACAGCTCAAATATATATCTCATTGCACATGGTCTTCTTACAAAGTGATATTGACATTCTTTGTATCAATGTGATATTGATACTTCTTGAACCTGGACAGACAACTGTGACTTCCTTAACCCTCAGATTGTGAAAGAAATGATGCTATATGACCTTCAAGTCTAGGTCAAAAAAGGGTGAAAAGCCTCCACTTGACTCATTTTTCTTCTTGTGTTGCTTGCCCTTTGAACTAGAACATCATGTTGAAGTGAAGTTCAGACCACATGAAGAAGCCACACATAGGTGTTCCATCCAACAGCCAACATCAGCTGGTGTACATGTTGGTGAGTGAGCTTCTGATGAGTCCAGTATCCAGCCTCAAATCTTCCAGCTCTGGCCAAAGACACTGTGGCGCTCAGAAATGCCATCCCTGCCATTCTTTACCTAAGTTTCTGATTCAGAGAACCCCTAAGCAAATTCAGTTGTTGTTACCTCATGCCAGCAACTTGTGGGGTAATTTTTAATCTAGCACTAGTAATTTGAATTTCTATCTTGCAGCCCCCAAGATTCTATGAGATGCTCAATCCTCATTTTAACAGGGTAAAAAAAAAAAAAAAAAAGGCTACTTCAATACAAAAGAAGCTGCCCAGAATATCCCAAACCAACTAGGTGGATTAGTTTTGTGATTATTGACCTACATGAAATACACATAAAGGTTACCACCTGTAATTCAAAAAAAGATTTCTCAATGAATAAATATAGCAAGGATTTTTAGTGAATATAGATATTTTTACTCTCTCTTGTCATTTTGCTTTCAAAGATATGTTTGTTAAATCTTTCAGTAAAATAGATCTAAATATTCAAAATCTGTCTGCTTATTGATTCTACTGAATAACTTAATTGGTGAGTTTAGCTGCCCCAGGAACTGAGGAAGGAAACTGTTTTCTTTGAATAGTTGTAGGAAGAAAAGGTAATGGAACTGAAATCTTTTTATTTATTTGTTTCTGCAATCCTCTCCATTTTTTTGCCACTAAAAGACAAAGTTTACTGCAGAGAATATAACTAGACATCCCCAGTCAAAGAAAGAGTGGTTAAAGTTATGAGATTCAATCTTAATAGTTATGTAGACTAGAGTTTTTGTCTAATTTTCTGTTGTTTTCCAGCCCCAGTTTCCTCCAGTACTATTAAAAATGTAGAGCATCTTTAATGAGGTGAGGTAGCTAAAGTGCTTGGTAGAGAGCCTGATACAAAATAAGTTCTTAATAACAAAAAAAATCCAGTAAAAATTGAAAAAAATGAAATTACTCAAATTGATACAATTATGGGCATTGTATTTATGCAAAACTTCTTATGTTTGCCAACTAGTAGTGATTTTTTTTTTTAATGCAGTCTCACCCTCTCACCCTAGCGGGAGTGCAGTGGTGTGATCATGGCCCACTGCAGCCTCCACCACCTGGCTCAAGTGATCCTCCCACCTCAGCCTCCTGAGTAGCTGGGACTACGGGTATGTGCCACAGCATCCTACTCATTTTTGTGTTTTGTAGTGATGAAGTCTCACTATGTTGCCCAGGCTCATCTGGAGCTCCTTGGCTCAAGCAATCTTTCTGCCTTGGCCTCCCAAATTCCTCGGATTACAGATGTGAGCCACTGCGCCTGGCCTAGTTGTAATATTTCACAAGTGATACATGAGCTAAGCAAGGGTCAGAAACCAGAATACTATCCAACCAGTAAAGTAGGCACTTTAGTTTTGTTTTCAGGGAAGGCGTTAGATCCACAATGATCCAATACAAGTGCCTTCCTTTTCGGAAAGAATATGATATTAATTTCTAATTGCTGCTGTAAAAATTTACTTTAGATTGAATGGATTGAAATAACACCTGTATATTATCTCCTAGTTCTGTAGGTCAAAAGCCCTGCTGTAGCATGCCTCAGAGGTTAAAATGGACCCCTGATACATAAGACAGATTAACAAGAGAAAAACCAAAAATTGATTTATATGTGTATTTCACCCAGAAACACATAGAAGATGAGTAATTTTCACAAAGGTGGTTTTGAATTTCAGCTTATATTACATCATCAAAAAGAATAGAAAATTTTAGAGAAGTGACAAGATAAAGGAAAGGAGCTTTGAGCCTCTAGGGGCAGCAACCTGAAGAAATGCAAATAAATAGCAGATAAAGGTTATGTAGTAATGTTTGTTAATGTGGATTCCTCTGGTATTGTCTTAGTCTTTTCATGCTGATAGAAGAAAATACAACAGACTGAGTAATTTATAAAAAACAGAAATTTATTTTTTTTTAATGTTCTGGAGGCTGGGAAGTCCAAGATTAAGCCACTAGCATTGGTGTCTACTGAGGGCTGCTGTTTGATTCCAAGATGTCTTGTTTCTGTGTCCTGGCGTGGGGGAAGGCGAAAGAGCAAGAGGGTCGAACATAGTCAAACGTCTTTTATACAGGCCTTAATCCCATTTACTAGGGCTCCACTCCATTACTTAATTACCTCCTAAGGGCACAACCTCTTACTGCTATCATATTTGCAAATTCAGTTTCAACACATGAATTTTGGAAGAGACACAAACATTTAAACCACAACAGATACCGTCTCCAGACTGATCACAGTCTAAAGTTTTCTTCAGTGGTTATCCTTTGGCCTTCCTGGTAGAGAGGAGAAGTGGAGTATCTTTTGCTTTTGCAAATTTATGTTTCGCTTTTGGGCAAATAGAGATAGGGCAGAGAACTTTCCTGCATCTGCTTCTTTCTAATCACCTTCAGGTCAACAATTCTTATGCCAAAGAAGTATTAATATATCTTAGGGTGGTGTATTCCGGTCTCCCACACCATCATTTCAAAGAATATTCAGCATCTCTATTAAAACAGGTAGTTAATTTTGCCATCACTTTATGATACTGTGAGAAAAACTTAGCATAAATACTAAATACAGAGAGGTAATGTACAGCCAAATTGTTCATTTTAAAGAAACATAAATAAGCTGATTAATTTGATGTTTCTGCTACAAGACAGATACAACTTGCTTTGTTCTAATTTTTAACTGATGAAAAGTTTTTAATTCTTAATACCCTCCTTTAGTTATTGGTAATTTTTTCAAAATTATTCTTACCAGGAATACCTTATACCGTGATTTATTAATATGTTCTATCTGCTTTCAGATGTTTAAATGTTGGTTTTATGAAACTAAGAATTGCAGTTCTTGCTAGAATATAAGTTTCATGAGGGCCAGAGGTTGTTTTATTCTCTATAAGTCAAATAACTAAGAACAGTACATACATTAAGCCACATTAGATCAAGGTTATTGTTTGAGCATTTATTTAATCTTTTAAATTTTAAGTTATGTTTATAATTTTTGTTGTCTATAATCATGCAAATATCACTTACCATCATTGAAGTTTTTATCCACTTTCCATGCTGTGTTTTGTTGCATACAAGTAAGTGCTTCTTGTTCTTGATGTAATTTCTCTGCCCCCGAGATTCCCTATTTCTGCCCCAGTGGGGAAAGTGGAGCTGCATTTCATCTCTGTATATACTTTAAACAGACAAGCTCCATATTTACTGTTTCAAGGACGGAGCCTCTACATAATATTTCAAACAAATCTTGAAAACTGCTTTTCTAGAATTCAATGCTTCTCAAACTATCTATAGTGAAAAATCATTTTTTCCTAATATGTCCCAATCTTAAGCTTCAGCAAAGTATATATAAAAATAAAAATAAATAAAAATAAAAATAAAAAAGGAGGACTACAAGTACAAATCATGTTTTTAATTGTTAGATTTATTAGACATAAACTTAATCTGCCGAAATTCTTACATTCTATGCTTCATCTCGATTTTCATAGTGATCTTGTCTGTAATTGATAATAATTATTTCATGTATCATCATCATTCCATAGATCATACTTCAAGCTGGTCAAATGATATCTTAAACTGGTAATTCAGGAAACTGAAAATGTGGAACTTTTACCTAGTAGACTCCAATCTGTCACTTTTAAGAGGTTAAAATGTTTGACTCATTCTAAACTATCAAAGCATAGAAAATGTTATTTAATATTTTAAATTATAAATATTTTGAAATGTTTATAGTGTTGTTTTCCTACTGGAATGAATTATAAAATGAGCATTCTTTAGGAAACAAGTAAAATCAGGCATTCGGGCACAATTTGTTATTGAGAATCATGCCCCTGAAGCCTGTGCAGAAAGACTTTAACCACGTCGTGCATCTTGGAATGCCAGCACAGCACTGTGTGGACAATAAACTTGAAGGAGAATGAGGTCATTTTTCAGCCAGCTTCCAGAAATTGCCTCTTTAAAATTCTTAGTTCCTTAACTGCAATAAATATCCATGTTTCCAATTTCTAGACCTAAAAAAAAAATGCACTACAGCCCACAAGAGGTGATTTCTGTGTCAGAGGTAGGGGGAGCAGTATACAATTTTGTGTGAAGGAAAACCCAGCCATTAACATAACTTACATAGCAGCTGCTTTTTCCCTGGAATTCATTCACTATGTTGAAAACATTTATGCCAATGTGAACTTTAATCAACCTAAAGGCTTCTCTGTATAGAAAAAGGATGGAATGTTGGTTATTAAAGGAAAAAGCCTAGTGAGTTTTGTATGGAGAATAACTCTATAGCAGGATTATATGAAAACATGTTTTCCCTTCCTTCTGCATAGGTAATTTCTACATATTTTTTGTTGATTTTGTCTGGTGTAGTTAATAAATGATCATAATAAATAACAATTATATATAAGGTAGGTGTTTTATGACAATAACAGAATATACTTACATATAATGGCTTGTTTTCTCTCTTATTATTATTTTTTTAGTCTTACAAGTAGAATGACACCAAGGTATAAAATTTGGCTGAGCACAGACCAAAGACCGATTGAAACTCTAAATCAAAAATCCAAGGTAGTATTTCTGAGAATTAAACTATTATTGTGTAACATAAAACTAATATCATGAAGCACAGAAATAACTCCCGCATAGTTATTTTATTTAAGGCATTATGCCACTTGATAATAGATAATATAAATCTGGAGAGGTAATGTACCTTGATTTTAAAAACTCACACTTTAGTAGATAGGTGGGAGGGCTTTGAAAGTGATTAGCAGATATATATTTAATTAATTGTATACTGTTTTAACACTGATAAATAGAATAAGTACAAATAAAGTTTTGTGAAAACACAGATAAGGGAATAATGGGTTATCAAGTTTAGATAGTATGTCAGGATAAGGCTTACAAAGTGAGTGACATACATTTCTTACTAAGAGATATGCACAATTTAAGCAGAAATTTTAGATATAGAGAAATTTAAGCAAAGGGTACAGTCTCATAGATATGTTTGGCATGTTTGAAAAATACATCCCACGTTTTCATAGGCCCTAATATCTCATAGTCATTATATTTTTCCTTAAGCGGTCTAAGAAATGAAAAATAATTAAATCATAAAATACATGCATTTGAATAAGCATGTGATTTCTAACTCAGTTGATTTTATATAAAAGGTAACCTCTTTTTTCAGAAGTTCAAGGATAGAGGCCATGTAGCCTGGCATGATTAGCCACAATCAGATTTTAAATTCTTCATTAATCAATTCGTTTGAGATGTTTTAAAATAAGTCCTTTGACAGTGATATGATGTCATAAATGTTCTATCTCTTGTATAATCTTATCACTTTCAACAAATCTGACTTTGAGGGCCCTTTACATTAGATAATGGGACCTCTGAAAGGTTTTCTGAAACACGAATTCAAAGTTCAAACAGCTTCCAGTTTCATTCACGTCCCTGCAAAAGGCATGAACTCATCCTTTTTTATGGCTGCACAGTATTGCATGGTGTATATGTGCCACATTTTCTTTATCCAGTCTATCATTGATGGGCATTTGAGTTGGCTCCAAGTCTTTGCTATGGTGAACAGTGCCACAATAAACACACATGTGCATATGTCTTTATAGTAGAATGATCTATAATCCTTTGGGTAGATACCCAGTAATAGGATTGCTGGATCAAATGGCAATTCTAGTTCTACCATCATTCTCAGCAAGCTAACACAAGAACAGAAAAACAAACACCGCATGTTTTCACTCATAAGTCGGAGTTGAACTATGAGAACACATGGACACAGGGAGGGGAACATCACACACTGGGGCCTGTCGGGTGGTAGAGGGTAGGGGGGTGGGGGGGTGGTGGGCTGGGTAGGGATAGCATTAGGAGAAATACCTAATGTAGATGATGGGTTGATGGGTGCAGCAAACCACCATGGCAGGTGTATACGTATGTAACAAACCTGCATGTTCTGCACATGTACCCCAGAACTTAAATAATAAAAAACAAAATTGAAATAAAAAAAAAAAGTTCAAATAGTAGCTTTTGCTGTTGTGGTAGTTTTTCATTTGTACTTAGTCATCCTTAGATATACTATAGAAACTTCCAAATTATGCTTTAGAATACTGAAAAGTCCTCATTAATTTCTTGTACATTTAGTAAACTTACTATTTAAGAGTAAATGTTGAACCTTGAACTCCACACATGTTCAATAACATTCATAATTCCTCTTGTTTCTGCCTTGTTAATCAAGTAACTTTTAGTATTTGTTAATGAAATGTAACAGATGTAACTATTGAAACAAGTTCAGGTTTTTGAGCTAGTGAATAAAGGGACTAATGAGTTTTCCAAAGTAGAAGCCTGAATAATATCGAAGTTGATTGGACTTAGTGTATGAAGAAAAGGAAGAAACTCAGGAAAACCCTAAAAATTTCAAACATAAGTGGGAGACACTGATAACAATGCATAAAATAATATAATAATTACATAAAGGTAACTGTAATTACTGGTAAAAAGTGGGGCCATTGTGAAACAAATTGAATGTATAGTTCTTGGGGAAGATCTAGGCAGAAATGTTGAGGAGATCTAGTTGAAAAAATACTTGTTGATTTTTTTAAATTTTTTTTTTATTATGCTTTAGGTTCTAGGGTACATGTGCACAATGTGCAGGTTTGTTACATATGTATACATGTGCCATGTTGGTGTGCTGCACCCATTAACTCATCATTACATTAGGTATATCTCCTAATGCTATCCCTCCCCCCTCCCCCCACCCCACAACAGTCCCCGGTGTGTGATGTTCCCCTTCCTGTGTCCATGTGTTCTCATTGTTCAATTCCCACCTATGAGTGAGAACATGCGGTGTTTGGTTTTTTGTCCTTGCGATAGTTTGCTGAGAATGATGGTTTCCAGCTTCATCCATGTCTCTGTAAAGGACATGAACTCATCAATTTTTATGGCTGCATAGTATTCCATGGTGTATTTGTGCCACATTTTCTTAGTCCAGTCTGTCATTGTTGGACATTTGGGTTGGTTCCAAGTCTTTGCTATTGTGAATAGTGCCGCAATAAACATACGTGTGCATGTGTCTTTATAGCAGCATGTTTTATAATCCTTTGGGTATATACCCAGTAATGGGATGGCTGGGTCAAATGGTATTTCTAGTTCTAGATCCCTGAGGAATCTCCACACTGACTTCCACAATGGTTGAACTAGTTTACCGTCCCACCACCAGTGTAAAAGTGTTCCTATTTCTCCACATCCTCTCCAGCACCTGTTGTTTCCTGACTTAAATGATCGCCATTCTAACTGGTGTGAGATGGTATCTCATTGTGGTTTTGAGTTGCATTTCTCTGATGGCCAGTGATGATGAGCATTTTTTCATGTGTCTGTTGGCTGGATAAATGTCTTCTTTTGAGACCTGTCTGTTCATATCCTTCGCCCACTTGTTGATGGGGTTGTTTGTTTTTTTCTTGTAAATTTGTTTGATCTAATTAAACTAAAGAGCTTCTGCACAGCAAAAGAAACTACCGTCAGAGTGAACAGGCAACCTACAGAATGGGAGAAAATTTTTGCAATCTACTCATCTGACAAAGGGCTAATATCCAGAATCTACTTGTTGATTGTTAAATCAGTACTATTAAATGAGTGAACAAATAAGCTAAGAGACTCAGATATTAGGAAAGACTTTTGAATCATCAGCAAAAAGATTATGATTAAAACTCTAGGATGAGGTCACCTGGGCCCATGGTGGAGAAGAACCAACGAAGACCAACTTGAGGAGCAGCAGTGAAGGACTGTGAAAGTAAGAGGGATCAAAACAGAAGTCCAAAGATGGACACCCAGAAAGCAAGAAGAGGGCCAACACAAAGACATTTTTCAGAGGTCAAGGAAGGAAAAGGTTTCCAACACAAATTAGAGAACTCATATAAGCCTGGGCTATAAAAAGAGGCCCTTGATTTAGGCTGTTATGAGACTTCTGAGTCAGTTTTGGTTTGGAAATACAAATGATGTTCTTTTCTACCAAGGCATGAATGAGGGGTGAAAAGAACAAATATTTTAAATAAATATCAGCTTAATTAAGACATCCCTTGACCATTCCTCACTTACCCATCATCTTTTCCAAACCTGACTTACACAATCACTCTGCTACTAGTCTAGGTTCTGTTCAAAATCATACCCCTGTTGCCTAATACATTTATGTAGATACATATACATTTTCAAAATTTCTTAAGTAATTATCATAAATCCGGCAGATTTACAAATATAGTGAAACTTAAGTTCACTGACTATTGCAGCAGTATTCATAAACTTGGTCTCCCATCAACTTAAGAATTGTAAGTCTAAATTAATTGGTCAAATAACACTTCATTTATGTTACTCAAAAGATAGACTGATCGTATTAATGGTTCACATTCATTATATGTATTTAAAACACTTGACATTGTATTGGTTATTCTTGTATAAGAATAATGTTTGATTTGATCATTCAAATATTTTTATATTTTATTTTAAAATGTTCAGAGTTATTCCTACTAAGAAACCAGTACATCTGGGACTGCAAACACTCGGCTACTTTTCTTATGACATTGATTTCCTGAATTGCCCTTTACGGCTGATGTTTCCTCTTAGTAATTTTACATGCACAGACCCTCCTACTCTACTCCTTGTACATTCCTGACTTGTCTATGCTGTACTCAGAATTGAGGCCAGGTTTACACAGAGGCCTCTTTTCCCCATTGCAATAGTTCCTGAATAAAATCCAGTTTTACCACTTTAACTACCTCTAGTTTTCTTTTATGTAGAAATTAAATGATATTTGATTATTCTGTGTATGTGAAACTGTGTCAGACTGAAATATTTCAATTTCTATGATGGTCTTTTAGAGTTTTTAGAATTAAGAAAAAACCTCAAGTTTAAATAAAACTACTAGATCACTGGATGACAACTATTAATGCTTTTTATTCATAATTTCAATTGTATGTCTTGGGAAAACACTACTGCTAGAAAATTCTTACAACTTTATTTTTCCTCTTTATCATCAGAACACTTCTGTATATTGCTCTCTTTTCTGAGAGGCTATTTTTGAGATTCAAAAATTAGATGCTTCATTTTTCTTGATATCTGGAATGACTCATTTTCTATAGCATTGAATCCTCAAGATTATTTTATCTCATTATACATTTATGACAGAATGAAAAGCAAATTTTGTTATATAACATGTTTTTCAATACTAGATCCATTTGAAGAGCTCCTAGAAAGTATTTTTTTACAAATTAATTAAATTCATAAAGCAGCATCAGCATGGCTGATGAGTTCAAATGTTTAAAATATTTAAGTAATACAAAAAAACTCAATCTTTACCCTACTATAGACTGCAACTTTTAATTTATTAATATGTTTGGATCAAATGATTGGAAAGAATACAAGCGAGATCTTAATACAAGTAGTATACAATGTTCATATTTTCATAAAAAGTGTATTTTTAAATTTTTGACAAATGAATATTTTCATTAATTTTATTTTTCAATTTGAAATTGAATGCAGGCAACCTGGAATAACAATGTTTTCAGTACATTGAGTTTTAAAAGCAATTGATCAATAAATTACATAAAGTAGAAAGAAAGCAAAAAGGATGGAAAGAAGATCATAATTTTTTAAGTTTCCATAAAACTCCTTGACCAAACAATTAAAGAAAGTCTATGGAACAAAAATAATTTCTCTGGAAATTTTACTAAATTTCTGTTAGATTTTGGCTTCTTTCATAGTTTACATTCAGTACCAAACTCAAACCTATGAGCAAATAAGTATGTGCATATTAAATTTCAAATATAAATATTAATAAAGAAAACTTAAACCACAAGGATAAGACATGTTATCAAATTCAAAGTCAGGCCAGGTGCAGTGGCTCACACCTGTAATTCTAGCATTTGGGGGACTGAGGTAGGCGGATCACCTGAGGTCAGGAGTTTGAGACCAGCCTGGCCAACATGGCGAAACCCCTGTCTCTACTAAAAATACAAAAATTAGCCGGGTGTGGTAGCAAGTGCCTGTAATCTCAAATACTCATGTGACTGAGGCAGGAGAATTGTTTGAACCTGGAAGGCAGAGGCTGCAGTGAGCCAAGATTATGCCATTGCACTCCTGCGTGGGCAACAAGAGTGAAACTCCATCTGAAAAAAAAAAAAAATAAGGTCATTCCAAAATAGCCCATAAAGGAAATTTTTACTTTCATTCAGATGTCAAAAAATTAAATTATATGTTTCTATCTTTCTATTTATTTACATATCTTCTATTCATATTTTAAATAAGAAAATGATGAGTAGAATGTAAAAACCACAAAATATGATTTTAAAGGTTTTGGAACTAAGGCCCGTAACTTGTCTGCAGCATTAGCATGCATTCACCACTGAAGAGGGGAACTAAGCACATTTCATGCTGTTAAATTATCAGTAGTATAAATGGGGCTGGGGGGAAAAAGTTTTCATTTTAAGTTTGTAGTCTCTACAGAATTCTGTTTTACTGCTGGTTCTAGTTACTCTGAATATAGTGACATTTTTGTGACCCTCCTAAACTGGAGACTACTTTAACACACATGCTGAAAACTACTTAAGAAACCCAGCTACAAAATTGAGTTCTGAGTAAAATTACACAGGCTGGCCCTTCACACTGCTTTTCCTGCTCAGATATACTGTGCTTTAGCTCAGCAAACTTATTCTATTGTGTGCCTAGTCAATGATATAAATTCTCGTTTCCAGCCATTTTGTTTTAAGCCAGGGGGTAAATTTCTGGGACAGGACCAAATCCAACTACCTATGGAACAGGTGCTATTCTCAGGGAAGGACATCTCTTCTTTACTATATTTTATATAGCACATAAGTTTTATTAAAGATTACAGCTACTGAGATTCTTTTTCTTTCCTCATAGGTAATTCTAAAGGGTGGCTGAAATATTCATAAAAAGGGAACCATAGGCTAGCATTTTTGCCATATTCAAAAAGATAGACCTTCTGATTCTTATCTACAGTTCTGAAATCCAGAAAACCTAAAAGCAAACATTTTCCACTCAAATCTAAGAATATAGAAATATGCATATATCACATTTCAAATATAAATAGTAACAAAGATACCAACTATATTTTCAAGGTGAACAGCATCATTGGCCAAAGGAATATTGTTTTTACTCTGGGTAAAACAGAGGGTCACTGATACAGTTTGGCTCTGTGCCCACCCCCAAATCTCATCTCCAAATCCTCACGTGTTGAGGCAGGGAGCTGTAATCCCCACTGTCATTGGAGGGAGGTGATGGGATCACATGGGTGGTTTCACCCATGCTGTTCTCATGATAGTGAGTGAGTTCTCACAAGATCTAATGGTTTCATGAGGCAGTTTTCCCTGCTCTTGCTAACCCTCTCTCCTGCCGCCATGTAAGATGTGACTGCTTCCCCTTCCACCAGGATTATAAGTTTACTGAGGCCTCCCCGGCCATGTGAGTCAATTAAACCTCTTTTCTTTATAAATTACCCAATCTGTCATTATAGCATTGTGAAAACAGAGTAATATAGTCACAAAAAAAAAAAAGAAAGAAATCTGCAAAGAAAGTGATATCATCTGTTCAGAGTTTTAAAAGAACAGATTGAAAACAGACTGTGTAAGTAAAGGGATAGAAAGACCAGTTAGAAGACTACTGCTGCTAAGACAATAGATGATGCTGATGAGTTAGACCAGGCTAGAGGCAATGAGCAGAAGGCATGGTTTGATTATGGCTATTCGGTATTTTAAAAGATCCAACTTGATTTCTTGCTGAAGAGTATGTGGAGTGAAAAAAAATAATGGACTTAAGGATGCATTATTTTATTTTGGGGAGGTCTGAAAAGCTATTTTTAGGCCCTCAGGCATCCACTCATGTGAGCATCTCATTGGGTTCAGTGGGATGTTAAAACTTGCATTATGTTTGTGCCACTGACATCAAAATCCAAGCCAGTTACTTCACTGACATTCAGCAGATGGAACACTGATCTGGTCCAATACTTCAGCTTTTAAAAGAAATGCTAGATTTACTGAGAGATCAAATGTGTTGCATTTTCCAGGAGACTGGATGTCTTTCAAGGATAGTTTTACAATAAGAAATTTTTATACAACATTGATTTTAGAATCTTACAGCCATGTAAGATTCAAAGAATAAACAGTGCTCTGTAATTCCAGTTGATGTATTTTCCCTTGACTAGATTAGTAAGAGTTTCAAATGTTATTTTTATATATTCACGCATCAAATTATTTTTTCAAAATTATAATGCAAAGAAAGAAGATTAAAACACATGTCCTCCTCTAAAGAACTTTATGAGGATGTAAAAACATCTGCAAAAGTAACTAAATAATTAATAAGAATTATAGAAATATTTTATTAAGATAGTTCATGTGATTTTTCTTCTGATTAGTGGGGTTAGATTAACTGCCTCAGGAGGAAAGTATTTTGTGGGTATGTTTACATGTGTGTGTTTTTATAACAGAGGAGTCACAAAGAAAAATAATCATAGTAATTTTTAAAATGTTAAAAGCTTAAAAATTAAAAGTTTCTATTTAATTTTAGCTAAAAGCTGTAACAAAGAATAGTATATATTTAAACTTACCACTTAGCTTAAAATAAACTATCAAAGGAGAGGGTGTCCTGGTTATCCAGGTAAGCCTTAATGTAATCACAGGGAAGAGGGAGTGGAAGAGAGATTTAGGGGAGAGTCAGAGAAAGATATAATGATGTCTGCAAGGTCTCAGAGATGCAGTGTGAGAAAAACTCAACTCACCTTTTCTAGCTTTGAAGTAGGAGAATAGGCCCAGGAGCCAAAGAAACCTCTAGAACCCAAAAACATTAAGGAGGCAATTCTTTCCTAGAGTAGAAAGGAATACAGTACTGCCAACATCTTCATGTTAGTCCAGTAAGACCCCAGTTGGACTTCTCACCTACAGAATTCTAAAATAATAAATTTGGATTGCTTAAGCCCCCTGAAAAATTGTTACAGCAGCAATGAGAAACAAAAACCAATGTCCAAGGGAACATCTCTGTAGAAGCTAAAACAAAGCAGTACTTGTCCACCTATTGATCAAAAAGGGAAAGCATTTAAAATGTTATTTAAGTCTAGGCTTTTAGAAATATGAAAGCAGAATATAACAGGAAAAAATAAAAAGTAATTAAAAACATAAGAAAGTAAAGTCTTGTCCTAGGAGACATTTTAGTGTTTTAGATTTACAACTTAAGTTGGAGTACAGTGTATTAAAAGGGTGTAATATAAGATAAATTTAAAATATTAGAAGAAACAAAATATGAAACACTTTGCATAGTATGGAAATCATTACTTTATTCTGGGAAGCATGAGTTTAAAAAAAACTAAAACACCAAAACATAACCCCAAAATCTCAGAGAAGAGAAAAATCTACATCATCTATGTATCTATGTATCTATCTATCCATCTATCTATCATATAAAATATCAGTCTATCCCTCTATCAGCTTTCTAAAATCTACATCTATCTACCATCTTTCTAAAATCTACACCTCTCTGTCATCTATCTATACCTATCTATCTATCTGTCTGTCTGTCTATCTATCTATCTATCTATCTATCTATCTATCTATCTATCTATCCATCTCTAAATACAGATTCTAACACATATTGGTGAGAACATGTAGGTTTTTTTTTGGATGTTGGACCACAGAAACTACTGTAAATATGTGAGGAAGTACAAACTGGTGAACTTTGTGATGTTGAACTGCATTGAAAATTTTAGAGCCCTGTCATATAAAGATATATATATATATATATACATTACAATGCAACTGTATTGCATATCAAGAATTATGCATTAATGTATAAGAGAGAAGAAAGGGAAAACTGTTTCAGTATAAATGACCATATAATCAGCATGGTTGATGGAAAAAGAAGAGTGCTAAGAGAGATGTTTCTATCCTGAGGCTACTAAGTTCTTAACATGTAGTTCCTGGGTTTGTTGTCATGTGTCTGGCTTGAGTATCCCCACCTTAAAAACAGAGGTTTCAAATCAGACACATCTGCTAGAATCAAGAATACCTTGTTTACTAACCTTAGTACCATGGAAATTCAGCTCAACTGTTACTGAGTTGCCATAATGAGAACATAATATTTGATTGCATTGAAAAGCAAAACAACAAAAACATATCAAGAGTATCATGAAATTAAAAACGCACAAAAAGAAGTAATTTCCAGTATAATTTTTTGGTCCATAATCTCTATGTTAAATTGACAGCAAATGCTAATAATAAAAAGAGAAAATACTGTTTTACACTCTTAGAAGAAAGGACTTTAGATCTGAGTGATAGTACTGTGCCAACATTACATTTCACTATAAATAATGCTAAACATTAGAAAATTCATAAGATACTCTTAATAAATTTAAAATACCTTTCTTTGAGTTTTGACCAAATGTGACCTTTTGTTTTCTTTTGCTATTCATATTTTTGGCAAGCTAGATCAGAGACAACATCTGATCATAAGGGAATACATACCCTTATGTCTATTCATCCAATACGATAATATATTTCAACTAAAAATAATGTGCTCCTAAGTGAACTGTAATGTGCACTATAAACATGCCATTGAGCTTATATTAAGGCAATTAGTAAAAGCCATTGGTAAGTTTCTACTTAACAGCTGATTTCCTTGATACTCTTTTATGTGTTGATAATATCAGCGCTCATAACTACTAAACATATGCCATCCATAGGCAACTCTTCTAGATTAAAAAAATGTGTGCACAAAGAAAAGGAAACCAACATTTATTGCTGGTTATTGCCTTTATACAACTTTGTTTTACTTAGTCTTAGCTATCTTCTCATGACATTATAATCACTCCTTGATGTTTGAATGAAGATATTGAGATTCAAAGCTACACAAATTAGCCAATGGGTTAAGTGGGAAATGTAAGATTCAATCAATATCTCTTTGACCCTAAACTGTGGCTTTTTCTCTCAGTATAAAAATGTGTTAATATACAGACACTTGATAGTATCTATCCCTGCAAGTGCTTCGATCATTGGACAGTAATCATTCAAACAGTCTTTTTTTTTTCCCCCTGATACTTAAATTCTAGATCCATTCTCTTCTCTCAGTCAACCCATTTTCATTTGCTATGTTAGATTTTTATTTTTTGGTATGTGTGATGTTTAATACAATTGCAGATTCTTGTGTAAAATCTCATAAATTTTGAATCAGTAAATCTAGAGGGTGGTAAAGAATTCTGTACTGTAAATATCCCCGGAGTTTCTGATGCAGATGGTCTGCAACCACAGCTTGGCAAGCCCTGCTCTGAGATTAGTTCAGATTTGCCTTTCTGAGGAAGCTTACTTTGATCCCATAAGACTAGATTAGTTGTCTTTTTGCATGTTTCTATCGACATGTATGGGGATTTATTTGGAGCACTTATCACATGAAAACTGTAATTTTTTGCTTGTTATTGGTCACGTGCATCCATGATTAGAATCTGTAAATACAAAGACTGCGTACTTCTAGTCTTTGCTTATCCTGTTGCCAATTAACTTGGCTCATAGTAGATGCTCAGAAAATATTTGATGATTAAATTAATGGAATGGTTGATAGCATCCACAATCATTGGAAAATCCAGAGATACAGTCTTGCAGTTCAAATCAGAAAAGCTTGCCAAAAAAAAAAAAGAGAGAGAGAGAGAAAGAAATTTAAAAAAAAAATGGCCTCATGAGAAGATGCCACTGCTCCTGTGTAACAGTTATGGCGTGAACTTCATGTCCTGAACCCAAGTTCACCATGAACACTAACACTCAGCCTCGTAACAACTACCATTCCCTCTTCTATGTTAGCCTCGTAACAACCTCCCAGGTATCTCTGCCATTATCTCCTCTAGTAAAAGCTATCTTTTGCAGAGATTGTTCCCTTATGTTACCAACTTTCAAATAAAAGTTTCATTTAGAACTTAGGCCACATCCCTGAATTTTAGTTGCAAGGAAGCCTGGAAATTTGAGTTCTTTCTTCTAGTTTAAGGGCAGGACAAGTCATGCCCACTATATCAGGTAAACAGTTTTCTAAAATATTGTGTGTAAACTATTATATGTAAACCTATTATGTATAAGACATTGTTCCAGGCTCTGGAGATGGAGATGTTCTCCACACCCAAAGAGTTCAGGTTCCATTTGGTTTATCAATTATAATAACTGTAATCCTACATGCTGCTGGAGTTTTTGAATACCTACTTGATATGAAATTGGCACATTCAGATAATCACAAGGAAAATAAATTCTCCGAAATTTTGATTCACTTTAGAAAATAGATTTAAGGAACACACCGGCATATGAAGATAAGGCTCTTTGTTGTCTAATAATAATATTTTTAAAAAGTGAATATAAGGTCGGGCGCAGTGGCTCTCACTTGTGATCCCAGCACTTTGGGAGGTCGAGGTGGGCGGATCACCTGAGGTCAGGAGTTCGAGACCAGCCTGACCAACATGGAGAAACCACATCTCTATTAAAAATACAAAATTAGCCAGGCATGTGGCACATGCCTGTAATCCCAGCTACTCAGGAGGCTGAGGCAGGAGAATCTCTTGAACCCGGGAGGCAGAGGATGCATTAACCCAAGATCATGCCACTGCACTCCAGCCTGGGCAACAAAAGTGAAACTCTATCTCAAAAAACCAAGAAAAAAAAAAAGCTGAAAATAAAAACTGGGAATGATTGACAATAAAAGTTTATGGCTAGAATTGAAGTTATTAGTATAAAAAGCAAGTCAGATGAAAGTTATTTAAATGAGTTCAAATACAATTCTAGACCTTAATAAGGACACAAAATTCCTAGAAGTTCAATAAACAGGGCATTCAAAATATTCATAATGAATTTCTGAATATAACTCAAAATACAATTACAACAACAATCCATAATTCTATTTCTATTTTCAGTTTGTACGTTACAAATACATTTATATAAACTATACTCTTAAGTGTCCATAGCAGTTTTTATGGATCCACTTAGGTAAAAACTTCATAGAATATTGGAGAGTTAAATATATTTCACATGATTTCTGCTCACCTTTTCCAAGTTATGAAAAAAATATTCTGTAAGAGAGGTTACACTTTTATTATCAAGGCACGTATCTAGGACTCATGCTTTACATCAACTTATTTCTAAAATCCCACATTAATTCATCACCTGAAATATTCATTTTATCTGTAAAATACTTTTAATGTTTTCTTTCTACTCATCTACACTGGAAAAGTCATTCCATTTAAACAATGCCCTATATTTTTTCCCATTTTCATGATCCCAAATTTAGTCTTCCGCTGGTAGATCACAAGTTTAATAATTCTTCTGCTTCTATTTTTCTGCATGCCTCAATGAGATATAATTGAATGCTATACCTTGGCCTATAAGGCTCCTATTTTCCCACCTTCATTTCTTGGCACACTCTGCTTCGTTCCCTCTCCTTCAGACTTAATGAGGCTTATTTAATTTCTCAGGTGTCTGAAACTCTTGCTCATCTTACAGCCTTTGCCCACGAAGTTCAGTTTTTTGGGCTTGCTTCTCCACCCCAGCTCTGTTTCCAGGTTTTTTTGTGGGGTTTTTTTTTTTGTATTTTGGGGATTTTTGACAGAGTCTCACTCTGTCACCCAGGCTGGAGTACTGTGGCACGATCATGGCCCACTGCAGCCTTGATCTGCTGGGCTCAAGCGATCTTCCCACCTCAGACTTGCAAGTAATTGAGACTACAGGCATGCATCACCACACTTGGCTAACTTTCCAATTTTTTATAGAGATGGGGTTTCCCTATGTGCTGGTCTCAAACTCCTGGGATCAAGTGATCCCTCTACCTTGACATCCCAAAATGCTGGGATTACAGGCATGAGCCACTGTGCTCGCCTTTGCTTCCAGGTTTTGATTCCACATCTTATCACCCAGAGCAGCACTCATACTTCACTACTAAATCACCAGTCCCTAGCCTTTTGTTTTCTCTCTGGTTTCTGGTTCTTTTCCAGTGTAGCAGTTATCATTTCCAAATTAATGTATGTGTATTTACTTGTTAGTCATCTCTCTCTCACACTGGACTATAAGCTCCATGAGGCCAGGAACTTAGGGATTCTGTTTTGTTTCCCACTATAGACAGTAGTGGCACAGTGCCTGGCAAATAGCAGGAACTCAGGAAGTATCAACTACATAAATGGATGGTAGAATTTTGTTATAGATAATATAATAATACTCATTGGTAGCAGTAGATGAGAAAAATAAATATGTATCAAGAAGCCTGCAGTCATCTCATGTCTAAAACTCCTTTTCTTCATCTTCCTTAGAAATCTGAAAGTATATGTTGTTCATGAGTCTTGCCTGGCTATCATTTATAGTCATTACTCCAAGCAGATGTTAAATACTGGGATGCAACAAAAAATAAAAGAAAACTATAAAAAGAAAAAAAAATACACACATTTTCATTAAAACAAAGAGAAAGCAAATGTATTTCTTCTAAAACTTGTTGTCTACTATAATAAAAATACATTGATTCTGAAATAAAAATAACAAGGTTCAAATTTCTGACACTTAGCCTCCTAAGAAAGTTTAAGAAGTTAATTCTTTGTGATTCTGCTGCCTTCAGTATAAAATGAGATTAATGATTCCTGTTCCATATCTTTCACTGGATCATTGACAGCATTTAAACAAACCTTGCATTTTAGGCATTATGTATGTTTTTATTGCAAATATTTTATGATACTTATGTCTGCTTGACTATAGCTAGGTGCTGGTTTTCCAATGGTTAAAACAATTTATATAAAATGTACTTAAATCATAACTGCTTTATGACTAATGAATGGGAAACAAACCAATGTGGCTTGGCTAGAATAACTGGGAAGAGTAACCTATGGCCCACCTGTTGTCTCATCTATCAGCCAACTAGCCTCATCTTGTTCACACGGATCCAAGAAGCCAAGCATAAATCTGCTTGGTGATGGTACCACAAACCTCCCACCACATCCAACTGATCAGTGAAAGTCACAGAATTTAGGGTTGCTTAAATAGACACCACTACTTGAGAAGACAAGACTAAAACCATGGTGTAAAGGGGGATAGAACCAGGGAGGAGAAAAATTATGGCCATTTTCATCGACAATGTATCATAGCGGGTAACAAAGAACGCATGATTTCGAAATCAAGAAATGTGATTCATCACGTAAACAGAACTAAAAACAAACACGGTCATCTTGATAGATGCAAAAAGGCTTTTGATAAAATTCAACATGCCTCCATCTCCTTGACAAACTAGGCATTGAAGGAACATTCTTTAATATGATAAGGGCTATCTATGACAAACCCACAGCCAATGTCATACTGAATGGGCAAAACCTAGAAGCATTCCCGTGAGAACCAGAACAAGACAAGGATGCTCACTCCCACCACTCTTACTCAGCATAGTACTGGAAGCCCTAGCCAAGCAATCAATCAAGAGAAAGAAATGTAAGGCATTCAAATAGAAAGAGAGGAAGTCAACCTCTGTTTGCAGATATAATTCTCTGGACATAGCATCTGGACAAAAGCCCCTTCAGCTGATAAACAACATCAGCAAAGTTTCAGGATACAAAATCAATGAACAAAAATCAGTAGCATTTTTATAAACCAGTGATGTCCAAGCTGAGAGCCAAATCAAGATTACGATCACTTTTGGAGGCCTATTTGGGTGGATCACGAGGTCAGGAGATTGAAACCATCCTGGCCAACATGGTGAAACACCGTCTCTACTAAAAATACACAAAAATCAGCCAGGCATGGTGGCACATGCCTGTAATCCCAGCTACTCGGGAGGCTGAGGCAAGAGAATAGCTTGAACCCATGAGGCAGAGGTTGCAGTGAGCCAAGATTGCACCACTCCACTCCAGCCTGGGCTGCTGAGCGAGACTCTGTCTCAAAAAAGGAATGCAATCCCATCCACAATAGCCACCAAAAGGGCAAAATACCTAGGAATACAACTAACCAGGGAGGGGACAGATTTCTACAGTGAGAATAGCAGAGCGTTACTCAAAATTAAGAGATGACACAAACAAATGGAAAAACGTTTATTCAATAAATCTTGCTGAGATAACTGGCTCATCATTTGCAGAAGATTGAAAATGGATCCATTTGTTACACCATATACAAAAATCAAACTATCAACACAGTAAATAGACAAGCTACAGTATGGGAGAAAATATTTGCAAACTATGCATCTGACAAATATCTAATATCCAAAATCTATAAGGAACTTAAACAAATTAAAAAGAAAAAACCTCATTAAAAAGTGGGCAAAGGTCATGCACAGACACTTCCCGTAAGAAAACATACACACAACCAAAAAGGATATGAAAAAATGCTCAAAAGCACAAATCATTAGAAAAATGCAAATCGAAACAACGAGATACCATCTAACACCACTCAGAATGGCTATTAAATAGTGAAAACATAAAAGATGCTGGAGAGGTTACAGAGAAAAGGAAACACTTATACACTGCTGGTGGGAATGTGAATTAGTTCAGCCATTTTGGAAAGCAGGTGTGGCGATTTCTCAGAGAACTTAAAACAGAATTATAATTTGACCCAGCACTCCCATTACTTGGTCTATAAACAAATAAATATAAATCATTCTACCATAAGGACACATGCACGCACGTGGATGTTCATTGCGGCACTATTCACAATAGCAAAGACATGGAATCAGCCTAAATCCCTGTCAATGGTAGACTGGATAAAGAAAACAGTGGAAAACATAGTACATATACATCATGGAATACCATACAGCCAATGTAAAAGAATGAAATCGTATCCTTTGCAGCAACATGGATGGAGCTGGAGGCCATTATCCTAAGCAAACTATCAGAGGAACAGAAAACCCAATTCTGCATATTCTTGCTTATAAATGGCAGCTAAACATTGAGAACAAGGAATACAAGAAAGAAACAAAAGACCCTGGGACTTACTTGAGGAAGGAGGTTGGGAGGAGGAAGAGGATCAAAAAACTACCTATCAGGTACTACACTTGTTGCCTGGGAGAGTAAATGATCTGTACAACGAAACCCATCACAGGTAATTTACCTATGTAACAAAACTGCACATGTACCCCTGAACCTAAAATAAAAGTAAAAAGAGAGTTTATCTGGTAGTCTGAATTTGTTCTGGCTGCTATGACAAAATATCAGGAACTGTGTGGCTTATAAACCATAGACATTTATTTCTCACAGTTCTTTGAGGCTGAAAAATCAAAGATTAAGGTGGCAGCAGATTCACAGCTCAGGGAGGGCCCAAGTTCTGGTTCATAGAAGGTGCATTCCCACCATGACCTCACATTGTGCGGGGGGCCAGCTAGCTCACTGGTCTCTCTTTTATAAGGGCACTAAATGCCAATCATGAAGTCTTCACCCCCTTGATTGAATCACCTCCCAAAAGCCCAGCTCCTAAAACTATCACCTTGGGGATTAGGATTTCAAAATATAAATTTTGTTTCTTTTTCTTTTGTTTGTCTTTTTCTTTATTTATTTATGTTTGAGACAGGATCCTGCTCTCTCACCCAGGCTGGACTGCAGTGGTGTGGTCATAGCTCATTGCAACCTCAAACTCCTGGGCTCAAGAGATTCTTCCACTTCAGCCTTCCAAGTAGCTGGGTCTGCAGGCATGCACCATCATGCCCAGCTAACAGAATATGAATTTTGAGAAAACATATATATTTAGTGCTGTGTAAGGGTGATAATTTTAACGTATAGAAACATTGCAAGAACAGCACAAAAATCATGCATATTTTCTTTATATTTAGCTTTTGTAAATTTTAGCCTTATTTGTTTTACTATTTGTGTTTCTTTGTGTGTGTAAATACACACACATTATCAAGTGTTTCACAAAATTATTGTATTATATAGGTAATATATGCATATAAAATATATATTTCATATACATTCCTGTGTTTGTGTATATACATATATAAACAGCAACTTTAATGAATTGAGAGTTGTTTACTTATAGTTTTTTAGTGCTGAGTATGTCACAGTGAATTTTTTAAAAATAAGGATAATGTTATAAATACTAGTGTCAAGAACTGAGATAACCTAAATGTTTATTCAATGCTTTTATCTATGTTATGATCTATATTCAAATATTGTCAGTTGACCTCGTAAAGTCAAAGTCATTTGCAGTTTGGCTTTTATCTCCTAGTTCAGGATTCAGTCTAGGATAACACATTATATTTACTGGTCACGTCTTTTAAGTTTCCTTTAATACGGAACAATTCCTAAGCTTTTCTGTGTAATTTATGACATTGGCATTTTTTGAAGAATACATTAATTTTGATTTTAATGAAATGTTCTGCATTTTATGTTTATCTGATATTTCCTCAAATAGAATTTAGATGTCATAGCACAATGTTCTTTTTTAAGTCTTTTTATTCTTTAATTGAATCTCTTTAATGAGTCAGTTCCAAAAAGCATTTGAGAAAACACGATTTGCCTTGTCCCCTAAAAATATTCCAAAGCAACATAAACTACCTGTGTGATAGAGATTGAAAAAGGGTTGGATCACTGTACAACTCGAGTCAAGTGAGGACAAATTATAGGTGGGGGAATATCTTTTCCTTCACTATTTTCAAGTCTAAAACTCCTGCATGTGATAATGCCACTGGAGGGCTTCTCTAACCCTTTGCCTCTCAAAACTTCAAGATCTTTTTAAGAGAAATAATGAAGAAATATTTTCACTGTGCCAAGTGAACATTCTTTTTTCAAATCAATAAAGTCTTTTCTGAAACTATGGACAAAGGAAACTTAGGGTGGGGAGATATTTGGTAGGGTAAATATATAATATATATATATTTTAATGTGCATATATATTTTTATGTGCATATATATATTTTATGTGTGTATATATATATATATATTATATATATATATATATTTTTAGTTGGAGTCTGGCTCTGTCACCAGGCTGGAGTGCAGTGACGCGATCTCGGCTCACTGCAACCTCCACCTCACAGATGCAAGTGATTCTCCTGCCTCAGGCTCCCAAGTAGCAGGGATTACAGGCGTGAGCCACCACGCCTGGCTAATTTTTGTATTTTTAGCAGAGACAGTGTTTCACCATGTTGACCAAGCTGGTCTTGATCTCTTGACCTCGTGATCCGCCCGCCTCAGCCTCCCAAAGTGCTGGGATTACAGGCATGAGCCACTGTGCCCAAACTTGATAGGGTAGATATTTAACAACCTAAAATAGCAAAGGTTATTATCATATAGTCACTTAAAAATATGTTTTGGAAAAGTCATTAGATTGTGGCTCTTTACTTTTCTATATTAACGTACGATACATATCACCAAGGAACATTTGCAGTAATATACAATAACTACTAAGACAACTGTTCTTACTTCTACTTGTCTTTTAGAATAGTAATTTGACTCAATTTTTCTCTACAATGGGAATTATACCAGATGTGAACCGTGTAGGAGATTGTTAACGGTTAATTTCTGCTTCCATGGAAACTACCCTGGTGTCCCTGGTTTTAAATGACTTCCTGAACGCTGACACCTGGGGCAGCTGCTCAAAGAAACAGACTAACGCGCTACGCTGGGAGAAGAAAATCTTTCATATTTAGCTTCATCTGTGTTAAATATATCAGTAAATGTTTCTAATAGATATACATATAAATATTTATTTCCTATATATTTAATATGTAGGAAACTATATTTTGAGCATATATGTAATTGTGATAAAAAAGAGTGTCCATTTAAATGAATAGTGATGTTGAAAGTTTCAGTACATCTCTTTAAAGATGTCAGAGGTTAGGATCCAGCTTATTAAGGATCTGTTTAGTATTTCCATTGACATCAGCATGTGATAATTAAGAATGAGATAATTAAAGCATTGTTGCTGACCTCAAGGAACTATCAACCTGGTCATAAAGTAGATCACAAAAAGATAATTTTAAGGCAAATGCCAATTGCAGTAAGCAATAATAAATATGGAGGACCTTATAGAAGTATTTAGAAGGTGCAAATTAACCTGGTTGGAAGAACATTACTCATGAGGAGCTAAGTTAATTAGGTAACACTTGATTACTAAAGGAAGAGTCAAGTGAAAAACCTAACAAATGGGGAAGTAGAATGTCACAGCAGAGTGGAGGACAGCATTAAGAAAGGCATGGGGAGCTAAGCTTGGCGGCTCAGACCTGTAATCCCAGCACTTTGGGAGGCTGAGGTGGATGGATCGCTTGAGATCAGGAGTTCGAGACCAGCCTGGCCAACATGGTGAAACCCCATCTCTACTAAAAGCATAAAAATCAGTCAGGCGTGGTGGCAGGCACCTGTAATTCCAGCTACTTGGAAGGCTGAGGCAGTAGAATTGCTTTAACCTGGGAGGCAGAGGTTGCAGTGAGCCAACATCATGCCACTGCACTCCTGCCTGGGCAACAGAGGGATAATCCGTGAAAAAAAAAAAGATAAAAGGCATGAGGGAGAAAGCAGTATGTTGTCTGGATTTAATCAGGAAATAGCAAGTGATTGGGGTGTTGAAACATGGAATACAAGGGAACAGTGACTAAGAAAGAGGAGAATCCTGTGAAATTGATAATATGGAGTGTCCCATCATATTAATGTTTATATTGTGATATTTGTATTGTGAATTTATATATTCTAAAAGGTGGAAAGCCAGAGAAAGGCTTAAAACACTGAAAATGCATGGTGAAATATAATGTTTAGATAGGTCACTCTGGTGGCCAGACATAACACAAATGGATTTGAGGCAAGGAGCCAGTGATTGGGAGATACTACAGTAGACCAGGCCAGAAACTATGAAGACGTAACAGAAAACAAAGAGAGGAGAGATGTAAAACACAACGTAGTTTAATGTATACCAAACATAAATCCTATTGAACTTCAGGATTTCTGACACAGAATGAGACTTTGGAAAGGAGAGGTGGTAAACAGCTGGGTTTAGTCTGAAACCCACACTGTAAGTTCTTATGTTTCTATTTACTAATTTAAAAATTCTATATAGTTTGATACCATGAATTGACCAGCATTTATTACTTCTATGTATTTCCTGTATTATTTGGTTTAAATGTTGCATTTTTTCTCAACTGTTTTACCTGTATTTCCCACTCTGAAAAGAGTCTTAAAATGGTATTGAAATTTGACAGGATTATGTTTCTCCCCACAATGACTGGGCATACAGGTTAATGCTCCATTTTAAATATGACATTATCTGACTATGAAAAGGCTATGTTATTTCTTTATAACCTTATTCATCATTTAAATAATGTACCTTGACACTTCCTGAAAACACAGAGAAAGCCCAGGATTGTCTTGATTAAATGCTAATGAAGAAATTCTTTTCTGGAAACCTATACCACACAAATTTGAAACATAATATTTTAGTTCATTTTCTGTTGCTATAACTGAACACCCAAGAGGGTAATTTGTTTTTTAAAATCGAAATTTCTTACAATTCTCGAAGCTGGGAAGTCCAGTGTCCAGGGGCCACATCTGGTGAGGGCCTTCTTCCTGATGGGGACTCTGTGCAGAACCCGGAGGCGGCACAAGGCATAATAATGTGGGGAGGTGAGATGAACATGCTAACTCAATTCCCTCTTCCTCTTCTTATAAAGACACAAGTACCACTCCTGAGATAACCAAATAATTCATCAGCCCAATAATCTATTAATCCAGGAATGGCCCAATTTATCCTCATGACTCAATCACCCCTTAAAGGCCTTACCTCTCAATATTTCCACATTGGAGATTAAGTTTCAACAGGAATTTCAGAAAGGTTAAACATTCAAACCATACCATACAATATTGAGCTAAAATTTTCCATTGGAAGTTGTCAATGCCCCTTTCAAATAAAATAATGTTCTCTCTATTATTTAATTATTGATGTCTTCCTTGATTTGCTATCAATAAAGATAGATTTCAAGCAACTATTTCAGTCTTAAAATCTTACCTGCCAAAAAAATTGAAAACTTCAAATTACACATCATTTCATCTTTAATTTTCATAGTGAGTTAAACAAAAGTGCTTCCTAATGTTACCTAAGTGGAGCATAAAAATGATAGCAATACTAGTGAGCTTGGCAAAGGATATGGAATGTCTGTGAATCTTGTTAAAGACTGTTTTTTATACTCAGTGATTCAGAAGAAGAATTTGGCCTAATTAGGAGTCTAAAATGACTTAAAAGAGTCAGGAAACATATGCAAACACCCACAAACAAAATAGCTAAACTGTCATCTAGGATGATAATTTTTACATCTAACTCAGATAAGGAGAATTAAGCTTTCCGTTCTAAAAACGAAAAATCCATCATATTAAAATTATATCCGATAGGTGCTATTAAATTCAGATTTCCAATTCTAGCTTGGGAAATGTATTGCTTCAGCAAAGATCATTCCTATGTAAAACTGATGCAAACTTTATTTGAGCGCAAACATTGTGAAATCTGTGTTAGAGATCAGGAGAAATCTCCTCTGATCAATGTCAGCATGCCTGCTGATCTCTAACACAGGTTTCACAATGTTTGCACTCAAATAAAGTTTGTATCAATTTTACATAGGAATGTTCTTTGCTGATGCAACATTGATCAAAGGAGATTTCTATCTGCTGCAGATACACTGTGCTTACAGACGACTTCCATTCCCTAAAGGCGCAATAGTACATTGAAAGGCTATCTTTCTGCTTTAGACTGCTTATTCTTTATCTTGCCTCGTCCTCAGTTTATGTGTTCATGCTTGAGGCCGAGGCGGGTGGATCACGAGGTCAGGAATTCGAGACCAGCCTGACCAACATGGTGAAACCCCGTCTCTACTAAAAATACAAAGATTAGCCGGGCGTGGTGGTGTGTGCCTGTAATCCCAGCTACTCAGGAGGCTGAGGCAGGAGAATCACTTGAACCTGGGAGGCGGAGGTTGCAGTGAGCCGAGATCACACCACTGCACTCCAGCCTGGGTGACAGAGCAAGACTCCGTCTCAAAATAAATAAATAAATACAACTTTTTAAAAAAGTGGTTGAAATTATTTACTAACAATGTAGAACATATGGAACTTGTCACACATATGTCCAAACCAAGACTGAAACCAATTATGTCTGTTTGAGTACTATTAGTAAGGCAAGTACATTTCACAGTGAAAGGGGAACAAAAGAAAATGAAACTATGGAAGAAAACCCTTTTGCAGCACATGTAGAGGGGAACAGTTGGGTTAGGGTAAAAATGGGACAGTTGGAAAATAAAAGTCTAAAATAGAGGCGGTATATACATATGTATAGAGAGAGTATAAATATATATATACTTAAAATATATATTGTATAATGTTTTTGTTTTTTAGCCTATTCATATTAAAAAACAAACGCAACCTGTTGAACTATCAATTCAATGAGAGACATTAATCAGGCATCCCTGTTACATTAAATATTATTTCAAAACAACTTTTAGACAGTTAAATAAAAACACACTCAATATTTTCTGATCCAGAAAGCAAAAACAAGTTATGTCTAATATTTTGAATAAGGAAAGCCCCCACACCCTATAAAATGAGAATGCATACTTTAAATGTTCCTGAGAATAGCTGTAACTTTCCCTTCAGTTGTAAAAACATTTCTTTTCTAATATTTCCTTTAGTATTCATTATACATGTTTAATTTGATTTATTTACTCCAAATAATTGTCTGCTCCACTCCTGATAACATTGCATGGTTCTAGTTTGATAGCTATTTCAGGCATATAGAATTTCTTAACACAAAATAAAATTAAAAAGAAAATATGTGTTCTACAAGAGAATGGAACCAACTTATTAATTTTAAAATTTTATATACATATTTATATTAATTATGAAGGATGACAGAATATACACCCCAAAACATGCCACTTTACCATAAAGATTGCTTTCATCTAAAGGCAATTGAAAAACAGTGGATGAAAGAATGTCATTGCAATCTTCCCTTTTCTGTCTTGAAAACACATTAAAACTCTCATACAAAAGATGTCCTCCCTGTATCAGGAGAAAAGAAAAATTCTTTGATTCTCTCATAGCTGAGAGAATATGTACCATTAGATGTTGTTTAATTATTTTTATGTCCCATTAGACTCTACATAATTCAGCTACTTTTCCACAATTGCCTCTTTTTGTTCAACCTAATACAAAAGCATGTAGGTTTTGCCAATTGCTTGAGTTTTCATTTCCCTATAAGACCTCCTGTGGCATGTAAAACTTATATTGAATTTGTATGCTTTTTTCCTATTAATCTATCTTAGATCAATTCAATTCTCAGACCCAGCTGGGACTCTAAGAGGGGAGAGAGAGTTTTTACTCACCTACTGTTCATTTTCCAAGTAAATGTATTATGAGCGGGTAGTTAAAAATTCTTTTGTCAATGCATATTCCTGAAAGACTCGTTGCATTTCATGTTACATTTCTCATTGTCCCTGAATGATCTTCCCTCCCTAATTTGAAAGACTTGCAAAAACAGTAGTAAGTGAAATTGGAACCTGAGAATCTTTAGTAAATGTATTTAAACAGGTAGCCAAGGGAGATAACTCATCATTAGATTATTATGGGTCTTTTTTTAAAAAAAGAAAGAACTAACATATCCTGTTTTCTACACTATGTGTTACTTGAGGTACGTAAGTTATCCTATTTAATCTTTACAGTAACTTTCTGAGATCAGTTTTATGTCCTAAATTTAAGATGAAAAATCTATAATATGCAAAGGTTTATGGGAGTGTTCATGATCACATAGCTAATATATAGTGTGGTGGCTGTGGCTATGCTCACTGTATTGGGCTCTCCTCTCTTTTGTTGGGATTTGGGAAGACTTCCAAGCTTTCCAAAAAGAAAGATTGGAACCACATGACTAGATGGCTTATTGGCTGAGAAAGGAAGTGGAATGCATCCCTTTTGATAGGAGGCTGTTAGAAACAAGTGGATGTTCTCTATGCCATTGTTCCACTGCCACTGCAATTATGGCGGCCACAAGTGGAGATAAAGTTACTGCAAAATAGAAGTGGCCTAGATTCCTGGGTCACAACAAGAATAAAATTGCTCTGGAGAGCTACCAACTAGCTCTGGACTTGAATGAGTGAGAATTAATTTTTGCTAGATTCTATTCAGGGTATATTTGTAACTGTAGCAGTCAAACCTATCCTAAATATTATATAAAATGGGGGAAAACAGAATAACACTTTCTTGTTTTACACAAGGTAACCATGTGTGTGGGTGTGTTGTGAGTGAACATGGTGTAGAGTGAGGCTCTTTAAGTGGGGCTGATTTTTTCCTTCTGGATTAGAAACATTGGCATTGAAACTAGTATACAAGGTGCATATTGAATATGACAGCTTCTGAAGGATTTCTGAGTTGTAGACACCTGTGAATAAATCAGCATGTATTATCTAAGAATAAAATTTGTTTGGCAACAAATATATTTATACACACACACACACACACACACATACATATATATGTATATATAGTCATAGGTATTATTTTTGATAACTTGCTTTTAATTTTGTGAAAATTTCCATGCATTGAATTTTGAATATCCCTTTGTGAAATGTAGAATTTGGAGAAACTCTAAAGAGTAAAGCACGACCAAAGTGAAATCTATTCTGTTTCTTCTTAAATTCATGGATACATTTGAAAACATGTGTCTACACTACACATGTATGCAAACACACACCTGAACTTCGCTACTCTATCCCTTGGAATTTCTTATAAGAGATTTTTTAGAAATTTTTTTTAATCATAGGAAAAATGCCAAATGTTAATATTTCTGGAGAAAGAGTACCTGCTATGTGCAAAAACCAGGATTAACTAAAATGTAGATAGAAAATTCAACATCTCCTCACCCTAAGAGGATAATCACAACAAAGACTCAACCTATGTTTTAACATGACTTTTCATTTCCCCTAGTAACACACTGAGAAATATACTATTAACACTTTATGAAAATCCTTGGGACTAATATTTGTAATGTTCTGTCTCTGCTTTTCTCCTCCATTTATCCGTTAACTATCATGAAAACTCAAAAATGTTGCCTGCACTATATGTCAGTGAGAGTAAAAAGAGAAAAAATAAAATAAGGAAAAAAAAATAAGTGACTGGAGTGACCACTGACCTTCATTTTTGCTCTTATTATATAATCACACCAATGGTGTCACACATGACATGTGCCACTCACTCCATGAACCTACTCAGGACATGAGTCTTGGTCTACCCTTGAAAGAAATCAAATTTTCTCATAGCAGTTTCATACTCCAAGATAAGCCAGCAGCTGTCTATTAGATGAATTAGGTTTCTTTTACTTAAAAGAAGGAGGTGCAATAACCTCCTTCTATTTTTGTGGAATTCTCAATTTTTCTGAAATACCCAGTGAACTATGCTCATTTGTCATGTATATTTCATACATCCATTGTAATTTGATTCAGATAATTATCTTAATAATATTTAGAGTAAATTTCATATAAAACCTGCAAGCAAATGTAAGAATTAATTTCAATATGAGTCAGTGTCTCTTAACTTAAAAGAAACGGATTTTGTAACCTTGAGGAAAGGGTGAAATAAAATTGAAATTATACTGAACTTTTGCAACATAAAATTTACCCAGAGACTATTTTAAAACTCCAGGATAGAAAAGAGAGGGGGGATTTTTGGGGAAAACCACCTACATTATTTTGTGCCAAAATATGCAGTGATATTTACAAAATGTGGTCTTTTGTTTAACAGATTATTAATGTTCCAGAAAAAAAATGAATTAAGGTAAAAAAATGAATTAAGTTACAATTGATAGGTTATTGGGTGCCCACAGAGAGAGACACAGAGAGAGAGAGTGAGAGCAAGAATGGGAGTGAGAGTGAACATGAGACAACGAGAGATGCAGATATAAACCTCAGGATATAAAGTTTATTTATATTTTGTGTGAAGTGTAAGACTTGTGTCTAGCTTCTTTAATTTGCATAAGGACATCACATTGTTCCATCACCATTTGTTGAGAAGAAAAATATTATAATAGCTCAATTTAAAGTAAAAAAGAGGATTATATATTTAATTATTACTCATTGAAAAACCAGATGATGTATTGATTATACTGATAATAAATAAACTCAGGTGAAGAATCACAATCATTCATAATTATCTTCTATCTCAACACTATCTTTTCTATCTCTACTATATCCTGCTCAATTCAACATCTTAGCACATGTTACAACACTGCTAATTTAGCTTTAAATAATGGGTTGAGAGGATTAAGTCACTGCAGATTAATTGAAAGTGAATAACACAAAGAACAACCTGTTGGATCCCTTGGAAACTAAAGGAATTAGGACAGCAATTAGCTTAGAAAATCCAATATGAAGAAATTAATTATCACATGTTCTTGATAAGAAATCATTTTCTTCCCCATTGAAGACTGTTCTCCTTCTCTCCCACTTTACCGTTTTACTGTTTATGGCCTAACTGTAAGATAGCATAAATTTCAAGGACCTATTCTTATTTTATTATTATTTTTTGGTCTTTTTTCCAGTTTCTCCTAGATCGTGTTTCCTGAGAAGCAAATTTTGAGATGGTTTTGAGTGATGGATGTCTACTTAAGAGTGCTCCTGGGAATAACATCTATAAAATCCTGGTGGAGGCAGAGAGGAGGAGACTTTGGACTGGGAGGGAGTTAATATACAAGTTTCCACTGATCCTGTGAGACTGGAATGACCCCTCAAATTTGTCTCAATTTGAGGCAACTTGGTCAAGCATTAGTATCCTACAATTGATAGGTTATTGGGTGCCCAGAGAGAGAGAGAGAGAGAGAGTGAGAGCAAGAATGAGAGTGAGACTGAATATGAGATAACGAGAGATGTAGATATACCTCAGGATATAAAATTTATTCATTTTTTGTGTGAAGTGTAAGATTTGCATCTAGTATCTTTATTTTGCATAAGGACATCCCATTGTTCCATCACCATTTGTTGAAAAGGTATCTGTCCTCTGAATTACCACTATACTTTGTCAAAAATCAGTTGACTATATTTGTGTGGGCCCATTTTTGGATGCTATATTTTATCTTTGAAGATAATCTTTCCAAATTTCAGGTGGTTTCTTTATAATAATAATGAGGCATAATTATGTACACATTAAAAAAAGACAGAGTTATTGGATACATAACAGATAACAGGAGTAAGTAAATCATATTAAGATGACATAGATTTTGAATCAGACAGAATTGAATTTGCAACTTGCATTGCTGATTATATGTATATAATATTGTCAATTTATTTAAAGCCTTAATTTCTATAACTGTAAAGTGAACATGATAAATACTGACTTGGTAAGGCTATATTAAGTTATCTAAATTATGTAGGTATCTATAATAAAATTTCTCAGATGACTCAGGTGTCCATGACTGAGTAGCTCTTTCAAATATTTATGTGTGTGTTTTAAATTTTATCATAATAAAAATAAATACATCACAGCATATTTTGGATCAGCAAGATGAACTCTTTACAACCAAATATGAACACCTGAATCTTGAATTCATTGCATTTTATGTTTCAAGAAAATTCTAATATACCATAAAAAATAGTGTAAATGAAAGTTCACATATAGAAAAAAGGTAGCATTTTGACAGGCGAGATTGTTCAAAGTAAGGTAGGTAAGTTATAAACAAAATATAAGAAAAACATTTAACATCATAATCTATAAAATACCAACATTTCAGCGAAGTATACCAGCGTGTGGTTTTATTACCAAGTTAAACAATTTTATAGTAATACTAAGTAGAAAACATTTGCATGTGTGTGTATTAAAATAATTCACATATACAATTTTATTTTACGGGGATTTAGCTAAATGTAGTAGTAGTATTAGTGGTTAAAATAAGTGCATTGTTTAAAAGAGCAGTAATTTTAAAATATAAAAATATCAAATAATATTTATAGTTTCAATATTTGTATATATTTATGCATATATACATATACAGATATAAGGCATTTTACTCCAAACAAAAAGAATAAATAATTAAAAATGAAATGAAATGCTACACTTAATATAGTTTTATTTAAATGATGGTTTATACATAAAATAAATGTCTTTAATTTGATTTATATTGGTTTTTAATGTTCTTTGTGTTAACTAATGTTATTTTGGTTGTATTAGTGAGATAAGACTGTAAGAATAAGAATTTTATTTTTGAACTTAATTTACAGTTATATATATGTAAATAATATTGTGCTCTAAACATTCTTAGTCAAAAAGTTTCTAAATTTAAGTTAAACTCAATAATAATTTTAAACAAACACAGAAATAATGCAGAATAAAGTTTTATCTTTATAGCACCAACAGTTTAGAAAACAAATTTAATTGATGAACTTAATTTTGGGGGATTTGTTTTTGGTTGATTGGGTAAGATTATTCTACATTTCTGTAGCTTAGCACTTAAAAAAATCTAGGCTTCCAGAAACACACATAAAACAAAAAATCCCACAGAAAATAAAAATAAAAACCAAACTCCAATAGGAATCATATTTCTTATCTTTTTAAGAGGAAAAAAGGTATAAACATATTGCAATTACCTTATTCTCTAAACAGCAAAGGGCGAAACTCATTTAATAACACAACAGATAAAAATGTTTACTTCATATCATATTTTTAACAGAGGAGAGAACAGGAATGTAAGTTTAAGGAAGAAACACAAAGATGGGTATAGAAAGATATCCTGAAAGAGAAAAGGAGTAAGACACATCAGTGACAGAAAAAAAAGGACACCAAGCAAGACATTGTTCAAAACAATAGAATAGGAAGCATGTAAAGTGAAAGACATATGGAAGAAGGAAGCTGAGGATGGAATAGGGAGAGAAAAAGAGTCATCATCATTCACTCATAAATCTAAACAATCGCTCATGTAAGAAGTACTTATTGAGCTTGCTAGCATGTGCCGTGCTCTGTGACAGATGCCAGGCCTGTGCTAGTGAATAAAATGAACATGATGCTTACAATCTAGTAAAAGATCAAGATCATAATCCATTTTTAAAAAGCAAGTAGGCTTTAACATATAATAAATATTCATAGTACAAAATCACACTGTCACACTATAAAAGAGAAAAGTGGGGAAACATGTGTTGTGTCTTAACTCCTAGTTTACAAAGATACACATTGGTAAAAACGATTCATAATTTTTAACTATTTTTAGTGTTTGTCAGAAAAAAGTATTCCTGTGTTAATTGGAAGTAAACAAGACTATCATATGCTAATATCCCCCTTGAATTTCTTTCTAAAACATTCGCTACTTCAGAAACAGAGAATTTCAACATCAAACATAAACATGCTTATTTTTATTTTAAAATGTTCAAATCCACAGTTAAATTACAATAATGTTTTTCAATAAAATTTATAGTGTTTAGTCAAGTAAAATATGCTTAGATTTTAGACTAATTGTCTTAGTCCATTTGAGCTGCTATAACAAAATCCCTTAGAATTAGTAATTTATAAAAAACAGAAATGTATTTCTCATAGTTCTGGAGACCAGGAAGTCCAAGATCAAGGTGCCAACAGATTTGATATCTGGTGAGGGTCCTTCGGAGCCAGCAAATAGCTGTACAATGGCCTTTAAATCACATGTAATATTCTGGAAAAAACAAAATTAAGTATTAATAGTTTGATTTTGATTTAATTTTTACACTTGGAGAAAAATGGCTTAAAGTTTATTAAAAGATGTATTATTTTTGTTTCATATCCTTAGGATATGTCCTGTGTTTAGAGTACAATTTTAGAAAGTGAAAATTGAATGACCTTAGTGATTAGGTTCTTCATCAATTGAGGTGATTATAGCATAAGTAACCATAATATTAACAATTCTGATAGATCTATGCATTTTTATTTGCTTGATTTTCATGTACTATTTTCAAATCACAGATCGACATCACAGATGTTCTAATTTCTTTCTGGGTGTATCAGTGAGAAAAATGCTGATTAGTTTTAGGGTTCATCAGTCTTTTTTTTTTTTTGACCTCCTTTTTATTGTAGCAATATTCACAAAAGCCAAAAGGCTGAAACAATCCAGATGTTTCTTGACTGATGAACACATCAAAAAATTTGACATGTACGTACAATGAAATATTATTCACCCTTAAAAGAAGTCTTGTCACATTTTAAGATAAACTTTGAGAATATTATGTCAATGGAAATAAGCCAGTAACAAAATGATGGATACAATATAATTCTACTTATGTGAGATGTCTTAAGTAGTCACACACATAGAAACAGAAAGTGGGAGGAAGGTGTTTGCAAGCGTTGAAGAGAGAGTAAAATGGGCTGTTGTCACTTAAGGGTATTGAGTTTTAGTTTTACAAGATGTAAAATTTCTAGAGGTCTTTTGCATAATAATGTGAATATACTTAACATGCCTGAGATATACAATTGTTTTTGAGACAGGGTTTCACTTTGTCACCCAGGCTGGAATGCAGTGGCACAATCACAGCTCACTGCAGCCTCAAACTTTCAAGCTCAAGTGATTCTTTTTTCTCAGTCTCCCAAGTAGCTGGGACCACATGTGCACACCACCATGCCTGGCTATTTTAAAAAAATTTTGGCTGGGTGTGGTGGCTGACACCTGTAATCCCACCACTTTGGGAGGCTGAGGCAGGCAGATCACCATGTCAAGAGATCAAGACCATCCTAGCCAACATGGTGAAACCCTGTCTCTACAAAAAATGCAAAAATTACCTGGGCATGGTGGCACACGCCTATAGTCCCCGCTACTTGGGAGGCTGAGGCAGGAGAATCGCTTAGACCCGGGAGGTGGAGGTTGCAGTGAGCGAAGATCATGTCATTGCACTCCAGCCTGGCAATAGAGTGAGACTCTGTCTCAAAAGAAAAAAAAACTTGTAGAGACAGGGTCTCCATATGTTTCCCAGGCTGGTCTCAAAATCCTCGGTTCAAGCAATTCTCTTGTCTTGGACTCCCAATATCCTGGGATTACAAATGTGAGCCAACACCATGCCTGGCCCTAATCTGTACAGTTAAATAGATGTAAGATGGTAAAATTTATGGTATGTGTTTTCACAATGATTTTTTTAAAGAACAACTAAAAGAAAAACAGAATTATAAATCTTTCCAAAAATTACCTTTAAGTTACAAAAGTATTTTACACAAAGAAATTATGTGTTCATCATAAAAATATGATGAAAATAAGGTTATTTCTATGACTACTCATTTAGACTGGATAAAACAACCGTTGCAAATCTGTTAAGAAAAGAAATATACAAGATCAGCCATAACCAAAACTGGGGACATATTTACAGATAAAAGTGCAAGCATGCATAATTTATTTATGATAGACATATGTGTAAGACTTAAATATAAAGAAAAAATGTTTTTGGAGGAGGATCTTGAAGCTGTGAGAACTTTATAGAATCAAGAGAAATCTTATTCAAGAGTGAAAACCCAGAATTGGTAAACAAAATATAAACATAACTGATACTGTAAAAAAAAAAGTGCCTTCCATCAGTGCACAGTTACTGTTGAATATTACAGTTATCTAGACAATTTCTTTTCTAATGGTACATCAATGTTGCATACCAGATTTTAGTAGTAAATATTTCTCTCATTATTGATTTGCAGTTCCATATTACTGCTTATTTTAGCGTAGGTTTCTTAACATCAGTTTCTTGTGTGTTTTGGTTTTACTTATGTATTATAATTTTAAACAGTTTGTAGTTCTGTATGTGTGCTTCAAGTCAATGTGGGATCTAACTACAGGGACACTGTTCTTATAAGCAAAATGGTGATGGGAAGAGAGAGATATTATTTAGAGAAGCCTTACCAAAACAACCGCCCCTACAAAGGTAACAATCTACTGAATTGTACTCAATTAATTCGAACTTTAATCCACTAGGGAAGATTTGGGGAAAGGTGATAAAGTTAAGTAAACATACAGAACAGATTCATTTGCCTTTGAGTATGATTTTTCTCTCACTTGCACCCAGTTTTAAATAATACAAGCACTTAAATGAGTGCTTCACTTCTGGCCCACTCAGAATATATAGCCAAAATTGGGGAAAATGTGAAATTTTCGCGAAATCGCTAAACCAACAAATGTCTACAATGGTGGTAAAATACATTAAACAACCACTTATCTAATATGGTTAAAATAAATAATTGATTATTAATCAGAAATATCAGTTTCATCTAATGTAAAAATAATTATAAAAAGGATAATTTATTTCAATGAACACTTTCTTAAAAAAATTAGGGCCTATTAAAATTATATACTTTCACCAGTTTTTTGACGCAGGACCAAGTGTTTTTCACTAAGCACCAAGTTCCATATTGTATTTCAAAAATACATCCTTTAGAGATAGTTAAATGTTTTTGCTTTTTTAAAAGTAGAGTGAGAATGTCAAGATGCTTAGAAAACCACCTAAGTGCATATTCTTGTTGATTTTAATGGTTTAATTTTAGTTTGTGCCCCTTACCTGTTCTTGAGAACATTTTTTAAAACAACTTATCCTTATGTTAGAAGAGTAGATATTTGGTAAAAAGTACAAAAATTATTTATATGTATATATAAACATATATACATATAAATATAAACATATATATATATATATATCTCCATATAAAATCTTTCTAAATTTTCTACTTGGCTTTCCTAGGTGAAAACACACACACACACACACACACACACACACACACACCCCATTTCTTTTTTTTTCTTTTTGTATTTATATTTTGTCATTTGAGGGAATATTTGAACAAACAATATATATGTTTTGGAATCTTCACAACTGTCTCTTGGTGACTGCACAATTCAACTGCTGAAGGCAGGAGAGCATGGATGTGTTAAGTAGTGGCCAGCTGGCCTCGGCCAGAAACTGTGGACAACAACGTACACAATAAAGACAATCGAAAAGGGATAGTGATTTCGATTATCAGCTAAGAGCTCAGTTACATGACCCTCTACAGTTTCAAATCCCTGTCTTATAGCTACATGGAGAAGCTGTAGAAATCCAGAGGCTAGCCTAAGTGTATAACTTTTTCAAAGTTATCTGATTTATATATCTGAGTACAGCATATTTAGAAGCTAACCATAACAAATGTGCAATCAGACATACCTAAATTTGAGCATCAACTATTTTTTCCCTTTTCTTTGGAGAACTTTGAAACTTTACTTACTAAATAAATACGATAAAGACAACAAACTCACAATAAAATAAATAAATAAGTACATCTTAAATTCACAATACCTAGCTACAGTGGTTTGGTTGATTATTAAACACAAAACATAAGTATTGGCCTATATTGTGTGGCAGCTGATACATGGTTAATAATTGTCCTTTACAAATATCCAGAGACTTAAAGTATAATCAAAATAAAATAACCAGAATCCATGTTGGTCTGTGTTTCTCTCAAAAACTTTTTAAATCTCACCAAATGTGGTCTGGGGACTTTCAGAATCAGAATCCGCTAGCAGCTTATTGGAAATGCAGAATCTCAGGGCCCAGAACTACTGATACAGTACTCACATTTTAACAAGATGCTCAGATGACTTGTGTCCCTCAGTTGACACACTAGAGCACCAGTCACACACAGGGGGACATGAGGGAATCAGTGGAGCTCATCAGCGCAAAAGCAGCTTTCCTGGGGATTAAGTTGTAAGCCTGAGCTTTGTAGCATCACCTAAGTAAGCTATTTAGGATACTCACAGTTATTGGTAATACTAATTCTTTAAGTCCCCTATCATCCTCAATTGTATGGATTTAACTTATAGATGTTTAAATCTTGGGTAGTTAGTTATACATAACATATATAAAAATAATATCCTGGAAATGACCAATAAGTCAAAACAACTTTTTGCATTTCAGGCCCAGGTATTTTAAAACTGCCCAAGATTTGGTATGCTGTAGTTAATTATCGTTTCTCAAATTACAATCACCTCTTGCTATTATTTTAAACGTCAACTTTGATAAAGTCAATTTAACCCATACCATTAGGGCTATTCTTAAGAAATAAAATTACCTAGGAAGCTCAAGTGACTCAGATATAATAGTTGTGGACTGTGACTGCGTGCATTCCATCAGTTCTTAGATTGTGTTGTCATTTCTGTGTATGTTTAAAATAATTAAATACTATTAGCCATAAAAATGAATGAAATCAAGTCATTTGCAATGACATGGATTAACCTGGAGGACATTATGTTAAATGAAATAAGCCAGGTACAGCATGATCTCACTCATATGTGGAATCTGAAAAAGTTTATTTCACAAAAGTAGAGTAGAAAAGTGGTTACCAGAGACTGAAGAGGATAAGGAGAAAGGAGGGATAGGAGAGATTGGTAAATGTGTACAAAATTACAGTTATATAGAAGGGATCCGTTCTGGTGTTTTATTGCACAATAGTTGACTATGGGTAACAATATTGTTTTGTATATTTCAAAATAGCTAGAAGATGATTTTGAATGATCTCTACACAAAGAAATGATAAATGTATAGAGATGGATACACGAAATACCCTGATTCGATATTTATAGAGTGTATACATGCATCAAAAATCACCTCATACCTTATAAATATGTTAATTAAAAAATTATAAAAAAATTTATAACAGGCCGGGGGCAGTGGCTCATGCCTGTAATCCCAGCAATTTGGGAGACCGAGGCGGGAGAATCACGAGGTAAGGAGTGCAAGACCAGCCTGACCAACATAGTGAAACCCCGTCTCTATTAAAAAAATACAAAAAAATATAACTTACATTCATAAATCTAGTATTAAGTCATGGAATTAGGATATAAGCCCAACTCTTTCCAAATTGTAATTTCCAAATTTTTAAGCCACTTCTTAAAAATGACTTCAAATATACCAGTTCTGACCCTCCTCATTCCTAGACCTTAGATTTGTTCCCCATCCCCACTTTCTGTAGGCACAGGAGTTGTGCTTTATGAATGGGAGACCCGCTATCTTTCAAATATACCAGTTTTGACCCTTCTCACTCCTAGACCTTAGTTTTCTCCCCCACCCCTCTTTCCATAGGTACAGGAGTCGTGCTTTTTGAATGAGAGACCCGGTATCTTTTCTGTTGCTGACTCTGAGTACAGAGTAAACCGGAACTTCTCCCCGGCCCCTGTCATTCATTCAAGGAACAGAAGATGTTTTCTGGATCTCTGGTTTTGCTGGTTTTGTTTATATTACGGTGTTTTGGACAGACTCTAGTAAACTTTTATTCTTCTATTTATCCCATTCTTCACATGCTTATTATAGATATTATTCACAATTGTGAGAGAGGTGAAAGAAATAGATGAGTGAAGAGTGCTGAAGCTGGGGTTAAAGGGCAAAACAAAAATGTTAAAATACATAGTTTATTTCTTGTAATTCAGGTACTAGAAGCTTGCAAATATTAAGTGTCTGCCTCTGTCACTCGCTGTATTAATAAAAAGACAGAGTATTTTTTAATTTGATTGAACCTCATACAGTCTTATAATACTTGTAGTTTTGTTTCATTCGATTTGTTCTGAAAATTATGTCTCAGTTTGAAAAGTTAAATCGCCCAGGATATTTAATGCACACAGGTGTGCATATCCAGAAACCACTTCCTTCGTTCGCATTTCTTAGACGGTTGTTTCCAGTTGTAATATTTAAATTTGTAAGGACCTTATTCTCTTAATAGCAAATCACAGTTTTGGCAAATCTGTTGATTTCAAGAAACCAAACTTACTAGCTTTTGCAAGTCTACATTTCACCATTAGTTTAAATTGCAGAAGTCTTTTGCGGGAAGATGATTCATCACCCTGTGTGCCTGTTTCTTTCTACTTCAAAAATAGGGTTACATCTATAATTTTGAATCCTTTAGTGATTATAAGCTCAAAACTTTGGAGAATTGTACCCTGCTATGTGGAAATATTTTTACAGTTTTGTTCTGTATTTTAAACTGTTAAGGTTAAGCCAATAAATTCCAGAATTTGAAACTCTACCATGTGAAAATTAGATATTCCAAAAGAAAGATAGTAAGTTCCATTGCTGGAAATGGAGTGAATGGGGATATATCTACCATGATAGAGACTTCCGTGTGTTATAGAATATTTATTCTATAGTGCTTAATTTCCTCCACCCCTAAGTCCAAATCATTTGGAAACATGACATTAGAAATTGGTGAGTAAACAATGATATAAAAATGTAGAGAATTTATAGTTTAGGTAGGCTATTATTGTGATAATAGCTTAATTATTGCTTAATTCACTTTTTACTAAAAAAATCTTAAGTTTGTAACCTATAAATGCTTTTTACATAATCCTTGGATGCTTCACTTTTGCAACAGTAACATGTCACTATTTATGCTCATACAAAAGTTTTAAAATATTAATATTTTTATTATTTTTGTGGAATGTTTTCTTTCACATAATTGCAAATTAAATTGTTAATAATTCATTTCTCAGTTTTATAATACAGCTGTGCCAACCAGATACCCTCAAAGAAATGTTATCTACTGGTTTCTAAACACAAATATATGAACAATATCAGTTATTTTAAAAAAGGGGAAATTATCACAGATTCCTGCAAGAGGCTTATGAATCTAACTACATTCATTTGACAATTTCAACCTTAATCTGCTAAATTGTATAATTTTGAAATACTTTAAAAATGTACATTACATTTTTAGTATATGTGTTAAAACTTTAGTATTAACCTAAATCATTATTTCAAGCCCTGGAATGTAGCCATATGGACCATTTTGATATTAATTGTTTTCATCGGGTATTGAAATACTCAGCCATTGATTGAGATTGACAAACCTGGAAATTAGGGGTGTTCTGCAATGAATGCTAGTTGTGGAAAATGATGCTATATATTTTGACATAAAATAAAAGTGAAAAGTCTTTGGGCTGAGTATAATTTAGTTTTTTAGATCCTCTGCAGTTTTATTAGAAGCAGATATATCCAGGAGTTCTTCCTACTAATGGCCTTGATTTGAAGTAATGTGAACATCAATTTAATTTAGAAATCTAAATCCAGGTACATATTCATCTGCTTTGCAGGTTTCATTGAATTGACTAGTGCAATTTTGTAGAAACTGTGACTGTGAAGGATAAAGAAAAAAAATGGAAAATGAGACCCAATGCATAGAACTGCAAAACGCAATTGATGACCCTCAGTCACATTTCTTGTCAGTGAAGACAAAGGTATAATGTGAAAAATCCTATAACAATACGCAGAAAAAATATCTCATTGAAAGACAGGGAGGTGAATTTTTTTTATAGTCCTATTTCTTTGACTTTCACAGGATGAATAGATGTGCAGCATCATTTACTAAGAATAGAACTGAAAGACATAGGATCAGATTGTCTTTTACACTTTTGCAAGCCTTCTTTATTTAAAACACTCTGTGGCATATTTCAGAATTTGTGTTCTATATTGTGTTTGCATTGAAATTTATTATTGCTTTACTGATAAAATATTTATTCTAGTAAGTCAACTGAATTTCTAGAGTACCAATTTCTTTAGATTCAAGGTTAGTGTTAAAAATTTAATTCTGACACATACTTGTCTCTGACATTTTCACATAAGATTAGAAATATATGTATAAACAGATTTTTCACAGACATTGATCAACAGTTACGTGACACATTTCAACAGAATATGAGTTTCGGACATTCACTTCCATCATATGTTGAAAAGGCACTCATAAATTTAAAAAACATTGTGAATTATTATTTTGCTAATATGTATCCAAGAATAAATTCATAGTTCTGGATGAGAAAAGGGTTGATATTATTTGGAGATACATCTCCTTAAAAAGTCTGATGAAATTAATAGTTTCATAATTCATTTTTGATAATGCAGAGGTTCACATAATACTTCTGTATTTTTTTATGTCCGCCATTATCTACCTGTTTTACCCACTTCGTTGATCAGTAATATCTTAAATATTACACAAGAGGAAAATTTAAAGCATGTATATAGTGAAAGTCTAATATATCAATGTAATCATTCTAAAATGGTTTTTATGAAAGTTTCTTGAGAAAAAATAAGAAAAACTGACTTGTAAAGACAAACAACATTATTTATATATTTAAATTTCAAATTCTATTTTATTGTCATTATATAATTAAAATGAATTTAAGACATTAATTCTATATTTTATTCTGCACTAATTTTCACTCAACTCTTGTAACAGCATAAAAGTGAAACTCAATAACTGTTATTAATTCTTTTAATTTGGCATTATGGCATTCTATGCTTTAACCCTATTTGTTTTATACAGTAATGTCTTGGACTAAATCACATAAAATATACTTTTCTGGTTATCCTCCCCCAAATAAACATTGATCCCCTAATCAGTTAATTAAAGAGTGAATTATGTTATGGATTATTTTTTAACTGAGTCAAAGTTACTTTGGCTAATTGTGTAAATTTAGGTAAATTTGGTAATCTTTCTGTCTCATTTCTCTCATCTCTAAAATTAGAAATATGATAGGTCCTGCTACTCTTGACTTTGTAAATATTCAATCTGCTAATGTAGTTAATGTGTATCCACATTTACCAGGTAATATATGGTAGGTGTGGTTATAAGGTAACTACTGTCGTAGCAAATGTATGAACGTAAGACTGTTATCTCTGGCATGTCTCCATAATGATCCATTACTGAGAGTCCACCTATTTTATTTCACCAGAGACAAAAGTATATATACTTTTTTAAAAATTATAAAACATACTGTTTTTGCTTTCTTTCCTGCAGCTTAGCTTGGTATTAATTTATTCTGCGCTGTAATTATGCAACCTTAACTTGACTATAATTAATAACAATAATGTCTAGATTTTGGCAGCAGCTGAGGGTCTATTCTCTAAAATCAATTTGCAGAACATATTTATTCCTTCAGTTTGCATAGATGATAGCCCAAACATGAAGTTTCTCTCAGCTAGTAATTTAGCACAGGCAGGAAGAAGCAAATAGATATCATGGTTTGAATGCCATAATATTATCTGTTCCTTCTCAGTTATGTTTCTGTAACAGAAAGATTTTTTAACAAATTACATAAATAGAACTTTAAAAAGTTTGAAACGTCTGTATTTTTATCCAAGCAGAAGATAGTTGCACTCCTGCTGAAGGTGTGGTTTTTAAAAACTATTTGTAATTATATAATAAATATGGGACATTCACCATGCTCTTTGAATGTAAAATTAGATGTCTATGTTAGGCATATTGATCAAGTACCATTTAGTGTACCATGAGATTTACAGAGAAATTCATGGAAAAACTGAGAAGACTTGAAGTCAGAGACGTGATGACTGTTCAGTATATTAAATAAGTACTGAATTAAGAAATAAAACCAGGTGAGCTAAGTATTCAGTGAATGACAGCTACCCCAAATACAATTAATTTTTCCCTAATAAACCACTTGCATTTCTTGCAAAGTTATTAATCTATTCATTCACTTATCAAACATTTACTCAACTCTTGTTGGGAGATGGGCCTAGACTAGGAACAACAACAACAAAAACAACAACAAAACAGAATAGTGAACAAAATACCTGTAACATCTTTCTGTGGAGTTTTAAAAGCAGCAGAGAAGAGAGAAAATGAATAAGAACAAAAAGTCCTATGAGAACCTGAGGGCGCCATGGGATGATTTAAGCAGTAGAATCTGCTTAAATAGCAATAGAATCTGTGGGGTTAGGAGAAGGCCCTAGTTTTTCTGAAACTCACTTTGTTAGTCTGAATGAGCTGATCTTTGCAGTAATTATTCATAAAATTATCATTATTATCTTGATAATTATTGAAATATGAAAAACATTAAGATACCTTTTATCTACCTCTGAAATTTAGAAATGTAGAATTTGAATGTTCCTAGTATGGTTTCAGATTCAAATTTTTTTACATTATCATAATATATTCAAATGATTCTTGATTCATGTCAAAATAGATTGATTTAAACTTAAGTTTAAATACTGGATTCACCCCTACTTCAGCTACTCCTGGCCTTTCTCATCCACATGATTTTTTAGAAACGTGGTTTTTTTTTGTTTTTTTTTTTTTAAACAGGGGCAAAATTACCCCGTCTGGAAATATTGAAGACAATATCTGAAGACAGTTTCCATTGTCACAGTTTGAAAGATGGTGCTATTAGCATCTAGTGGGCAGAAGGCAGGGATGCTGCAAAGCATCCTATGATATGTGTGTATCTCTGCACAACAAAACATTATCCACCTCCAAAGTTTCAAAAGTCCCAAGGTTGAGAAAACCTGCTTTCAGAAAAATAATCATCTTTTTTTCTCCCTGAATTCACGTTGGTGTTTTCCCACTCTGACACAGAATATTAAGGAGATATATTTTAATACATTAACTATTAAACTTACTAATGTTTTTATATATACAAATTACCCAATTTTGTAACAGTCACAATTTAGCTGTGTATACATTTATTCATTAGTTTAACAAATATTGATCAAAGATCTACTATGTGTTAGTCCTTCTGCTCTTTATACAAAAATGTACAAAATCTCATCTTCCATCGAAATAAACAAGAATTATTGAAATGCTTTGCAATATGTATCGTTTAAATTATTTCTTACTTGAATATATGTTAAAGCCTAAGGTGATGTCATCAGGTACATTTCCATATACAGGCTTCCTCAGAGATACTGCTAATTTGGTTTCTAAACACCACAATGAGATGAGTCGCATGATATTTTGGTTACCCGGTGCATATAAAAGTTATATCTACACTATACTGTAGCCTATTAAGTGTATAATAGCATGATCTCTAAAAATGTAGACATGTTCGTTAAAAATAATTTATTGCTAAAACATGCTAATGGTTATCTGAAGCTTCAGTGAGTTATCTTTTTGTTGTTGGAGGCTCTCGTCTTGATGATAACTGCTGACTGATCAGGGTGGTGGTTGTTGCTGAGGGTTAAGATGACTATGTTTTTTTTTTATTTCAACTTTTATTTTAGATACAGAGGCTACATGTGCAGCTTTGTAACATAGAAATGTTGTGTGATGCTGAGGTCTGTGTACAGATCCCATTACCTAGGTAGGGAGCATAGTACCCAATAGGCAGTCTTTGAATCCACGCCCTCCTCCTTCCCTCCCCACTCTAGTAGTCCGCAGTGTCTATTGTTCCCATGTTTGTGTCCATGTGTGCTCAGTGTTAGCTCCTACTTACAAGTGAGTACATGCAGTATTTGGTTTTCTGCTTCTGTGTTACTTTTCTTAGAATTATGGTCCCTGGCTGCATCCATGTTGCTGCAAAGAACAGAGTTTCATTCTTTTTTAGGGCCATGTAGTGTTCCAGGGTGTATATGTACCACATTTTCTTTATCCAGTCTACAATTGGTGGGCTCCTGAGTTAATTTCATGTCTTTTCCATTGTGAATAATGTATTAATGATCATATGAATGCATGTCTTTTTGGTAGAATGATTTATTTTTCTTTGGGTAAATAGTAATAGGATTGCTAGGTTGAATCATAGCTCTGTTTTAGGTTATTTGAACAATCTTAAGACTGCTTTCTACATTCCCACAAACAATGTGCAGTCTTTGCCCTGCAGCCTCACCAGCATGTTGCTTTATGAGTTTTTTTTTGTTTTTGTTTTTGTTTTTTTTTTTTGAGATAGAGTCTGGCTCTGTCGCCCGGGTTGGAGTGCAGTGGCGTGAAATCGGCTCACTGCAAGCTCCGCCTCCCGGGTTTACACCATTCTCCTGCCTCAGCCTCCCAAGTAGCTGGGACTACAGGCGCCTGCCACCACGCCCAGCTAATTTTTTGTATTTTTAGTAAAGACGGGATTTCACCGTGTTAGCCAGGGTGGTCTCGATCTCCTGACCTCATTATCCACCCACCTCAGCCTCCCAAAGTGCTGGAATTACAGGCATGAGCCACCACGCCCGGCCACTTCATGAGTTTTTAAAAATAGCTATTCTGACTGGTGTGAGATGATATCTCATTGTGGTTTTGATTTGCATTTCTCTGATGATTAGTGATGCTGACCATTTTTTCGTGATTGTTGGCCACTTGTATGTCTTCTTTTGAGAAGTGTCTGTTCAAGTCCTTTGTCCATTTTTCGTGGAGTTACTTACTTTTTGCCTGCTGATTTGTTTAAGTTCCCTATAGATTCTGAATATTAGGCCTTTATCAAATGCATAGTTTGCAAATATCTTCTTCCATTCTGTAAGTTGTCTGCTTACTCTGTTGATAGTTTCTCTTGTTGTGCAGAAGCTCTTTAGTTTACTTAGGTCCCACTTGTCTATTTTTGTTTCTGTTGCAATTGCTTTTGGAGACTTAAGACAAAATGTTTGCCAAGGCCAATGTTGAGAAGAATATATTCTAGGTTATATTCTATGATTTTTATAGTTTATTATCATTATTTTTTTTAGAGACAGAGTCACATCTTGTCAATCAGGCTGAAGGGCAGTGGCACAATCATATAGCTCACCGCAGCCTCGAACTCCTGAGCTCAAGGGATCCTCCCACCTCAGCCTCCCAAGTAGCTGGGACAACAGGTGCATGCCAATATGCCCAGTTAACTTTTAAAAAGTAAAAATTTTGCCTGAGACTAGATCTCACTATGTCATCCAGGCTGAGCAATTTTTTAAGATAAAACAACAATGAAGTTCACTGCATCAGTTGACTTCCTTTTATAAAATATTTTTTGTAGCATGCAACAATGTTTGGTAGAAGTTCTACCTACCTATATGAAAACTTTTGTCAGAATTGGAATCAATTCTCTTCAACCCTGCTGCAGCTATACAAACTAACTTTATGTAATATTCTAAATCCTTTGTTGTCATTTCAACAATGTTCACAGCATCTTCACCAGAAGTAGATTCTATCTGAATAATCCACTTTCTTTGTTCATTCATAAAAGATAACTCCTCAACAATTCAAGATTTATCATGAGATTGCAGTAATCTCATGATAGTAACTCAGAGATAGGAAGTAACTCTGCAGTTACTTCCTCCACTAAAGTCTTTAACACCACAAAGTCATACATGAGAGTTGAAGTCAACTTTTTCCACACTTATATCAATGTTTATATTTTTACTTCCTCCTATGCATAGCAAATATGCTTTATGGCATCTGGAATAGTGAATCTTTTCCAGAAAGTTTTCAAATTACTTTGCCCAAATCCATTAGAGAAATCAGCATTTATGGAAGCCTTATGAAATGTATTTCTTAAATAAATAAGACTTGAAAGTCCACATTACTCCTTGATACATGGGACACAGAATTGCTGTTGTGTTCACAGGCATAAAAATAATATGAATCTTTTTGTAAATCTCCATCAGAGCTCTTGATGACCAGGTACGTTGTCAGTGAACAATGATATTTTGAAAGAATTCTTTGATTCTGAGCAATATGTCTCAACAGTGGGCTTCAGGTATTCAGTAAATCAAACTGTAAATAGATATGCTTTTATCCAGTCTTTGTTGTTTCATTTATGGACTACAGGGAGAGGAAATTTAGTGTCATTATTAAGGGTCTTTGAATTTTCAGAAAGGTAAATGAACAGTGGCTTCAACTTAAAGTCAACAGATTCATTAACCCCTAATGAAAGAGTCATCCTGCTATTTGGAGATTTGAAGCTTGGCATTGACTTCTCCTCTCTAGCTATGAAAACCCTAGATTGCATCTTTTCCCAAAGGCTGTTTCATGTATATTTGAAAACTGCAATTTAGTGTAGCCACATTCATCAGTGATCACAGCTAGATCTTCTGGATAATTTGCTACAGATTCTACATCACCACTTGCTACTTCACCTTGTACTTTTATGTTATGGAGAGGTCTTCTTTCATTAAACCTCATGAACCACCCTTTTCTAGTTTCCAAATTTTCTTTTGTAGCTTCCTCTCTTCCCTCAGCCTTCAAAGAATTAAAGAGAATTGGGGTCTTGGTCTGGATTAGGCTTTGGCTTAAGAGAATGTTGTGGCTAGGTTGATCTTTTATTCAGACTACTCAAACTTTCTCTATAGCAACACTAGGGCTGTTTCACTTATCATTCACATGTTCATTGGAATAGTACTTTTCATTTCCTTCAAGAACTTTTCCTTTGCATTTACAAATTGACTACCTGTTTGTCACAAGGCGCCTAACTTTGAGTTAATCCCTGCTTTTCACATGACTTCCTCACTAAGCTTAATCATTTCTAGCTTTTGATTTAAAGTGACTGATGTGTGACACATTCACTTGGACACTTCAAGGCCATTTTAGGGTTATTAATTGGTCTAATTTTAATATTGTTGTGACTTCAGGAATAAGGAGGCCTGAGGAGAGGAGAGGGCAAGAGACAAGGAAATGGCCAGAACACACATGACATTTATTGATTATGTTTGCCATCATGCATAGGTGTAGGTCATGGTGCTCTAACAATTACAATAGTAACATCAAAAGTCACTGATTATATATCACCATACAGACATTATAATAGTAATAAAAGTGTTAAACACTGTGAGAATTACCAAAATGTGACATAGACACAATATAAGCACATGCTGTTGGAAAAATGATGTCAACAGATTTGTTCAATGCAGGGTTGACATAAACTTCAATTAGTAAGAAATGTAATATCTGCAAAGTGCAATAAAGTGAAGGGCAATTAAAAGTATATATGTAGACATAAGTAACTAGAATATAATTTATCACAAAAATTACACCTAATTTTATTATTTTAAAACCTTATTTTAAGCTATTTTCCTTCTCTTATTACCAGTGTGATATGATACAACCTACTTACTACGAGTACCTTACGAAGGTCAATTAAGCTTTAGAAACTATGCCACAAGCACAATTGCTAGTTCCTATCATATTTTCTTCCTAATTGATTTTAAACTACCAATTTTCGTTAGTTCTCTTTAGCTCAGAAAACTTACTTAATGTGCCAAGACTCATATAATACCATAGCTATCAGCAAATTAAATGGTTTCCTAAACATAGGAAAGAAACCGTGTCCAAAACTGTTTATTAAAATATATGTGGCTATTTTTACACAATAAATACAAACTATTTGTGAAATAATTTCTACTTAAGATAATTGTATGCATTTTCTCATGCATAATGTGACATTATTACACTCATTTTTACTTTCCTATTCTCCATATAGATGTTTAATTCTATTGATTTGTGTTACCTCAATTCCCACCAAGGTTCTGTAGAGACATTAAATTTCTATGCAATCTCATAAGTGTCGTTTTCTGAATGTGTGAGCAAGTAGATTCATCTTCCACATCTAGAAAATAGGGTTGTAAAATATACTTTCAGGTCTATCGTATAACATAATCTTTTTTTCTCTTAAAGTATGGCTTATATTAGTTTCCAGCTATTTCTCAATAATACCCATGTCTGAACTATTATTGTTAGTTCTGCCAGGAAATAATGCCAGCATGGGAAATATATTATCTCAGTATTATCTTCCTATTCCACTATAGTAGGAATACACATACTTTGTGAATGAGGAAGGATAGAACTTAAAAATTACAACGAAGTAAAAACTATAAAGCCTTTTACTGTCATCTGATCCCCCTAAAATATGTATTCAAATATTTAAAATGTATAAACTCACAGAGCTGAAAGTAAAAATATGAAATGATGTGGGATTACAGAGCAGATAACAAATGGTCAAGAACCTGTTTTGTTACTTTGTTTTTATCCTTCATGTTAAAGGATTAATGGATAATGCTATCATAATTATTTAATTAACAAGCTCTATTGGAATTGGAAAAGGTGAAGACATAATCTCTTTAGAAAGAAATGTGATAAGATATATTCTACTCTGGTTTGAGAATACCATGCAGCCTCATTAATATATCTTGTTATTGAATCATGGACATCTATAATTGGTCCTACTAAGAGACAGGCTGGGAAGAGTTAGTAGAGTAGGTTGTCAGAAATAAATAAAAAAGTGACCTGGATATCCAAGTGCTAAGTCATTGACATTTTGGGAAATTGTCTTCAGATAAAAAAAGAAATTGGGGAACAAGCAGAGAAGAAAAATATAAGGAGTAAGAAGAGTTCTGGAGAACATTTCAATGATTTGAGGCGGAGGGAAGAATATCAGATATCATGGGAAAGAAAGAGAACAGGGATGGCTGTATTTATCTGGAAAGAGGTAGCTAGGGAGTGGGGCAAACTGGGGGATAGTTTAGAAGTGGATCTAATATCCAGACAGCAATTCCTATTCAATTATTGTCACAGAAGAACAGTGCTTAGACTAAAGTCATGTTTTCTGAGACCCCTGACAATTAGAGAAAATGTTCCTTCCTTTTTTGTTGTTAAAAACAATTCTCCAAGAGCTAGCAGTATTTTCTTTCCTTGCACACCCTTAACACCCAGAATGTAGTGAGGTAATTTTATGCACAGGCTATACTTGCTTCTAATGCCTAAAATCGTCCAACTACACTTTTATTCCTGTGGATATGTAGGCTTCCCTGTTGAAATGCTAGTAGCCCAGAGAAAAGTAACAGATTGGCTGCTTTTCAGTCAATAATATCCACTACAAAGTAAGAAAACAAATCATTCTGCAACATTACTGAGAGGAAATTTCCTAAAAACTGTTAGTGGATGGTGAATAAAGAAAGAGAAAATTGAGGATGAGTGAAAAGGAGAGAAAAGAAAGGAGGAATTTGGAAAGAACTAAGAGTGCTAGTAATACTCATTACTGAGTAAATAGAAGGCAACATGTCACTACTGATGTTTAGTTGTGGGAAGAAGAGAAGAATTGCAGTTGGAGAAAAAGTGCATTTAAGATAACCATGGTCTACACCAAAATTTTAATTAAGGCTTAGTTTATGTTTCAAGATATATTCTTTTTGTTAAAACTAAGGTAAAACTTAGTGATCAACTTTATATTAACTTAAGTCTCACTAGCTTTATTTTGCTGATTACCTCAATTATGTGCCTCATTATTTTATGTTCTTTTTAAATCCAGGTATTAAATAATTCTAGACCACTTTACAGAAAGGAGATACTATAATAACTACTTTTTGGATCTGAAAATACAGCCATGCTCTGAATAACAATATTTTCATCATTGAGGTACCACATATATGAAGGTGGTCCGGTAAGATTATAATGAAGCTAAAAATGCCTATTGCCCAGATACATCTTAACCATTGTAAAGTCATAGCACAATTCATTATTCACATTTGTGCTGATGCCCGTATAAACCAACATACTGTGCTTCCAGTTGTATAAAAATATTGCACATACAATTATGTACAGTACATACTACTTGATACTGATAATAAAGAACTACGTTATTGGTTTATGTATTTATTTACTATAATTTTATTGTTATTTTAGAGTGTACTCCTTCTACTCAGATTTAAAGAGTTAACGTAAAGCAGCCTTAAGTAGGTTTTACAGGAGGTATTGCAGAAGAAGGCACTGTTATCATAGGGAATGATGGCTGCAGACATGTTATTGCCCCTGAAGACCTTCCAGTGGGACAAAATGTGGAGATGAGAAACAGTGACATTTGATGATGCTGCCACCGTGTAGGCCTAGGCTAATGTCTGTTTCTGCTTTAAATTTTAATTTAAAAGTTTAAAAAGTAGAAAATAAAAAAATGTAAAAATAGGAAGAAGCTTATAGAGTAAGGATATAGGGGAAAAATTGTATACAGCCATATCATGTGTTTGTGTTTTAAGCTGTTATTACAAAAAATTTAAAAGTTAAAAAAATGAAAAGTTATAAAGTAAAAAAGCTATAGTAAGGTTAATTTATTATTAAAGAAAGGTTTTTATAAATGTAGTGTAGCCTAAGTGCACAGTGTTTATAAAGCCAATAGCCATGCACAGTAGTATCCTAGGGCTTTTCATTCACTCACCCCTCACACACCGACTCACCCAGAGCAATTTCCAGTTCTGCTACCTCGATTCATGGTAAATGCTCTACATATAATAATAATATTTTTGTATCTGTTATACTATGTTTTTACAGTACTATATTTAACTATGTTTAGATACATAAATATTTACTGTTGTATTACAGTTGCCTACAATATTCAGTGCAGTAACATGCTGTACAGGTTTGTAGCCTAGGATCAATAGTCTATACCTCATAGCCTAGGTGTGTAGTAGACTGTACCATTCTATTCTGTGTAAAGTACACTCTATGATGCTCAAGCAATGGCAAAATGACCCAGGAGTGTATTTCTCAGAAAGTATCTCCCAGCATTAAGTGCTGCATGACTGCATATGAAATTAAGTGACTTTCAAGGTGGATGACATCACGTTTTGAATTATTTGAAAATGCACAAAGGCATTTTTGTTCTCACAATGACAAAAAGCCTCTACCAGAATAGAATGGGTGAGACTCAGGAATGCTAAACAACTAGCTAATTGGCTGTTCAGTTTGGCATAACCCAAATGTTCAGAGAAACTTTAAGCTAATATAAATAATTAGGAAATGGCAGACACCATTAACTCACTGATCTAATTTATTTCCACAATCTCTTTTTCTCTGAGTACATTCCATTTAGGGGAGGTGTGTGTGACACATCTCCTACTAATAAGACGAGACTGGAAGTCAGCTTTGTAAGACCTCTGAGCACATTTTGCTTTTTTTTTTTTTTTCAACTTTTATTTATTTAACATAACATCTGCAGGTATGTTACATGGAAATTTTGTATGATGCTGAAGTTTGGGGTAAAAATTCTGTCACCTAAGCTGTGACCATAGTACCTGATAGGTAATTTTTTAATTCCACCCCCGCCACCACCCTCTAAGTTGGTTGTGTCTATTTTTCCCATAATTCTGTACATGAATGCTGAATGTTTGACTCCCACTTAGAAGTCATAACATGCAGTATTTGGTTTTCTGTTTCTGTCTTAATTTGTTTAGGGTTATGGCTTCCAGCTCCATCTATATTGCCATTGGCCATAAAAGACATGATTTCATTCTTTTATATGGTAGTATAGTATTCCATGGTGTATCTATACCACATTTTCTTTATCCAATCTACTATTGATGGGCATCTGGATTGATTCCATGTCTTCACTGCTGTGGTAGCACAGCAATAAGCATGCAAGAGCATGTGTCTTTTTGATAGAATGATTTATTTTCTTTTGGGTATATAACCAGTAATGGGATAGCTGGGTGGAACTGCAGTTTTGCTATACATTCTGCGAAAATTTTCCAGATTTCTTTTCACAGTGGCTGAACTAAATTACATTTTCACCAACAATATATAAGTGTTCCCTTTGCTCTGTAGCCTTACCAGCTTCTGTGGGTTTTGGACTTTTTAGTAATAGCCATATCTGTCTGGTGTGAGATTGTATCTCATTGTCGTCTTAATTTGTATCTATCTGATGATTAGTGAAAAAATAAATAAGATTGATAGACCCTTTGCTATATTAACAAACAAAAAGAAAGAAAAGACCCAATTAATCACAATCAGAAATGACAAAGGTGGTATTACAACTGATCTTACAGAAATACAAAAGATCGTCAGAGTACTATTAACAACTCTATGCACACAAATTAGAAAATCTAGAGGAAATGGATAAATTCTTCCTAGCACACAATCTCTCAAGTTGAATCAGGAAAAGATTCGCTCCTTGCATAAATTGAAACCTTGAATAGGCCAATATCAATTTCTGAAATTGAACCAGTAATAAAGAATTTACCAACTAAAGCAGACCCAGAACAAGATAGATTCACAGCCAAATTCTACCAGAAGAACTGATATCAATCACTGAAACCATTCCAGAAAAATCTAAAAGAAGAAGTTTCTTCCTAACTCATTCTATGAAGCCAGCATCAGCCTGATACCAAAACCTGACAGACACATGAAGAAAGCTTCCAATTAAAAAATTTGAATTATGTTATGAATATTCACATTTCTGTTAGTTACTAAAATCTGCCTCTAGAATGTTGGAACTAGAAACACTAGAGCAAAAAAAGTGAAATATTTTCTAAAACATATACATTCTATTAATAAATTTCATGGGTAACTTTACTGGTAAATGAAAAGAAGTTGTGATGATAAATAAAGTCAATGTTTTACTAATAACTGATATCAGTATTGATTGTTTAACTGAGTACACCATTTATTTCACTTCAATTTATTATCCCAACTCCTTAGAAAGACAGTTAAAAATATCTTTTTGGTATAGATACAGGAATTTTAGGTAAAGTTTAGAAATGATTTAAAAATTATTCATCATATTTTTGTGTACATTATTTCCTGCATTAAAGTTTTACAGATTTCCTGAAAAGTGTTATTACCTAAAACTATTGTATACATTAATAATTCTATATGCAAATGTGTCCTGCCAAATGCTTGAGAGAACTATTCATGGAATTTGTTCACTATCTTTTACAAATAAATTCTAAACACAGTTCAGTACTCTGTTTCTTATCAAGATTTTCTTTCCTATAGAAATTCCAGATGGGCTATTCAGAATTTCCAAAAAAACCAGCTTGAGGAACATGAAGCTGTCAGATTAAATGAAAACTTCTAAGGCCTTTCAGAAGTGTCTCGAAGTCTCCAAACAACTGCATCCAGCTACTCATCATTATCAATGTGAAAACTGAGATAATGATAGCTTCTCTAAGAGATATTAATTGAAAGGAGGAGCTGATGACAAATATAATCACTGAAATCAAATATTTATTCAAAATCAATTTTTTTATCTTTTAAAGTTAATATTTGAATTTGGAAGTCTTAAAATAGAATTTTAGAAAATTATGGAAGACAATTCTACAGATAATTCAGTTGTAATTATTTAAAAGTTCCCTTACTTAAAAATTGACCTTGAGCAGAATTTTTAAAATCCAACTATTATAAATATAAAACTGACACTGTTATAGAGATGCTTATGAATATAAAAAAGTGAATATTACATGAATTCTCTATAAAGTATGTTTTGTTTTTAACAGAATTTTTCAGTAAACAATATGCAGTAGTAATTCTAATTTAAGAGAAGTCATTTTCAGTGACAACTTGGTGTTGCTGCCAGCTCAAAGTAAAGTGGCAAAGTTCATTCAGCCACTTCCTAGACAACTTTGCAATATGTTGGCTTTTTCATCCCTCATGATATCAAAAGGCCAAAATACTTTTTGGCTCTTGAAACGTGTTCTGTGGCTATCTAAAGCTCTCTTACTGCTGTGGCAGCCTATTCTAGTTAATGCTCCTTAAGTTCCAAGAATACTATTCTCTCTTCCTCAAGCTCAGTTGATATCTTTATATTCTCAGCATCACTATTCCCTTTTTAGGGTTAAGGATAAGGCAATCTGCTTGGTTTATTAAAGTATTTCATTCTAAGGTGTAATTTACTGGTAGTCCTACCTGAGTCACTGCAATTTATAAACAATGCAGTGTCTAATGTACTGTTAAATTGTGTTGTAATAATTCATTTTCTTATTTATTATCTATCTCCCCCACTGGAATAAAATCTCCATGGAAGCAGGCATCTCTGTTGTTATGATTCCCCTGCAGTGTCTAGTTTACTAGTCAGCAGTATTGATTCCGTCAGGTTTCTTAAAGAGTAGTAAATGTTAGAAGTTCATAAAAAATTACAGACCACAGTAAATGATTATTTTTGGGTGGAAATGACAAAGAAGGTCTATTAGATTATATTTTTAAGGATATATAGGTTTTGCATAGATTATGTACTCAGATGCTAAAACAGTCCATAGTTTCTATATACCACTGCCACATAGTCTACACACAGATATGGTACACAGTTAGATTTCCCATATCAGAACAGTGCATAGGAATCTATGGGTGATTGTCTTGGTCTGAGGTCTGGAGCAAGAAATGCGGAGTGTCCAGATTGGAGGCACAGGCTGAATTTGGAGCTGGTAGGGTGAGGCAGGGAGGTCCTGACTGAAGGTGGACAAAATTAAAGGGTTCATGCTGGGAAGCTCAAAGAAGTAAGTTGAGTAATTCTGTCTTTTCCCTATGTAGTCAAGAACAAAATTATATATAATAGGAATAAATATTAATAAATTATATAATGGCTTCTATACACTTGTATTCATTACATCTTTTCTATATTTTCATAACATATTCTACAAAGGACATGTTAATGTATTTGAATAATAGCATAACATATTCTATTAAAGGAAATGTTCTTTTTTGTTTTTTATTACTTTCTATTCAAAGAAATATTAATTTCTAAAGTGTTACATTTTAACGTTCTCAGATACATTCTATTTGCTGGACAATATCTCAAAGAAAAAATGCTAAAAGTTTAAAGCTACAATAGATATTATTCCCTTTTAACTACTATTTTAATGAATTAATTTTTTAGTTCCATTTTCTCATACTTATTGGCTATGTAATTTACTGAACAAAAGCAATAGTCATAAGAAATCCAAGTAATAGATTACTGAGCATGTTACCTAGGCATATTTCCACTGTCACACAGAATGAAGTCTCAGTGCTACAATCCAGTTAATCAGAATAGGAACAAGTAGTACACCTTTTTTATAAAAACAATTTTCTTGAAAAAAATTTTCTCTGAGTATTCTAATACATCTTTTTTTGTTAGTCAAGAGCAAAATTATTTCTTGTTGTCTGAGATATTTTACTCATCTGAAACCACTTCAGGATAGATAAAAGTCACTTACCAAAAACACTGGACACCTGCCTTTTAAAATCTCATTTAAAAAATTGTAAGAGAACAGCAAGTGTAAAGCATGGGAATATTTTTTTGAATTTTGCATTAGAAAAACATGACATGACTACTTACAATGGTTACATTCAGAAGATTTTGGTTTACTTTTATCTTCTTGTCTTTTGTCATTCATACCCACAACTCTGATTTCATGTGTTGTATTTGATTTTAGATTGCTCAAAACAAATTCTTGCTGAAATGTGTGTGTGTGTGTGTGTGTGTGTGTGTGTGTGTGTGTGTAATATAGGCAACTTTACACCTTAACAAATTTATTAAAATAGTATCAAACCAGTATAATTCTAAATAATTTCACCATTAAAACATTTAAAAAACTATCTTATAAAAAAGAACAGATTTTTTTTTTTACAATATCTATAGCCACAAAGCAGAATGTAAAATGTTTCCTTTCACCTTTCTAGTTCCAAGAAATGAGAGATGAAAATAAAACATATAGGGAAGAGTAGTCTTATGTACACAGTCTTTTGAATGTTACCCAGACATATAGGGAGAGACCATGGGCCTGGAACACTTCCTCACCAACAGATAAAGAGCCTGCACATGTGTGTCGATGGTTGTTAGACACACCCTCAACTTCAGCATTTCAGATTCCATGCAGCATGAGTCGAGGTCTTTGTACTGTGGTTTTAGAGGGGTGCATGTATGGTAGTTGCTTTGAGTTGTGGGGGGCACCAACCATAGGAGACCTATGCATGCAACAGAAACTTTTCTTGCTCTGTTTTGTGTATGTGAGTAAAAGCACTCTTCCATCCCAGGATTGACTGTGTTGTATTTACCTTGGTGACTCTAATATCAAGATGAATTGAACAGAAGTATTTGGACTTCTGGTCCTGGTGGTTGACATAAAACTTTGCATGAAGAACACTGTCCTGTAACTTAAGGTATGTCAGCCATATTCAAAGAAATATAGCAAAAATGTATCTGCATCTCAAGTAGGATATTTATATAATAATCTCAGATTAAATCAAGTTGTTTTTAATATTATCATACAGGTTAACTAACCTAAGTTTAACATACAATGAGTGTGATTTGCCAAAAAGAAAAATAAAAATATATCTATATATATATATATATAGTGCAAGTAAGTACAAGGAATTGAAGGTCAATAGAAAAATCTTCACAGCCATTATGTCAATCTCCTGCAACATTCTAGAGCTGAGCTCTCCAAAACAAATACAATATGAGACATGAAAGTGGGTCACATATGTAATTTTAAGTTTTATAATAAAAAAGTAAAACAGAAAATTATTTTAGGATGTTAAATATATTAAACTTTTTTTGTTTATATCATATCATATTTTATTCTACTATACAGATTTGCTTAATGAAATAATATTTATTCTTCATTTTGCTATACTTGTTTTCCAATATTGAGATCTGTGACATTTATATAGCCAGTATTGTCATAATTATTTAATTTCCACAACATAAAAATCTGAAGATAGACAGTAAAGTTGTTTTCTTTAGGATGCAGAATCTAAAAGAGCTAAAATATTTAATGCTACACAAATAGTAATGAACACAATATAACATCTGAAATCTAGATGCCATTCCCGTAACATCCAGACCTCACTTAATTCAGTACAGATGCTTTAAAGGCAAGAGGAAATATACGTTTTTCAGTTGCAAATTTCCTTAGCTATCTCAGTTTTATTCTCTATTTTGTAAGAAGCCTGAACCTCATTTTAGGAATCTTTTGCCATGTCAAATCCTCAGCTTATAACACAATGTCAGAACTAAGGGAAATCAACTAGGAAAACATTCATTGGCAGAGAAAGCTGACTGATTAGAAGGACAGATGGGAAAAGCAAAACTTAAATCCAGGGATTTCTGGCCAGCTAACAACCTAGGAGCTATTTCAGAAAGACCAGAACAAGTTGTTGACTTGGAATCAGTGAATATGTAACATCATTCCAACAGAATCTTGATTTCAGTAAATAATTTAAAAGTTAAGCACATAATTTACCCAGTGAATATGCTACAGAAAGATTGCTGGGAATTTGCAATATATATACTCATAGCACTTGATGCTGGTTATGCTTATATACGCATAGATTACTGTATTGATATAAATGACTGACATTGACCACTGTTACTAAAAGGTCTCATTTTTCCTTATTTAAATTATGTTAATAGGTACAGAGCAATCAGTAACATTTATATCTACTTGTCTTACTGATGAAACTAAGATGCAAACCAATACAACTGAAAAGATAATCATTCAAAATATTGCTAGTATTGTGGTATATACAGTTATTCACAAGACAGAGGTAAGAGAGATCACAGTTTAAGTGTACTCTCTGAATACTTATAGTTAAAAATAATTATATATCTCTAGCCTTAGAAAAAACTACTAGAGGCATTATCTACAGAATAAAGTTCAAAATTATAATAACATAAATATATTTTAACACAAGAAAAATGAAGACAAAAATTTTAAAAAACAAATTTTATCTGAACAATCTAAATATTTCAAGCAGAAGCATTGCTTTTTTTCCTGTTAACATAGATACATTCTAAAATGTCAAATATCGGGTTTAAGTAGTTACAAGTGTTCCTTTGTCTATCAAGAAAAATGTACCTCCTTTGTTACATTCTGATCATTAGGGAAGACTAACTTGTTTCTTTGTATTTCACCATGTTTCTTTATATTTGCCTGTTTTCAGGTTCAAGACCTTCCCAGGTAAAAAGTTTCATATTAAGGCAGTTTGTGTAGGAAAAGAGCTAAAGCCACATAGTTTGTCCTAAAAATGTTTCTGCAATCTGCGCTAAGCTACTCAATTTTTTTTTCTTTTTTTTTTTTTTTGAGACAGGCTCTTGCCCTGTCGCCCAGGCTGGAGTGCAGTGGCGCGATCTCGGCTCACTGCAAGCTGCGCCTCCCCGGTTCAAGTGGTTCTCCTGCCTGAGACTTCTGAGTAGCTGGAATTACCGGCACGCGCCGCCACGCCCGTCTAATTTTTTTGTATTTTTAGTAGAGACGGGGTTTCACCGTGTTAGCCAAGATGGTCTCGATCTCCTGACCTCATGATCCGCCCGCCTTGGCCTCCCAAAGTGCTGGGATTATGTGAGCCACCGTACCCGGCCGCTACTCAATACTAACGTTGGAGAGAAGAGGTGTTGTATATGATATTCAAAAATACAAGGAAGATGCATGCAAAGCTAACTTGGCAATTTAAGTTTCACCATGTTCCTGTACAAGTAAAACTCTGTCTGTTTTGGAGTTCTGAATATAAAAGTTTTAACGTAATAACTCCTACTATGAAGTTTGTCAACATTTTGTGGAAATATAGCTTACTCTTTGACCAAAATAGAAGTAGTTCCTTAACTAGGGGCAAAATTAAAAAGAAGAAATAAGAAGATTCAGGAGACTAAAAGCCAGAAATCCGAAATTTGATTTGCCTTTCTAAACAAAAATGATCTATGCATTCTAAGTAGATGTGCATATTCACAGTCACGATTTGCTGGCATTTTACTAAACTCAAGTTTTCAGTCTCCCCAATATGGGGACTGAAAGTAAACTGGCCCTTGAAAAATGGAAAGCCGATATTTTAAAGTAGATGAAGTTTCATCAAAAATAAAAGTAGTCAGCCAGGCACGGTGGCTCACGCCTGTAATCTCAACCCTTTGGGAGGCAGAGGCGGGCGGATCACGAGATCAGGAGTTTGAGACCAGCCTGACCAATATGGTGAAACCCCGTCTCTACTAAAAGTACGCAAATTAGCCGGGCGGGGCGGCGCGTGCCTGTAATCCCAGCTACTCAGAAGGCTGAGGCAGGAGAATCACTTGAACCTGGGAGGCGGAGGTTGAGTGACCTGAGATCGGGCCATTGCACTCCAGCCTGGGCGACAGAGCAAGACTCCGTCTCAAATAAATAAATAAATAAATAAATATATACAAATAAAAGTAGTCAAAAAAACAATAGAACCGTACAGAGAAGTTTTTCTCTGATGTGACAGCACTGATAGGTTCTATAAATAGTCTAGTTTCTGCTACTAATTTAATATTTCTTCATGGTCCAAATATCGCTGGTTCCATATATGACTCTTTAGTCGTCTAGCTCTAAATTCAACAAGTGCAGTACATTATGAAACCCAAAACGTTAAAATAATTTTTAAACTGGCAAATAATGACATGAAAAAATAAATATTTTGTATATCGTTTGGACAATGTATAAATAATAATGCTACAGGGAACAATTTGATATCAGAAACTAGTCTCTGTTTAGAAAGGGAATTGGACTTAATTAAATGGAAACTGTGAGGAAACTTTTAAAAATTATTTACATAATCTATTGCAAAGCTTTCATTTTACACGAGAGAAAATTAGAGGACACTAAATACTTAGGACTCTAAAAGTAAAGGAAATCTCATATTTGCTTACAAATTAGCTAAGGAAAGGTCTAAAATGAGATTCAGTGCTGCCACGCTCACTCCCTGAACTTAAACCCCAGATCTCCGCAGATAATTTCCTATCATTCAATGTAAGTAGATTGAAGGATCCCCTTGATGTAGAACTGCTCCATTACCTAATTAAAATAAAACTGTTCATGTTCATGAAGAACTGTGAAATGTACCAAATAGCAGTAAGGAATAAGAAAGCCTGTTAAAGACAGAAAAATAATCATTCCAAACTACATGTGCTGTTAGTCTTACCAGATAGATCTGAAAATACAGTGAAACCCCTGAAATTTGAGGCTTAGTCTTTGCTCTCTAAATGAAGCAACAAAATTGAGAAGTTTTGGGCTTTTTGTCCTGAGAACTTTCTTTGACTCCTTTCTGGGGGACTGTAGAAACTAGTATAATAATAAAAGCAATTGTTTCTATTTATAAATCTCTTCATAATGCAGAAATATTACAAATTGCTTACTTTTACCTACATAAGGGTTACTTCATGGTTAATTCAATTACTAAAGTTAATTTAATGATTTAATTAACACCAATTTAGCATCTTAAATTATCTTAAGACATTTATATATAATAATTTCATTTCAGTTATGCTTTTCCTTTTTCACAATTAAAATTTTCTTTTTTATACAAACTATACTATTTTCTGTAGGTATATTTGTTGCTTAAGAATATTATCTCACATGATAAACCTTAATAACCAGAGACAATAATCAGAAAAAAATGAATTAATAACCTGTATGAGTGTGTAAGTTGGAAAATAATAAAAATAAGTCTTATCTATTATAAGTCTTAATACATATTATTAATTATTCTTAATATTCTTGCTAAATATTAATAAATATGCTTATTTGTTTCTGTGAGTCTCTTACTGAAAATTCTGTATTAAGGAGGCTATTTTTAGAGCATGTTCTTTACTTGGCATCCAGTAATTTTTTCATACACTATCACTTGAAATTCTTTTTTAATCATGAGTACAAAACACTATATAATGTACATAATTGTTTAGCAAATAAGTATTTTAAATGTGTCAGAATGTTATGTCAGAAATACCTATTATTCATCAAAATGGGTCTGTTTCTCTTGAAATAAACACAGTATGTGAAATCCATATTTAAAATGAAAACAAAAAGGACATTCTTGCTCAAAGCAAATTATTTGCCTCATAATGCACATTCTTGCAATTCAAATAAAAAATCCCTTTGTGTATGTAAACTATGATTCATCCAAAATCACTTTAGTGGATGTGCATTTTCCAAAAGGTATTTATTACATAAATAGAGCATGACACTCATACATTTATCCAGTGTTTTATCCCAAACTATAGTTGCTTATCAGATTCTCAGGAAACCTTGTTTTGATTAAAATAAATGGTACTTTATTTCTCGCTCAGTGATTGTTAGTTTTTTCAGAGGAGAATATATTTATCATCATCTCTTTTATTAAAAGCACTTTTCTATTTGAGTTTTAGAAATCAAATGACTCCTTCCCTTTATGCCTAGAAACCCTAAGCACATTGTAGCTTCATAGTTTCCTAATGACTTCTATTTATCACATTACAGGTAGTTATTGAACATGCCTTTATATTTTATTTGAATGTATTATTTCACTCATGCCCTTTGTTATCTGAATGTAAGTTAGATTCCTAATCTGTTCACAAGTTTTATTCAAGGAAGAAGTATTTCAAACATACATCTGCTGTCAGAGAAACAAGTTCATTTCCAAATGTAAATTATTGTCTGCCTAAAAAAATTAGTGAAATGCTATTTTAAAAATATGCTAAATGGAATACTGTTTTAAAAGAACAAGTAGTGGAAACCTGGCAAACATTTATGCTGTCCTTTATCATATATTTGCCTTTCGTTTTTACTATTGAGTAAGCATATTTATTTATCTAACTAAAACTTTATTTCTAGGGGAAAATATCAATTGTTCATGTCACATACAAGGCACTTTATTTAATCCTTGGACTAATCCTGAGAGATTATATTTTCTATTTTATAAGCCAGATATTGAGTTTAGGTATTGTATTAGTCAGGGTCTCTAGAGGGACAGGACTAATAGGGCAGGTGTATATATGAAAGGAGTTTATTAAGGAGTATTGACTCACATGATCACAAGGTGAAGTCCCACAATAGGCCGTCTGCAAGCTGAGGAGCAAGGAAGCCAGTCCAAGTCCCAAAGCCTCAAAAGTAGGGAAGTCGACACTTCAGCCTTCAGTCTGTGGCGGAAGGCCGGAGAGCCTCTGGCAAACCACTGGTTTAAGTCCAAGAGTCCAAAAGCTGAAGAACTTGAAGTCCAATGTTCAAAGGCAGGAAGCATCCAGCACGGGAGAAAGATGGAGGCCAGAAGGCTTAGCCAGTCTACCCCTTCCACTTTCCCCTGCCTGCTTTTATCCTAGCCGTGCTGCCTGCTGATTAGATGGTGCCCACTCAGATCGAGGGTGGATCTGCCTCTCCCAGTTCACTGACTCAAATGTTAATCTCCTTTGGCAACACCTTAACTTTGCATCCTTCAATCCAGTCAAGTTGACACTCAATATTAACTATCACAGGTATGGACGTGCTTTTGTCTGACAATAACTTTCTATCAATCACACCACTGTGGCTGTCCATAAAACCAAAACACACATCTATTGTTTTTAAAAAGATATATGCAAAATTAGATGAATTGAGTATACATTTTCTTTTCTAAAGGCTATGAAAAATATTTAATAACAAAAAAGTAACATTAATTATATAAAATAAGAATGTTACATATGCTTTTTAAATTTAATTATAAGCTATAAAGGGATATAGTAGTTATACATACTGCTTCACATAATACCATGATTCTGAGTGCATAGCAAACAACAACATAAATGGATGCTCATGATCTATGTGGATTTCTAAAATTATTTGATAAATAACATTCAAGAATTCTCCAATTTAGCTCTCAGAGGTACATGGTCACCGAAGTTAAAAATACGTACTCAGACATTCAAAGCCAATTCAGATTATGTGATTGAGAAAGTTGAACATTTTAATTTTTATGTTTCCCGTTCTAGACACATTCTCCTGCATTTCATTCTGGCCAAACTAAATCGTCACTTAAAATTAAAACACATAAAACAAAAGTTAAAAAAAAAAAAAAACTAAATCAGTGTATTTCAAGCAACTCATTCAGGATTACTCTGAACACATTTTCAAATAACATGTAATAAACAGGTCCTGTTCTTGCACGTGTATACTCTACTGTAAAATACCAAAGTCACAGAGAGATCCTGAAGATACGATAAATGTCTAAGCTGGATTCTGGTACCACCTCTGGTTGCAGAAGGATAATTCTTATATCATTGGAAATCTTAGAACTCACGTAAAAGTTTGCTTAGAAAAATTATTCTTTCCTATAGCTACCTAAAAATATGTTCATCTGTTCTTAATGAAGACTTTTTTATTTTCATATAATTTTGGAAAAGGAAAAATTTCTCTCTTTGTGCACATTTGAGAGTGTTTGTTTTCAATATTTTTTATTTCTTTGCTTAATAACAATTTATACTACTTTCATTGATCTTTAAATGTTCACAAGGAATAATTAAATTCAAATAAACACTTTTAAATATATTTATTTTGATAATACTTTAACAAGCAAAGTATATCTATCAATGAATTAAATAAAAATCACCTTTTGTGGAATTAGCCGGGAGTGGTGGTGGGCGCCTGTAATCCCAGCTACTCGGGAGGCCGAGGCAGGAGAATGGCATGAACCCGAGAGGCAGAGGTTGCAGTGAGCCGAGACTGCGCCAGTGCACTCCAGCCTGGGTGACAAAGCGAGACTTCGTCTCAAAAAAAAAAAAAAAAAAAAAAAAAAATTCACGTTTTATGGAAAGAATTCGTTATGCATCTTAAATTACTACCCTGAATATTTATACATTTTCTTGACAAAAATCACACTGGAAATACATTGTCTTAATAACTAAAATCAAATGGTCAAAAATGCATTTTGGCTTATTACATTTTTTCTTATAAATATATAAGATTCTTACCTGAGATCTTCCACTAGAATCCATCCTGAAGTGAAAAATCTTTAGAATCTTAAACTGTAAAGCCCCCACTGAACAATAATTACAAATTCAAGTTTTAAGGGCTAGCAATGACTATATATTAGAAATAAGAGTGCATTTTATACCTCTTGAACTGGAACTTTCTGATTTTTAGCTTTAAGTTGCAAAAGATGAAAAAAATATATTTTTAAAGGCCAGTTTACAATAAAAAAATGCACAAGTTGAAGTGGTATATAGCTTTTAATAGAATTTTGAGGAAGCCCTTACATTATGCAATTTGACAGAAATTATGAATTAGAAATTATAATCATTTTATAGAGATTCATTTGAGTTTAGCAAAGATTAATAAATGCCAAGTGGAATAAATTTTGGTTTCTAATTGCCCTCCCCAGAACTACTTATAATAATTTCTGTCAGTATCTGGATAAGGGAAATGTGTATTAAGCCTATGAAAATGCCGAATGGTACTAACCACCTGCTTAAGGACAGAAGCATATGTGACCTGTTTTCATATCCCTTTCCCATTGATTGAGAACATCAAGTGTTGGCTCTCTTCTACAAAACAGAGTGAGCTGCTCTTCTTCATAAAGTTCTGGAATTTGCTAAGGTGCTTTCTTTATCTTAGCCAATTGAACAGACCATCACATATAGTAAATCAAGACTCGTGGGTATTACAGAAATCTTGATACTGTTGAATTTTCTTACATAGAATAGCAAATTTTTAGCTTTATTGTAGATCATCAATTTTTGAGAGAGAAGCATATTTTGTAAAAACTTTTTACGTTTTCAGAATACAATACATGTTCTAGTTGATACTATTATTGGCGGATGACTAATGAGATTCATGTTCATTAGTTCAATTTATGAATGAATTGAGAGGATGGTAGTATTTTCAGAAATGTGTTATATACACTCCTCACCGAAAAAAGTTTCAGTGTATTTTGAAATGTATAAATTATATAATCTCTATAAAAGAAGGGGCTTTCCCGTTTTGTTTTTGTTTTTTTACTGTTTCTCCAGCACTTAGAACAGTGGAACATCACAAACATTTAATAAATAATTAAAGAAAGAAAAATCTAATGTCTTTTTATAGGAAAAATTGATATAGCAATAAACAAACAAAAAACTTGCATTTCTTGTAATATACTTGTTTGCTTGTGAGTATAAATGTTATATTTCTGGAAAAGAGAGTATGGCACTATCTCTATAAAGCAAGTTCTATAAATCCCCACGGTTGTTCTAGCAAGGATTCTAGTCATGAAAAATCATAATTTACCTTCAAAGCGACATTCAAATTTTCAGTAAGATTATCCCACAGGATGATGAGGGATGCTTGATTGTTATCATAGTTATTTCCATGTAGAAGAATAAAAGCTATGCTCTAAAACAAAATAAAACCACACACCCAAAATTGAATTAATTAGCACCAAACATTTTCTCCCTCTCAAATTAAATTAAAGAAAGCATAGAAAGGGATGAAATCAAATAGGAAAAAAAAGGAAAAAGCTTTGCAACCCTTCAAGTAAAAAGCACCCTTTATATACAGAAGACCAAGATGCTAAAAAAGTGTTTTCCAACTGACTGAATCTAGAATGAAAGGAAGTAAGTTTAAATTTCAGCAAGTGGATTTTGTTTAATGTGATAAAGGGGCGTTTGGTAACTTCTTTACCCTTGTCGTAGGACTGCTTTCAGTAACCACAATACTTGAAAATAACCATAAATTAAATCCAATGCATCCCTAATAATATTTCTAATGAAACTCACTCTAGATTCCTATCAAATTTAGGAAAACCCCAAAATTCTTTTCATGGTCTACAGAAACCTCTATGACACCAGCCATGGTTATTTCTCTGGTCCTACCTCCTTCCTCTCCACCTCGGTGTGTATACCCCTTCAATCAGGCTAGCAGCTAACTCAATTCTGACTACTTCCCTTGTTATGCATGTGATTCACTCACTTCATTTAAATCTCTGCTCCAATGCCACCTCCTAAGTGTGCTTATCTTTTATCACCCTTTCTAAAATGGTGCCACTCTCCATCCGTTGTCTTTTGCTTTATTTTTCAGTTCTAATTACTACGTAAGAGACACACACACACACACACACAGAGGCACGCACACACAGACACACACACACACAGACACACACACAAGGCCAAAACCTCTCCCATTAAAATGTATACTGGATGAGTTCAAAAGTGTAGCTGCTCACCGATAACTCCTCAGCATCTAAAATAGTTCCTGGCTCAAAATATTTTTTAAAATATTTGTGGAATTAGATAAGTAGTATGGAATGTTTGAATAAAGATTGTCAAGTAGTAAGTAATTTATACTACTCAGCATATAAACATGCATGCATGCATGCATATATAAAGTTTGCCTCTCTAATGCAGAAAGGATAATTAACCTGCCAAAGATAATATAGTCAGTAAGAGATGTAATCACTTGTCTCCTAAGATAATGACAAAGGAACATTCAATAAAACTATTCATAAATTGACAGCAAGAATGAATATAAAGGCAATTGTCTTCAGAATTAGTTGAGAATCACTGGTCAAGGTTTAGAAAAAAGGAAACTGCAAAAATAAATAGTTATAGTAATGATATTTAATGATCTAGAACAAGTTAAATTATGTTTCATATTGAATGTAGTAAAATATGTTGACCATGATTTAAAATTACTTTGGTGAATAAGCCTTTAAATATATTTCCTGAAATGTGACCTGCAAACATTCTTCACAGCAGTTAACTACTTTCTGTAGGCAACATTATAGCATAAATTGTTTTTATGTTAAAACCTGAAATATCTTGAAATGAGGTTTGAGCAGCGAGATGATCTCTATTATTTATTTTTTATTTCCTGTCATATTTTTATCCATCTTTGAAACTGAAAAACTATAAACATTTTAATCATTCTGTAGATTAAATCTCCATACATTTATGAAATATTCATTATTTTTCAATATTTTAAAAATTGACTATATAAATTAACATTAAATTTGTACTGCATTTATTTGTCTGATGTATAAAATTATATCATATTAGAAGTAATTTGCACAAACCAATTTTCCCTTTTTAGTGAGAAAATACTATTTTTAAAGTGAACAGAATTCTATATGATTTTGTCTCTTGGTTTTGGAATACGCGGGGATGTTGCCAGCAGACGTATAATTTCTATTCAAAACTGACATTTTGCTCAAAGTTTCTTTTAGCCTAGCTCTCTGTATTATTAGATTTGCAAAGTTTTAATTTACTAGGACTACCCTTAGTTATAACATTTTAATTTTGGTAAAAAATATTTTCAAAGCAAAATAAAAACAACACAAGAAATTTTTGGTTTGAAATTTAACACAAATTGTGAATACATGCAGATCAAAACACATGTCTTTCAATCAAAGATGTATATGTTTAAGATTACTAGTTTAATATCTAAATGTGTTTTCAAAATACATTCATGAGTATTTTTCTAAGTCATATATTCACTTATATAAAGTACAGAATTGAGATGTTTATACGTAAGTAATATAAATAAATACACCCTTGATTTAGTCAAATAATGTTGCCTGTAAAATTCACTCAGCTAGCACTAATTCTGTTTTGAAGTAGCTGAGCTCTTCTAAATGAGACAGAACACCAGTGGTCAACCATTTAGAACAATAATAATGATTGTTAATAGTTCTTGAATAGTTTAGTAACTTAATTAAATGATGAAAATTAATTTAATCTTTAATGCTGACAACAAACCTAAGAGGTTTCTACTATTCTTATTCTGTAGTTAGGTATGGGAAAAAAATGAGGCTAAATATTTATAGAGAAAAATGTCTATCTAGGGACTGTCTATCTTTGTCCAAAAGCAAGACAGTGGTGAAACTAAAATTCAAATCAGGCAGGCAATCTAATCACATGGCCAACGTCATCAACAGTTATGTAACTCTCACCATATAGTCAATTTTGGGTGAAGAGATTGAAGCAAAGATCATTTCACTTAAAAAAATAAATATTACATGTACCAAAATGTTCAATAGCTAGAAAGAAGAGGTTTTATAGATAATTAACACATCCTTTGCCATACTGAGTTGTATGTGAACTCTAAAGTTAAAGAATCACTGTTCTGTACAAATTTCTTTAGAAACATATTTTGAAACGTCAAAAAGCATTACTAGTAACTGGACAGTAAATCTATCATCCATTCCACTCCTCCCCCAACCAAGATATTATGCCTTATAAAAAGGTTTCTTCATGTCTACGTATGAATCTAATGCAAACATTATTTACTTGAGTTAGTGGATGTTTGGAATGCCTATGAACCATCTGTAAAAAGGATAAACAATATTGTATGTAAATTGTCTTAGCACGTGTGTGTAGTAAGTGACGATGCCTTTAACAAAATCAATACCATTGATTTTCTTAAGAAAGGCACTATAAACTATATATTACAAGAAATCTAAAAAAAGTAGGATAATTACTCACTCATTTCCCGAAAGTAGCTTGAATCGCAGAGTGCACGTCTAGAGCAAGAAACAGGCTCTTGAAATATACAAATTTAAAGTTTTTGCAAATTTTTGTGTGCGTATGTTCTATGGACCCATAAGAGATTCTAATAACCTTTCATTAGTACCTCTTATGTGTCCATAGAACAAAACAAAATAGCTATTTCATATGTTTTAAATTTAGAGTACATCTAAGAAAACATATAAATTAGGTTATTTTTCCTTATAATAATGATTTCACTGGCTATTAGACTATTTCACTGGCTCCTATTGTTATAGTTGTGAAACTGTTACCAGTTTCATTTTTACTCCTTTGAAGGTAATCAGTGTTTTCTCTCTGTTGTATTTAAAATCTACTTTTTTTGCCTAAGTGTTTTGAGATTTTCCCTGACATCCTTTTCAGGTTTATTCTGCTTAAAATAATTATGCTTCTGGATTGTAAGGATCCATGTCTTTTACCAATTCGGAAATTTTTTTCAATTATTATCTTTCTGAAACTACTTCTCCCTCATTCTCCCAATTCTCTTCTTTTGGATTTTGTTAGAGCTAATCAGAGAGTGCCATTTACAGTCTGTTAACTTATATTTCACTTAATTTTTTTCTGTATTTTATTCATCTGTTCTGATTTTAGCATACTTACTTTTATTCTACCCTTTGGTTTATTTTTTTCACCTGTCTCTAATATGCTATTTAATGCATCCATTTAAAAAATTGCAATGATCACAAATTATATTTCTAGAAGTTCTATTTGACAATTAGCTTGATATTTTAAAAATGGTGTCTATTTAATTCTTATGCTTTAAACTGATTGTCAATTCTCTAAATTAGAAGTTTCCATATATATTAGAGGTACACATTTAGAGGATACCTGTGGATAATTTAACACATCCAAATATTTTGTAAAGATCAAATCAGTGTACTTGGAATATCCATCACATGCAATATTTGGCTTCTCATTATGCTAGAAATATTTGAATTACTATTTTCTAGGTATTTTGAAACACACAATAGATCATGGTAAACTATAGCCATCCTATTTACCTATCATACACTAGGTTTTATTTCTTATATCAAAGAGTATATTTGGACCTACTAATCAACCTTTCTTCATCCTATCCTTTCTTTTATCCTTTCTTGCCACTGATAACCACCAAACTACTCTTTTAGCTTCATGAGATTCACTATTTAAGCCCTCACATATGAGTGAGAAAATGCAACATTTGTCTTTCTGTGCTTGCCTTATTCATCTTCATCTAGCAACCTCCAGTTCCATTCATGTTGATGAAAATGACAGAATTGTTCATTTTATATTATGGCTGAATAATAGTCCATTGTGTATATAACACTAAGGATTTTTATCTATTTACCAACTTTTGGACACTTAGGTTGATTTCATCTTTTGTCTATTGTCAGTAGCGCTACAATAAACGTGGAAGTTCAGATATCTCTTTGACAATTTTTTTCCTTTCTTTTGGATAAATACACATTAGTAGAACTGCAGAATCATGTGATAGCTCTATTTTAGTTTTTTGAGGAATTCCTATACAGTTTTCCATAGTAGCTGTAATAATACGTTCCCGAAAACAATGTATGAGGGTTCTCCTTTCTACACATTGTCACCCGCATCTCTTATTGTCTGTCCTGGGATAAAAACCATTTTAACTGGGTCAGAAACTTTCTTGTGGTTTTGATTTGTGTTTCTCTGATGATTACTAATGTTTTAACATTTTTTCTTAAACCTGTTGACCATTTGTATTACTTCTTTTGAGAAATATCTACTCAGATATTTTGCTCATTTTTAAGTCAGATTATTAGTATTTTTGCTACTGAGTTGTTTGAGCTTTATATGTTCTTGTTATTAACCTCTTGACAGACGGATAGTTTGAAAACATTTTCTCCCATTCTGTGGATTGTCTTTCACTTTTGATTGCTTTTTTTTTGTTATTGTTGTTGCTGCTGCTGTTCTTATTGTGTAGAAGATGATCTCATTTTTGCTTTGTTTGCCTGTGCCTTTGAAGTCTTACACAAAAATGTTTCCCCAGACTAATGTCCTAGAGTGTTTCCCCTGTATTTTCTTCTGGTAATTTCAGCTTCAGGTGGTAGATGTAAGTCTTTTTTTTTTTTTTGAAACGGAGTCTCGTTCTGTCGCCCAGGCTGGAGTGCAGTGGCGCCATCTCGGCTCACTGCAAGCTCAGCCTCCCGGGTTCACGCCATTCTCCTGCCTCAGCCTCCTGAGTAGCTGGGACAACAGGCACCTGCCACCACCACGCCCGGCTAATTTTTTTTGTATTTTTAGTAGAGACGGGGTTTCACCGTGTTAGCCAGGATGGTCTCGATCTCCTGACCTCGTGATCTGCCCGCCTCGGCCTCCCAAAGTGCTGGGATTACAGGCGTGAGCCACTGCACCTGGCTAGATATGTCTTTAATCCATTTTGATTTGAGTTTTGCATATCGTGAGAGATAAGGGTCTAGTTTCGTTCTTCTACATAAGGTAATCCAGTTTTCTTTACAACATTTATTGGAGACTGTCCTTTCCCCATTGCATAGTATTGATACCTTTGTCTTTAAAGAGTTGGCCGTAAACATGTGAGTTTATATCTGTTCTCTATTATGTTCCATTGTTCTGTATGTCTGCTTTTATGCCAGTACTGTGCTAATTTGCTTACTATAGTTTTGTAGTATATTTTCAAGTCAGGTAGGGTGATGCCTCCAGCTTTGTTCTTTTTGCTCCGATTGCTTTGGCTATTAGAGGTCTTTTGTGGTTCCATGCACATTTTAAGATTTTTTCTATTTCTGTGAAGAATTTTCTTGGTATTTTGCTAGGGGTTTCATTGATTTGTAAGTTGCTTTGTTAAAATTATCATTTTGACAATATCAATTTTTTTATTCCTTGGGCATGGAATACCCTTTCATTTTTGGGTGTGTTCTTTTTTGTTTCTTTCCTCAGTGTTTTATACTTTACCTTGTATAGACTCCAAATATTTAAAACATGTTAATGTTATATAACATGTCTGGTCTGGTAATTTCAATTTCTAAGTGCTGATACTTTAATTTTTTTTTAGTTGAGTTGTCTGTTTTAGCATTCTCTCTCTCCTCTCTCTCTCTCTCTCTCTCTCTCTCTCTCTCTCTCTTTCCCCCCAACTCCCTCTTCTGGAGACTTGCTGACAACTCTCCATGAACATTTTAAAGTTTGTTCGTGGTTAAATATTATATTAATGGCAATCAAGCTTAAAGTATGGCTTAACGAAAAACAAGCCTTGGAATTTAGAGACGGTGTATTTTTCTGGAGCTTTTCTACCCTGGAGACATTTGCTTGTATTTCAAATGAAAATAAAAACTTAGAGATATTCCCTTCCTTTCCCCAAAGAGGATTTCATGTTTTTCACTCCAGAGAAAGGATTTATCTCTCTCTTCAAAAAATGCACCTGTCATGCTACAAAAGCTCCAAATTTCATAACTTAGAGAATTTTTTCCTATATTGCCACCCTACTGCACACACAAATGGCATCAAGTCCTATCTTTCACCACGTGGGGAACCACGGTATGGGAACTGGTGCTAAACTTGCTCTGTGAGCCTTTTCTCTAATTCCAAAATCTTGTTTTACTGTTAGATAAATAACTAGATATAAAAAAATGCTTGGTTATGAAAATACAAAAATTAGCCAAGTGTGATGGTGGGTGCCTGTAATCCCAGCTACTCAGGAGGCTGAGGCAGGAGAATCACTTGAACCCAGAGGCAGAGGTTGCAGTGAGCCAAGACTATGCCATTGCACTACAGCCTGGGTGACAGAGCAAAACTCTGTCTCAAAAAAAATTTTTTAAAAAGTAAGATGATAGAGTGAAGAATATATAATGTAAACTCAACTCAGAAAAAGTTATAGCTATGTTGATACACTCAAAAATATCAGAATGCCAGTTTTTATACTTAGATGTAATTTTTGATTTCTGAATTATAGACAATTGACAATATTTTGAAAATTTAGTTTTGCACCATCAATTGTCAAAATAGTGGTAAAGGGCTTCAGCTGAGCCTGGAAACTTTATAAATATAGAACCCACGGGCAGAGCTAGCACACAAAAGTTGGAAGCAATTAATTAACAAGGTTTTTGAAAAACAAAATTATCTTTTAAATACATTTTTGTTTTGGATTTATCCTAAGTTTCATTTTAATCAAGTGACAGCTGATGTGTATTATTTTTCTTTAGGGAAGGGGAGGATGGTTCTGGCAACATCAGCCTTTATAAGTAGATGTATAAATAATATATAACGGTTTATAAACTTTTTTCAATGAACATATGTAATTAAATATTTTCAAAACTAATTGAAGTGAGACTAACTTAAATTAGTAAACTATAGCAAAAGCACAATCTTCATAGAGCTAACATTCTCTGAGTACGACTCCTTCAATTGAAGAGCAGGCTGGAAAAATAATACTATATTGCTGACACACGAAACTCACCAATCTCGGACAGGGTTTGGTAATGGAAAAACAAGCAGACTGTTATGGTTTGGCTCTGTGTCCTTACTGAAATTTCGTGTTGAATTGTAATCCTCAGTGTTGGAGGAGGGGCCTGATGGGAGGAGACCGATAAGAAATTTAATAAATATAAGTTAGACAAAATTACTAGCTGCATAGTCTTCCCTATACACAAAAATGCTAAGTAGCATCAATATACATAGCCAATATCAAATAAATTAAACTTTTCTTAATTTATTTAAGTTAATGTACTTTAGAAACCTTTTGAAAACAACTGTTGCACAGAATGATGAAGAAAACTATGTATAGTTGCACAGCATGATGAAGAAAACTATGTCCCTAAACTGAGGGACAAGTATTTGCAAAGGGACAGAGGCTTGAGTTGGCAGAATAGTTCTAGAAACTGACATGGATAAAGGCCAGGATAGAAAGATCCACATCAGCTTAGAAAAAACCTTAGTAACTAATTGAAAGTATGTATGTGTAAGAGAGAAGATTTGTATCAAAACTAACCTTTATACGTGTTCAAGTATAACAAATCCATCAAATTATTATGATACATACAAGCCACACATCACACATGCACATACTACACATACAAAATGTGTATGTATGATTGTGTGTGTCACAACAATAATTCAATTGTTTGACACATAATTCAAATGTGTGAAGTTAGTTTTGATATAAATGTTCTATTTTACAAAATATGCATATGTATCTGTATGTATTTAGACACAAAATATGTATACATTCTTTGTAATCTAAAAATTGGATGGAATTAGTTTATGTGAAAATTCTGCCTTTTTGTAATTCTGAATTAAGTGTAATTTTTTAAAATCCTTATCACACATTTTCATCACCTATTTTCTGAGGCACATTTTAACCTACCAGATCTCATCCTAATCAAGCAGTATCTGTTAGATCTGTGACAGGGGTGTAATTTCAGTAAAGTGATTAGAACTGTCTGTGAATATGAGAAAGGTGTGATATATAAAAGTATTTCTGTGAACTACTCTAAAGCTGTATAACCTGAATCCACTCCCACCCTCCCAAAAAGGAAGTGGCTTGTTCTACTTAATTACCTCCAAGCCTCAGAGGAATTGAAGAATAACATATTCATTCTATTTTATGATTCTATGGATCAGGAATTCAGGAAGGGCTAAACTAGGGGGATTTTTTGTTGTTTATTTTTACATGGTTCCAACAGCAATTCACAAAGCAGTATTCACTTGGCCTATGGGCTGGGTTAGATGGTCCAAGACAGGTTTACTCTCAGGCTGTGGTATGGCTAGCAGGCTAGACTCAGTTGGGAGTCATGGCTTAATTAGAATTTATACATTGCAGTTAGGGGCTTCTAAAGAAAATGTTTCAGAGAGCCCAGGCCCAAGTTGCAAAGTCCTTTAAGTTCTAGCTTGGAAGTTCTTAAAAGGCCTGGTCATCTATTGCATTGTTTTGGGCTAACAACTCTCTAAGACCAGCCCAAATCCAAGGGTGAGAATATTGTCTCTACCTCTCAACTGGAGAAGTAGCAAAGCATTTACAAATACCTCTACTCAATCATATAGTCTAATTTCAATTAAATGTGCTTATGTTTTTAAACCCGATGTTATATGCCTGTTACAACTTTGATTTAGAAGTTGAGTTAGGAAGCATAACATGTAGGAAATATTGAAAATAAATAGGTAGGTTTCTGCTTAAACTGAAGTTTTTTGAACATTGAAAGGTTAGCAGAGCTAATCTCTCAGTTGTTATCTTAGGTTTGATGCTATTGTATTAATGAAGTTGGTTTCAGATTGGGAATAATTTTCTTCTCTATATTTTTATGGTAATGTTAAAGATGTGTCTGGTTCAAAGGTGGAAAGTTCGTTTTTGCAGATTTTTGGTGACATTACAAGTAATGTATTTTCTAAGTCTCTATTTTGTTGATAAAAGTTTTAGGCCAATTGTAAAGAATATCAAAAACAAGAAACACAGCATTAGAATAAAATTAGTCTTAGTATTTGTAATGCTGAATGTCTTATTTTCAATAATAGCTAGCTTTTTATGGCCTGCCTATATGATAGCCATTAAATTTTATTAATAAGTCTGCCTCTAATTAAAGTACCCATCAGATAACATAATGGCCCAGGCTTTAACTGGCAAGAAAAAAAAAAGCGTATTAGATAATTAGTTCTTATAGTTGTCATTATGTGAAATTTTCAACTAGAATTTGCTCTAATCCTCATACTAGAAGTGAATAAGAAATGTGCATGTCTCAACTGCTAAGATATAAGCACACTAATTTGCAAAAAAATAACAGAATCAGAGGTGCTGGCTCAATTTCAAATATGAATGTGTTAAAATTACGGTTTTATATTCTGAAAGTGTGTTCAGCACAGGCTCCCCAAATGATTCCAAGCTTTAAGCATTAGGATGCTAACGTTAAAGTATACAGATATTTTCTCTTATTCTTTCCCAACAGATTAAAATCTACATTTTTATACCTAATAAAATTATTGTTTACATTTGTAGTCCTTTTATACATAAACATAAACTTATTTTACTAACATTTTGATATAACTCATCACAGGTTCCCCCTCATGGTATTGACATAAAAATACTTAAAATTATTACATAATAATTAGGCTATTACCTCAAAGTAAAAAAAAAAAAAAAAACACATATAAAAGAGAGAAGTGTTGGTAAGGTGAATATTTTATCAAATGAAAACCAATTTAACGGGAAAAAAAATCCTATTAAAAAATAGATTTGCTTTTAAATACAAAATAGTGAGTTAATTTCTTAATTACTTAGTGTTGACCCGGAATCATGAGTAAATTGATCAGCGAAAATTGGGACAAGGTTCTAGCGAAGGTATATGGAGAAATGCTTAAAGAACCTGAATTAGTGAAAGATAAAACTACTACAGACCTGTCAGTAACATGTAAGTGGTATTAATATAAAATTCATTTCTTTGAAGAAAAAAAGATAATTCCATCTAAATGAAGCATTTATGTCTATGTTAGAGACATAGGAAAAATTTCTCAGGTAGGAGAGTTTTTTTAAATCTCTGAAATATATTAAACAGCTATATGGGGATGTTTGAGTACTGGTTTACTATCATCAAAAAGAAAAAAAGAAAGAAATTTATTTTCACTCAGTGATGAATTACTTAAAATTCCATTCACATTAGAACAAAGCATTTTTTATTAAATTCCTGTGCTTTGTGATTCAAAGGTGATAAAATCTCTGAAACTTAATTCCAACCCTTAAATGCCTCTAATCGTAATTTTTTTTCTTACAGAAATAGTTCTGATACTTGGCGAAAAATCTGACATCAAGAAGACTATTTAATGATTAAGACAAATAATAGACAAAAATCTCAACACATAACCTCCTAATAATATAATTAAATTCACGTCACTACCAAAAAGAGTTGATAAGCTAAGGGTGAAGAGAGAAAGTTGACTTTCTTTTAGGATTTCCATCTTTAAATAATTTTCTAATGGAAAACTTATTTCAGTGCTGTTAGGTTTTATAGAAAGACATATTAGAAACTGAATTGAATACAAATACCTCAAAAAATAAGAAACAAATGAAAAGTTATGTAGATGTTTGAAATTGACTACAAATATCAAACTGGAGTTATTCTCCATTTGTCACAGGAAATGTCTTAACTGACTTTTTTTTCTGCTGTATTAAAAATGATTTTCTATTATACTCATATTAATAGAAATGCTGTATAAGCCATCAAACTGGATTTTAACATTATTTAAAAAAGCAATGATAATTCTGTCTAAAATAATTCAAAAAGCAATTTGTTTTTTTAAATCAATGGATAAAAAGAAAACACAGGTTTAATTGTTTATCACTTACTTTTGAACATTTAGTCTCTGGTAAATTTGGAACAATAAAACACTCGGAAATTTTTGTACAAGATTCTCAAAACGAGTTTTACAAAACAAAATCTGTTAACCTGTGTATAGGAGAGATCCTGCAGAATTTGTTGATATGCTCTGGTTTATATATTTTTATCAAGAAAACCAAACAAGCTAAATGAGCCAATATTTAAAACTCTAAAGCGAAAGATAAGTACATCTATAATTAAAGGCAACTTTTGTATAGCACATAAAAATGAATATTCTAAGTAAAATTTTCCAGATTCATATTTAAAAATTCCCTCCAATTTGTACCATTATTTTCTACCTGGCTAAAGTCAACAGGAAATAAAACTTTCACATAATTAAATACCAGTGTTATATTTAACTTGACATTTTCTATGCTTATCACTTTTATATTAAAATGCACATGGAAGATGGACTTTTATCTCTGTCAACAATATGGACAGATAACATAGTGGTTGTCTGTTATACATCATGGGGTCCCTCATCACTCAGCACAGAACTCAACCCCTAAAATTGAGGACACATTTTTTTATGTAACTTGCGTTTTTATTTATTTTAAATGTGGCTTGAAAATATTAACACCTTCAAAGTGTAGACCTTAGGTTATTAAGTTATTTAGTAATACAACATTGATATGCAGTCATGAATAAAATACTTTTTCCAGCATTCTGTTGCATCTGTTGGACATACTTGAGGTTTGTAACACAATTTTAGTATGCTTGAATATGAAGAGTCCTCAACATCTTCTTGTTTCAACTTCCTAATTTCATGCTGCAGGAGTTCAGAACACACCACCCTCAAATAAGTCACTTCAGCATAAGAATTATTTTGAAGCAAAGAAACTTGAAAAATAGCAGGTGCAGAAAGCTCACTTTGACCTTCATTCTGTTTCTTAAAAGCAGCTAGATGACATTCCTATTTGAAAGTTGCCCTCCCTATACAACGAGGAAAGTAACATTCTTAACATCAAGAATGAGAAGTTGAGACTAAGGGAAATCTGTGCCAACAACCCATATCTTCCCAGGCACTTCTCTCCCCAGTTACGTATCCTGGACCAAGCCCTTTGTCTTATCAAATTTTCACAATGTATCTTCTTTTTCTAATTCAGAATGTAAGTGTTTGACTCTGTTTCCTTTGGTCTTCCATTTCCTTACAAGGGCTCCCATGTCATGTAAAACTTATATTAAATACATTTCTATGCTTTTCTCCTGTTGATTTGTCTTACATTAATTTAATTTTGAGGCCCAGCTGAAAAATCCTAAAAGTGTAGAGGTAAAATTTTGTCTTCCCTACAATACATAGAGAAACTGAGATTCCAGGGAGTAAAAATGACTTAAGGTGACATGACTAATTAAATAAATTTCAAAGGCTGGACTAGAATCTAATGGCGTGCCATGTGGGAGTTACGGCAATTCCAACAGGAAGGAGTAATTTATCATAAACATTATTTAACATTGTTATTTATAGAGTAATAAAAAGCAGAAAAACGTACAGTATTAAAAAGAAGAATAATAATAAAAATAAGAGTAACTTTTATTATTTTTTAAACTTCTCTCCTCATAACATACCCTTTCATTACCAAAAACAGGATAGACAGCTTCCAATACCACTCCTTCTTTCATACATCACACTGATGTCCTATTCTTATCTGGTTCTATGAAAACCAAGAGCATAGATCATTTGTTATATCTTGTGCTTTTCCGAGTGTTTACATTAATACTTTTGTATTATACAACAAATAACTTCAAAATACCAAAAATATTTCCAAAATACAAAAGAACAATAGAGTATAAGAAGTGAATTTTGTAAGATGAAGAAGTTTTATAAAACATGAGAGTCAAAGGGATTCACAAGACTCCAGGTATTACTTACATAAAACTTTAATAAAGGCAAATAGCATGCTTTAGCAGGAGAAAGCAAGCACCTGCAAACATGCAAATATCAAACGCATCCAAAACATCTAGTTAAAGCTTTCAGGGTCCGTTCTCAGTGGCAGAGGTCATGCTTTCTCCTAGGATTGTCAAGCACCAAGATATATACCCAACATAGCTTTTCACATGTTTACTGAGGGGCATTTTCACCCACTTTTCTTTTCTCCACTGCCTGCTTTTCTTTTTTATTCTCCACATACCTAAACTTAGTCTGTGTAACCACATAAGTCAGGTGTAAATAATCAATCTAGGCATTTTTAAAGAAATAATGTAGACAAACTTGTACAAAATGCTTCCAGAGGAGTTTTGGACATTAGTGAGCTATTGTAAATCACTAGCAAAATATTTCCTCCCCTCCTTTGATCAATTTTGTTGTTGTCATTGATTTTATTAATTCATTACAGTTTGAGTATATATCTTGGCCCCAGTCATATTGAGTATATATCTTGGCCTCAAGAATTTCCAAATATAGTTTACTTGGATTTTCCCAAAGAACTTTCCATAAGCACACTCAGAGAATATTGGGGCTGTTGTGAACTCACCAAATAATTCCTAAACTAAAATTGATTTTAGTTTGCTACATATTTTTTATTTTGACTATGCCTTCTGCTCTCAAAAAAAAATTTGCAATGATGATAAGTTGGACACACAGTGATATTTTAAGCCCATTGTATCTCAGGATTTATCTCAACATATCACTTAGGTCATAAATCATGTCATCATCCATGGCTGCTTTTTATTTTTTTAATAATTTCAACTTCTATTTTACATTTAGGGGTTACAGGTTCAGGTTTGTTCCCTTGGTATATTGCATGATGCTGAAGCTTGGTGTATGATTGATCCTGTCCCTCAGATACTGAGCATGGTACCCAGTAGTTTGTCAAGCCTTCCTTCCCTTCCTCCCTCCCCCTCCTAGCAGTCCCCAGTATCTATTATTGCAAGGCCATGTTTTCGAATAAAATCATTTTAGGTGTTTGAGAGCTACACCTGGTTTCAGTATGTTATCTCCAAGAGTCTGATGTGATAAACAACCTGTTCTTATTACAGTAACTTATAACAAAGCTATAATATATAAAAAGTAAAAATAAATTAAAACTATATAAATATTTCATATATATGTATATATACATGTATAACTTTAAGTTCTGGAATACATGTGGAGGATGTGCAGGTTTGTTGCATAGGTAAACATGTGCTATGGTGGTTTGCCGCACCTTTCAACCCATCACCTAGGTATTAAGGCCAGCACGCATTAGCTATTTATTCTGATGCTCTCCCTCCCCACTGCCCACCTCACAGGCCCTAGTGTGTGTTTTTCCCCTCCCCATGTCCATGTGTTCTTATTGTTCAGCTCTTACTTATAAGTCAGAACATGCAGGATTTGTTTATTTGTTTCTGTGTTTGTTTGGCTTTGTCATATATTTTGAAATCAGGAATTGAGATGCTTACAGCTTTACTCTTGCTCAAGATTGCTTTGGCTCTTTGTTTTTTCATGCGATTCCTTATAAATTTTAGGATTACTTTCTTTATTTCAAGTGAACTATATGAACACTTTCACTGATTTTATTGTCTCAAAGTTATTGATCATTTTAATCTTGTCTTCTTTCTTATAAATAATTTTAAGTATTTTCTGATCATTAAGCTCCATTTGATGAAATCGGAGTAAACAGGTCCATACTAGCCTGCCTCACATTATCCTTTCCTCTTAATAGTAGGTTCAGAAAGAGGCCAAGCAGTTGGAGTCTCTTTTAGCCAAACATGAAGAATATGGTCAAAGATGTGAAACTAAGGTATATGTTAATATTGTCCTAGAACAATCCTAATTTGCTAGTCTTTTCTTTATTTTGCATCCTCAGAAAAAGAATTCCTCTTACTATCAAAGAGTGGTGTGGCTTTCTTACTTCCTTCTGGAATAATGTCTCGTATTTTACAAAATGTTCACTGACAGCCTTGCAGTTTTTTTGTTCGTTTGTTTGTGGGTTTTTTTTTTCCTGTTAATGATCCCTAAACAGCTTAAAGAATCTAAAATACAAAATTTTTGATTGACAGTTCACTAATATGTTCTCTTCCCATCAGCTTGAGTAACTTAGGAAACAAACTTGTATCAAACGTAATTTCATTCATCCTGTTCACAGTGCCAACTGTATAATAGGCATTATACAGGATTGGATATTGAAAGGATTCATAGAGCTTACAAAGGACTAGACAAAGATAAAGTGGAATGTGTGAAAAGTATCCCTAAGATATGTGTGAGATACTTTGAGCACACGTTCGCAGGGGGTCTTTTATACTTTACTGTCATGCAGCTAAAACTAGGCTATATAAATTGAAATATATATATATATATATATATATAATGTCAATCTGTATATTTTTAATAATGATGTAACCAACCTAGTACGTGTCTCCCAGGAAGATTTGGATGGACCGTAGATAGCACATAAGAAATCAATATTTAGTACATTTAATACTTCTCTTGGCCACGTGTAGTACCATGGTTCCCGACTTCTCTAAAGATAAGATAGCACAACCACAGATAACATAAGGCCAACTCTATCCTTACACATGAAAACATGTTATATTTCATTATTTGAAGACCATGGGTAGAATCCAGAAAGATTATAAAAATTTCCCTTTCAAACAGTTGTAAGGCTTTGGTATAAGTAATTCCTTGAAATTATTACATTTTAGTTTATTTAGACAACAAATAAGTAAATGATAAATATTATAAAGATGTACTTTGGATACAAAATATCAAATTTAAAAATACAAAGTGTGAACAACTTATGGATAAAAGATTAAAAGTTAGAAAGTTTGCTTGTGATATATAAAGATATTGTTTATCTGATTAAGATATACTATGATTTATCTTTGTTGGGTTGTTTTATTACTTACACAAGTGAGAAGGCAATAAATTTTTTATCTTAGAAGGTGTCCAACTATTCTACAAAAATTTAGCTAATGACACCTGAAATACATGAAAGATTTAAAATTTTCTTTATTATTAAATATCCTTTTCCTGTTTGGTTTTGGGGAATTTTTAAACAGAGTTTACAAATGTTTAAAGTAATACAAATTAAATATGTCTCTGCTTTTTAAAAAATGCTTTCTTAAAGTATTTTCAAATAAGCAAAAATATATTCTTTCACATTTAAAATAACATTCTTATCAATGCATCAGTTCCAGGAGTTCTTCAATAGAAAAGATTTGTCAATATAGTTTATTTTTCTTTTTCACTATGAAAGTTTTGAAAAATCCATTAAAATATTGCCTTCAGGTACTGTAGCAGGATTCCGCAGAGGAAAAGAACTAATAGCATATGTATATATATATATATATATATATATGGATGAATAAAATGGTATATATTATGGGAATTGTCTGACATAGTTATTGAGGCTGAGAAGTTCCAACAATATTCCATTTGCAAACAGGACAAACAGGAAATCTGGTCCTATAATTCAGTCTGAGTCTAAAGGCCAAGAATCAGGAGCTTTCATGTCCAAAGGCAGGAGAAGATAGATGTCTCAGCTCAAGAGCAAATTCCCTTTTTTTTTTCCTCTCTGTTTTCACATTCTATATGGAACCTCAAAGACTGCAGGATGCTCACTGACACTGGTGAGGGTAGGTCTTCGTCTACTTATTGAAATGCTATTTTCTTCTGGAAACATCCTCACAGACACACCCAGAAACAATGTTTTGTCAGCATTCTGGGTATCCCTTAGCCCACTCAAGTTGACACATAAAATCTGCCATCATAGGTAGAACGTGAAGGACTATTACTTATGAGAGAAATTATTTAAATCATTGCCAGTCCACAAACTATTTTTTATTGCTCAGTGATGAAAGAATGAAGTATTTTCGATGAATTTCAAAGTATGTATTGGAGCTGCTAACCTTCTAATTTACCCTTGATTAATTTTTATTTCTCCCAGACACATGAGAAGTAATGAAAATAAGAAAAGATTGTAGCAGCTTCTCTTTGGACATGATCAATACAAATAAGATCATTTAGTGCTTGGATTGTGTAGGAAAAACTCTCTAATTATTACCCGATTCAGTTCCTGTATGATTTATAAAGCAAACAATATACAACTAGCATTTTGTTTAAGATATACAGCAAGCCTTAAACAAGTCTATCTTGTTTAAGATAAACTTAAGTCCTTTTTTCCTCTTTCCCTTCTTCCCTCCTTCTCTGCTTTGTTTAATAAAATCTTAAAGAGAATTTTCATTTGAGTTTAATTGTTTCAATGTAGTCTAAAAATATTTGTGTTACATTATAGAGGAAAATTAAACCTTTTGAATTACTCTTTAACCTACCATATTTACCCTAGATTGAAATAAGTATTTTAAATTAGTTTAGGCTAAATGTGTCCCTAAGTCCTAAGTCACTGAATACTATTTTTAACTAAATTGCATTTTCTAAGTAACAGCAGATTTTATGTAGAAGTCACCAACCTCCCATTTATTTTCTGAGAACACTTATGAACTCCCCTGAGTGCTTATTATTGTGGAACAGGAGGTGCTGGAGAAATTGCTAATTTACATTGCTGGAATTTTGTGAACTTGATATTTTGTCTCACTGGAGGTCTGAAAAACTGAAGTTTTTTTTTTTTTTTTTTTTTTTTACAACAATGAGTTTCTTCTTCCAGGCAGACAGGTTGATGAATAACATGGGAAACTAAACACCTACAGTATTCTCTCAGGTTCAGTTGTGGCTATACCAGTGAGTACAGATAAAGACATAAATGATGTGTTGGCAATTTGTACTATGATCTGTGAGCAGCATGAAGGAAAAATAAACACGTATTTTTATGTATATATCTATTGCTTATAGGAGCATTTGCAGAGAGCAGTCAAAAGATTTTATCTCAAAGACCAGGTCTTGCCCAAGAAACATATAATAGAAGTTTCAAGTCTTTTCACCTTTTAAATCATTGAAATTTCCTATGAAGCTTAAATATTTTAGTAGTGACAAGATGCAGAATGTGAATTTAAGAATGAATGAATGTCAGTACTAACCTTGAATATAAATGGGCTAAATGCCCCCACTTAAAAGGCACAGGGTGGAAAGCTGGATAAAAAATTAAGACCCAACGGTATACTGTGATCATGAGACCCATCTCAAAGGAAATGTCATCCATAGGCTGAAAATCAAGAGTTGAAGGAAAACCTACCAAGAAAATGGAAAACAAAAGAGCAGGAGTTGCACTCCTAATGTGAGATGAAACAGACTTTAAACAATCAAGGATTAAAAAAAAGACAAAAAACTGCATTACATAATGATAGAGGGTTCAATTCAACAGGAAGACCTAAGTATCTAAATGCATATCCACCAAACCCAGGAGCACCCAAATTTATAAAGCAAGTTTTTAGAGATATACAAAGAGACATAGACTCATGCGCAACAATAGTGGGAGACTTCAACTTTTCACCAAGAGTATTAGACAGATCATCAAGGCAGAAAATTTACAAAGCTATTCAGGGCCCAAACTCAACATTGGATCAACTATATCTGATAGAACTCTACAGAACTCTCCACCCAAAAACAGCAGAATATACATTCTTCTCATTGTCACATGGCACATTCTCTAAAACTGACCACATAATTGAACATAAAACAATCCTCAGCAAATGTAAAAGCCGAAATCACACCAAACATAATATCAGACCACAGCACATTAAACATAGAAGACTAAGAAAACCTTTCAAAACCATGTCATTACATGGACATTGAACAACATGTTCTTAAATGACTTTTGGGTAAATAATGAAATTAAGTCAGAAATCAAGAAGTTCTTTAAAACTAATGAGAAAAAAGATACAACATAGCAGAATCTCTGAGACACAGCTAAGGAAGCATTAACAGATAAATTCATAGCACTAAATGCCCACATCAAAAGGATAAATAGATATCAAATTACCAACCTAACATCACAACTAAAAGAATTAGAGAAGGAAATGCAATTCAAACCCAAAGCTAGCAGAAGACAAGAAATAACCAAACTCAGAGCTGAACTGAAGGAAATTGAGACACAAAAACCCATTCAAAAGATCAATGATCCAGGAATTGGTTTATTGAAAAAAAAAATGTGTTAAATAGACTACTAGCTAGAGCAATAAAGTAGAAAAGATCCAAATAAACACAATTAGAAATGACAAAGAGGATATTACCAATGACTGCACCATAAGTAACCATAAGATACTACTGCAAACATCTCTATGCACACAAACTAGAAAACCTATAAGAGATGGGTACATTCCTGGACACATACACCCCCTGGAGACTAAACCAGAAAGCAACTGATTCCCTGAACAAACCAATAATGAGCTCTGAAATTGAATCAGCAATAAAAAGCCTACCAACCAAAAAAAAAAAAGAAAAAAAAAGCCCAGAATCTGATGGAGTCAAAGCCAAATTCTACCAGACGTACAAAAAGCTGGTACCATTTCTACTGGAAAACTATTCTAAAACATTGAGGAGGAAAAATTTCTCTCCAACTCATTCTATGAGACCAGCACCAGCATCATCCCAATACCACAATCTGCCGGAAACACAGCAGAAAAAGAAAATGTCAGGCCAATATTTTTGATGAACATTGATGCAAAATTCTCAACAAAATACTTGCAAACACAATCCAGCAGCACATCAAAAAGCTAATCCACCATAATCGTGTAGGCTTTATCCCTGGGATGCAAGGCTGGTTGAACATATGTAAGTCAATAAATGTGTTTCTTCACATAAAGAGAACTAAAGACCAAAACCACATGATTATCTCAATAAATGCAGAAAAGGCTTTTGATAAAATTTAACATTCCTTCATGTTAAAAAAACTCTCAATAAACTGGGTATTGAAGAAACATACCTCAAAATAATAAAAGACATCTATGACAAAACCACAGCCAACATCATTCTGAGTGGGCAAAACTGGCACAAGACAAGGATAGCATCACTCATCACTCCTATATAACATAGTATTGGAAGTCCAAGCCAGAGGAATTAGGCAAGATAAAAAAATAAAAGGAATTCAAATAGGAAGAGAGGAAGTCAAACTATCCCTGTTTGCAGATGACATGATTCTACGTATAGAAAACACCATAGTCTCAGCCCAAAAGTTTCTACAGCTGATAAACAACTTTAGAAAAGTTTCCAGATACAAAATCTATGTACAAAAATCACTGGCATTCCTATACACCAACAACAAAAAAGTCAATAGCCAAATCAGGAATGTAATCCCATTTAAAGTCACCAAAAAAGAATAAAATTCCTAGGAATACAGTTAACCAGGGAGGTGAAATATCTCCACAATGAGAATTACAAAACACTGCTCAAAGAAACCAGAGAAGACACAAACAAGTGGAGAAACATCCTACGATCATGGATAGGAAGAATCAATATTATTAAAATGGCCATACTTGCCAAAGTAACTTACAGATTCAGTGCTATTCCTATCAAACTACCAATGACATTCATCACAGAGCTCAAAAAATCAATTTTAAAATTCATATGGAACTTACACCCCAAATAGCCAAGGCAATTCTAGGCAAAAAGAACAAAACTGGAGGCATCATGTTACCCGACTTCAAACTATACTACATGGCTACAATAGCCAAAATAGCATGCTACTAGTACAAAAACAGGCACATAGACCAATGGAACAGAACAGAGAGCTCAGAAACAAGGCTGCACAGCTATGATTATCTGATCTTTGACAAAGCTGATGAAAACAAGCAATGGAAAAAAGACTCCCTATTCAATAAATAATGCTGAGATAACTGGCTAGCCACATGCAGAAGATTAAAACTGCACCCTTCCTTACAACATATAAAAAAATCAACTTAAGATGAATTAAAAGCATGTAAATGTACAACCCAAAACTATAAAAACCCTGGAAGACAATCTAGGCAGTACCATCCTGGACAAACGAACAGGCAAAGATTTCATGACAAAGACACCTAAAGCAATCACAACAAAAGCAAAAATTCACAAACGGTATCTGATTCAACTTAAGAGCAAAAGAAACTGTCCACAGAGTAAACAGACAACCCACAGAATGGGAGAAATTTTTCACAAACTATGCATCTCACAATAACCAGCAATCTATAAGGAACTTAATTTACAAGAGAAAAACTTCCCTTTTAAACATAAGTGCCAATTTCACATCATCTCTTTGTGAACGCATATGACTGTATGCTTTCAAAAACAAGTCAGGTCACATCTTGAATGCTTTGCTGCTTAGAAATTTCTTCTGCCAGATACACTAAATCATCTCTCTCAGGTTCAACATTCCACAGATCTCTAGGGCAGGGGCAAATTGCTTCCATTCTCTTTGCTAAAGCATAGCAAGTGACCTTTATCCAGTTCCAAATAAGTTCCTCATCCTCATCTGAAACCATTTCAGCCTGGACTTCATTTAGAGAATATGAAGACAATTGTTAAGTGACTATGTTATGGCAGCACTGACCCCTCACTTGTCTACAAAGGTTTGAATGAAGGGTGTGAGTAACTGATGAGGGTTTGCATATATAACCTTATAAATATATGTTCCTGATTCCCATGGCTTGAGCAAAATTTGACCGCCTAAGTATTTACAATTATTTATGGTCACTCTATCAAGCTTCATTAACATAAATTGTTACACCTAATGAGGAAACTGTATGGCAAGGAACAGTGACTCTTACCTAATACTAACGATTTCACATGGTTTTTACATTGTACTTTTAAAAACATGAACAATTTGACTAGAACAACATTAAAAGCTCTGATATCTTTTTATGGGAGATAAATTATGGATAGGGAAATATGAAGTTAAGTCTCTACTGTTAGGTCTGAGAATAGATCCTAGAGGATCCTCAATTCAATGGCAGAGAGTTACAGTATGATTTATTTGGCCATAGTGAACCCATAAGGATTCCTAAGAAGAGAGTGATGTTAAACACTTCATCAAGGAAGTTTAAACAAGCAGAGGCATATCATATGCAATGGATTGGGAAATACTGAGGAAAGAGTGTTCAGCTACAATTCTATTTCAGTTGTCAGCATTTTGCCAAAAGTCAGGCATTCGGAACTCTTCCCAGACATGAGAAAAGTTAGAAGCTGATAAGAGTAATATTAAAATGAACAGACAAAGCAAACCAAAACACTAGAGGAAATTATTATCTACTTAGAACTGGAGGAAGAGACCATATGTACCTCTCTAATGTAGCAAGGGAATATGCAGAAAGATCTTGAGAAAATGATAAACCTCTTAACATAGCTATAAATCTTTCCTTTAGAAGATGGCAACTGCAAAAGTTCTGTTCCAGAAATCTTTAGCAGAAATGTTCCAAAATTTACCAGGAAAGTGTCCTTAACCAAGCTTCTCTAAGAGGAATTAAACACCTGGTAGTGACCCCCGCTGCTGCTCTCTTAGACATAGCCTTCAGCTTCTGCATGAGTTCAGGTCATAGGACTTGTGCACAGTACATCTTCTCAGAAAAGGAGAGAGAGAGAGAGAGAGAGAGAGATTTGATGATACTACACACTACACTGCTGGATCTGAGGATGGAGACCATGAGCCAAAGAATGTAAGTGACCTTGAAAGCTGGAGAAGGCAAGGAAATGAATTCTCCCCTAGAGTCTAGAAGAAATACATTTATTTTAGGACAGCTGGCCTATAAAAGTATAAAGATAATAAATTTGTGTTGTTTTAAGACACAAAGTTATTTATAATTTGTTACAACAGCAAGAGGAAAGTAATATAACCAGGCTTGCAGTTCTAAGAGCTACAGTGTCTCAGTCTCTCAAATGGTTTTCTCCAGGGCTGACTGGCAGCATCCTTATCTTGCATGCTTGAACAAGTGCAGCAATAGTGCAAGGGGAGATTCATGGGTACGGCTCAAGTTGAGGAAAGTATAAAAAGAAAAAAAATTTGCATTTTAGGAACATTAAAGTGATTGACACAATTTGTGCATGAGGAAATAAAAATGTTGAGGAATAGAGAAAAAAAGTAGTCTAGGATATTGGCTTTTAAACTCTTCTGCATGAGAATACTAGCAATCTTCTGAGCAAAATCTATGAACACGCAACCTAGCCTACAATCACTAAGGGTTCACAGAGAGTTTGGCCAGTGTGCTTTGTAGAGGAAATTTATGCATCCTGAAGGGAGGCTTAAATTATCTATAAACATTCTTTCAACTTCACAGTTCTATTGTGGTTATACAACCTAAGAATTAAGATACTGATGGGGTCATTGATAGATGCAAGGAAAGCAGAAAGAGGAGGTAATATTCATGTGGGCTAATAGGCGAGGGGAATAGATGCATGGAAAATAAATTTTCTTTTAAACATGATTAATCTGAGGTGCTTTTAGATCACTCATTAGGAGATATTGACCAAATCATTAAAAGCACAGGGGTGGTCTTTGGGCTAGTGTTCAGGGCTCCAAGAAATATTTGTGGGTATTCATGGAAAACAGCTTGACAGCAGTTAAGATCTCTATGGGAGGTATAGAAGTAGAAATGAAAACATAAAGGATCAAAATTGTGGAAGATGTTCATTCCATCTTCATAGGTCTAGAAGAAGGAGGCTGGGGAATAGCTAGAGAAGAAACAAAGAAGTAGGTAGCTTCACAGGAACCCAAGGAAAATGGGGATTCAGGAAAGAAGGCTTAGCAAATAGATCATGCTGAATAATTTCACCCTTACTCTACTAATGTTTGGAGAGTCTATGAAGGCTGTACTCTGGGAAGTGAAATAATCAAATTCAATTTTTATGAAGATAATTTTGCCATTGTGTAGAGCATGGGCTGAATTTTAAGAGAAATTGAAGTCAAGGCAGCCAGAAAGAGAAGAGTGGAAGGCAATTTAGCATCTAAAAAAACTTAGCAGTAAAGCTAACTTAAGCCTTTCTACTTTATTTCTTTCAGTGATAAATGAGGTATATTTTAAAAATATGCTTTGTGTTGTGTTGGTAACTAAAAGCATATGTAATCTGTTTGTGGAATTCATGAAAATTGGTTGCAGTGAAAATTAATGTCACACACACATGGCAAAAGATGCTTTGTGTAGAAAGAAAAGAGTGGCATGGAAAATTTTAGGAAATAAGAATTATCGAATTCCAAACAAAGGTTGTCTTTTTGTTGCATTTCCCCAGTAAGAAAATGGAAAAGAATATTATTCTTCAACCCTGAAAACATGCCAGAAGAAAGAAGCTTCTAACCTGTGTTTCTTGAGGCTCCATAATTTATATTCATCTTAGGTATTTCTAAGTGTTTGCTAACTTAGCATAAAATTTAGTAGAGTTACTTTTACAGCAGAAACGTTGATACCTAATATGATTCATTTGGAGTTCTACTTAGATGAAGAATGCATTAATATTATGAAATTGTAATATTAGAATATTCATAAAGGTGAATCAAAAGGTTAAACAATATGTGGATCATCTTTACCAGTTTAAAAGGAAATGAAAAAAAAAAGATACCGAAATTGCTAGATATGGACCATTAGAGGTTAATACCAAAAAGAAAACTGCTGACCTATAAACTATTTTTAGAAGTAAGTTGGGCTGGGGACTGTGAGTCTGATATGCTGTTAGCACTTTACGGATGTAAAAAAATAAACATTGGTATAGAGCAATTTATGTGGGGAAACTGAGGCTCATATTGTTTAAAGAAATTGTCTCAGACCATAAATCTAGCAAGTGGTAGACATGAGAGAAATTGGGATTGAATCACTGTTTCTCATAGGGCTATAGTAGTAGTAGTAGTAATAGTAATACTAGCAGTAGCTGTTGCAATAGTCATTCTGTTTGTGACAGCTAACAGCACTTATTCAGCATATGTTATATTTTAGGTACTCTTCTCAGTCATTTACATGTTTTGTATCATTTGTTTATCATGAAAACCAAGGCTTACTCTTATTCTATGTTATAGATGAAACATAGTATGTAAAGCAGTTAGCCTAAGGACACGCATTTAGACTACATACACTGAACCCCCAAGGTTGACCAGCGAAAGCATCGACTGTCTTAGGCTAGGTTATTTTTTAGTAGCAGAAAACTGTAAAAAAATTAAGTGGCTTAAAGAACAAAGGTTTATTTGTACCTCACACCCTATCTATTGTGAGGCAACTGTGTAGGGTTTTTTTGTTGTTGTTTGCTTTTGTTTTTTGTTTGTTGGATGGTTTCAGATTATTTTATTTTTCTGTCCTTATCAGACAGACAACTCCTATCTGAGCTCCTACTATTGGTTAGTCTTGTGGAAAAGGAAAATGTATAAATTAAGACTAATAATAAAACTGTGTGATAGCTTTCAGAACATAACTTCAGAATTTTGTTATAACATTTTCTCTCACTTTTTTGTTAAATAAAGTAAGACACATGTCCAACCCTGGTGTTATAGATAGAAAGTGTAATTTTTCCGTATATAGGGACTCTGGAATAAAGAACATATAGTGATGGGTAGTGAATAGTTTGAAATATGTCAGATCATATAGGGATACCAGGATTTTTTTATTATATTAGTTTCAGCTTCTCGTGGAAGGTGATCAGTGGCTAATTTAATTTAATTTTATGCCAGAGTGTTAATGTTATTGTCCCAATGTTTCTTTCTTCATTTGTCAAAATAAACATGTATTTATTTGGCTGAGTTGAAACTAGTAAATTGAGAGCAGCTACCAATTTCTGAGACCAGTGTGAGCATATTTAATTTACAGACCAGAGAGAGAGAACTATGGAATGAGCCAAAAACCATGGTAAGCAAAGGACCAGTGGAGAAGAACAAATCTAAACAATGTGTCAAATCACACAGGACAGAAGTCTAGGGCTGACTGTATGGCAGCCAGGGGTGCTCCATTGGTATCTAGCTTCAAGAAAGAAATTGTCTCTCATGTACAAAGAATACACTTAGCTGGCACCCTCTAAATGCATGTTGCCTTGGGATTCCTCTTGGTTTTCAAGCCAAGATTATACTTCATCTGGGCAGCCCGAGCATCTCAGCTGTGATGGAGTACTGTGATTTGGACTTTTTTTTTTTTCCAATACAGTACTCTTCTCAATGGTAATTTTGCTCTGGATTTTCCAACTGGCTTGGCTGATACCCTGCCAGATATTTCTTACAGTCTGATCCTCTTTCTGCACAGTAATAGCTTATTCCCATTTCTTTTCATAAGTTTCTGTTCTGCATTGTGGTCTGGTGCCATTAGGTGGCCAATTTGGCTCCCTGTCTCTTTCAGGTTTCATTTCTCTATGTGCATCCTGGAGGATCAAAGTGATACATCAGTTGGTAGAGCTTCTACAGAAAAACTGGTAAAGCAATGAGATTTGAAAAAAAGAAAAAAAAGAAAAAAAAGTGGAAGTTGGATGTGGCTGAAGGAAACACTAAGATTAATTTTCCAGTATATGAAGACTAATTGATAGTGAACTTTATGCCCTGACCTGGTTGATCTAACATGACCCCATGGTGAATTGACCAAGAAATGCTTTAAAAACCAACGGGCATATTAGACGTAATACATTTAAAATGGCCTAAATCACGTATGTACAACCTAATCAATTTTAAAAGAAATCAAATGCCACAATATGGTAGAAGAGAAATGTCAACTTGGTGCTCCAGATCACTTAAGTAAATATGCTTTAAAGACATTAACTACAGGTATTCCCATGGAGATGAGAATCATTGATTAATATCATAAATATAAGTAATAATCACTTTTAAAAGTTTAGAATAAATTCACATCAAGCGAGGTTTTAGTGTTAATAAATCGGCACATCTGGGAGACAAAAGCAATAAATGATTTGAGCATCCATACCTAAGAATTAATCTTTCCTTTTGTTCATACTTTTAAACTGCTTTAAATATACATGTAAAAATTTTATATAGTTATAATCAAGTTATTCTATATGTTGTCCACATATTTTTCTGTGCACGGTTTTCTGTGGTAGTACATAATCCTGCTAATTTGCATTATTATGCATGCATAATAGTTTATTACACAGAATCGAATATGTGACCTTTTTCAATATTCTTTTATTTTTAAACCTTTGAGCTGTTTCAATTCTTCATTGTTATAGATAACACTACAGTAACTGACTACATAAACAAAATAATTTTTTGATTTTTTTTTGGAATATACTCTCTAAAGCAGATTTACTAGGAAAAAGGTGACAAATGTTGTAACTACATATAAATATATTTAGAAAATAATTTTACTAATTTACCTCCCTTGTATGAAAAAGTAGCTACGTTCTCACTCAGTTCCAATATTGTATTAAAATTATGTAAATTGTCTAGGTAATATAAGAAGAGGTTATTTGTATTAAAGTACATGTTTAGGTACTTGTAAGTCAGCAGATCTTTCTTATGTTTATTTATACACAGTATTTTCAGCTTTGTGATATTTTGTTTATTACCTATGATTATGTACATTGATGGATTCAGAAAATCTTTATTAACGTCACTGTGTGTCACATACTGTGCTAGGTGCCGGGAAACAATCGTAAGGAAGTTAGACCAGGTTCCTTCTTTCCCAGAAGACTCAGTGAAGTAAGTAAGACAGAAAATTAAACAGACAAGTTATAGTGAAAAGTTCTAGTGGAGAGAGTATAAAGCAAGAGTCCCTGAAAAGAATGAATGGTTGTTTCCTTGATGTAGTAACCTTTCAGCTGATAACTGACGGCAGTCTAAGGTAAGTCAATCAAGAAGGAAAGCATCGTCTTCCACGTAGAAAACATAGCATGTTTGAAAGTCTGGTGTCAAGAGGAGGGCCTTGTACAATGAAGACGTTTATTTATTTCCTTATGTATTTTTGATTTTATTCTTTATTTCAATAGGTTTCTGGGGAACAGGTGGTGTTTGGTTACATGGATAAATTCTTTAGTGGAGATTTCTGATATTTTGGTGCACACGTCACCCAAGCAGTGTACACTGTACACAATGTGTAGACTTTTATCCATCTCCCAACTCCCACCCTTTCTCCTGTGTCCCCAAAGTGTATTGTATCCTTCTTATACTTTGCATCCTCATAGCTTAGTTCCCACTTATGAGTGAGAACATATGATTTTTGGTTTTCCAGTCCTGAGTTACTTCTCCAATTCTATCCAGGTTGTTGTATCTGCCACTATTTCATTTTTTCTTATGGCTGAGTAGTATTCCATGGTAAATATATACTACATTTTCTTTATTCACACATTAATTGATAGGCCTTTGGGCTTGTTCCAAAATTTTGCAATTGTGAATTGTGCTGCTGTAAACATGTGTGTGCAGGTAACTTTTTCACATAATGGCTTCTTTTCCTCTGGATATATACCCAGTAGTGGGATTGCTGCATCAAATGGTAGATCTACTTTTAGTCTGTTAAGAAATCTGAACACTGTTTTCCATAGTGGTTGTACTAGTTTACTTTCCAACCAGTGGTGTAACAGTGTTCCGTTTTAATCACATCCATGCCAACACCTATTATTTTTTGATTTTTTGATTGTGATCATTCTTGCAGGAGTAAGGTAGTATCACATTATGGCTTTGATTTGCATTTCCCTTATAATTAGTGATGTTGAGTGTTTTTTCATGTATTTGTTGGCCATTTGTATATCTTTTTTGAGAATTGTCTATTCATGTTCTTAGCCCACTTTTTGATGGGATTGTTTGTTTGTTTGTTTGTTTTCTTGCTGATTTGAGTTCCTTGTAAATTATCAATATTAATCCTTTGTCAATGCATAATTTCAGAAGATTTTCTCACACTGTGAGTTGTGTGTTTACTGTGCTGATTATTTCTTTTGCTGTGCAGAGCTTTTTAGTTTAATTAAGTTCCATCTGTTTCTCTTTCGTTTTGCTGTGTTTACTTTTGGGGTCTTGGGCATGAAGTCTTTGCCTAAGTCAATGTCTACAAGGTTTTTTCAAATGTTATCTTCTAGAATTTTTATGGTTTCAGGTCTTAGATTTAAGTATTTGGTTCATCTCTAGTTGATATTTGTGTAAGGTGATAGACAAGGATCCAGTTTCATTCTTCTATATGTTGCTTGCTAAATATCCCAGCACCATTTGTTGAATAGGGTGTCCTTTCTCCACTTCATGTTTTTGTTTCTTTTGTCAAAGATTAGTTTACTGCAAGTACTTGGATTTATTTCTGGGATCTCTATTCTGTTCCATTGGTCTGTATGACTGTTTTTATACTGGTACCATGCTGTTTTGGTGACTATGGTCTGATACTATAGTTTGAAGTTGGATAATGTAATGCCTCCAGATTTTCTTTTCTTGCCTAGTCTTGCTTTGGCCATGCAGGCTCCTCATTGGTTCTGTATGAATTTCAGGATTTTTCTTTCTAGTCCTGTGAAGAATGATGGTGGTATTTTGATGGGAATTGCATTGAATTTATAGATTGCTTTTGGTAGTATGGTCATTTTGACAATATTTATTTTACCCATACATGAGCATGGGATGTGTTTACATTTTTTTGTGTCATCTATGATTTCTTCCAGCAGTGTTTTGTAGTTTTCCTTTTAGAAGTCTTTCACATCCTTGGTTAGGTATATTCCTAAGTTTTTGTTGCTGTTTGTGGTGGTGGTGATGTTTGTTTGTTTGTTTGTTTTGCAGCTAATTGTGAAAGGGGTTGAGTTCTTGATTTGATTCTCAGCTTGCTAGCTGCTGGTGTACAGCATTGCTGCTGATTTGTGTACATTTTTTTTTATCCTGAAACTTTACTAAATTCATTTATCAGTTCTAGGAGTTTGAATGAGTCTTTAGGGTTTTCTAGCTATACAATTATATCATATGTCAACAGCAACAGTTTGACTTCTTTTTTACCAATTTGGATACCCTTTATTTCTTTCTTTTTGTCTGATTGCTCTGGCTAGGACTTCCAGTACTATGGTGAATTCATGTGGTGAAAGAGGGCATCCTTGTCTTGTTCCAGTTCTCAGGGGGAATGCTTTGAACCTTTCCCCATTCAGTACAGTGTTGGCTGTGGGTTTGTCATAAATGGTTTTTATTACCTTAAGGTATGTACCCTCTATGCCAATTTTCCTGAGGATTGTAATCATAAAAGGATGCTTGATTTTGTCAATTTTTTTCTGCGTCTATTGAGATGATCGTGTGATCTTTGTTCTTAATTCTGTTTATGTGTTGTATCACATTTTTTGACTTATGTAAGTTGAACCAGCCCCTCATCCCTGGTATGAAACCCACTTGATCATGGTGGATTATCTTTTTGATATGCTGTTGGTTTTGATTGGCTAGTATTTTGTTGAGAATTTTTGTATCTATTATAAGTTCATAAGGGATATTGGTCTGTAGTTTACTTTTGTTGTTATGTCCTTTCCTGGTTTTGGTATTAGGGTGATACTGGCTTCATCGAATGATTTAGGTAGGAATCCCTCTTTCTCTGTCTGTTGGAATAATGTCAACAGAATTGGTACCAATTCTTCTTTGAGTGTCTAATAGAATTCAGCTTTGAATCCTTCCGGTCCTGAACTTTGATTGACAAGTTTTTTATATTACCATTTCAGTCTTCCTGCTTGTTATTGGTCTGTTCAGTTTCTATTTCTTCCTGGTTTAATCTAGAAGGGGTGTACATTTTCAGGAATTTATTCAACTTCTCTAGGTTTTTTGTTTATGCTAATAAAGATGTTCATAGTAGGCTTGAATAATCTTTTGTATTTCTGTGTTATTGATTATATGTACCATTTCATTTCTAATTGAGCTTATCTGGATCTTCTCTCTTCTTATATTGGTTAATCTCACTAATGTTCTATCAATTTTATTTATCTTTTCAAATAAGCAGCTTTATGTTTCATTTATCTTTTGCATGTTTTTGTTTGTTTGTTTTAACTTCATTTAGTTCTCTGATCTTTGTTACTTCTTTTCTTCTGCTTGGCTTGGGTTTGGTTTGTTCTTGTTTCTGTAGGTTCTTGAGGTGTGACCTTAGATTGACTACCTCTTCTCTTTCAGACTTTTTTATGGAGGCATTTTGGGCTATAAAATTTTCTCTTAGCACTGCCTTTGCTGTATCCCAGAGATTTTGACAGGTTGTGTCACTATTATTGTTCAGTTCAAAAAAATTTTTTAATTTTCATCTTGATTTTATTGTTGACCCAATGATCATTTAGAAGCAGGTTATTTGATTTTCATGTATTTGCATGGTCTTAAGGTTCCTTCTGGAGTTGACTTCCAATTTTATTTTACTATGGTCTGAGAGAGTACTTGATATAATTTCAATTATCTTAAATTTATTGAAACTTACCTTGTGGCCTATCATATGGTCTATATTGGAGAATGTTCAATGTGCTAATGAGTAGAATGTGTATTCTTCAGTATGGGGGTAGAATATTCTGTAATATCTGTTAAGTCCATTTGTTCTAGGATATAGTTTAAGTTCATTGTTTCTTTGTTGACCTTCTGTCTTCATGACCTGTCTAGTGCAGTCCGTGGAGTAGTGAAGTCCCCCACTATCTAGTAGTAATTGTTTTATAAATTTGGGAGCTCCAGTGTTAGGTACATACATATTTAAGATTATGATATTTTCCTGTCAGTCTAGTCCTTTTATCATTATATAGTGTCCCTCTTTGTCTTTCTTAAACTGCTGTTGCTTTAAAGTCTATTTGTCTGACATAAGAAGAGCTACTCCTTCTTGCTTTTGGTATGCATTTGCATGGAATATCTTTTTCAGTCCTTTACCTTATGTGAGTCCTTATGTGTTAGGTGAGTCTCTTAAAGACAGCAGAAACTTGCTTGGTAAATTCTTATTCATCCTGCCAGTCTGTATCTTTTAAATGGAACATTTAGGCTGTTTACATTCAAGGTTAGTATTGAGAAGTGAGTTATTATTCTATTAATTCTTCTAGTTGTTTCCTGAATACATTCTTTTTTTTCCCCTTGAGTTATTATTTTATAGGTCTTGTGAGATGTAGGCTTTAAGGAGGTTCAATTTTGATGTATTTCAAAGATTTGTTGAAAGATTTAGAGCTCCTTTTAACAGTTCTTGTAGTGTTGGCTTGGTAGTGGTGAATTCTCTCAGCGTTTATTTGTCTGAAAAATACTGTATCTTTCCTTTATTTAGGAAGCTTAGTTTCACTGGATACAAAATTCTTGGCTGATAATTGTTTTGTTTAAGGAGACTAAAGATAGAACCCCAATTCCTTCTAGCTTATAGGGTTTCTGCTGAGAAATTTGCTGTTATTCTGATAGGTTTTCCTTTATAGATTACCTGTTGCTTTTGCCTCACAGCTCTTAAGATTCTCTTTCATCTTGACTTTAGATCACCTGATGTGCCTAGGCAAAGATGCTTTTGTGATGAATTTCCCAGGTGTTCTTTGAGCTTGCTGTATTTGGATGTCTAGATCTCTATTGAGGCCAGGGACATTTTCCTCCATTATTCTTTCAAATATGTTTTCCAAACTTCTAGTTTTCTCTTCTTCCTCAGGCACAGAAATTATTCCTAGGTTTGGTTATTTAACATAATCCCGAATTTCTTGGAGGCTTTGTTCATTTTTTATTCCTTTTTCTTTGTCTTTGTTGGATTGGATTAATTCAAAATGCTTGTCTTCGAGCTCTAAGTTCTTTCTTCCACTTGTTTAATTTTATTGCTGAGACTTCCAGTGTATTTTGTAGTTCTCTAAGTGGATCCTTTATTTCTAGAAATTGTGATTTTTTAAAAATTTGTGCTGTCTATTTATCTGGAGATTTTCTATCCATATCATTTTCTGTATCATTTTTTTTGATTTCTTTAAGTTGGTATTCACCTTTCTCTGATGTCTCCTTGAGTAGCTTAATAATCAACCTTCTGAATTCTTTTCCTGGCAGCTTAGAAATTTCTTCTTGGTTTGGATTCATTGACGGTGAGCTAGTGTGATCTTTTGGGGCTGTTAAAGAACCTTGTTTTGTCATATTACCAGAATTGTTATTCTGGTTCCTTCTATTTTTGGTAGACTATGTCAGAGAGTAGATCTGGGGCTCAATGGCTGTTGTTCAGATTCTTTTGTCCCAAGATGTCTTCCTTTGACGTGGTGCTGTCACCCTTCCACTAGGGAGGGCTTCCTGAGAGCTGAACTGTAGTGATTGTTTTTGCTCTTCTGGGTCTAGCCACCTGGTGGAGCTACTAGGCTCTGGTACTTGGGAGTGTCTGCAAGAGTCCTGTGGTGTGATCCATGTTTAGATCTCTCAGCCATGGATAGCAGCACCTGCTCTGGTGGAAGTAGCAGGGGAGTGAAGTGGACTCTGTGAGGGTCTTGGTTGTAGTTTTGGTTAGTGCACTGGTTTTGTGTTGGTTGGCTTCAAGCCAGGAGGTGGCCCTTTCAAGGGAGCATCAGCTGCCCTAGTATAAGGAGGATGCAAGCTTGTCTTAGGGCCACCTGGATAAGTATTCAGGTTTCTCAGGTGGTGGATGAGGCCACAGAGCTTCCAAGAGAGTATGTCCTTTGTCTTCAGCTATCAGGGCAGGTAGAGAAAGACCATCAGGTAGGGGCAGGGTTAGGCATGTCTGAGTTCAGACTCTCCTTGGGCAGGGCATGCTGTGGCGGCTGAGGAGCATCAGGGTGTGGTTCTCGGGCTGATGGAATATGTTCCCAGGGGAATTATGGCTGCTTCTGCTGTGTCATACAGGTTGCCAGGGAAGTGGGGGAAAGTCAGCAGTGACAGGCCTCACCCAGCACTCAGGCAGCCCAAAGGGCTAGTCTCACCTCCACCATGTCCCCCTAACAGCACTGAGTTTATTTCCAGACAGCCAGTGAGCAAGGCTGAGATCTTGCCCAAGGCTACAAGACTCCCTGCTGAGAAAGCAAGCAGGGATTTCAGGCTTCACGCCTCCCCACCTGCCATGGTTTCTGTGCTTGTATCTGCACCCTCCATTCACCCCCATCCCAGATTCTGTCCAGGAAAATTCGTGTTTGGTCAAAATTGTTACAAAATTCAGCTGAAAGTTTCTTTCTCCCTGTGGTCTTTCCCTAATTCAACTGGCAGCCCCGACCAAGGACCCCTGGGAGGCAAAGTCAGAAATGCATTCCCTGGGGGCCAAGAGTGCCCACAGGGCTCTTCCTGCTGCTTCCTCTACCCCTGTATTTTGCTCAACTCTAACTTCATCTTGTCTCCAGGTAAGGCCAAATCTTTCTCCCGTGATCTGGACCTTCAGCTTCCCTAGTGAGGATGTGTGTTTGGGGGTGGACATTCTTCCTCTCATACTTTGGGCACTCAGTTTTTTGGCTGTCTCATGGAGACTGCAGTGGCAAGCCACTTTTTTCAAAAGCACTGTGAATTTTCTCAGCTTTTCTGTTATGTTCCTGCAGTAGTTCTTGGAGCAAAAGTTCACAATGCGAAACTCCACATGCTGTTCTTTTTGTCTGAGTGGGAACTGCAAGTTCATTCTGCTGCTTATTTGCCATTTTTTTCCTCTGGTCACTGTCTGTCTTTGTAAAAGTGATTTGAAAAGTGAAGAAAGTTGTGATGAGTTAGAAGTATTAGGACTGGGTGCTCTTTCTACCTGTGTGATCTGGGGACAGGTACTTAACCTCTCTGGGTCAAAGTTAAAATGGAGATGGGATTAGTACCTTCTTCTAAGGTACTATTCAGAAGAAAGTACTAATCCCATCTCTTCTTTTTTTTTTTTTTTTTAAGACAGAGTTTCGCTCTTCCTGCCTCAGCCTTCCTAAGTAGCTGGGATTAGAGGCATGCAGCCACCACACCTGGCAAATTTTGTATTTTCAGTAGAGACGGGGTTTCTCCATTTTGGTCAGGCTGGTCTCGAACTCCCGACCTCAGATGATCCACCCATCTCGGCCTCCCAAAGTGCTGGGATTACAGGCGAGAGCCGCCACGCCCAGCCTCCCATCTCCATTTTAACTTTAACTGTGATACACTGAAGAAATAGAAAGCAAGTCAATTTGGGTAGACAAACAGAGGAATGGAAATAAGATGACATGAGGGGCTTTATATATCACATGAAAAAGTCTGAACTATGTATTTTAGAAAAGTAGAACCCAGAAAATTACTGACAATAGCACCTGAAGAGCTACGGAAAGATATATACAGGAGGACAGGTAGCAAAATCTAGATGGCCTGGTTTCATGAAGTGGCAGATGAAGACGGAAAGACGGAGTAGTTTCTGTGAGATATGTGAGAGCCAGAATCGACACCTCTTAGAGACTTAATGGAAAGAGGGAGGCAGGAGAGTAAAGGAAAGATGATAGAATGATATTTTGATGACATTCCTCATCCACTAAATAGAAGTATTTTTTAAGTCATTAAAAAGAATCAATGTAAATATCCTTATTAAAAAAGAAATGCTAAATATCAGTTTGATAACCATTTTGTTGCATGGGGAAGTACTCATTATCTCAAACCTGGCTCAGTGGCATGAATTGGTGTTGCTTCTGCAATAAATCTTGTTACTAAGAAAAATGGAGTAAATGACACACAAAACTAAGGATGAGTCTGTAAAAAGCTAACTGCTGGAAACTACATTCTAGTGAATTTTACCTCTGTGAAGAACACTACATCTTTGTTGGAAGATGCTTGCACAAACTCTCCATGGGATGCATGAAGCCTCCAGAGTTTGGAAATTGGGCTGGCTTTAAGTTTTTGACTAGAGGAGAAAGTTACATAATAAAGATTGAAGGATTAGATAGAAGGGAAAATGGAGAAAATCTTGGGCAAGACTGATTGCTTTGCGGTAGAGGTCAGAAAGGAAAGATGACTCCTTTGGTAGGATTTCAATAAACGTTTTAGAAGAAACCAGTAAAATCGACTGGAGTTTTACGAGATTGTATAATTGGAGTAGCTTTTGTAAAATACTCTTTCATCTCTCCTAATACTTTTCAGTAACAAGTAAAAGCACATACACAGATACATGCCAACACACACACATACATGCACACACTTTCTCTTTCTCCCTCTCTCTCTCTAATGTCAAAAGTGATTGAAGCTTTTCATAACGGTTGGACAGTTGAAATCTGTCTACCTTCTGGCACAGGGGTAGAGGCCACTAGGAGAAGGGAATTACAGGAAATTGAATTGCAGGAAAAATTATGAATCATCCATGGCTAACATGTTTCCATAGGTCAAAGTGACTTGTCTTAATATAAGGCGAAGCCTTGCCTTTCTTTAAAGGATAATTTTCTTAAAGAGGGCATAATCATGACACACATAAATATTAAAAGAACACATCAGTGATTGTATTTTATTCATGAATTAACAAAGAAACCAGTAAGATGTTACAACTAGTTCAAAGCAAAATTAGAATATTCACATTTGTATGCATTCCAGAATGGTAAAATTAATTTATTAATGGATGCACAAACTGGTCTATCCACAGGCAATAATCAATTGTACACAACTATTTAGTGTTTCTGTAGATAAATATCAGTTGAATTGTCAATTTTCTACAATTTACAGAGCTTTAAAATGACTAAAAAGTGAAAGGCACACATAAGCTGGATTTGTGAAACAGACAGAATACCAAGTAATCTTTTTTATTTATTTGTATGTGTGTGTCCATTTTATAGTCCTGCTTATACTTCATATCTGCAGGTGTCAGCAATAGAGAAAAACTTGGAGTCAAACCTCCAAGGTGAAAAGTTACAAGTTATCTAAGCAAAAGCTCTCACCTCTGGCCTGAACATGATACCATAAAAATAAGTAGATAAGATTTTTCTTGTGGATATCTTCTTTGTTTATATCAGTAATAAACAAAGATTAATGACTTCAGAAGTTATATTTATGTCCCTTCTTACTCCTTTGGAAAAATAGCAAAAAATTAATTTAAGGTTAATATCAAGCTAAAAAATAAATCACAGTAAAATTCTAATTAAGAAAGCTGGGAAGAGAGGACATTTGAAAATAATTAATACCTTAAGAGATTAAGAGATAATAATAGAAGGGAAATTATCTAGGCACTTACGATGTTATAAACTCAGAATTAAAAAGGAATGTTGGATGTGAATTCACTCATGCAATATCACCTAATGAAATATGAAGAAAACATTTCCTTCAGAGAATTTGAGCATGAAAGTCAAATAGTCGAATGAAAGTGAATGCAATATAAAGAGAAGTGGAGATTATTGGCTGCTGGGGTGGGTTCAAGGATGAATATATACATCAAAGAGTTTTTAAAAGCCCAAGGGGTTTTATATTGAAGATGAGTAATAAAAGTAAGAAGAGAAAGAAAAGGTGGTAAAACAGCGCCTAAGCATTTCAATATTTTTTTAATCTCTCAATGAGATTTCATACAGACTCCATGTACTTTATGATTTTCACAAAATAATCACCAAGGATTTGATGCTAACAAGTTTGAAAATTATTTTCTATAATGCTAAATTCAATAAATGGGGAAATATGTTTAAAAATGAAGAAAATTGAAAGAAGCTCCTTCAACATGGCAACATATAATCTAGTGCTTTCTAGATTTTAATATGTAAATTATGGTATGTGGGGATGGATGCTTTTCATGTCTATGAATAAGCACCATTTATATCAATAACCACCATTTATATCAATTTCAAAAAATAAAAATTCATTATTTTATTAACTTTCCTTTAACTAACAGGAAATAACTAAAAGGAGAGTAATTTCCCAATAAATTATTTTTTCCTTATAATTAGTCCTTTTGATTGCCAACTTAATTTTTAATATGATATAATCATATTTAAACTTGTTTTATTTGACAAGAATCATGTATTGGTTTACTTGGGCTGCCTTAACAAAGCACCACAAATCAAGCCACTTAACAGAAACTTATTGTCTCACAGTTTTGGAGTCTTGAAGTTCAAAATCAAGGTTTCATCAGGATTGGTTTCTCCTGAGAATGTGAGGACAAGACCCGTTCCAGTCCTCTATCCTTGACTTGTTCATGGCCATCTTCTCTCTGTGTCTTTTCATATTATCCTGCCTCTGGGTGTGTCTATCTCAGTGCCCAAATTTCCCCTTTTTATACCAGTCATTCCAATTACATTGTATTACGACACACCCTAATGATTTCATTTAAATTTGATTACATCTGTAAAAATGGTATCTTCAAATACAATCTGAGGTTCTCGGGATTAGGACTCCAACATCTCTTTGAGGGATGGAGTACATAATTCAGTGTGCGGCAAATAGTCTGCATGGAACATAGTGCTTGGCATTGTCTTTTTTTCTTATCAATGACCTAAATAATGTATGGTGCCAGTGGAAATTTTTACATATAAATTTTATGACATGATAGGCAAAATAGATACGTGGTAAAGTAGAAAATGGCATATTCATATCAATTTTTAAATTAACCTTATTTCTAATTTTAATAGTTATTTTTAGTCAAATGCTTTAAAGCAAACCCAAGTATCAAATAAGTGCAGATAATACTATTGGCAAATACTTGTATTATTTTACTGGTTTGTTATGTTATAATTAAATTAATGGAGTTTCTCAATATAAAAAATAATAACTATATTTAATTATAAAATTTAGTAAATCAGGATTTATATTATGCTTTGTGGTATATTTTCCTTTAAAAGAATAACATCAAGAAATTCTTTATATACACACACATACACACGTGTGTGTGTATATATGTTAATATATATAATGTATGTGTGCACACATGCATGCACACACACATATATACACATATATACATATACATGTATAATTTTTTTCTGGGAAAAAGTCAAGATTGATTTAAATTATTTCTTCTTCTGGCATATTTCTCCCACATATGCAAAGATTATTTATATTAATTATATTTTGGCTGCAATGTGTACTCTGTTAAAGAAAAATATTTTATCAGATGAGACCAGCAAACAGAAACTGATTTTATACTAATACTATTATGAGCAATAGCAGAAAGAGAGAGCACAATCCAAGTCTTAGTACTCAGCTCTGTTGAAATAGAGGGCCACAGAAGTCCTAAAAGTGAAGATGGGGGGGTCTTAGTCTTTCAGTGTTTGCTAATTGTCTTTATCCAAATGAAAATAAACTTTCTCCTATCTTCATGAAAGGATGCAATTTTACAACTTGGAGTAAAGTACCCACAGTAGTTAGGCTTCTACCTTCACGCAGAAACTGAGAGAGGAGTCTATCTTCCTTGATGATTAAGTTTCAGACATGGCTCCCAGGATCTTGGGAATGACAGTCCTGGGTTATAAAACAGGCAAGAGGCTTTTTAAAGGATTTACATCTCAAAGGAACAGAGAAAGAGTTTACAATTAGAGGTTTTCTAAGGTAAACTGCTCAAAAAAGGGAGTTCAGGGACCTAGAGGCAGGAAAAACTTGTCTAAAGTCTGGTCATAATTGGCCTTCATTGTTTTAAGGTATGTTTTGAAAGTTTTTATCATGAAAGATGTTAAATTTTATCAAATATTTTTTCAGCATCTATTGAAATGATCATATGGTTTCTGTCCCTGATTTTGCTGAGGTGATGTATCGCATTTCTTGATTTGCATAAGTTGAACCATCCTTGCATTCCTGAAATGAATCTCTTTTGATCACGAAGAACGATCTTTTTGACATGTTGTTGAACAGTTTGCTAACATTTTATCGAGCACTTTTGCATCTATGTTCATCAAATATATTGGCCTGTGGTTTTCTTTTTTAGCTATGCCTTTGTCTGGATTGGGTATGCTGGCCTCATAGAATGAATTTGAAAGTATTCTGTTCTTTTCAGATTTTGGAAATAGTTTAAGAATAGCTGATATCATTTCTTCCTTAAGTGTTTTGTAGAACTCAGCAATGAAGAAATCAGGTCCTGGACCTTTCTTTGATAGGAGAATTTTTCAGTACTGCTTCAATCTTATTACTCGTTATTGATATGTTCAAGGTTTTCTATTTCTTCATGGCTGAGATTTGATAGGTTTTATGTATCCAGTAATTTATTGATTTCTAGATTTTTCAATTTATTGACATGTATTTGTTCATACCAGTCTCTAATGATCCTATGTATTTCTGTGGTATCAGTTGTAATGTCTTGTTTTTCATCTCTGATTTTATTTATTTGGGACTACTCTCTTTTATTCTTAGTCTAGCTAAAGATTTGTAAGTTTTGTTTATCTTTTATAAATAACTTTTCATTTTTTCTTTTGTATTGTTTTTGTAGTTTCAATTTCATTTATTTCTGCTCTGATATTTATAACATTTCTTTCTACTAATTTTAGTTTGATTTCCTCTTGCTTTTCTAATTTTTTGAGATGCATCATTAGGTTGTTTCTTTGAGATCTGTCTACATTTTTTATGTAAGTTTTTATTGCTATAAACTCCCCTATTAGTACTGCTTTTTTTTTTTGTATCTAAAAGAGCCATCTTACTACTGGGTATATACCCAAAAGAAGAAAATCAATATATTGAAGAGATAGCTGCACTCTCATGTTTATTGCAGCACTGTTCACAATAGCCAAGGTATGAAATTAACCCAAGTATCCCTCAATGGATGAATGGATAAAGGAAATATGGTGCATATACACAATGGAATGTTATTCAGCCCTAAAAATAATTAAATTCTATCATTTCCAGCAACATGTATGAAACTGGAGAACGTTATTTTTAGTGAAATAAGCCAGGCACAGAAAGACAAATATTGCATGTTCTCATTCATATGTGGAGTTAAAAAAATGATCTCATGGAAGTAGTGAGTAGAATGATAGCTAGCAGAGACTGAGAAAGGGATGAGGGGGATCATGAGAGGTTGGTCAATAAGTACAAAAATACAATTAGATGGAAGGAATAAGCTCTAGTGTTTGATACCACAGCAAGGTGACTATAGTTAAAAAGAATTTATTTTATATTTAAAAATAGCTAGAAGAGATTTGAAATGTATCTATCAAAAAGAAATAATAAATATTTGAGACAATGGATTTTCCACTTACCCATTGGATTTGATACATTGTATGCATGTATCAAAGTATTACATGTACCTAATAAATATGTAAAATTATGATGTATCAATAAAAATAAGTAAACAAGCAAAAAATTTTAGTCAAGCTTAGAGAAACATTAAGATATTGGTCAACTCTAAATAAATATTTTATGAAGGAATTAATGAGCATTGTACAAATAAGTGTATTAAGAACAATGGGAGATATAAAGAAAAAATAAGACACTTAGAGTCATGATATTTAGTAAAATTTAATTTTAAATATTGCTTAATTTTTATTTCAATGACATAGGTTGTATTGCTTAATTTTTATAAGAAAATAATTATCTTTGACCAAATACATTTATTTTTGGTAGCATATGGGTCTCCTTTTAAATAACTTCCTGATAAACCTACAGTTACTTATTTTGGCTTCATTCATCAGAAAAGGCAACTTAGACAACTGTTTTCAAAAAGGATCCAGTAATTCATTTTAATGTGTATTTATTGATCACTTACAATGAACCAGACAGTTTCCTAGGCTAATAAAAAAGACAAAGTTGTTGCTCACAGGGAGCTTACACCCAAGAGGTGTAAATAGATATATACAAATATCTAATATGCAAGTATTTCTATGTAAGTAAATACATAAGCCTGTTGTGGAGTACTATGAAGAAAAACAAAATGGGGTAAGCAAGATAGGGGCTTCCAGGGTGTATGATGTAGTGGTTATAAATGTAAGCTTGGCCGGGTGTGGTGGTTCATGTCTGTAATCCCAGCACTTTCGGAGGCTGAGGCAGGCAGATCACTTGAGGTCAGGAGTTCGAGACCAGCCATGGTGAAACCCAATCTCTACTAAAAATACAAAAAAATTAGCCGGGCATGGTGACGCATGCCTGTAGTCCCGGTTACCTGGGAGGCTGAGGCAGGAGAATGGCTTGAACCCAGGAGCCGAGATCACGCCACTGCACTCCAGCCTGGGTGACAGAGCAAGACGCCATCTAAAAAAAAAAAAAAAAGTAAGCTTGATCACTACAAAAATGGTATTTAATAAAGTGCATTCATGCAAATATTAGAAAAATAATTTCAGGAAGTGTAAAGGAAGTTCAAAGGCACTAAGGCAGGAATATGTTTGATATATTTCAAAAACAGTGAGGAGGCTAGAGCAGAGGAATCTAGTGGAACAGGGATTTAAGTTATCAACTAAGTAAGCAGGGAGTATGTGCCTGAGAGAAGAGTTCCAGAAAGATGATCAGATCATAAGGGGAGCTTTCATAAAGACTTCAGGCTACCAAAGTGAAGCCATTGAAGATATCAAACAAAAGTAGTGACTTGGTTTGATTTTATATTTAAAATGATAACTGGATACTGTATAGAGAATAAATTATAGAAAAGCAATAATAGAGATTAGGGGACCAGTTAGACAGCTATTGAAGTAACCCAAGTGAGAAGAGAATAAAGACATTCCCATTAATTCGATGGGATGACTGCTGATAGAGTACATTTGGAAGGGAAGTTCAAGAGTTCAGTTTTAGTTATCCATGATTACACATATGTGTCATAGGTTTAAGACAGAATTTGGCAAAGGAGGGAGTAAATGAAGACAATAAGAATAGGCTCTTCTTTAAAGGAATTTTGCTTCCAAAAGGTAAAAACGTTTGCGATAGCTGGTGGGAGACATGGGGTACTGAGAGGCTTTTCAAACTGATTCGGTGGAAAGAGAAAGACTAATGATGCAAAATGGAGAGGGAGAAATTTCTGGGACAGAGTTGCAAAAGATGAGAGAGAGATAATGTGTTCTCTCTTCCTCTCTCTCTCTCTCTGTGTGTGTGTGTGTAACTGTTTATTTGGAGATAATTTCAACATTAAGGAAAAGTTGCAAGAATATTACGTAGATTCATATATTATAATTTGACCACATGTGTTTATGATTAGGCTTTCTCACTCACTATCTGTCTCATATTCCATAGGAATAAATGTCAGTGTATGTATAGGTATAGCTATAGATAGAGGTATAGGTAGATATAGACATAAGCACAAATATTGATATTTTTCAAAACTATTTGAGATTAAGCTGCATTTTGTACTTAACTTGTCTCCCTAATTAATTTTTTTTAACTTTTGGTGAGTATGATAGGTTTGGGTAATTGACAGCTTAGTTCTCAATATGTACCTCTATGCTCTTTCAAAAAACTCCCTGAAACAAAAATAATAAATTAAGTCAGTGGAAAACACAGAAAACCCACAAGATGGCAGGAGTGCCACATATATGTAAGTTTCTTGGTTACTTTCTTTATTTTCACCTCCCCCAGTTCCTCATCTAATAGACTTTTATGTTTAACATTTTGTTGCTTTGAAATGTAAATGACTTAAGACATGTAAAGGGGAGATGGTAACTAAATAAGTTTTAAAAAATCAGAAAAAGCATATAACAAAGAAGCATACCTAGAGAATCATAGTATTAAGCCATTCAAAATAAATTCCCTTTAAAATATCTTACGTTTTAGTTTGAAGAGAAATATGTTTACTGAGTAAGACTAAGTAACAGGAGGTTAGGGAACTATAAGAAAAATACTTCTTAGAGTATGAGAAGCTTCAAGGGTATGTTAAAGCTCAGATTGTTTGTCAAAATATTATCCAAAGGGAACTTGAGATTCTTGTAGAACTTTATTGTGATTGACTCTATTGATGACATTTGACTTCCTGGACAAAGTGCATAGGAATTGATATGTATTCTAGATGCCTATAATAACAGACATACATGTCAGAACACTGGAGATAAAATCTGTCAAGTTTCAGAGTGAGGTTTAAAGAATTACAATATTGCAGGGCAAGCCAAGGTCTATTCTATTCTAAAGAATGAATAAGTTGTTTCTCTTTACTCTCTAAGAATAATAAAGAGATATATCACTTGGATTTTGGAGAAGGTACACATGCATTTTGTAATGTTATTCTTATTCCTTTATGATGACTTAGATGGTTACCAGTTTTGAGTCCAGACTATGGTACAAGTTGCTGTGCTGATTAGGTCGCATGACACAACAGATCCAACGGATAAAGATGTTGTATTGGATCGCCTTATAACAAGTCCCAATAGGAGAGCGAAGGCAGAGATCTTTAGATTTGTGAAGCACAGTTACACTTCTACAGTGTAAACTATTTACCGTTTGAAAATGGCTTTCATTGTAGAACTAGGCCTTAGTGAAGACTGAAAGCCTGGAAGTGTGAGATCGGAGATTTCCACTGAGTCAAACTTTTATGGGAGGTAGGGTGCAATAGCCATCTATTTTGAATTCATAACTGAATTATAAATTCATAACTGCATTTGAGAAAATCCAAAAGGTACAATGTAATTATATAAACAGTGGCTGAGACTACACTGGTAGCTACACGTTTGTACCAGTGCCTGTCTATTAGCTCACATCTATGGCTTCCTGGAGATCCCTATGTCTAATTGAGAGAGGAAGAAATAACTGGGCTTGGTTTATAGCAGTAACTGTGTTTGGTCTAGTCCTAAATGTAGTGCTGCCACACATATAGGGCTACTTTTATAGCCACACTCAGTAGTAACCCTAAAAGACAGTGGTGAAAGAAAATCCTCCAGTGTGCAGATAGAAAACTGGGTTACCCACTTTGTACACAGGGTGTATTAGTCTGTTCTCCTGCTGCTAATAAAGACATATTCCAGACTTGGTAATTTATAAAGGAAAGAGGATTAATTGATTCACAATTCAGCATGGCTAGGGAGGCATCAGGAAACTTACAATCATGATGAAAGGGGAAGTAGACACGTCCTTCTTCACATGGCAGTAGCAAGGAGAAGTACAGAATGAAGCAGAGGAAGCCCTTTATAAAACCAACAGATGTTGTGAGAACTCATTCACTTTCATAAGAACAGCATGGAGGTAACTGCCCCCATGTTTCTATTACCTCCCACCGGTTCCCTCATATGACATGTGGGGATTGTGGGAACTATAGTTCAAGATGAGATTTGGGTGGGACATAGGCAAACCATATCACAGGGAAAAGTAGATAGCAGTTGTGATACTTATAAATCTTTTGAAATGTCAAATGTCATAACTATTTGGTCAAGGATCTGGAAGAAGAAAGATTAGGGAAAATTAGAGATCAGGCAGTCCTGGGAGGAAGCATGTGAGTGAACTTCTGGGGATGAGCATAAAGCACGCAGAGCTTTATATAGCATGTAAATTTCCACTGGAGCTCATCTACCAAATAAACTGAGTAGAATGACCCAATATGAAAATGAACCTGTGAATGAAGTGGCTATGGTAATATCAAACAGGACTAAAACTTGATCCAGTAACATAGAATCTGTCTCACTATAGCTAATTTAGCTACAGCTATTGCTTAATCTCCAGCCTGCCAGCAGCAAAGAATGACATTGAACCACCCATATAGTGACACTCTTGGAGGAGACCAGCCTCTGCTTAAGACTGATTGATTAGATCCCTTCGACCTAGTAGGGAGAGTGGTTCCAGTGATATTAGGATTTTCCATACTACGGATGTGAGTTTCCTTTTCTTCCTTCAGTTCCTACATCAGCAATACCACCTGAAGATTTTTGGGTGCTTTATCAGTTGGCAACATATCCTGCAAAGAATTGCCTTGAATCATGGGCCATTTTACAACAAAGGTCTCACCACATACGTCACCACTCAGAAGTACCTGCTCTCTCAGATTGGAGGAGTTGCCTTTTACAAACAACTCTAACTAAAGTGCCTTCTCAGTGACAACACACTATAGGATTGGGCCACTGTCTTTTACAATGTGGGGCATGAAGAAAACCAATGGCCAATACAAGATAATATACAAGGTATGAATGTAAAATTGTTCCATTACATTATCATTTCCAGCAATCCATGTGTGAAATGTATCTTCACAACTTTAAGCTTTTCCAAATTACAATTTCTCTAAGAGACCCTATAAGGGTTTAACTGAACTTGAAACTACAACTACTTATTGGTGATTTGGGCCTTTTTATACCAGTGAACCAGCAGGCAAAAGAGCTAAACAAGTGAATTACCGTATCTGCAAATGTAATCAAGACTAGTTATTAAAAGGAGCTAGAGTTATTGCTACATCTTGGGAGCAATATGTTCTCATGCTCCTAATTGGGAGCAGTGACAGGTTAATCAAAACTATCGTAGGAACAAATAATAAGAACAACCACAGCCTAATCGATACCCCTTTGATGATCTGGGTTACCTCCAACAGGCAAGTAAGCCAGACTAACTAATTGCTAGCAAGGGGCTAGTAATCTAGAATGGGAGGTGAAGGAAGAAGGCAATGAGTATCAACTATTTTGATTCAGACAAACTGCAAGAGTAGGGACCTTAGCTTGCTTTTCCCATTAACCTTTTTGTGTTAATTTTCCTAGATTGAAGCTTACTGCCCTCATGAAGGAGATACTGTAATGGACTGGTTTAAGTACAAGTGAGAGTTGAGTCATGCAAACAACTAGACAGAAAAAAGTAAATCTATACAATGCTTTTTTGTGTGTCACTTGAAGCACCTTCACCCCCTCCTTTAGCTGCAGCAAATGCTGTCATATAGCCTTCCATAAGCTTTGGGCAACTTCACAGCAACCTTTTACTTCTTGCTTCCTGTCTGAGGAATTCTCTTTGGTTTTGGTTTCAGATACCAATGGGGACATATTTATACTCAGACTTATGCAAACTGAAATTACAGAGAAATTAATTTCAACTGAGCCATTGCTAACCAATGGGAGATGGTTGTTGGCGTATAAATGCTCCCTTCTGTCTATGCCCAGATGGCAGTTCCAAGGCACCGGTCTTAAGGCCCCTGAGAAAATCTGTGCAAGATCAAACACCAACTGCAAACTCAATAACACATCCTTTTACCGGATTTCTTCTTTCTCGTTTACTTCCATCTGTTCTTCTTGCTTGCTCCCAGGGATAATTTACCAATTAAACTACCTGCCCACAAGCATTAGTTTCAGGTTTTAATTTTCAGTTTTAAACTCAAGTTAGACATAGCTCCAACAGTCTATAAATACTTTTCTTGAAAATAGTCATTAAGGAGGGGAGAATTTAGGTAATGCACACCTCGGAGTCTACTCAGTTAAATGTATATGGAAATACTAACATCCAAAGACTGCTCAGGACAGTGGTGGTGAACTGGCTTTTACTATTCTCTACTATAGTTCAAGAGTGCATTAAATAATGGCCCTCAAATGTGTGTGTGGGTGTGTGTGTGTGTGGGAGTGTGTGTAGTTGGTTAAGATATATATACATATATATGTCTCATATATAAATATATTATATATCTCATATATAAATATCCATATATAAGAATATACATAAGAGTGTATATGGATATTTATATATATAAACATATATCCATATAAATAGGAATATAGATAAGAATATATATGGATATTTATATATAAGATATATATATATATCTTAACCCACTGTGTGGGTGATATATATATACATATATATATATACACACACATATATGATATATATATATACATATATGATATATATATATCTTAACCCACTGTGTGTGTGTGTGTGTGTGTGTGTGTGTGTGTGTGTGTATCTTAACCCACTAGAATCTGTGAATGTGACCTTATCTGGAAATAGCATCTTTGCCAATGTAATTAAATTGGGAATCTCAAAACGAGCGGTATTCACATATCCTTGTCCCTTTGTGTTTTACCTGGGTCTATCCTCTGTGTCTGAATCTCAATTCTCTCTCCCTTGTCTCTTATAAGACAGAGGCAGAGATTGCAGGGATACATTCACAAGCCACGGAACGCCAAAGATTGCCAGCAGCCACCAGAAGCTAGGAGAGAGACTCAAATAGATGGTCTCTCAGGGCCTTTAGAAAGAATGAAGTTCTGACAACACTTTAATTTTGGACTTTTTGCCTCCAGAGTTATAAAATTATAAATTTCTGTTGTTGTAAGCCACAAAGTTTGTCATAAATTGTTACAGCAGTCCTAGGAATCTAATACACTTACAAATCCAAACTCATATTCCGTTTCCATTATTTTGAGATGTCACAATTAAACACTGGTTCAGTGACAAGATTTAGAGCTATGTATACAAACTATGTTAACAATTAGAGATTTGGTATTAGGTTATTTTAATAGCATTAATTTTTGAAGCCAGCGTCCATAGCTGTGATATGAAGTAACTCCAAACTAAAAACTTAATAGGCAAACGAGAAGCAAAGTGTGTTTTAATTAGAATTAAATTTTCAACTTAATAATTCAACCAAACATTGATTAGGCAAAGTCTTGGGCCGGAGACCCAAGCAATGTTTCCTTCTCTCTTCCAAATCTAAAAATTATACATTTTCATGTGCAGAAAAAGAGGATGAGAGAGAGAGAGAGAGAGAGAAGAGAGAGAAAGAGAGGGAGAGAGAGAGAGAAAGAGAGAGATAGAGAGTGTGAGACAGTGTGTGTGTGTGAGAGAGAGAGAGAGAGAGAGACAGAGAGACAGAGAGAGAGAGAAACCTACTCTGAAGAGATAGGCCTTACCTGTGCCTAAATTCCACATGGACCCAGAAAGCAGAAGGTTGAAAAAGCAGACTCTTTGAGCTCTTTAAAGGCATTTTAATCTTAAGGCATACTGTAGGGTTACTATCTTATAGTAAATTGCAGCAGTCCCCAATCGTTTTGGCACCAGAGTCCTGTTTCATGGAATACAATTTTCCCATGGACAGGAGGGGTGGGAGAAGGATGGTTTCAGAATGAAACTGTTCATCTCAGATTATCGGGCATTAGATTCTCACAAGGAGTGCACAAACTAGATCCCTCGCATGCACAGTCCACAGTAGGGTTCGTGCTCCTATGAGAGTCGAATACCTCCACAGATGGGACAGGAGTTGGTGCTCAGGTGGTAATGCTCGCTCAGCTGCTGACCACCTCCCGCTGTGGAACCGGGTTCCTACCAGTCCACAGACAAGTAGTTCCAGTCCACAGCCCAAGGGTTGTGGCCCTCTGGTATAATGTGTCCAATTAATGCCTCTAGCTTTGACAACTCATTTTCTGATAAATGAAGTGTCAAGAAGAGGGCAAATAAACACATCCTTCGCTATGGCCATAGGAGCAGGTTGAAGATAGCAAAAGGATGTGTTTTCTTGCCTACAAATAAATTTGCATAACATTTTCCTATGTGTTTGGGGTTTCAGCTTGATCTGTAAGCTCGGTCTCATGCTCCAGTTTATCTTACCTGGAATTCTAGCAATCTCCTGAGGCTGCAAATGTATCTAAAATTATTTATCAAATATTCAGTGGTGAAGTTAACAGGATTTTTAGAAAATAGTAAGTTGTTTGACAAGACCATTTATATAGGTAGCTTGCTATGAAAGGACTAACAACTAAAGATCTCCCCAGCATTACAAATACAGACACACAATCATTAGTGTGATTATCACCTACTGTAGTAAAAGATGTATAGCTCCATAACATAAAACAGAAAAGTAAATATATTTAGTCCTTTAAAAAGATAATTTAAATATGGGATAATTTTATCTGTAGAACTCTTTAACTGGAGAATGGTCAAAATTTACTCAGAACAAATACCATTAGGTACTAAGTCAAATTTAATTAGACACAACAACTCCTGATTGTCACGACCCAAAATTTTGTGTATGCCAAACATTCAGGGTATTTTGACCCAAGTAAATTAAAACAACTAGCACTAAGACATGTCTGACTTACGCAATGGTTCCACGGCATCATTAATTTATGACAGCTGTCAGAACTGTTTGACTCAACTACTATAAGGAGGCAAAGGCAATCATTTAACAGATCAATCACATGTTAGAGACTGATAATAAAATAACGCTTTTGATAAGAATAGAACAAGACATAATGATTATTTGAATCAAATCATGCAAAAGTCATAAGAGTGGGTGACTGTTGCTAGAAAACTTGTCTGATCATGTATGTGACTTTATTTATTTACATACTTTCAGTCCCTGCAGTCATGAGACCTTTTGTAATGGGAGGAAAATTTAGCATTATGTCCTGCTGTTAAGTTCACTAGCTACGTAACTTTGGGCAATTTATATATGCTTTTTGATTCTCAGTTTTCCACATCTTCAAAGTGAGCCTTGAGGTACAACCTAGGTTACACTGTTGTCATAAAGATTAAGTCATGTGTGAAACAATTTATAAATAGAGAAGCACCATCCATTTCTAAATCATAGCACTTCTTCTACTTTTGGGGGAAGCTTGGGGCTCTCCATGGCATGAAATGCATGTTGCAGATTAGAAAAGTCACCTTTTCTATGCCCTTTAGTCTGCATTATTGATCTTCTTCCCATTTGGAAGGCACAGTGCCATCCAACTGTGCATGGTTCTACTTCTCAATAAAAACTACACAGAAAATGAAGTTAATGTATGGTCCAACATGTGCTACAAAATAAATGAAATGTCACAAAGAGTTTGGCTTCCAGTGACATCAAGATGAGACAGTGATGCCTATAAATGAGGCCAACTGAAGAATTAACATGGAAGACAGCCCTAGTAGTTGGGAACTTCAGTGGTACTACTGGCAGTTCATCCTCTCGAGAGTCACAAAAATACTGAAGAAGATGGGAAGGATATTCAAAAGTGAAGACACATAGGAATTAATTTTTCTCTATAATCAAACAGCATTGGCTCTAAAGACTGGTAGGCTCTGTTGATGATTAAGTTGTCAAGTGAATGCTTTACATGAAGGATGTACAAGTCATAGGACCAATAGGTTAGATACAGATTTATATCTAAGAGGAGATTTATTAAAATATTGGCTCACATGCTTATGAAGGCTGAGAAGTCCCACAGTTGGCTCTCTGTAATCTAGAGAACCAAGAAAGCCAGTACCATACTTCAGTCTCGGCTTAAAGGCCTGAAAACCAGGAAGGCTTGTGTCCAAGGATAGAGGGTAAATGTCCCAGCTCAAACAGAAACAAATTTTCCTTCTAAGGATTGGATGAGGCCCACCAGCATTGGTGAAGGAGATCTTCTTCAATCTATCAATTTAAATGCTAATCTCTTTCAGAAATAACCTCACAGACACACCCAGAATTAATGCTTAAACATCTACCCAGTTTTTTTCTATAATATTCACTCATCGATCTTTTTAAAAAATGGAAGATTCTTCCCTGTGAAATGGGTAGCTTTAGAGGTTTGTGCATAGGCTGTCAATTTAATTCCCACATTAATTATTTTCTACAAGTACATTATTTGTATTTTATGTCTAAGGAATCTGATGTGTGCAACAGTTAAGTCGCATATAAATAGTGATGCTGTCACCAAGGGACAGAACGGGGACTTGAACCCACTTTTTTCCATTTTAAAATAAAATCCCCTTTTTCTGACTGCTTGCCATGCACTGAATTTGATTGTTACAGTAAATTGAATTGAAAATTTTAAAATAATTTTTAGCAATTTCTTCTGTCTTCTGAATTTTTTCAGCCTGAATGAGGGAAGGTGGTCATGGTAAATTTTGTCTTCCCTTTTGTGCCCTCAAGAAATATTTCAGTAGATTATATAGTTGTTCTAGATCTTCCTGTCAGGTTGTAAATTGCTTCTATGACTTCTTTTAGCTCATATTTCCCTCCCTCCCTCCCTATGGCTACTTATTAGACGTCTCCACTAGAATTACCTTGGAGTCTCGTTCATGTCATGGTGCCTGCACTCACTTCAGAATTACTGATTCAGGATCTCTAAAATTGGGCCAGGGAAGCTGCATTTTTAATCAGCAGACCAGTTCATCAAAAGCAATTGCAACAAAACACAAAATTGACAAATAGGATCTAACTAAAGAGCTTCTGCACACCAAAAGAAACTATCATCAGAGTGAACAGACAACCTACAGAATGGGAGAACATTTTTGCAATCTAGCCATCCAACAAAGGCCTAATGTCCAGAATTTACAAGGAACTTAAACATATTTATTTACAAGAAAAAAAATAACCTCATCAAAAGTGGGCAAAGGATATGAACAGAGACTTCTTAAAAGAAGACATTTATGTGGCAAAAAAAATATGAATAAAAGCTCAACCTCATCGATCACCAGAGAAATGCAAATGAAAACCACAATGAGATACTATCTCATGCCAGTCAGAATGGTGATTATTAAAAAGTCAGGAAACTAACAATAGATGCTGGCGAGGCTGTAGAGAAATAGGTACGCTTTTACACTGTTGGAAATGTAAATTAGTTCAACCACTGTGGAAGACAGTGTGGCTATTTCTCAAAGATCTAGAACCAGAAATACCATTTGACCCAGCAACTTCATTACTGTGTGTATACCCCAAGGAATATAAATCATTCTACTATAAAGACACATGCACATGTGTGTTTACTGCAGCACTATTTACAATAGCAAAGATATAGAACCAACCCAAATGCCCATCAGTGATAGACTGGATAAACAAAATGTGGAACATATACACCATGGAATACTTTGCAGCTATAAAAAGGAATGTGATCATGTCATTTGGAGAGACATGGATGAAGCTGGAAGCCATCATCATCAGCAAACTAACACAGGAACAAAACCAAACAACGCATGTTCTCACTCACAAGTGGGAGTTAGCATTGAGAACACATGGACACAGAGAGGGGAACAACACACACTAGAGCCTGTTAGCGGCTGGAGGATGAGGGGAGAGAACTTAGAGAATGGGTCAACAGGTGCAGCAAATCACCATAGCACACGTGTACCTGTGTAACAAACCTGCACATTCTGCACATGTATCCCTTTTGTTTTTTTAGATGAAACAAACAAACAAAAAAAGGAATCTCTAGGGTTGGTCCAGGGAAGCTGCATTTTTAACCAGCAAACCAATTCATTCTGATATGCTCAAATTTGGGAACCCTCTACACAAGGCCCACCCATATTATCTGACTCTTTCAGAGTTTAATGCAGCTCACAATTCCTGACCCCAAAGTCCACATCCAGCACTCTGCTAGGAGGCCCTTCTACCTACACCACATCACATGAGGTCATATTGCATCAAAGTCCATCTATTTTGTTGATAGTCCATGATGACTTCTAGTTCATTCACATCCCTACTTGGAGTTCTGAGTAAGTCTCCAATAAATACACACTGGGATTACTGGGCACCTCTTATTAGAACCTCAGGAAGGGTTGTAATCTCAGCTTCCTGCCCTCAGTAGCCACTCCTGCGCTAGGCTCCTGATGTCAGTTCCCTAGTTAATTTAATACTTCTCACTCTCTACAAGAAATCTGTCTTCCCAAAATGAATAAAATCATCTTTTTATCTTGGTTCAGGGACTAAAATTGCAAATACAAAATAGCTCTTTACTTAGTTAATGATGACTTCAAGACTTGCAGGAGTCAGGGCTAATTATGCGCCACTGGATGTCGGTTACTCTAATGACTCTGCTAATAGACAGTGTGAACAAGTGAAATCAGCAATTGAGTTGAACTTTGCTTATTACAGATTTCTGACACTCCATAGAAAAAGTGCTTGGGAACCTCTTTGAAAAAAGGTGGAGTGAGTCCAAAGAAATGATTTGCATTGACTAAACAAAGGCTAACAAAACTTTCTCTAAAAATGTCTCATGAGATATAAAACAATTGTAAAATTAACCTTTCAGAACAAAAAATGGTCTTTAGTAGTGTATTTGTAAAATACGTTTATTGAAATGTTGCTCTCCTTTTTATATATTTCAAATAGTGGTAAGTATTGTGAGCAATGCGATAATTGAGACTAGATGTAAACACGCAGAGATCGTCAGGGTGTCAAAAGCTACTTTTACTGCCAAGTTGCTCTAGGGGAAGTTCAGCAATTAAGAAAGCGCCCTTCACTCCACCCACCAGAGGTAAGGGGTTGTATTTGCTCATATGCTTTTGTTTCTATCTGTATTTTGCTTCCAACAGAAACAGCAGGAGTAGTGAAATATGTCTTGGAAAATCAAAGTGGTCAGGGCTGACTCTAGGTTACTTATGAAGGAAAGGAAACATCTTTATCCATCAGTCACCAATTTTATTATGGGACTTCGATGTGAGTGAAACAAGTAGAAAATGTATGGTTAAAGTTGATTTTGAATCTCGACTCAAATGTTTACAAATTGTCATAATTTGGAAAAGGATTAAACTTTGGGTTCTCATTTCATTTTTACATGGTGATTTCTATGCTTGAGCTGTTCTTATCTCCCTTTGTTCACCCTTTGTTCACCTGTTTCATTGAAGGGGATGTAAGTTCTTATGATTCAAGAGCCATCCAAGCTGTTCTCTCCTCCTGGATAGCTATATTCTACCCACAGTTAGATTAGGTTGTTACTTCTCAACATAGTGTGATGAAAGACCCGTTGTTTTCTTTGTTTAAACCCTGATCCATTATGGACCAAAAACTTCTGTAAGATAGAAAAAATGTGATCCATAAAAATTATATGAATCATCAGAAAAAATGACTGGACCTTTGGATATCATTGCAATGTTGAATTGTTATAAAAAATTTTGGCTGGGTGCGGTGGCTTATGCCTGTAATCCCAGCACTTTGGGAGGCCAAGGAGGGCAGATCACAAGGTCAGGAGTTCGAGACCAGCCTGGCCAATATGGTGAAACCCTGTCCCTACTAAAAATACAAAAATAAGCCGGGCGTGGTGGCATGTGCCTGTAATCCCAGCCACTCCGGAGGCTGAGGCAGGAGAATTGTTTGAATCCAGGAGGCAGAGGTTGCAGTGAGCGGAGATCGTGCCACTGCACTCCACCCTACATGCACTGCACCACACCCTACACTCTGTCTCGAAAAAAAAAATAAAATAAATGTTTAATCCCAATGTACTTAATTGATAGGGTTGCAGTTTCAAACACACATTTTCTGAGGAACATACTAGTTTAGGAGACTTCTTTTCTGAGATTTATACCAATTATTGTGTCTTCTTAGATGCCTCTCCTCTTTCTCTATAAACATATTGTGGCAGGTTACCGTTTTCTTCCTTGCATCACAAGTTGCGAGCTCAGACGGAGTTATGTAGTAAATGCTTACAAAAATATGTATCTGGAGAAATGACTCTGAGAAATATGGGTAAAAATACCTAATCAAAATATCTGCTTCTAATTACTAATGGAGAGAATATTTATAAAGTTTCTGGCATATCAATAAATGCTATCTTGCTTCTGTCTAGGGTTCTTGTCACAGATAGAAACCCTTTGGCCTTATCCTCCCCTATGCTCCTACCACTGGTTTTATGAGCCGTTTCTACCTAGTGTTTCTCTGAGCTTCACACTATTTTGGAAAGGCTATCTGATGCAATAATGCCAACTGAGAATTTTTTTCCTTCAACTTTTAAGTTCAGGGGTACATGTGCAGGATGTGCATGTTTGTTACATAGGTAAATGTATGTCATGGCGGTTTGCTGTACACATCATCCCATCACCTAGGTATTAAGCCCAGCATCAATTACCTATTCTTCTTGATGCTCTCCCTGCCCCCAACCCCCCTGACAGGCCCCAGTGTGTGTTGTTCTTCCCCACGTGTACATGTGTTCTCATAATTCAGCTCCTACTTATAAATGAGAACATGCGGTGTTTTGTTTTCTGTTCCTGTGTTAGTTTGCTGAGGATAATGTCTTCCAACTCCATCTGTGTTCCTGCAAAGGACATGATCTCATTCCCTTTTATGGCTGCATAGTTTTCCATGGTGTATATGTACCCCGTTTTTCTTATCCAATCTATCATTGATGGGCATTTAGGTTGATTCCAAGTCTTTGCTATTGTGAATACTGCTGCAATGAACATACATGTGCATGTATTTTTATAATAGACTGATTTATATTCCTTCGGATATATACACAGTAATGGGATTGCTGGGTCAAATGGTACTTCTGCCTCTAGGTCTTTGAGGAATTGCCACATTGTCATCCACAATGGTTGAACTAATTTACACTCTCACCCACAGTGTAAAAGGTTTTCTTTTTCTCTACAAACTCACCAGTATCTGATGTTTTTTGACTGTTTAATAATAGCCATTCTCACTGATATGAGATGGTATCTCATTGTGGTTTTGATTTGCATTTCCCTAATGATCAGTGATGTGGAGCTTTTATTTTTTTTTCATATTATTGTTAAGACGGAAATGTAAAACCCAAAACTTTTAGAACCCTCAAAGAAAATCTAAGCAATACCATTCAGGACATAGGCACAGGCAAAGATTCATGATGAAAACACCAAAAGCAATCGCAACAAAAGCAAAAATTGGCAAATGGGATCGGATCAAACTTAACAGCTTCTGCACGGCTAAAGAAACTATCATTAAAGTAAACCGACAACCCACAGAATGGGAGAACGTATTTGCAATCTATCCATCTGACAAAGGTCTAATATCCAGAATCTACGTGGAACTTAAACAATTCACAAGGAAACAAACAAACAAACAAGCAAATGACCCAAATTGAGAATTTAGAGCCTGATTTGAAACTATGTTTTTCAGGGATGCTCCATGTTTACTGTGTTTTCAATTGAAGAAGAGGCTTATGAAACACAGTACGGCCTTTTCCACTTTGAGACAGGTGAAAATTTGAGCTGGAAGCCTTTAATCCTCATGGAGAGCAAACTTAACCTACCTGTCACTCAGGATCTTAAAATGATTATGTGGTCCGGTTCTAGGTGTGTTAATTTTTTACCTCATTTCAGGTCATATCCTGTGGGTCAACATATGTGTGGAGCCTAATTGACCCATGAAATTGAAATATTTACTTTTACTATACAAGGTGAACAGGTGTGCAGGTAAGCTTGTAATTATAGCGGTCCTTCTCACTCATGAAGACAAGCCATATTTTTCAGTATAAATAAAAGAGACTGATATATTTCACTATACATAGTGTATTCTATTTTTAAAATGATGACTACACAGAAACATTTGCCAATATCATTTTAAAAGACACCCAGAGATTGGAAATCAAGGGAGAACTTTTTAATATAAAAAGTAATATATGTGGGACACCTCTTCTAAATCCATAAGATATGTAATAGAAAATGGAGATGGTGGTCGGGAGCAGTGGCTCACGCCTGTAACCCCAGCACTTTGGGAGGCCGAGGCAGGTGGATCACGAGGTCAGGATATCGAGACCATCCTGGCTAACATGGTGAAATTCCGTCTCTACTAAAAATACAAAAAAAATTAGCCGGGCGTGGTGGCGGGCGCCTGTGATCCCAGCTACTCGGGAGGCTGAGGCAGGAGAATGGCGTGGAGGCAGGAGAATGGCGTGAACCCAGGAGGTGGAGCTTGCAGTGAGCCGAGATCTCGCCACTGCACTCCAGCCTGAGCGACTGAGCAAGACTGTCTCAAAAAAAAAAAAAAAAAAAGAAAAGAAAATGGAGATGGTATAGTTATAGTGCAGAATACATTGTTATAGCCAGGGCCAGAGTCTTGGTTAGGGCTGACTATCAGGGAGTTCTGAAAGGTTTTCCAGTCAGTGGAGGCCCTGGGTTCATGATCCCTTGTCAATAATAATGCAGTTATCATAAATGCATGAAATATTTTGCAAAATTGTCTTTATAACCTAGTTAATAGAGAATTCCAACATGTTATAAACTGCAATTCACTTTTTTAAATGAAGTTAAATTCATTGACAAAAATGCAGTAAAATTGATACAGTGCAGAAGTTACATTGAAGTTTGCTTTTCAAGATTTAGAGTATTGAGAAGGATTTTTTAGTACCATTGCTTTTTAGTCTATGCTGACAGGACCGTTAAAACAATGTGGGAGAAGAAGGAGGAAATACATGACCCTACTTTATGTCAAATGGGCTCATGATCTATAGTTAACTATGGGATGGATGAAATGCCTTATGAAGAATCAGTACAAAAAAAAAAAGAAAAATCAGTACAACATGTCAATACATGATGTGCTTTTTTCTAACAATAAAGTAGGGAAAATGTGCCCTTTTAAAGAGGGTTAGCATTGGATCAATTGCATAACAACCCACTTGAGAGTGACTATCTGGTAATGAAATACCTGCTGTGGTTCTCATGTTTGGCCTCAGTCTCTGATGTCGGAGAAAGGAACCACCTCTACTCATGATCCTAGTGAACCAACTCAAGTCAGATGACAGCCCTCACTGGGGTGAGCCAAAAAGAGGAGAGAACACACTCTGTCTTGATTTGTAGGAGTGATCTCACCAACATCATCCGTTTCATTTTACTCATGTCATTTTTTTCAGGGCTCTCCAATTTATCTCTAGCTAGTAGGAGTTCTGTGGCAGCAATATTATATGGCTCAGTAATGAAAATTCACTTCTAAGAGCAGATAAAGAGATTTTCTAATGCTGTAATAAAAAGACATTTGATCATTCTTTGGACTATATCAGATTAGTGCTTATATTTTTAAGAGAAATGTAAACCAAGAGCTGCATACAATAGACTGTCCCCATATTATCAGCATAATATTCAAGATACTTGGTCTTTTTGTTTATAAACATTCAAATAAAAATAGTTTCTAAAAATAAATATAAAAAATGAAAATAAAAACTATTCTAATATTTTAGAATTAATTTCTAATTTTTAATAAATAAAGCACATTACAGATAAATTTTGATTTTAATTTATTATTTTTAAATTTTATAATTTAATTATTTTTCAACTTTCCAAAGAAAATCATTATTATAAATCTAATAAATAAAATTATATAATTCTAGGATTATATACAAACCCATACTTCCCTAATTTGTAATCCTGGGTGAAAGAATTTTTCTTTCAAGATTTTATACATATACATGTATATGTACATATATAAACATGTTATATATTACATATATGCTATAAAATAGTGTTCAAAGGTTCTTATTGATATTTAAAAATTTTACATACATACATTGTTATATAAGTGATATGGTCTGGATTTGTGTGCCCTTCCAAATCTCATGTCAAATTGGAAGAGAGGTGGGAGGTGACTGGATCATGGGAGCAGATTTCCCCCTTGCTGTTCTCGTGATAGTGAGTGAGTTCTCATGAGATCTGATAGTTTAAAAGTGTGTGGCCGCCTCCTCTTTCTCTCTTTCTCTCTCCTGAAGCCATGTAAGATGTGCCTTGCTTCACCTTCGCTTTCTGCCATGATTGTAAGTTTTCTGAGACCTCCCCAGCCGTGGGGAGCTGTGAGTCAACTAAACCTCTCTTCTTTTTAAATTACCCAGTCTCAGGTAGTTCTTTATAGCAGTGTGAAAACAGACTAGCACAGTAAGTGAAGGACATTATTGAGGTTTATAAAAATAATATATTTATACATCTAATAGAAAAAATTTTTAACATATTTCTACTAATCATACTTGCACAGATTATATAATCATATTATAAAATATGATATGTAGTGTCGGACTGTATAGTATCAATACTTGTTTTCTACAGATTCTAATTAATAAGGGAAAGAGACCCAGCATCACATATGGACTGAATTACAGCATCAAGTTCATTGCATCAAAATCAAGGCTGCTATATCAGAGAAAAATAGCCTGTTCTGAAGCCAAAGTGAGGCTTTCAACTCCTTCTCCTCAATCTTCCATTAACATAGTAGAAAGCTTCCTACATTTTTTCCTGTGCTTCAACTTCGACTTTCTGACACAAAAGTAATTAGAAGTTCTCTTGTATGAAGATTTAGGGCTTATGAATAGATATATAGAACAGGTCCTGATTATTAATCTGTTTCTGTTTTATAGATTATAGAATAGAGGTGGTTATATGATGATGCTAAAGTGAAATAGAAACACTGGTTTATTTTCAGATATATTTTATTCAAAAAGACTTGTGAAATGGGATAAGTAGGTTAGTCAATGGCATACTATAGCTACACATAATAAGCAACAAACCTACAGACACAGAGTTTCTACAGGATCTTGATGACTATTTAAAATTAATCAGATATTTTGTTTTTACAAACTCAAAATATAAATTATAATAACATGTACTGAAATATATAATATTTATAACTTACTGCAATAAGTAGAAAATGAGTGATTTTGATGTTTTAAATGTAAACATTGAAAAATTAAATAAATTTGAATCAATATTCTTGATAAACATCGTACATTTTAAAAGTATGGAAGCATTTCCCATTATCCTACTTACAAGAGACCTAGGGAATTTCATGATATAGATTATTTCATCTCAAGTAAAATAGCATAATCATAAAGAAAAAGGCATATAGTCATAGGCAAAAGGAAAGGCTTAAGAAGTGATACAGTTTATTATTATGAAAACCCCCTGCATATCTTAAATTCCTTAGATTGTTCTGATTTGCATACCATTAAGCGGTACTACTTTTATAGAGATTTTGGGGAGAATAATGTCAAACAGTTTTATGGAATTATTCATTTGCCATAAGGTGAGACTGAAACACGCAATAGCATATAGCACTCATTATGTGGTTACAAGCTTGTTTCTTTGCTTTCTTGCATAGGGAGCCAGGTAAACAGGCAACCTTTTTACTATTTTGTCAATTATTAAATGTACTTAAGAATGTATGATAACAATATATTAAATATTTTGAAAGTTCAACTTATCGTCTATGAAGGTTTGGCCACTGAAAAACAAATAATCAGTGCATAAATACAACAAACTTATTTTAAATGTCATACCTCTGTAAATAATGGTATTTTCTTACATTCTGTCAAAACAGCTGTAACATTAATCTAATAAAAAGAATCAGATTGACACATTTGAGACATTTTCCTTTCTAATATATGACTGCTTGGGATTTAATACATGACTTAATTTAATGAAAATATCAGACTAACTGAAAGAAACCTGGGAGTGTAGAAATAGCAGAGCCACTCTTGCTATTTACCAACAAAGACATAAATTCTTAATACAGACATTCACCATAATGATTATAGAATTAAAGATAAGACATTACTCAAAAAAGGAAAGACGGCACAACATAAGGTATCAATTAAAAGCACAAAAATACAAAGCATCCCAGGAGGATACTAGCCATAGGAAGATATCAATGGGTTGTAAACATGGGCAGCATTGCTTCATCACTCTGACCACAGAATGGAGAAAAGACGAGAAAGGGAGCCAGAAAGGATATGGTCATATAAGTTAGAAAGCTATTATGTAGTTTTAGGTGAGATGATGTTCACTTGAGCTGGAGAGAGTATTGGTAGAAATGGGGAAAACTGGAGAAATTAGGGAAATATTTAGGTGATAAAATCAAAAGAACATGATGCCTCATTTCAGGAGAAGGAAATATGAAGTTTGCCACTTAGGTTTCTGGTTTGTGTTAATGAATGTGTGAAGTTAAAATTCACGAAAATAGTGAACATTGGATGAGCACCACAGTTTGGGAGGTGGTTGGGAAGTGGATGGGAAGGTGGAGATCGTGTGTTCGATTTTGTACAATTGACTTTGGGTATATTTACAGAATCACTAGGCAATGTAACCCCAGAGGTCACTATTCACATAGAACATAATAAGTGTCAACAACAGAGTTTTCATTGAAGAAGACTATTTAAAACATTTAAGTGGAAACTATGAGTAGTTACATAAGCTCGAATTTCCAATGGATCAAAGTTGGATATAACTGGATTTTAGTGAATCTAAAAAAATCATGGATTTTAATATCCATATTTTTAATGTATCACTGAGAAAGAAGAAATATTTCAATTAAACTCTGAAATTTTATCTATTCTAAGTTAGATACATTATTTTTTCAGATCATATGTTAAACTATGAGGGAAAGTTTGTCTTAGAATTGATTAAATATGAAGCAAATTTGAACTTCATAATCATTTGTAGGTAATTTAGCTATATGCATGGATGGGCTTGGGAGAGAGCTTAGAGAAGGAGTAAGAAATGTCTGTAAAATGGCCAAAGAAAATCTAATATTTAATGATCCGGATAAAGGGGAATGATTCTGCAGAGAAAAAAAATGTTTTAAAAGTGCTGTGTCAGTAGGGTATCAGAGAAGCCCAGAATGAGAAAAACAGTTCTAAGAAAGAAGAAAAAAGCAATAATACTATATATATTACTGAAATGTTCATAGAATTTATTAAAATAGAAGTATTTGGTGATCTAAGAAGGAATAATTGTGCTTGAGTGGTGGGAACAGAATCAAATGGAGTAAGTTGAATAAGAAGGGCTAAGTTAAGACATACACACAGAGGAAGAGGACAAATTTCAAGAAGTTCCGCCATGAAGCGGAGGAGAGAGATAGGATGGCAGGTAGGAAATGAGTGATTAAAGGGAACTTACTTTAAAAGATGAGAAATATATGTGTATGTCCAGAAAACCAAGGAGAAGGAGCCAGCTAATTATGAGAAGTTGAAAGGTTAGAAAGAAAGTAGTTTAAGATTTCAGAGAAGATTAAGATAGATCCAAAACATGGGTGAAGCAGTTGGTTTTTGACAACAGGAGGAATAGCTTCCTGTTTTTATTTATGTATTTATGTATGTATGCATGTATGTATTTATTTATTTATTTAAGACAGAGTTTTGTTCTTGTTGCCCAGGCTGGAGTGCAATGGCATGTTCTCTGCTCATGGCAACCTCCGCCTCCTGGGTTCAAGCAAGTCTCCTCCCTCAGCCTCCCAAGTAGTTGAGATTACAGGTGCCCACCACCATGCCCAGCTAATTTTTATATTTTAGTAGAGACGGGGTTTCACCATATTGGTCAGGCTGGTCTTGAACTCCTGACCTCAGGTGATCCACCCACCTTGGCCTCCCAAAATGCCGGGATTACAGGCGTGAGCCACTGCGCCTGGCCAACTTCCAATTTCTTCGGAAGTTATATTAGACTGTTTTTGCATTGCTGTAAAGGAGTACCTGAGGCAGGATAAATGATGGAAAAAAAAGGTTTAGTTAGTTCACGGTTCTGCAGACAGTATAAGAAGCATAGGGCTGGCATCTGCTTCTGGTGAGACCTCAGGAAGCTTAGAATCATGGTGGAAAGTGACAGAGGACTAACATGTCATATGATGAGAGAAGGAGCAAGGTGGGGACGGAGGTGCCACATACTTTTAAACAACCAGATCTTTCATAGACTCACTCATCACAAAGGGAATGGTGCTAAAGCCATTCATGAGGGATACGCCCCCACGATCTAAATGCCTCCCTCCAGGCCCCACCTCCAACACTGAGGATTACATTTCAACATGAGATTTGAAGGGGACAGATATCCAAACCATATCAGAGGCACAGGGAAAGGCAGATCACTGGGGACCGGAGTTTGGCAGACATGTGCAAAGAAAAGCTATAGGGGGAAGAGAGGTCAAGCCTACACTGTTCAAAATAGCACACAAACTGGCATTAGTTTGCACATGGTTTGTTACCAGTCTTTAGCAAGAAACGCACTTTCCAGAAAATGAGAGTAAAAGTTATGAAATGTGATTTCAAGTTAAACATATTTTATCGGTTGAAGCTTCTAATAACAAATTGACAGCAGTGTTTTGTGTGCCTTTGGGGACTTTTACACTGTATTATTTAATAATTTATTTTTAATTGTATTTTATAAAAGTGCTGTCCCACCGTGATTTATAAACAAGGCCATCCTCTCCATCATCACTGACAACAACAAAACAATGTCTTTGATCACAGATCATTTGAGAAGCACTAGTTTTCTGCACATTTTCAGTAATGTTTTAGGAATTATAAACCACAGGATCTAAGTTAGGTGATGGTAGAATGAAGGAAGGACCAAGCTGATTAAGTGAGTGACAATAGAGAGGTTAGTGGAGCAGAGCTTCTTACGAGAACAGTGAGTGTTTCATAAATACATGGATATAGTCAGAGAGCAGGAGGTTGAGATAGTGATTTTTGAGGTGAAGTAGTTAAGACTTTATCTGCAGTTGGCTGATGAGGAACGGCTGAGAAAGTCACTAGCGGGAATTAGATGAAGGAACTGAGAGGCTGTTGTTTGAGCTAAAACTTCCAAGAAAATGTTAAGGTCACCAAGTATGGCAAATCATCCAGAGTCAGTGGGAAGCCATTGATCCAGGTTTCAGTGGAGGGAAAATGGAAATTCTGCAGGGAAATAAAAGACAGGAGATAAAAAGGAGCAGATTTGTTTGCAACAAAAATCCCTTCAGTAGTTAGGTGAAGGAGAGTATATGTAAGATAAATGATGTAGGAAGGAAAATTCAAAGAAGAAAAGACATAAAAACAGAGAGAGAAATAAAATTTAACAAATTCCATGTAGATAACAACACTGTCTCCTTCTCCACTGCCTCCATTTGGAAGCTGAGTTCTTCCCTTGGCCTGAAGGATGAATCAAGTTTACACAAAGGTGGTTTTTGTGTTTTGTTTTTTTGGTTGTTTGTTTTTGTTGTTGTTTTTTTTTTTTAGTTTTCAAAACTGATAGCCAGCATTAGAATTATCTGATCACAAAAGTGACATTTTGGATCATGTAGTGTAAAATAATTCATAGTGAATCAGCAATAAATACATAGGTGATATGTAGACTGGCCCTTATGTGAGCTTGATTATCTCTGTCCTCTTTCCCTAAAGAGGCTGGAAGCATTGCTACCATTAAAACCTTCCCTGGCCCTGAATATTTTATGGCAATAATAGGAGAAAGAAAAATAAACCCGCAGAAAGAAAATGAACTTTTGACTCTCATTTACTCTTCCCTTTAAAACTTTTATATCCTAGTATACATCTCATTGCCTTCTCTTTGTGGGTCCTTGAGAACTTTATTTTGCCATTGATTCAGACTAGAGATTTTTCGCCTTAAGAAGAGTTAGGAAAGTAGACAGTGTCAATGAGAAGTGACTAAGTGTCCAGAACCTTGATTTTTCCTTGCAGGTAGCAGTTCACCAAATGGGGTTCAAAATCACCCAGTCAATCTGATTAATATTAAGTATTTTGAGAAACTGTGACTATTGCAGAACATTTATTTATTTACTTACCTATAAGGTAAGATGCAAAATGATTTTCTTGGATTTATCTCTGATGAATTATTTGTAGATTAGTAACATTTTTGTTTATTCTGGATTTATCAACATACCATTTGGGGCATTACATGTCATCACCCCTTTATACATTTTTTAATATAATATTTGCTCCCTAAATAATTAGTGGACATGCTGAGATTTGAAAACTAAATTTAGAGTGGCAGCGGAAGATTTCTTGATGAGATGATTCTTCTTCTCATGAAGTTTCTGTTCAGATTCTCAAAAAAATTGTATTGTGACTATTGATTTATAATTTATGTGAGTGGATTCAGATACTATTTTTTGCTTTCTTTTACTAGGTTGTAAATGTTATAGTCTTACTCTCTTTGATGTTAGTTCTAATTCTGTGTGTGTGCATCTGTGTGTGTTGATGAATGTGCACATGCACAGAGGGAAGAAGGAAGGGTAGAATATGGGCAGGATGAAGATCTGACTCTCATCCTATTCTACTGCTTGATGGGTCTCAACCAGAGGCAAGTTTGCCCCCCCAGAAAACACATTTTGCAATGTCTGGAGACATTTTTGTTTGTTAGAATTGGGTTGGGTCAGGTGTGTTACTGACATCTGTAAAATATGCCAAAGTTGCTGCTAAACCTTCCGCACTGCACAGCACAGAGTCCAGCAATAAAGAATTGCCAGGCCTGAAATGTCAATAGCTGTAAAGTAGAGAATCCCTGGCCTAGTTGAAAATAGCATCAGCTTAAAATTTTTGCCCAACGACCAGATAATTTGAGTCTTGCTTAACATTGCAATGAGGAAATGCTTTGTGATAAAGTATTTCTCAATTTTCAATCTTTTATCTGCAAGTTCTAAGCTCCCTGATATTGACACAATGACTAAATTTCTGAACATAACCTTCCTTCTGATGAAGTGGGTCTAATACTACCTTCATCATATACTTGCTGGAAAAATTAAATGAGATGCATATAAAAAATTTGCAGCAGAATGCCCAACACGTATTGAATGCTCAATAGTGTTTTCTTCATTTCCCACAATATTGTAACAATGTTAGAATTTTAAAAGATTATTTTTTAACATTTCAGTACAAAGCCTATAAATATTTTAATCTATGTAATAATGAAGGAATTATGAGTGTTGCCTTGATAATTCCCTTTGCTTTTGTACTCTAAACTCTTCATGATTTGCTCCAGCAAAAATTGTTTTAGTACCTTATTCATGATTTAACAATGGGAAATTTTGAGGACTGTTGCATTGGGTTAGAAAGTAAAGCTATTTATTTCTTTAAGTAACCTTAAGACCAAAAAAAACTTTCTAAACAAAGTTTTTAAAGTAATTATTTTCTTGAAGGAAAAAAAAGACTTGTATATATGCATATATAAGTTCCATACATTTAAATAGACCTTAGAATATTTTAGAAGATTTTCTTTAAAAATACATTTTTAGCCCTTTTAGCAAGATGTTTCCAGTTATTTTTTATTCTACATAAAGAGTAAAATACTCTGGAAATATTTTAAACAAATATAATATGGACAACTTGTATCATTCAGAAATTTGATTGTAGATTAATGAAAATACAGTGAAATTAGTGAATGCTTATATTCCAGATCTTCATACATAATGCAATCAGAAATATTGATTTTTTTTTTGGCAAGGAAGAGATCAAAAGTTTTCATGCAATTGAGACATTTCAATATGCATACATTTTCCTCCCATTTCTTTCCTTTTCTCAGGCAAGCACTCAACTTCAAAATAAAATTGCCTGTTTAGTAGTTTTTCTTTAATTCTAGAATCCTTCAAAAAGTGTTAAATGTCTTTCTGACAAGGTTAGCTATTTTTCAGCAAACATTATAAATACAGAGTTTAAGTAGTCATGTACTTTTATGATGCGCATAAAAACAGACACCCTTGAATTTATGGATTTTCCATTCCATGCAATACTTGAGAGTTAATAACAGTTTCCTCTTCTTTATCACAATGTGTGACCCAAATTTATACTAGGATAAGATGTCTAAGAGTTCTTTCGAGAGAGTTAAAATTGCTGGTTTCTTAATATGAGGATGACATACTCAGGTATATGCAAGACTATCCATTGTGGTAGAAAACTGTGACATTTGTAATTACTTATTTTTAAAATAGTTAATTTATTTTAAACTTAAGGAATGAATAATGCTAATGAATATAAAATATAAGAACTGATCTGGTCCCCTGTGCAGTAGGGAGATATTGATTAGGATATTGAACATGTCCTGGGGAACACTCAAGATTTTCTCAAAATCATAAGGTTCCACAGAGTTGCTTGCATTTTTCATTTGTTTTCAATGTAAGTCTAGGGACTACAGTTTGCCTATGAAAGTGGAGTTTTCTAGTTTTAACTAAAATCTTATTCCTAAAATGAACAGTAGTCTTAAAAAACAGTCCCCCATAGAAATTGTAGCTCACAGATAACACTATCGTGAAAGCGGTGACTAGTAAGAAAGTGGATTAAGAAAACGTGGCCCATATACACCATGGAATACTGTGCAGCCATAAAAAAGGATGAGTTCATGTCCTTTGCAGGGACATGGATGCAACTGGAAACCATCATTTTGAGCAAACTAACACAGGAACAGAAAACCAAACACCGCATGTTCTCACTCATAGGTGGGAATTAAACAATGAGAACACATGGACACAAGGAGAGGAACATCACACACCGGGGCCTGTTGTGGGGTGGAGGGCAGGGGGAGGGATAGCATTAGGAGAAATACCTAATGTAAACGATGAGTTGATGGGTTAAAAAAAATCTACCCATGTTTATTCCCTGTAAGACCCAACTTAAACTCTGTTGAATAAAAAGGAATGTATTGGTCAAAAAAAAAAAAAAAAAAAGAAAGTAGAACTGTTTTCTTTTTACTAGCGAGAGAGCTTTTTAGGCATCACTTATTAAGTGATGACTTAATAAGGCTTGATAATAAATGGATAAAAATATTGATATTATTGTATTATTGAAATATGTATTTGTGTCCACTACCATGAACAATAAACCATTGATATGTGTGTAATAAGTTTTGTAACTTTGTAAAGTATCTTTTTAAACACTTATATCCACTAAAAACTACAGAAAACTGAAGTAAAAGGGAACCAGACTTTTGAAAATGTGTCTCTTAAAATATTAAGCCAATATTCTCAGGGGGCATAAAAATGAATAACATAATTCTCACTATTATTATAAACATACATTAATAGTAATCTTTTCATTTTATAAAACAATATGTATTAGCAATATATTAGTGAGGAAAAAAGGTTCTCTATCTCTAGTAAATAAAATTAACTGATTTAACAAAATTTCCTTTTTCATCTCATCTGTTTAAAGATTCTATTTCTTATCATATATATATGTATACACTAAGATATATAATACTGCTATGTACACATATCTTTCTTTCTATTTATTTCTATGCACACACATAGGCACATATAAACACATATAATGCAAACTTAACATCTTTTTTTTTTTTTTTCGAGATGGAGTCTTGCTCTGTCTCCCAGGCTGGAGTGCAGTGGCGCAATCTGGGCTCACTGCAACCTCTGCCTCCCGGGCTCAACTGATTCTCCTGCCTCAGCTTTCCAAGTAGCTGGACTACAGGTGTGCACCACGATACCAGGATATTTCTTTCTTTCTTTCACTTTCTTTTTTTATTTTTGTAAGAGAGGTATTTTCACCATGTTGGCCAGGCTGGCCTCAAACTCCTCACCTTGGGTGATCCACCCATCTCAGCCTCCCAAAGTGTTGGGATGACTCGCATGAACCACCATGCCTGGCCTTAACATCATTTTTTTACTGATAGAGATATACTCCCAAAAATGTTTGGAAGGAATTGCTGTAATACTAGGACCAAAAATTTGACAGATTATTTTTCTTCAAAGAAGCTGCAAATGATAAAAGTAAAAAGGCAAATAACGATATTTTTATTTTCCTTTAAACATAAAAAGAGAAGGCATGGATAATTGATTATAAGGCAATTATTTGTTGAAAGGCTTAGTTTAAATTATTCAACTATTTAAATAGTAAATAATAACATCCACAATTTAGCCTTTTTTTTTGAGTTTTAAAGGCAGAAATCATTCACAATTTGTCCAGTATGAATATGTGTCACCTAAAATATTACAGAATGCTTTCACACATTTTATCTTGTTTTAATTTTGACAAATGATGCAATTTAGTTTCTACTTAGATTTATATGGTTTGTTTCATTTTACATAAAAGAAATCTGAGGTTCAGAAAGATTGCTACTCACTCAAGCACACATCTAAATATCCGGACTTGAAGACATAAATTTCCTTCCTCTTTTTTCTCTGTAAAGTCCTTAAACTGGTAATTCACACTGATGTTGTATTCATAAATATCCCCCAAGTTTATACAATCGGTATGCTAACAGTTACTGCTGTTTCTCTTATCATTAGATAGCTTAGATGATGACACAGCCAAATGACTGACAGCAATTGTTTTTAAACTTCTTTTATTTTAGGGAGAGTACAGAATGTACTCAGTTGACTTGTGTCACCCCAAAATTCATATGTTCGAGTCCCAACAGCCAGTACTCCAGATTGTAACCCTATTTGGAAATACGGTAATTGTGTTTAAAGAAGTGATTAATGTGATTAATTTAAAATGAGCCTATTATGGTGGGATCCTAATCCAATTAGTTCTGAGGTTTTGTTTTGTTTTGTTTTGCTTTGTTTTGTTTTTTGAGGTCAGGAGTTCAAGATCAGCCTGGCCAACATGGCGAAACCCTATCTTTACTAAAAATACAAAAATTAGCCAGGTGTGGTGGCGCGTGCCTGCAGTCCCAGCCACTTGGGAGGCTGAGGCATGAGAATCACTTGAACTCGGGAGGGGAAGGTTGCAGTGAGCTGAGATTGTGCCAGTGCACTCCAGCCTGGGGGACAGAGCGAGACTCTGTCTCCAAACATATATGTTGGAAACATACATGTTTTTGTTTGTTGATGTGTATTACATGTAGATGACTGTAGCACAAAATCATTTCTGCTCCTCTTCCTGGATGCACAGCAAAACTACTTTACTAGCCTCTCTTGCAGTCAGTGTGGTCATTTGACCAAATTCTTTTTAATAAAATGAGAGCTGAATGTGCTGCTGTAATGCTCAAGCCTTTAACCCAGCAGGTGGGCTGTCTCCATTGCTCTCTTCTTCTTCTGTCCAAGCACTGGGCATGATAGACCAGCTTTATGATATGAACAATGGCAAGGCCCTAGAAGACAAAAAAGTACTATTAAAAACGTAGCCTGCGTCCCGATGTGGAAGAGAGCTAGCTACCAACCAGGAACACCTACCTATACTATTAGTAAATAAATAAATAAATAAATAAATACCCTTTGAGTCTTTCCGTTACAGTGGTTTAACCTACATGAATGGTAAGTTTTAATAGAATATTTTTTAACTTTTAAGTAAGTTCTGTCATTTTTCACACTCTAAGGTGCAACTGTATACACATTTTCAGGACTTTTTTTTCTGTACTTCTTGATTCTGACTCTTAGGTCAAATTAACATTTAAATCTTATTTCCCATTATAGTTGAGAGCAAAGCCCCTTTCAGGTTTTCTGTTTACCTCGAAGGCTTTTCTGCTTGGCTTCCTTAATGTGCTGATTTGCACAGCAAAATGAACTTCAGCTCATCTTTTAAACCTGAAAGCTTATATTCTGATGAATATAGCAAACATGGTGAAAAAGCATGAATATGCACAAAATCTGTCAATTCTCCACACCCCCTGCATTGCGAAGGCTCTTATTAAGACCACAAAATGGCAGAATGCAGATGGTGTTCATGAAAAGTTCTCTTCCTAGGTACCACACATAATATGTTAGATGACTTCACCTGAGGAAATTACATGATGTACAGAAGCAATTTTAGAAAATAGCATGTATACTTGACTACATTCATAACTATTTTACACTCTGCTTTAGAGTCCTGGTTGTTATGGCGTCTTATGAGTGACTGTAATTTTTGTAAACTATAGAAGAGTGGTTCATTCTGGAATATCTACTGTACTGCCAACTTGCTCTTGGGCATATAATCCAGAGGTTATTTCCAAGATTTAGAGACTTTTACCCCTTAAATCATATAGTAATTAGATTAGAAATTTCTTGAGTGATTACCTCATATTAATTCCTGCTTTTACCAGAAACTGAGCTATACTAAAGATACCAATATCTACCCAGTATAGAAAATTTCTCACAATCCCGTGGTGAATCATTCTTTGTTAGAAATGACAAATGACACTGAAGTAAATGCTAGAAATTTAATGTATTCTATTATACCCAAGTTTCTGCTCATCTATCATCCACTTAATTACCACCATTTGTACCTTGAAATAAATTGCTATACAGTTTAATACAACTCTAAGGACGAAGGAAATGACAAAAACAATGGCATTCTAAATAATTGGGAGGCAAAAATGTTCTGTATGTGTTTATATATTCACATAATCAATGATATGCGAGAACTAAAAATATTTTTAAATATCAAGAAAGTGTAAGCTTTTCCTAAGATTATTTCAAAAGTGTGCATACTTCATTCTCCTAGCCATGTTTCCCTTCTTTCTTATTTCATCCATTACACTAAGAACTTCAGCATTTTAAAAAAATTTTCTACCCTTATGCTAATTACATTCATAACGTGATCTATGATAACATAATGAAGATGTAAATTGGAGTGATCCAGACTATCTCAATCCATTTTGAAGTCCCTGAGACAGTTGCATTGTTATAAACCAATAAACATACAAGAATAATACAACTCATTTGTCTAATTAATCTTAAGTCCTTAGAGCCAGAGCCAGTGCCTGGCTGGTTATATACTAATATGTGTGTGCAGAATGTACACATGATTTTCAACTTTAAATATAATAAAACGCTAAAAAATCACATGGAATATGTTTATGCTTAATTAGGTTTAACTGTACCATGTTATACATAGCATTTTGGGGGTGATAGGTGGCACAAAAATTTAATAATCTAATTCAAAAGAGGTCATATATTCTGTATTTCTTTTCTTTTTCTTTTTTTTTTTTTTCTTGAGATGGGGTCTCACTCTGTCACCCAGGCTGAAGTGCAGAGGCACGATCTTGGCTCACTGCAATCTTCACCTCCCAGGTTCAAGCTATTCCCCTGCCTCAGCCTCTCGAGTAGCTGGGATTACGGGCATGCACCATCACACCCGGCTAATTTTGTATTTTTAGTAGGGACGGGTGTCACCATGTTGGCCAGGCTGGTCTCAAACTCCTGACCTCAGGTGATCCACCCTCCTCAGCCTCCCAAAGTGTTGGGATTACAGGCGTGAGCCACTGCGCCCAGCCTATTCCGTATTTCTCTAATAGGGAGTATTAAGACTCTTTAAAGTTTAGTTGCATAGGGTTCTTGTAAAAATTTTATAAAATAGGGCACATGGAGGCCTAGAGAAGTTCTTTAGTTTGTTCAGTAGTGCTTAAAAAGGAGGAACTGGGCTAAATGGAGAAGCCTCATTTGTGGTTCACTTGCCTGCTCTTTATGGTATATGCACTCTTTTCTTCCTCCTTCTTAACATTGTTTTACTCCCTTGTCCTCTTTTCACTAATAACACAACATAGTGAGGGAAGTTTCTATCAGGGGCATTTTTCTACTTGACCAGTTTAGGGGTTTGTCAAGACTAATTCCTTTTGCCTTTAAGTTTACGCTAAAGATGTTGTAGAACGATCCACAATCTGCTACTGTGGGTCTCTTTCCATTTAAGTGGGTAGCCATGAATGGTTAATCTAGTAAGTCTGCCTGTGTGAAAGTAATTTCCTGTCGGAAAAAACAAAAAGGCTTACTTTTTTTTTTTTTTTGCAGCTTTCACTTTATATTGAGAACTATCATTCTTGGTACAATGATAAAACAAAGGCATCAAATTTAACATTCAAACAACCATAACAGAAAGATTAAAACAGTAAATAATATAATAAGCTATGAATAACTTTATTTTTTCATATTTTAGTGCAGGGTAATATTAACATAATTTTACTTAAGAGCAGGACTTTTAAAAGGAACTTTAGTTATATTTATGTCTTAATTAATTATTTTAATTTAGTCCTAACGCAAGGATATACATTGTTTTCTAGAATTTGACTACCATGAAGTGATTCCTCTGAAGATTTGAATATTTCTAAAGCCCCTTGGAAGTCAGAAAGTCTTGGTGGTATTCCTAGATTAAAAATGAGAGAATTGTCATGAATCAGGAAAATTTGAAGTGTACATAAATATTCAAGACTTGCGTAGGGCATGCAGTGTTGTTCTCCTCAAGAATTATGTTAATTGGGTCAAAGTCTTGTTTTCATATAATTTTTATTTCCTCTGGAGTGCCTTGCAGAGTTCTAGGCACTTGGCGAATTTTAGTAAATATTTGTTAAATAAATATGTGAGATTTAATACCATGACAGTCAGCAGTTCATTTCAAATTTTTAATTATTTTTTGTAACCAAACACCGGTATCTTAGAGTTTTAAAACTATTATCATTTTATTCTTTCTCATGAGACTGATCTTTGGAAGGCTCTGCAGATCTAGGTCATATTTGGCTGATGTTGGAGATGAGTCAGTGGGAACTGGCTGGTCTAAGATGACCTTAGCTGAGATGCATCAGCTCTGCTCATTGTAGTCTCTAATCCTACAGCTGGCCAGTCCAAGGCAAAAGGGCAGCATTCCAAGAGAGTGGCAGCATGCCAGCTTTCTGGAGAACTAGGCTCAGAATGCCACACCATGACTGCCCTGCATTCTATTGTCCAAATCAAGTCACAAGGCCAGCTCTGATTCAGGGGATAGAGAAAGCAAGTCCACCTCTAAATGGGAAGAGCTGCAATGACATGTACAAACAGCATGCATAACGGGGAGCTGTGGTCAGCAGGGGGCGTTTTTGCAATCAACATTTGAAATATTCAAGCAAAAACAAAATAGAAAGAAGTCAGGATATTCTCAAGGCTTAGAAATGCAACATAATGAATTTATTAGTAGTTTTTTTTTTTTATCCTGTGAGCAACGTACAATGACAGAAAAAATAAATCCATAATTTTTGTCAGCAGAATTAGCTTCATTCAAATGACTTATGCTATTTGTCAAAACAGAAAAATCAGTCAAGGTCCACTAGCATTGGATTTGTCAAAACCCTAATTTTCACAAACTTGGCATTGCTACATTGCTACTAATAGCACATGGCTTCTCCTGGGAGAGAAATTTTGGCTTTTCTGCTTTTTTTTTTTTTTTTTTCTGGTGTTGGTTTTTCCTCGAGCTTTCTGCAGTCCTTCCTATGTAAATTTATATCGGTTGCCACAAAAATCCATTTATACTACCAAGAATCATTGACTTAGTAACTCCAATGACGTTAATTTTTCTGTGAAGTGATGCACAAAACAACAAAATCTTTTTATAAATAAATTCTGGAACATATACTAGCTTTTAAAAATGATATTTAAATTCTTCAGCCTTCTAAAGCTTTTGGCTTGTGGAGACAGGAGAAAGCTTAAAAGCTAACTATTTTATCAACATTTGTGTACAACTTTAAATAAAAGACAAATATTTTATTACTAGCATTAATCATTTAATTAAAAATCTGATTTTCTTCTTTACTAGAGTCAATATTTATGTCATTATATAAATATGCATACAGCAGATATTAATCTGAATGGAATCAGTATGAGAATAAAGGAGGCTATAATCAAAGGTGCAGATCTGATGTTGCACCTTATGGGGCATCTAGATTTGAGTATGAAACTTTACATAAGGGAAGCAAGAGTCTAGGTTATCTGGTGCTCTACTTACTATAGTTATGGGTTGAACAACCTAGAAGATTGGGGTCTCATTCCTTTTCCCCAAAATCCCACTTTCTGCTATGTTTCTGGGATGGAGCGTCCATATCTTTCTCTCCAAGAACTCACTCTTTGACTTATGGTGGCCTAGAATTGCTAGTTAAAATCAATGCTAATGACTTATCTATCTCTCCTTTCATCTTCTTCTTTTGATTAGTAATTACTTAATTTGCTGTCTCAGGGATAGCACTGTAAGCTTTGCACCCTAAGCTTGTTTAACTGTATCAGAAGGAATAGTGAAAAATATGAGAATCAGAACATAAGCAGATTAAAGTACAGTTAATCTACAGGAAGTCAAATCCATACCAAGATAAGATTACTGAGTTTTACACACACCCTGCAGCTAAAGAAGAGCCTGTATATCAGAAATGTTGTTGCTTTTATACTTTAAAAATTTATTGTGAGAATTTTTAAGTATTCCACTTAGAAAATCAGTTATTAAGGATCATCAATTGCTAAAAAAGGTAATCATAAGCACTAGTAGTGTCTTGAGAGACAATGAAGTAAATTACTAAAAATCAAAGTACACATGTAATTTAGAGAACACTTAGGCAAAATAAGAAGGTTCAAGTTTAGTTCATACTAGAAGAGACCTAATTACAAACCTACCATTTGTAAGCAAAATATGTATATTGGTGCCCTTGTTCAGAAGAACAAATAAATACCCTTCTCAAGTTCCTTTTGTAATAATGAAGACTCCCCCTGCAGGGCTGTAATTGACTTAAACCTTCCAGGTAAGGAAATTTTACAGTAAGTCAAACCTTATAATAACGTTGTGACATCTGAATCCCTCCAGTTTATAATGGTCCTCTTTATCATTAGTAAAAAACAAAAACGCTAGTAGAAATAGGTTAGAAAATACTAATTTAAATATAAAAGTTCCAGTTAAATGCCTCATGATTGTTTTAATTTCTAACCAAAAATAACTTGAAATCCTAATGTAACTGTAAAGTAACGGTTGAATTTTATTTTCTTTTTACTACCATACTAGTGGTTAATAATTAAAGAATGTTAACCCCCTCCATAGTAGAAATGATGTCTCTGTGTTATAAATCTGTATATTCTCATTATTTAGTATTACCTTGACGTTTAGTAGGCATCTCACAACTGTGTTTGTTGAGTGAACCAATTAACCAATGGCTGAGTAAAAACAAATAAAGCTTAAGACTGAGAGTGATTAGACTACTTGATAGCCCAAAAAGGAAAGATTTATAAACAGAGAAATCCTAGTGTAGTCATAACTGTTAGAAATGAGAAGGAAATATTTCATGGTTGTTGTTGCTGCTGATGCTATTGTTTATTCTCGAAGACTTTAATCAACATTTCATGTAGTTGAATGCAAAAATGTGGTTTATTGGCCGATATCGCACCACTGCACTCCAGCCTGGGCAACAGAGCAAGACTCCTGTCTCAAAAAAAAAAAAAAAATGTGGTTCATTGGAATATTTGGGCCTAGGTACCTTGAACCTCTAAATGGATAAAGTATCTTAAGCCTTCTCATTTCCCTCAATACTAATTAAGACAGCAACATCTACAACCACCTCCAAAAGCAAACAACTTACCTGTCATAAACTCAGTATCTGACATATTCTTCCATTGGCTTTGCTTACAGCTTTGTTGAATTCGTTGACAAAGGAACCTCCTGTTTTATGAAAATAAATAGTATTATCTTAAAACAACTTGAAAATGTGGACCTAGTGAAAATACTGCATTATTTTATTTTCTTTTATAATTGTCAACTTTCTCCTGTGTGATGTGGAGATTTGATTTACATTTCTTAAGTCAGGGCTAAATGCTCTTATCTGGTGAATACCCAACAAAGTTTAAGTCTTTATATTCCCTTTGTACACAAATTAATTTTAAAAAATTCAAACCCCTCTTTCCCCAAATCTTGTGTCCTTAATCATCAGCTAAATGTTCTAAATAAATAAATGGAAACCTGATGTGAAAGAAAGAGGGAGATTTTGATCTCAGCTATTCAGATAATTCAGTTCCTGGATGTTTATGCTGATCAAAATCACCAGATTCTTGTTCAAACCTCTGCTTCTGTTTACCTGTGTAAACACAGAATGTATTATGTTGATGTAGTTTTATGGGAAGAAATTGCTAGAGCTTTGGAGAATAACTCAAGCGTTTTATCTGTGTTTGCACTAAACCTAAACTTGGATTGAATATCTTTCTATTTATCTATTTTGCTTAAAAAAAACTAGCAGGTCTGAGCCATCTCAAGAGAAACTGTGTTTTTCTTAAATGAACAGCATATACTTAGATTGGATGTTTTGTCTTAAAATATTCAATATTTCCTTATTTTAGGAGCAGAAACTAAGACTTAACAATGATTTAAAGCAAGAAATACTTTAGGTGTAAAAAATTCAAGCATGCAAGCAGTTCATTTTGCAAAATCCCTTCCAATTTTTCAGACAATCAATGCCTTTTTTGCCTGTTCATATAGATTTTTAAGGAGATTCTTACGAGAGCAAAATTAATTATGCATTTTCCCCTCTTTATCATCTTCCATTTCTTGCAGGGGTGTGGATTGGAAATTTTTTTTTTTTTTTTTTTAGACAGAGTCTTACTCTGTCGCCCAGGCTGGAGTGTAGTGGTGCAATCTCGGCTCACTGCAACTTCTGCCTCTGGGTTCAAGTGATTCTCATGCTTCAGCCCCCCCATCCCCAAGCAGCTTGGACTACAGGCATGCACCCCCATGCCCAGCTAATTTTTGTATTTTCAGTAGAGACAGGGTTTCACCATGTTGGTCAGGCTGATCTCAAACTCTGGACCTCAAAAGTGCTGGGATTACAGGTGTGAGCCACTACGCCCAGCCTGGAAATTTTCTTAAGACTACCTGCAACCTGCCCATTAGTATCTGTGGTATTCCTGATAGGTCATTCTGCCTTTTCAGAAGTCAGGAGATCGCAAGAGAAGAATCAGGAAATTTACTAGAAAATATTCAAGTTTGTGCTATTTGAAGGCTACAAATACAATCTCCTGGTCTGTCCACTGTTGGTCACTGGTAAAGAGATCAAGAGAGAGGATGGCAAATGTAGCACTGTTTCCCATAGTGTCATTGAGAATGCATTAAGTTTTCTAATTGTGAGTAATGACATGAGGCATTTTGCATGTAATATGCATGTTATAATTAAACCAAATCCTTACTATTATGTTTTCATCAGATAGAGTCCCGGCAGGAAATAGAGAGCCCATTGAAACTTGGCAAATTAAAGATAACTAAATAATGGGATTATTGTTGTAGATGTAGTCAGAGTTTAGGTGAGCCAGCAGGGAGTAGTACAGGGCTTCAGGCCTGCAACAGGAGGGAGACTTCACCAAGCCTATGATTGAAGGGTTGTGATTTGTTACAGTGTCCAGAAAGAGTAGCTGTCTGGACAGGTCTACCTCATAGGAGTTGGGGCTTTCTATAGAGGGATCCTGTTGCTCCAGGGTGAATCAATATGTGTCTCAGTCCATTCAGGCTTCTATAACAAAACAGCATAAACTGGGTGGCCTATACATCACAAAATCTATTTCTCAGAGTTCTAGAGCCTGAGAAGTACGAGATCAAGGAGGTGGCAGACGCAGTGTCTCATGAGGGTCAACTTTCTGGTCCATAGACAGTGCCTTCTTGCTGGACCCTCCCATGGTGGAAGGGGTAAGAGGTGTCTCTTAGGCTTCTAAGGCACTAATCCCGTTCATGAGGACTATACCATCATAACCTTATTACATTCCAAAAGCCCTACCTTCTGCCATGATTACACTGGGTGTTAGGATTTCAACATACAAATTTGTAGGTATACAAATATTCAGACCGTAGTCATAGTGAAGTAGTACTAACACCTCTTTTTCTTCTTAATTTCTGGATATCCTCCTGGGGTCACCTATTTGCCAAACCCAACAGCAAAACCAAAAATAAATCAACCCACTGCAGCAATTTATACAGTTTACATTTCTGAATACATAAAGCACATGACAGAGTAGATAATGAATATAAAAGGGTAAGCCAATGGCATCCATTACAGTCCCCAAGGCCTTCTGTGATCTGAACCATTCTTTGTTTCCACCATTTCTATTGCACGCCATTTTCTTAATGACTTACTTAATGACTTACTTTCCTCGGACGACCACAGCCTTCTTTCTCTTCCTACCAATGAAGCAAATGTATACCCTAGGGCCTTTCTATTATGTTTCATCTACCAGGAAAGGTCTTCTTTAGATCCTAGATTCCTAACCATTTAGGAACATTACAATCGTCACCTACTCATTGAGGCACTCCAGAACCACCCAATTAAAAACATCTTCCTCACAGAGTCACTTTTAACAAACTGTCTTTTTTATTTACCTCATAACAGATGCCACACCATACAATCTATCTTGGTCATTTATTTGTTGTTTTATCCACTTATGAGAATTTAGGTTTCTAGTCTAAGCACATTGTCTTTCTTGTTCATCACTGTATATTCAGTTTTTCAGAACAGTTCCTGATCCATATGTTATTTAGCTTATATACCCAGCTTACTTTCTCTTATAGATAGGAAACCTGTGGCACATGTGTGTCCAAGCTAGTAAGTGGTATGACACTAAAGTATAAGCTCAATTGTCCTTAACTCCTTTAAGAATCACCACTAAATTACACTACTTCCTAAAATCATAATTTGAAAGAGAGAACAGTTTTGCTTTGAAACTAGACTCATTAAAAACAAGTGTGTGGTTTACAGATACAAACATTTCCAAGTTAATGTTAGTTGTAGAGTGCAGAATTCAAAATATTAACTACATATGAGTAAGTCTATATAATGGTAGTTTTAGAATATACCTTTAGATTTTTAGTATTTTCCAATCTACTACATTATACTTAAAGAGCACTTTTGCTTTACATTGTTATTTATAGAGTTCGGTCAAAAATAGAAATGGCTTGTTTGATAAAATGCCTCACATTTTGTTTAAAAGAATCTACTTTCAGCCCTTGTTGAACAGAAACTACAGTTGACATCTCCTCTTTATTTCATACTTCGGTTAAGTCTCATTCTTCTTCTTTTTACTGTCTGCCTTTGGAATCATATCCAGTTGGAATATGGAGAATGATGTCACCCTTGGTCAAAATATAGATGTCTTTTTTTCATTCATATAGTCATTTCCACTATTCTTCCCTAGCTTATGTCGCACGTAATAAAAGCAAAAGCTAGTAAAGACGTTGTTATGAGAGGTGAAATGGGTGGCAGTAGAAATAGGAAAAGGAGAATGGAAAAGCAAAATTGCAAAGTATTTTTAAGCAATTATAATGACATTCTTTCCACAATTTATTTTCTTGTATAAATCTGCTGGAAGCAACCCTTATGCTGGGTGTCCTTTTATTCCTTGCTGTACACAATTCTCTCTCACACCACCTGCTCCCCTTGTTTTACAAAAAAAACTATGTGCAGAGTGGAAGATACACCACATTTTAATTATTTATTATTCTGTCAAAACTTCTCACATTTTATTCATTCCATTTTTTTAAATAATTTTTTTCTTGGTTGGCATTGGAAATGAGATACTGTTTTCTTTATAATTATTTCATCCTATTTGTTTGTTTTTGCTTCTCAAGCTTCCAAGTCTAGTTTATTTACCAGCCTTGTATGCCTTTACCTTGCTAAGCTAAATGCCAGGGTAGCCAGATATTATGAGTAGAGATGAGGACTCCAACAGTCTATCCTAGCTCATTTAGTTAAAGATCCAAATACTTTCATAGAGAACTCCCTTCTGTCATCCAGTAACTGCTCATATTTTTGTGCTTACACCACAATCTCAAACTAGATTCAGGATTCCCCTAAATGTTTTGTTTTTTTGGTTATTAAAAAATGTATAGCTGAAATAATATTATCTCAATGGTCATAAATCAATAGAACAATTTTGAAAACAATGCAGAACCAAAAATTGTTTAAGTTTTAAAACACAAATATTTAAAATATTTTCTGTTAGGAAGGAATGACCCTGGAAGAGCCTCTTGCCCCATGATATTGTCCATTAACTTGTTTCACTGTGATATCCACATTTATATCTTCCAAAGATTGAATCATCTTATATGTTTTGGTTATATACAACACAGGTCAGCTTGAAGTATGTTATAAAACTTAATATTCTTGTTTTAATGAAGATATATCTAGCACACCGCATGCGAACATCTGGCTAATGTTAAATAACTTGAATTGTACTCATAATACGTGGTTTATTCTTTTCTTGGTTGTGAGATATATCTCCTTTGGTTGTCTTATTTTCAAGGCAAAGGAAGGATTAATTTAAAAATATATAAATTTGTAAAGATTTTAAAAAGTTTAAAGGTTACACGATTCCAAATTTGATATAAAAAATATAAAATGCTACATAAGTATAAGAAATTGCTATTATAGTTGAGTCATCATTTACCAGGTCATGGGATACATAACTTCTTTAGAGTTTTCTGAAGAAGTATTTTTTTAAAGTGTGAGATATATTGATATTGGTATACTAATTATAAGCATTTTTTTGTTGAGACTGTGTTTATTAGATATATTTTACTGCTTTCACACTTGGAATATTCTATCTGTCTGATATAATGATACCTTTTACACTTCCTTTCCATGATTTCCTCAGGCCCAGTAATAGAGTTCTTTCCACGGCTCCCTCATGCCTCTCTAGAAAAGTATAATTCACAAGCCCAAAATTCCCATTCCTTGGTTATTCAATCAAGCAATAATGTAGATACAGCTTTGAAGGGATCTCGGCTCACTGCAACCTCCATCTCCCAGGTACAAGCGATTCTCCTGCCTCAGCCTCCTGAGTAGCTGGGATTACAGGTGCCCCCCACTACACCTGGCTAATTTTTGTATTTTTAGTAGAGACGGGGTTTTGCCATGTTGGTCAGGCTGGTCTCAAACTCCTGACCTCATGATCCAACTGCCTCAGCCTCCCAAAGTGCTGGAATTACAGGCGTGAGCCACTGTGCCCAGCCTCAACATTACTTTCTTAAATTAACCACATAATTACATCTGATGTCATGTGGCTACGGAGATGTTTTTGTTTATGTTTTTTTAAATAATTTTAATTTTTTAATGGATATAGTCTTATTCTGATTTTCTATTTTTTTGTGTGATAGTCTTGATATGTTCTGTTTTTCAGTAATTAATCAATGTTATCTAAGTTGTGGAATTAGCATACTTTTTTCATATTTTTAATAATATTATTTTAATTTTGGAATGAATTCTACCCTTCCTACCTCTTTCATTCTTGGTATTTATTATTTCATTGTATATCCTTATTCTCCTTATCAGCTTTTACGTTTTTTGAATAAATTTTGCTTATAGTTCACTTTTGTTTCATTGATTTCTGCTCTTTATTATTTTCTTCTTTATTCTTACTTCATGTTTAATTTTCTCATTTTCAAGTTTTTGAAGGTGAAAACTTACTTAGTTCAGTGATTTTAAACCTTTCTTATTCTATATTATAAAACTTTAAAGCCACATATTTAAGGCAGTGGAAATATTCCATAAATTTTAATATGTTGTTAATTCATTTCATTCACATTTTCTAATATCCTTTGTAATTTCTTCTTTGAATCATAGGTCATTTAAAATATCCAAATATTTGGATCTGTTCTAATTGTTTTTTTGCTGTTGTTATTAATTTCACATGGTCAGTGAAAATGTATGGAGTATTTCTTTCTTTTTAATTCATTAAGTCATAATATGCCTCAAAAATTGGTCTACTTTGGTGAAATTCCCATGTGAATTCTGAAAAGCTGGGTATAGTGTTCATAAATTTTAATTTAAGTAATTTGAGAAACAGTGTCATTTAAATAGTTTATATGTTTATTAATATTTGTATCTAGTAGTTTCATCAATTACTGAAAATTGGGTGTAAAATATTCAACTATGAGTGTGAACTAATTTTCCCTTTAGTTGTTTCTACTTTGCCTCAATGATGGTTAAGCTCTACTTTGAGGTACACACACATCTTATAGTAGCATACCTCCCTGGTAAAATTATCAGGTGATTTACATTCAACATTAGTATTGAGATGTGAGGTATTGTTATTCATCATGCTAGTTGTTGCCTGAATGCCTTTTTTTTTTCCTTTGTGTCATTGTTTTATAAGTCCTGTGAGATTTATGGTTTAAGGCAGTTCTATTTTGTTGAATTCCTAGGTTTTCCTTCAAGATTTAGAACACGTTTTAGCATTTCTTGTAGTGCTGGCTTGGTAGTGGTGAATTGTCTCAGCGTGTTTTTTTTTTATTGTTGTTGTCTGAAAAAGACTTTTTTTCCCTTTTGCTGATGAAGCTTAGTTCTGCTGGATACACAATTCTTGGCTGGCAAATATTTTGTTCGAGGAGGCTAAAGATAGAACCCCAGTTCTTTCCCATTTCTAGTGTTTCTGCTGAGAAATCTGCTGTCAATATGATAGGTTTTCCTTTGTAGGTTACCTGATGCTTTTGCTGCACAGTTCTTAAGATTATTTCCTTTGTCTGACTTTAGGTAACTTGATGACTGTGTACCTGGGTGATTACCTTTTTGCAATGAATTTCTCAGGTGTTCTTTGAGCTTCTTGTATTTGGATGTCCAGATCTCTAGGAAGGCCAGGGCAGTTTTCCTCATAGCCTCTCAAATACATTTTCCAAACTTTTAGATTTATCTTCTTCCTCAGGAATACAAATTATTCTGAGGTTTGGCCATTTAACATAATCTCAAACTTCTTGGAGGCTTTGTACATTTTTTTATTCTTTTTTCTTTGTCTTTGTCTGATTGAGTTACTTCAAAAGCCTATCTTCAAGCTCTGAAGTTCTTTCTTCTGCTTGTTCAATTCTATCGCTGAAACTTTTCAGTGCATTATGCACTTCTATAAATGTGCCTTTCATTTCCAGAAGTTATTGTTGCTTTTTCTAAATCTAATTCTCTGGAGCATTTTTGATCCACAACTGTATTTTTTTTTATTTATTTAAGTTGGATCTCACTTTTCTCTGATATCTCCTTGAGTAGCTCAATAATCAGCCTTCTGAATTCTTTATCTGGTAATTAAGAGATTTCTTCTTGGTTTGGATCCATTGCTGGGGAGCTAGTGTGGTCTTTTGGGGGTGCTATAGAATCTCATTTTGTCTTATTGCCAGAATTACTTTTCTTATTCCTTCTCATTTGAATAGGCTCTTTCAGTGGAAAAATCTGGAACTCAAGGGCTGCTGTCCAGATTCTTTTGTCCCACAAGGTGATCCCTGGATGTGATGCACTCCCCCTTCCCCTAGGGATGGGGCTTCCTTTGAGCCAGACTGCAATGATTATTATTCCTCTTCTCGGTTTAGCCACCCAGTGGGGCTACAAAGCTCTGGGCTGGTACTGAGGAATGTCTGCAAATAGTACTATGATGCAATCCATCTTCAGGTCTCCCAGCCATGGATACTAGCACCTGCTCTGTTGGAGATAACAGGGGAGTGCAGTAGACTCTGTGAGAGTCCTTGATTTTAGATATGCTCGTGTTTTGGCTTTCTTGAATGCCAGTTATTCTTGCAGTGAACTTGTCACATGGGCAGACTCAGGACAACTGTTTAGCCAGGATGTTGCAGGCAGTGGAATTAACTGTTGTTTTCTCCTTCCTTGGAGCATGGTTGTTCTGTCCTGAGTTGCTGTAATGTCCTGAGTTGGCTGGTCTCCAGCCAAGAGGTGACACATTCAAGAGAGCACCAGAGTTTTTTGTCTGTCTTGAGGAATTTGCAGCAGGCTGCCATTTCTTTGAAAGAAATTGTAATTTGTTTTGGTTTTCTTGGTACACTTCTGTGGTGGTTCCTGGAGCAAAAGTCCATAGTGTGAGTCTCCCCTTGCTATTCTGTCCATCCAGATGGGAGCTGCATGTCATTTTTGTCTCCTATCTGCCATCTTCTCTCAAATCCGTTTGCTATTTATTTTCTATTTGTCTTCTACTTATTAATTTTTTTAAATCTTCTTCCTTCTTTCTTTTGGGTGTATTAACTATTTTACTGTTCTATTTTGATTCCTCTATTAGCTTTTCAGCTATACTACTTGATATTATTTATTTATTTATTTATTAACAGTTATTGCATTAGTATAATTCAATATGTCCCTTTTCTCTTTTCTGCTATTTTTATTTTGTTTTCCATGTTCAATACTTCATGCCCATTCTAATTCCCATCTTATGCCATTTGTTCTCAATGTAAGATTTCCTTTGACATTTTCTATAGTATGGGTCTCCTCTTGGCTTTATTTGAAAAAAAAAAATCTCTATTTTTCATTTATGTTTCAAGAATATTTTCTGTCTATATATATTTGTTAGTTGAGAGACTTATTTTTCTATTGTTTTCTTACACCATTTTTTCTGAGGAGACACTGGCTATAATTCATATTGTTGCTCCCCTGTAAGTAATCTGCTATTTTTATTTTGGTGACATTCAGGTTTTATCTTTTCTTTTTGTTTTTAGAAATTTGAATATGATATAACTAACTACTTTTTATTTTGTTTACTTTCTGATACATTTCTTGAGAATTATCAAACTTCTTGTATTTTTGGTTTAATATTGTTATAAAATTTAGACAGTTTGCAATTTTTTTATTCAACTATACTATTTTTCCTGGACAATCTCTTTTTCCACTCCTTAAAGGACCATTTACACTTACATTAGAAAATTGGACATTGTCTTACAAGTAGTGAAAGACCTACTCATTATGCTTTCCATTTTTTTTTGTTGTTGTTCTTCAATTAAAATGACATCTTTTAACTATCTACAGGGTGAATGGCTAAGCCATCCTGTTTTTGTTTTTCAGATATAATATTTTTAATTTTATAATATCTATTTGTTTCTATTTTAAATTTCTTCTTTGAGGTTGAAGTACCTACCCATGTATTTGGTCATTATGATATTTTTTGTCCTTAAGTTCTCGAAGATGTCAAAAGTGAATGTGTTAAGACCTTATTTTAAATTTGACCTTTGAACAAGCTCAGGGTCTGTTTTTATTGACTGTTTTTTGGTCTTGACAGTTAGTCATATTTTCTTCCTTCCTGGTATGTCTACTAATTTTTATAATATACTAGATATTGTGCATAGTCTGTTTCCATAGGTTTTGGTTTAGTTTACATCTTTAGAAGAGGATTTATTCATTTGATTGTGCAAATACGTTACCAGCTGATCATACTGAGGTTTTGTAGGCTTGGTTTTATACTATGTTCTAACAACACTATTCTGTTTTACTCTTAGGATTAATTCCTCTGCTACTGGATGTTTTATTTAACCTTAAGATATAGCAATTCTTATGTGTGGATGGGAAGGCTTAGTTATTTATGGAGTCTGCTTCAGTTGGCATGACTCAAACTGCAAACTCTCTTCTCTGTATTGACCAGCAGTTTAAATATTTGTTCACCACTTTAGGTTTTTCTTCTTTGATTTTCCACTAAGCTCTTTAATGCCCTTTACATGAGTCTTTACTTCTGAGTATAATCAATATTTCCATAAAGTTTATATACAGATTTTATCTCCCCCTCTCCACATGACCTCCTTTAACGGGTTTCCCTTCCCAATTTCCAGGGGCTTTTGAAAATCTGAAATCTGTCCTGGAAAGTCTGAAGCCAATAAAAACATATCTTTAGGCTTTAGTACTGGATGAATCTTGCATTGTAAATTATCGAGTTTCTTCAGAAAAACCCGTATAAATGAATGTCACCTAGGCATATTTCTCATCCTCATCTTTCAAAGTGTCCTCAACTCACTCTTTCTTTCTTTCTTTCTTTGTCTTTCTTTCTTTCTTTCTTTCTTTGTCTTTCTTTGTCTTTCTTTCATTTTTCTTACTTTCTCTCTCTCTCTCTCACTTTATATAGGTATGTGTGTGTGTATATGTACCCACATGCCATATGAAAGAATAATGTGATACACACACAACATGAGGGGGAAAACCCCTACTTACTCAATTTTCCATTTGATGTATTAAATTAATGAATGGAAACAAAGAGTCAGAGGTGAAAACTAATGAGTGAGTAATATAGATACAGTACCATGAGAGTAGGAAAACCAAGCCAATTCAACTACATAGGTAAAACCATGTTTTTAGTATTCGATATACTCTGCACTCTGCTATCCAGCACTAATTCTCACAATTGAAAAGACAAAGCATATCTCGCTCTCCTGATGGTTCTCCAATCAATTTTAGCATTATATTTCCCATTTATCACTTTTGTTCCTGAGCTTCTAAGAGTTTTTGAAGCCTATATCCCCAAGGATAAATTGCTGAAAAAAGGTCAAAGATAGATACAGCTTTGCTATTTTAATAAAATATACAATGATATTTGGATTTGTATGTATTTTCTGTCAATTTATTTAACCCATTATACTGAGTAGTTATTATGTATCATGTGCTATTCTTAGCTTTCAAGAGTGTTGGTGAATAAAAAATGATACAAGTACAAATTAGCATTTACACAATCTACAATTCTTAAAGGTAGAGTGCTTTGTGTCAGTCTGATATCGCTCTGGACACAGGAGTCACTGTAGAATCCAGAGTATGTGCAAGATTGAGGTATTACTGCCTTGTTGACTGTATTAAAACTTCTGTTGTCAAAGACAGGTAGGCAAATTCGATTTTCTAGACTTTCAGAATGTGTTGTGTCCTCTTCCATTAACCTTCTTCTTTTAACATGAAGATAATTTAACAAGTAACAGAGTATCAGTAACATAACATGTTCTTCTAACTTAGTATGTCTTCCGTCCTCATCAAGTGCCTTTTTCCCTTAGATTCTCTAGGTTTTAATTTGCCCAGAAGGCCTATAATCTGAGGCTGAAATGATTATTTTCTGGAGATTTTATATATATATGGCTATTTATATTTTAGTTATATATATGGCTTTTTATATATTTCATATATATATGGCTTTTTCTACAGTTTGCCCTTTTCCTCTGTAATTTGTCTCAAATATTATATATAATATTGTCTCTCAGTCAACTTCTTGCCACATTAATTATTTTTTCAAGATATTTAACACCAGTTTTCTACTACGTCATGAAAACTGACCCCTGTGCTCTTCCAGATGTGATAACAATGGCAGCAAGGCAGGTGGAAGCATGCGTTTAAATGTGTATTTATTACATATCATACATAGGATTTAGAATTTCCCATACATTCCCACAATTCTAACGATCTTATGAAATAGGTGTCATGATTATCCTCATTTTTTACAAGAAGAATCTGGGAATATAATAGTCTCACGCTTGTCTTCAATCTCAAAGAGATTTGTCTGACTCAGAGGCTTCATTCCTACTTGAGATATTTGGTTTTCTGTGTTGTATTTACAACTAATACCCTGGACTTATCCCCAAAGTTGTTAGAAATGAGAGATTACTGAGAACTGCTCTTTTTATTCAGTATCATCCAAGAATATTTCTCGAAAAAGTAAGCTTGAACAAAGGGAGATAAGAATTCTCACAGAATGACTCCAGACTCCTAAGGGGTGATAGTGTAAAGAGACTGATAACGTGCCGCAAGAAGTAAAAGTGTCTAAGCAGGAATGCCTGCTAAAGTAGTTTGGGTATTCACTTGGAACCAATGATCTTGCTTAGTCCCTTATACACTTTTTTGAGAAGAAAATGGAACTGAATTGATTCTTGTTTGAACTCTCATATTTCCAATCTGCCGAGTAAAATTATGATTGAGGTGTGCATTTTATCTAGTAATATTTGGTCAGAAAATTCTGTTACTGAGGATATCGATTTAATGACAGGATCTTAAAATTCTCTCAGGTCTTACCCAATCTATCAACATTCTATTATAGTTATGAAATATAAATTTTTCAACGACCAGGAATCATGATATTATATTTATGAGAAAAATGAATTATTCAATGAATTGGGCATTTTAGCCATATTTATACCAGTTGTCTTTCAACTGTGCATTATGTTCATTATAGTTAATGTTGTAATTATGGTAAATAATTTAGAGGGAGTGCTGTAATTTTTTTCAGTTCCTTCCTCTGTTGACAAACAATAGCTTTAATGCATGTTTACAACAACCTTACTGAAACACTGCTTTATTTTCAGTTTAATAAGATAAAACCAGTGGAAAGTGTTATTTTTAGAAATGTTTGATATAGTATCTCTCTAGCTGAACCAAGAGAAAAAAATCAATGTACAGTTTTCATTTTATGAGCTCTATGATGCAAAGTCTCAAGGTGTAATTCACTATTCTCCATGAGATTTTCTGACTACATTCTGTTTTTTTCTCTTCTAGTCCTTTTGTCTCAATCTCCCAGTTTTTGGCGGGTTTGCAAGTCATTTTCGCCTATGTCAGCCAAGATGGAATACTCTATTGGCGCAGTGACATAAATATCTTACTTTTCAGTAATACCAACATGGGTCTCTATATGATGTTCTTTAAACTTAATTTGGTAAGATTCTTTTTAAATGTTACCTGCTCTTTACTTAATAAAACTCATATTTAGATGCTACAAATGTTGCGTTTTCTTGCTTGAGATTTGTAATGGGTTTATTTTAAGATTGTATTGGGATATGTGAGCACCCAGTTGGAAATACTCAGTCTTTACTACTAATGGACAGGTCCTGATTGCAATACTTGTGAATTTCCTTAAGGAATGCTATAATAGCCTGCCCTCCACCTCCCACATAAGTGGCAGCCGGTGATAGGTCAGCTTTACAAATCCCCTTCCAATTTTCCAAACCCCTTTAAAATTTGGTTTTGCCAGGAGACATGTGCCTTATTTTCGAGTAGTCTTTTTAGACTTTCTTACTGGCTGGTATGTAGAAATGTCTTAGCTTGTAACTCTAGAAAAGGTGAAAGCCAGAAACACATTTTTATGCAGATAATATCTACTTAAAAGCTAAAAATTCTGGAAAGAAAACTCTAAATGTCAAAATTAATAAACTCTATCAACCTAGGAAAACAAATCATTTAGAAATTTTGAGAAATAAACTGTATTTTTTTAAAAAATCAGATTAAAAACATTCCAAAACAAGCACATTCCAAGTCCCAGAACTTCTGACTTGGGTATATAATCAAGTGAGTAGACTTTACAGGTTGAACAGGAGGATAAATCTTTAAAGACTTTAACGTTAAAATCTACTTGAAAGTATCATTTTTATTTACTTCCAAAAAAAATTTATGCCAACTAAGCCACTGTTTAAAATAACGATTAGAATAATACCTATAATTAATTGATGTTAACCTTATCTTCATAGAAAGAGAAGGATCAGCTGTGCATGGTGGCACACACATGCAGTCCCAGCTACTGAGGAAGATGATGAGGCAGGAGGACCGCCTGAGCCCAGAAGTTTAAGGCTGCAGTGAGCTAAGATTAAGTAACATTCCTAAAGACACATACCAGGTCTTTAGCTCAGAGCTGAGTTAAAATTTGACCAAAATCTATATGACCTATGTCTGGGTCTACGTTCTAAACCACTTTCTGTTAATTGAACAGTAGATGTTTTTCTTTGTGATGGATGCTATACTTCAATATGCCTCAAATGTTTTTGACATATTAAATAAAAAATATATAGTTTATCAATACAATTATATTTTCAAATGTAATAAAGTTAGATACAAATCCTTGAAGAAATGTTTATGGCAACAAGAAAAACTAAATATCTATTCCACAGTGCTTTTATGGAAGAGGGCTCACTATTCTGATACACTGTGTTTGCCTTGAAAATTAAACTTTAACAAAAATTATCAATAATGAAATATTCTTTATTATATGGATTATATTTAATGTTATACAAAAGAACCAGCTAATTCTGTTTAGAAATTAAAAACTAGAAGAAAATCAAAATATTATTTTGTAATTCCACTTTGCTTAACCTGTTAAACTACCTACGACCTTAGGCAGTTTCTTGTGTATTATGTTAATAATATGTAGGTGACATTTTCTCTACTTTTGTTTATTAGTTTCAACATGTATGAAATAAAATAATCTGCCATCAAATGCTCTTTGAGACTTATCTTACTTAAACCTGGAGATTGAAATCCTTAAAGGATTTTAGGGAATGTATACAATGCCACAGCAAGTAGAATCAGAGCTGGTTGTATTAATGTATGTTGGCTACAAACCTCATTCTTTCCTGTATCTTTCCAGAAAACAATATGAAACTCCCATCTGCCACTTCGATAGTTTCCTGAACCCAGTAAACTTTCGGATCACAAATAGTCTAGACTTTTAGCTTTGAGTAAGCATTGATCCTTCTATGGTTAAACATACAAGTTTAGATCTGGAACATAGTTTGGAGCTGATCTCATAATTTTATTCCATTTACTCAGTAAACAGAGAGAAAGGAAGAATGACAGCCAACTAGGCATTTTATGGAAAAGGTATTTTCAGCAATAAATTATACACCTACAGAAATGTACCGCAACATTTTGATTTCAGACTACCAACAAATTTAGTTAAGCTATTTTATAAACCATATTTTTGTTTTAATTTCCTCCAACCATTTTTTAATACCTAAGTGAGTACACAAACAATATCTGGAGAAAACACCAGCTGGTAACATGTAAACCTTCTACTTGGAGAAACTCCTTTGCAGACATTTAAAAACACAGAAACCTGGACCTAAACTTCGATGAGCTGTAGGGGTCAAAGATTATTTTATAGGGCTCCACGGTTCATTCCACCTCTCACAAGAATTGAGACTCAGTACATTAGAAATACTTTTTGTTAGGTAATTTGGTGTCAGGAAGCAAAGTTAAAGGCCAAGCATCTGGGGCTTCTGATTTTAGTCTGAGCTTGGCCACTAATGAATTGTGTGTCCAGAAGTTCAGGATGGGGCAGGGATGGTATCTCTCTCCCTCATTCCTCTATCTTCAAGGCTGGCCCAGTGTCTTACTAGACACTCAATAAAAAATGAATCTCATTCTCCTTCTTCTTGAGAAGATTAAAAAAAAATAACAACCATTTGCTAGCACATTTTACGTGGAAGGGAACATATTTAATTGATTTAATCAGGACCACTTTCTTCTGAAGGTCGGAGTGTCCATTAAATTCTGTATGAGAAGAGGCATTTTGTGGCGGGGGGTGTCAAATGTGAGTTTATTCAGGTTTCTGGTCAGCATTAAAAAGGAGGTGGTGGGAGGGATTGTAAGAAGATGATTACTTCTTCTGACGCCTTAGAAGGAGAGTTCAAAAGGAAATTGACTTTGATTCTCGTGATTTCTTGAGGAAAGAGTGGAGGCCTATTTCCTCCTCTGGTGTGGTGAGATGAGGTTGCAGAGGTCAAATACAATGATTTATGGACATGGTCTTAGAAAGCAGGTCGGTTGAATCGAAAAAATAATTAAAAGTACTCTCTTTCATGGTCTTTCCTGATAAACTACAGAAAGAAGTGTTACTGATGCAATACAGTGCTTTCTGATGGAGTGCTGCTGGGACAAATTGTTCACAGCAGACTATTCTGGCAGTATGAAAGGTGTTTGAGAAATTGCCAGAATTCTTTTTCTGTTTGTTTGTTTTTGTTTGGAGGCCATTTCTTTGAGATGAGATAATTTATATAAGAATGTTTTCCTTACTATGCACAGCAAATTATGTAATGATATTTTGTTAACAAGTATTAATGTTAAATATATTTCTTCAATTTATGTAGTTTTATGGTAGAATTTAAAGATAAATTGTTATTATTTTTATTTGTATACATTTAAGGAGTACAAGTGCCGTTTTGTTACATGCATATACTGCATAATGGTGAAATCTGGGCTGACGAGGAATTCAAACATTACTTAAAAAAATAAAAGGAATGAATAGTCTAATTAGAAATGCTTTGCAAATAATCTAGACACATATTGCTAACTTATAAATTCATGGCTCTGTGAGCATCGTATCGTCTTCTTTGATGGCTTGGAGTCCTATGAAGGGCTGATAAATAGATTGGTCTCCATTGATTTGAAAGATAATATTATACACAGCTAAATATATTCTACAGGAATGGCATTGGCAATTTCTACCATAAAGACTACATAAATTGAAGAAATATACTTCACATTAATACTTGGTAACAAAATCTCATTACATAATTTGCTGTACCTAGTAAGAATACCTAATTCTTCAATACAACCCTTGCTGTGTTGAGGAATTTGGTGGCCTACACACTGGAGGAAGTTCTGCAGGTTTGTTCTCTAGGTGGGTCCAGCTGAAATTAAACTGTAGGCCCTTTCTGCTCTAAGTGAGACTGCAAAACCTATTAGAAAAGCAGTATCTCAGGCCTGTTCTCAGATCCACTGAATTAGAATCATCATTTTAATAATGACCCCAGGTAGAATAAATGGATGAAAGTTAAAGTTTGAAAGCCATCTTCTAGGCTTTTAGAATGTAAAATAAAGTATGCACTGCATATAAACAATCCAACTCACAGGAAATACTAGTATTCACTAGTAGAACTGGACACAAATAAGCCTTATCAGTCTCTTTTGAGTTTCCCTATTCAAATTTTTAAATCTATATTATGTGTATATAATATCATCAAACATATTATATTTAACATAATGTCATATAATATTTTATATTAGAATTGTGTCAGAGAACTTTAGAAAGTATAGGCCAATGTTTTTATTTTGCGGATGAAAAATTGGAGGCATGGAGAGGTAAAATGACATACCCAAGCTTCCACAGGTAGTCAGTGGCAGAATTCTAGCAACTAGGTTGGTCTCTGGAATCTAGTCTGGGGCTCAGAAAATAGAGATACTGTCTTCCCTCTGTAAATTCACTAAACGCATTAACCCAATCATTTTATTTTGACTTCAAAGAATGTATGACTGTTATTAATATGTAAAAAAGTCTGTGCATAAATATGTATACATGAAATATACTAGTGTTTAATGATGGCTATATAAAAGAAAAGGATTAAGGGCTATTTCAGTTTTCAGGACAAGCAAGTGTACATAGGAAATTATATGCAATAATTATATAATAAGGGATCAGCTGTGACTGATATTTTAAGGTTGTGTGTGATATGTGGGGAGGGATGTGACTCCCTGTAAGTGTGTGTGTTTTTGGTAAAAAGCTTAATTCTTATCTTTCATTGTAGGGAGTCAAAAGAAGTGGCTAATTTGAAAACAACAAGAGAGAAATGGAAGCATAAACTTGATTTTTTTAGAAATAAAAAGGCAGATTTTTAAGAATATAGCTAGAGGACTTGAACTCTGTGGCCTCTGGAAAGCAGGAATGACAGGTGGAAAAAAATCAATGGACTGTTTTGTTTTTAAAAACTCTATAGTCCTAGAGGCTACCAAAAGGCTATAATTACATTTGAATTCATTTTTATACTACTTTGACAAAAATTAAACTTACAAAAGGAGAGAATGAAAGAAAATACATCACTTGTTTACCTTATGGTTCAGAAACAACTCAATTCAAACCCTGCAGATCAGTTAACTTTAAAAAATATTGCTTTGCGTTTAACTGGCAGCTTCAGTTAGGTTTCAAAAATCTGCCTAAAGGTAGAACCTAAACTCACATTCATTCTCAACTTTACAAAGGTCAGGTTAATAAAACAATGCTTTTGGAAGATTTCCATGTTGCTATAATAGAAAATACTTCTCTAAAAAGAAAACCAGAAAATATTATTAATATTTTACATTTTTTGAATACCAGTAGGGGACACTAAGATTCCACTGAAATGAAAATATAGGCCTGTAGCAGTCATAAATTATTTGTTCTCTAGTTTTAAAGGGAAAACATCATAAATTCTACGTTTTTTTAACTTTAGTATCGTTGGTAGAAATGCTTTTCTTTTTAACCCTCAAAGGGTAGATGGATTTGACTTTTTTTAGCAGAGATTTTTTTTTCCCGAGTCTATGTTGCAGTCTGATTTGCTTGTTACTCAGCATTTCACTGCAAAGCTATCTTTATCACTTTGTCAAAAATAGAATAAGTAGGATTTTTTCACAGATAAGTGGTTACCTAATAAATGACATTCTGCATACAGTTCCTTTAAACGGAAGCAAAAATACGATTACTAAAAGTTGGAGCCAAGTTGGAAATTGCAGGGAAAATAGAAAAGCTTCGTATAACCAATCCTCCTTGCCAGCTGCCAAAATAATGGAAACACTGCCAGACAAACAGAATCACATTAAATATAATCCTAAATCTAAGAGGAAACTAAAACTACACACATGAGTTTGGATTAGCTATTGAACATTATTATAATCTTACAATTAAAGAAAATTTTGGTATTCATATAGAACATTAGCAAGAAAGGTAAAAATTCAAAACCAATATTACTTATTGCTTCATGGTTTATATCATTCAGATAACCCACGAAGTGAGAAATAATATTGATGAATTTTCATGTTTTATTTAATACTCATTTCCTTAGGTGTTAGGAAAATATATAAACTCCTAGTATAATATTTTTGAAAAATATTACTAAAGGGTTTTCAGTGTAATATTTTGAACCTGGCTGTATGTTTTTGGTCTATACAATTATTTTTTATAATAATAACCTAAAAAACACTATAATTTAAAATACAGGCTTTTTTTGTTATACTAACCATTGCTTTAGATAATTTGTGGATGCTTAATGAATCGCATTTAGGAATGTCATTTCTAATGGCTTTAAACTGATTTTACTTATTTATAAATCAAATAAACCAGGTTAAATTCATAGAATTGTAGCACTGTGAGAACTCTGTCAATTTTCCCAAGGACCCTTTTATTTTGCAGATGAGAAATTTGTAAGTATGGAAAGGTCACTCAGAAAGCTTTGCAAACAGAAGTGAATTATTCACCATGGTAGCAGGACTGGCAGGAAGTTCCAGGTCTCCTGATTCCAGTCCAGACTTACCTCTCAGTGCCATGCTGCCTTTCTGTGAGAAACATACCTGATTCACTCTCAGTGTAATAGATTTCTTTAGCGATAATCCAGAGAACAACCTGGACCCTAAGGAAAACCAGTGAGTGTTGATCTCTATTTGCATCTGGTGAAGTAACACTGGACTCAGAGGTGGAGGATGCTACAGATTGATATAGAAAAATGGATTTCTAAGACCATTAAGGGGTGAGCCAATACAATGTTCAAGTCACTTATTGAATTCTTTTATTGGTTTTCCTTGTAAGGAAAATTGAAGTATCCTTCCAAAGAAAGCCATATCATAAATGAGGCATGATGCCCAGCAAGGGACATATATTTTTAAATAAGACTGGTTGGGATTGCTACTAGCGAGGACACCTGAGAATGGCATAAAGATGAAAAGCACAGCACAGTGTTGACAGAATGTTACCTCTCCATCAGTAACACAATTTGAGTTTTGTGCTTTGTTTGCATTTGGCTGACTGTGCTAGTTCAGTCCATTTTCACCCCCCTTCTCCTCAATATAATTAAATCAATTTTATATGCTGAGTGTGTGATGACTCAGTGTAGTTGTTTTTGCTGCCAGTGGAAACGGTTTGCTCTCTATATTTCATGCGGATTCTCTTTCTATTAACAAAAATGGAATTTTCAGGCTTATTACAAGATTAAATTCCTGATAGAATTAAAGGTGGTTGATCCTTTCTTACCATTTCCAAAACAATTTTTCTCTTGGGAGCTACCATTCTGAAAGCTAGAACTCCAAACCACAATTTCTTTCTGAATTAAGTTTATTTACCCATTGGGAAAAAGTTTAGAAGTACATCACCAAAATTAACGGAGGGCTTAAATGATGTAAAACTGAATTATTCGAAATGGATGAAAAAATCTTACATAATGGTGTACATAATCCCTTCAAAGTATTTAAGAGATGTGAGGCGCTAAATGACCTGTGACCCCAGGAACACTACTGTCTAAGATTTTAATACAATGACCCAGGATGCTAACCTTGTAAAGCAATGATTTCTTTTCTATTGTCTTTCAATGTTAAAGATGCAAAGTAAAATTTTAAGGGGCTGAGAGATTGGTTCCCTTCTATCTCATAGCAAATATATTAAAATAGTGTTAATTTATTGTTCACATACGAATTGAGTCTCTAGTCAATTTTTCTTATGGGATATAATAGCAGTCCATCAACAGCCACTGAAACTAATTAAAATAAATAAATACTGTTTACTCTTACTTTATTTCTTTTTAAAAATCTGTTCTCCCTTTGAAACAGGGTTGATTTTTCAGTTTTCTGTTTATGTGCATGACAAAGATAGATCTCTTTTTATGAGAGAATATCTTAAAAATTCATGGTTAAAACCATGTCTGGAGGGATCCGGGCATGATGGCTCATGCCTGCAATCTCAGCACTTCGGGATGCTAAGATGGGTGGATCCCTTGAGTGTAGGAGTTAAAGACCAGCCTTGGTAACATGGCAAAACCTGGTCTCTACTAAAACTACAAACAATTAGCAGGACGTGGTTGTGCATACCTGTTGCCCCAGCTACTTGGGGGACTGAGGCAGAAGGCTCACTTGAGCCTGGGAGGTCAAGGCTGCAATGAGCCCTGATCAAGCCACTGCATGCCAGCCTGGGTGACAGAGTGAGACTCTGTCTCAAAAATAAATGAATAAATAAATAAAACTATGTTTGGAGAAGTTGTTCTCTATTTTACACACTTTGAACAAGAAGAGTTTGCTAATCTAAATAGAGAATGTTTATTATTCTATTATTTTAATTGAGTCATTGTTTTTTCTCAAAGAGCTTAAAGTAGAGCCTAAATTCTGTTAGATCAAAGAACTGTATTCAGATAACTGAAAGGGTTTATTCCCAAATATCTTAGTCAGCTTGGGCTGCTATAACAAATACTAGGTAGTTTTAACAGCATACATTTATTTCTTATAGTTCTGGGGGCTGGGAAGTCCAAGACTGAGATGCTGGTCTATTAGGTGTGTGGTAAGTGTCCTCTTCCTGGTTTTCAGAGGGCTCTCTTCTTGCTATATCCTCATAAGATAAAGAGCATTCTGTTCTCTTCATCCCCTTATAAGGGCACCAGTTCCATCAGAGACTCATGACCTCATTTGAATCCAACTACCTCGAAAGCCACATTTCCAAACACCTTGATAGGGTTTCAACATACAGATACTGGGGGGCCACAAGCATTCAGTTCATAGCACCAGCCACCTTCTTTAGAGTCTTTCTTATCAAAGTGTAAAGTAGTCTAAAAGTAAAGGGAAAAGAAAAAACTTGGATTATTATCTGTTACATGTATTCACTTTGTTAAAATCCACGATCTGCCTGTAAGATAAGTGAAAGCTAAGGCTGGAGTGAACATGAAGTCCCGTTAAGGCCCCAGAGTAGTAAATTGCAGAACTAAGCTTTGAATTCAAATCTTCCTGACTTTAAAGCACATTCTACTTCTACGCTTCCTCCAACTGTCTCACAACTTCTCATGTTTAATTCAATGAACTAATGAATATTTTGAAATAAACATAAAGATTGTAAAATCAACATTTTTTATAGATTTAACTTATTAAATCTAATATTTAACTTATTAAATCTATACATTTTATTTGTAAAAATTTAACTGACTAAAAATATTTATGTGCTATTGTTGTAGAAAATATGTATTTCTCATTATCTATGGTCCAGTAAAAAAATATTGAAACTCATTGTATTAGTCCATTTTCATACTGCTATGAAGAAATTCCCAAGACTGGGTAATTTATAAAGGAAAGAGAGGGTTAATGACCTCACGGTTCCATGTGGATGGGGAGGCCTCACAATCTGCCCCACACATGGCAAGTGTGAAGGAGAAGCAAAGGGAGTCTTACATGGTAGCAGGCAAGAGAGCATGTGCAGGGGAACTGCCTTTTTTAAAATCATTGGATCTCATAAGAATTATTCACTACCATGAGAACAGGACAGAAAAAGCCCACCCCCATTATTCAATTACCTTCCACCAGGTCCCTCCCATGTCATGTAGGGATTATGAGAGCTATAATTCAAGATGATATTTGGGGGGGGGACACAGCCAAACCATATCATACTGCCCCCGGCCCCTCCCAAATCTCATGTCTTCACATTTCAAAACATAATCATGCCTCCCCAACAGTCCTCAAAATTCTGAACCCATTTCAGCATTAACTCAAATGTTCAAGCCCAAAGTCTCATCTGAGACAAGGCAAGTCTCTTCCATCTATAAGACTGTAAAATCAAAAGTAAGTTATTTCCTTCCTAGACACAAAGGGAGTAGAGGCATTGAGTAAATATACCCATTCCAAATGGGAGAAATTGGCCAAAACAAAGGGGCTACAGGCCCCCATGCAAGTCCAAAATCCAATAGGACAGTCATTAAATTTTAAAGATCCAAAATAACCTATTTTTACTTCATGTCTCACATCCAGGTCATGCTGATGCAAGAGGTAGGCTCCCACAGCCTTGGGAAGCTCCACCCCTGTGGCTTTGCAGGGTACAGTCACCCTCCTGCCACTTTCACAGGCTGGCGTTGAATGTCTGCAGCTTCTCCAGGTTCACGGTGCAAGCTGTTGGTGGAGCTACCATTCTGGGGTCTAGAGGATGGTGGCCCTCTTCTCACAGCTCCAGTAGGCAGTGTCACAGGGGAGACTGTGTGGGGGGCCTCCAACCCCCCCACATTCCTCTTCCACACTGCCCTAGCAGAGGTCCTCAATGAGGGCCCCACCCCTGTAGCAAACTTCTGCCTGGACATCCAGGTATCTCCATACATCCTCTGAAATCTAAGTGGAGGTTTCCAAATCTCAATTCTTGACTTTTGTGTGCCTGCAGACTCAACACGATGTAGGAGCTGACAAAGCTTGGAGCTTGCATTCCCTGAAGCCACAGCCAAGCTGTACTTTGGCCCCTTTTAGCTACAGCTGGAGTGGCTGGGACACAGGATACCAAGTCCTTAGGGGGGCCCTGGACCTGGCCCAGGAATCCATTATTCTCTCCTAGCCCTCAGACCTATGTTGGGAGGAGCTGCCATGAAGGTCTCTGACATGCCCTGGAGACATTTTTCTCATTGTCATGGTGATTAACATTTGGTTCCTTGTTACTTATGCAAATTTCTGCTGCAGGCTTGAATCTCTCCCCAGAAAATGGGGTTTTCTTTTCTATTGGATTGTTATGCTAAAAATTTTCCAAACTTTTATGCTCTGCTTCCCCTTGAATGCTTTGTCACTTAGAAATTTATTCTGCCAAATACCTTAATTCATCTCTCTCAAATTCACAGATCTACAGATCTCTAGGGCAGGAGCAAAATGCCTCCAGTCTGTTTGTTAAACCATAAGAGGAGTCACTTTTGCTCCAGTTCCCAACAAGTTCCTCATCTCCATCTGAGATCACATCATTTTGGACTTTATTGTTCACATCACTATCAGCATTTTGGACAAAGCCATTCAACAAGTCTCTAGGAAGTTCCAAACTCTCCCACATCTGCCTGTCTTCTGAGCACTCCAAGTCTCTAGGAAGTTCCAAACTTTCCCACATTATACTATCTTCTTAGCCCTCCAAACTGTTCCAACATCTGCCTGTTACCCAGTTCTAAAGTCACTCCCACGTTTTTGGAGATTCTTATAGTAGCATCCCACTCTACCCATACCAATTTATAGTATTAGTCTGTTCTCAAACTGCTAACAAAGACATACCCGAGACTGGGTAATTTATAATGAAAAAGAGGTTTAGTGGACTCATAGTTCCACATAGCTGGGGAGGTCACACAATCAGCACGGAAAGTGAAGGAAGAACAAAGGCATGTCCCACATGGTGGCAGGAAAGAGAACATGTACAGGAGAACTGCCCTTTATAAAATGATCAGATCTCATGAGATGTATTCACTATCATAAGAACAGTATTGAAAAAACCCGCCCCTATGATTCAATTACTTCCCACTGGGTCCCTCCCATGACATGTGGGGATGATGGAAGTTACAATTCAAGATGAAATTTGGGTGGGGACACAGCCAAACTCTATCACTCACTTCGGGGATAATAGCATGACAAGAGCTATTTTTTATTCTTTATTGACACTGAAATGTACAGCAAACTCTACTCAATACTTCAATCCTTTGGAACTCTATAGATGTTGGTGGAATTCATCTGTAAGATTTGGCAGTATCCCTGGTACCTTCCCTCTAGTGCAGGGTGTTTTTGCTTTTTCTTGCCTTTGGTTCCTGGCCTTGCTTTTTTTTTTTTTTTTCTGTGAATCAGAAAAAGGACATTCATTGGATTAGAGGTGGAGAAACTGAACTAGGGTGGAAGAAATTTGGATAGAAAGTATTCTTGGAATCATGAGGGATTAAGTGAAATCAGTTTCTGGGAAACACAAGGGAAGAGCAGGGAAGAAGGGTAGGGAATCCAGCACTGCTGCAAACATCAGGCAAACACTGTATCCATATATCTGGTTCTGAAGTTTAAGAAGATAAAAATATATTTTTAAATGCTATCATTAAATAATACTATAAAGCCAAATGGTAACCTTTGTTTCTTAAAAAAAAAAAAGATATTTCACTTATTGCATGTCATTGGAATTTAGAAGTTCTGGTCTTTACCTCTCCCAGCCATCAGTTGTTAAAAGTGACTTTAAAAAGAAAATAAGTTTGTTTTAGTTTGTTAGCTTTATGTGTTTACTCTCCTTTTAGCTGAAATGAGCAGGGGAAGCTATATTCTAAAAATATGCACTTCAGTTCCACACAGCAAGTTAATTTTCAAGTTCATCAGATGTGTATTTATATGGTGATTGTAACTGTCACATAAACATTTTGTCAATCACTGCCTTCCTTCTGTTCGGATATGCTATGAGTACCATCTACAATGTGATGACTGTTTTGCTTGTTCTAAGTAAAAATTAATTATGGCAATGATACCAAACGACACAGACTCTATTATAACACTGCACTACCCAAAACTATTATTAAAGCTTGAAAGGAAAAGATAAAATCCTAGGTCAGAATTAAATTGTCAAATGCTTTTACTTGTTCTTTTTAGATCCACTTATTTTTTGAATGAAAAATTTTCTAAACCTACTTGAAAGACGTAAACTGGTCCATGAACGTAAATCATAAAACCAATTAAAATGTGTGAAATAGCAATAGAGTATAATGAATAAATCAGCTTAACCTACCTTTTGTTTGTATGGTATTTTGTTTGGTTATACTGTGAATAAAACATATGTGACTATTTTATCCTTTAAACAATAATGGCATACAATTTGGGAGTCACCACAGTAATGCTGTTCTTATTAAAAATGACCAATAAATAATAAAAGAGTGAGCAAAAATTTAAGGAAAATTAGAATACTTCTCTCATTTTTAAACATCTCTACATTATTAACTACAAAGGTAAAATCATTAACTTTACAAGAAGAAACCTGGCAGACACCACTTCAACCAAGTAATGAAAGTTTACATCACTAGAAATGGGCCAAATTCACAGTTTGTGCCTCTTGCTAGGAGATACTGAGAAACATACACATCATTTCTCTGATATTATTGCCAAAAATATATAACCTGAATTTAACTGTGAAGAAACATCAAACAGACCCAAACTAACAAATATTCTGCAAAGTAACTAGCTTGTATTCTTCATAAGTGTTTAGGTCATGAAGGAAAAAGCAAGACTAAAGACCTGCACAGTATTTCAGAGACATGACCATTAAATGCAACGTTTGATGCTATATTGAATTATAAACAGAAAAATGGATTGGTGTGACATTTTCTGATTTTGATAATCATATTTATCTATATAAGAGATTATCCTTGTTTTAAGAAACATACAATGAGGTATTTAGAGCTAACAGGGCCCCATGTCTGTGACTTCTCTTCATTTATATTAGAAAAGAAAAATATACATTGAGAGAAAAAGAGAGAGAGAATAAAACAACTGTGTGAAATGTCAATTTGTGTGAAATTTGGGAAAGCTGTGTGAGAATCATTTGTATTATTTTAGCAACTTTTATTGTAAGTCGGATATTATTATTTTAAAATATTTAAAAATAGAATGATGGCACAAATATTAGGTAGGAAGTTTGAAATGATCCCAAAGGGAAGATAATTGAGTCTCAGATTTCATCCATATGGATTTATACAGTATAAATGCTATCCCAGGGTATAAGACATTTTTGAAAGATGATATTTTATAAAAGCAACTCTATCTAGATTTGTATGGTTCCTCTGACATATGGTACAGACCACTTATATATACCCCCCAAGCAGATATTATCATAAGAGAGTAGCACCTGTTTTTGTTAATGTGGCTGTTTACAAATATGTTAGAATAAATGATTTGAAAATGTTAAATATCCAAGTATGTCATCTTAAAAACAAGCTTTCAGTGAATAACAAGAAAAATTCGATTCCCCTTTTGTTGCTGTTGTTGTTGAATTCAGAAAATAAAATCATCAAACACACAATAAAGAATGCCAAATTTTACATCACCATTGAATTGAATCTGGAATTTCCACTCTGCTAGGTACTAGCAAAACTACAAGAGAAGAAACTTAGACGCGGGACATCAGACCCTACTCAGAGACAGCAATGTAGTATTTCAGCCATCTCCACTAATGATCATGAGAGCTAACATATGCATTAAACCTTTAATTTCTAGTATTAATATCATAGGTGTGTGTGTATATATATATATATATATATATATATATATATATCAGATATATATATATATATATATATATCAGATATATATATATATATATATATATCAGATATATATATATATATGACAGAAAACATGCACAGGAATTTACATAACATTCTGTGATCTCATATGAATTATGCATTTTTTATTTTCACAATCGGATATATAATTATTCATTCTTACCATTTGTCTTTCTGTTGTTTAAGATTAGACTCAGCACCTATTGTTAGAAACCCAAGATTAAAGTGGTTTAAAATTAAATGGAGGGTGACATCAGCGAAATGGTGAAGTGGAATGTGTGAAAATTATCTCCTCCTTAAAAGCAACTAGAACACTAGCCAAAACTCCCAGAATCCACATTTTGGAGTCCTAGAAATTAAGCAAAGACTTGCGTCAATTCAGGAGTGTTTATTCAAGAGAGTAGCTACATCTCAGTAAGAAAAGAGAGATTTGTATTGTTTTGTCCTAACTTCTCCAATTCCTGTTCTCTTCTCCCAGCTTCCTGGTAGCCTTGAACACCAATAACCCACAATCACAGTGAAAATCAATAGACTGGCAGCCAATGGAAAGAGTAGAATGAGTTGGAACTCCCTTGAATTACCATTCCCAGGTTCTTACCATTATTTTATTTTTCCAGCAGCTTCTTTGTAGGAAAACAGCTTGTGTCATGGCAAGAATGATGCCATCTGGAAGCAAAATCACTGTGAAAAAAGATGTGTTTCTGTAGCATCAATAGCCCCTCATAAAGAAACAATGTCTATAGCATAGACAACCTCTTATAAAGTTGCTTGTGTAACCTGCTCTGTGGTTATGGCTTCATAAGAAAGTATGAGACATAACCGGTTGCATGCATTTTACCAAAAACACTTGCTTCATAAAGGATAATCTCTGGAGGGTGTTGCGCAGAGATCCACTATCTGTTGGCCACCAGAGATATTGTTTCTGTTTGTAAGTCGCTATTAAGAGCTTTTTCACAGATATAGGATTTGTCAGTCTCTTTCTTCAACCTCTCAGTTCCCTCAGCTTTTGGGCATAGGCTTTCATTTACCTGCTCACTCACCATGGAACATCCTCATTAGACCACATCCACAAAGCTACCTTTATTTGACATGACTCAAAGCTTGACTGGTGTAAACAGTTGTTTCCAGAATGAATCTTTTGAAAATACACAGACCCAATCATTTAATATCATAGCTGTTGATGACAGTGTATAACAGTAAGGACAAAATATATGCTAACCAAAAAGCTTAAAAATAAAAGGTAGAAATAAGATGTTCATAAGAAGTTTGAAAATCTCCAATACATTTTGAGAATTTTGAATGGCATCTGGATACACAGGACTGTGCATGTGTCCAAGGATGAAAGACCTTAGACGGTCCTCTTGCCTTTGGCTAATCTTGAAGTTCTGTAAAAGCAAGAAGCAAAGGAAAAGGCAAAGATGTAAACTACATGACTGAGTGTTGAGGCATGTCTCAACATGCACAAAGAACCTGACAGCAAAAACTGGGAGGTTTATTGGTTCCTTACACATCTTAGGAAATCTCTAGCTAATCATTAGATGACCACTAAGCTAACTAAGTAGAAGCTAAGTTAACTGAGCAGAACTTTCAGTGGCCACAAACAACAAACAGACTTATACATAATTAGTTCAGAAAAGTTACTACACAAAACAACAACAACAACAACCCAACAACAAATAGCAATAGCAACAAATGCTGCGGTGTGGGGAGAAGCATCTGATTCCAGTCATTACCACATTAAGTTATTTAAAATGTTTAGTTTTAAGCAACAGTGACAAAAAATATGTTAAGATGGTAATTGCAATTCCCAGAGTGACCACTAAAGCAAGTCTTCAAAAATATATAGTGAATAAAATGACAAAGGGATTAATAGAAATGACATTCAATCTGTAGACCAACTTGGAAAGTATTGCCATTTTAACAATCTTAAGTCTTCCAACTCATGAAAACAACTATCTTATCATTTATATTGGAGAGCTATATAGCTATTATAATCAAGACTGTATGCTACTAGCATAAGGATACACATGTTAGATCATATGATTTGAGTTTCCAGAAATAAATCAATACATTCTTGCTCAATTTATTTTGACCCATGTCAAGACATTACAGTATAAGAATAATATTTTTCTTAACTAATAGTACTGGAGTGTCAAATACCTCCATGCAAAAGAATGAAGTTAGACCTCTGCATTAGTCAAGGTTCTTCAGAGAGACGGAATCAGTAGGATACATATAGATACAGAAGAGGGGATTTATTATGGGAATTTGTTCATGTGATTATGGAGGCTGAGAAGTCCCACCACATGCCATCAGTAAGCAGAAGAAATGCTATTGATGTAACTCAGCCTGAGTCTGGAGGCCCGAGAGCCAGGATCTCTGATGTCTGAGAACAAGAGGAGATGATGTCTCCGTTCAAGAAGAGAGAGACTGAATTTGCCCTTCCTCTGCCTTTTTGTTCTACCTGGGTGGGATGATGCATGCATGTCCACACAGATGATGGCAGATCTTTTCTTTACACAGTTTTAGTAGTCAGGGTTCTCAAGAGAAAGATAACTAGTAGGATATATATATATATATATATATATATATATATATATATATATATATATGAAAGGGAGCTTATTAAGGAGTATTGACTCACGATCACAAGCTGAACTCCCACAATAGGCCATCTGCAAGCTGAGGAGCAAGGAAGCCAGTCTGCGTTCCAAAACCTCAAAAGTAGGGAGGCTGAGAGTGCAGCCTTTAGTGTGTGGCCAAAGGCCCAGGAACCTCTGGCAAACCACTGGTCTAAGTCTGAGACTCTTTTGAGCTTCAAAAGCTGAAGAACTTGGAGTCTGATGTTTGAGGGCAGGAAGCATCCAGCATGAGAGAAAGATAAACTCCAGAAGCAAGTCAAGTCTTTTCACATTTTTCTGTCTGCTTTATTCTATGCATTCTGGCAGCTGATTAGATGGTGCCCACCCAGACTGAGGGTGAGTCTGCTTCTCCCAGTCCACTAACTCAAATGGTAATCTCCTTTGGCAACACCCTCACAGACACACCCAGGAACCATACTTTGCATCCTTCAATCCAATCAAGTTGATACTCAAGATTAACCATCACAACAGTCTACTGATTCAAATCCTAACCTCTTTCAGAAACATTCTCACAGACACACCCAGAAGGAATATATTACCAGCTATCTGGGTATTCCTTTATCCAGTAAAGTTAACATATAAAATGCATTATCACAATGTTTACCTCACACCATATAACAAGGTGAATCAAAATAAATCAATGAAGTAAATATGATACATAAAATTATAAAACTCAAAAAATAGGTGTAAACCTTTGTGTCACTGGATTAAGCAATTGTTTCTTAGATATGACACCAAAAGCACAAATGACAAAAGAAAAAATACATAAATTTTACTTCAAAATTAAAACATTTTGTGCTTCAAAGAACACTATCAAAAAACTGGAAAGACAACCTATAACTTATATAATATAATCGCAAATCATATATCTAATGAGAGTCTCCTATTCAGAATATATATGAGCTCTTACAACATAACAACAAAAAGACAAATAACCTAATTACTTATTTTATTGTTGAGTTGTAAGAGTTCTTTATGTGTTTCTAGATATTTAATGTGTAGTGATCTTGAGCATCATTCTTGTGCTTATTCATCATCTGTATACTTTTTTGGAAAGGTGTTTATTCAAATCCTATCACTGAGAAATAAGGAATGAACTTGAAAAGAAATTTCTGTAAGGAAAATATCCATGTGACCTATAAGCAAATGAAAAGATTCTCAGGATTATTTGTCATTAAGGAAATGCAAATCAAAACTACTAGCAGACACTCTTTCACACCCATTAGGATAGATGTAATTAAGAAAAAATGGGCCCGGCATGGTGGCTCACGCCTGTAATCCCAGCACTTTGGGAGGCCGAAGCGGGCAGATCATGAGGTCAGGAGATCGAGACCATCCTGGCTAACACAATGAAACCCCGTCTCTACTAAAAATACAAAAAAATTAGCCGGGCATGGTGGCGGGCACCTCAGGAGGCTGAGGCAGGAGAATGGCGTGAACCTGGGAGGCAGAGCGTGCAGTGAGCCAAGATCACGCCAGTGCACTCCTGCCTGGGTGACAGAGACAACTCCACACCAAAAAAAAAAAAAAAAAAAAAAAGGACAACAAAAAGTGTCTGTATGACTGTGAACAAATAAAAATACTCATAAAATGAAAAGTAAAATGGTGCAACTACTATGGAAAATAGTTGCAGAGTTCCTCAGAAAGTTAAACATGGAGTTACCCTATGACTCAGTAATTCCATACCTAGTTTATGTACCAGGAAAAACATATTCCCACACAAAACTTGTACACAAATGTTCACAGGAGCATGATTCATAATGGAAAAAAATGGACCTAACATAAATATTCATCTATTGAGGAATGAATGAATAAAATATAGTATAAGCATACAATGGAATATTACTCAGCCACAAAATAGAATGAAGTACTGGTACATGCCACAACATAGATGAACATTGGAAACGTTATGCCAAGTGAAATAAGCCAGACCCAAAACACTACTTCTTGTATGAGCCATTTATTCTAAATGTTCAGAATAAAATCCATTAAGAAAGTAGGTAAGTGTTTGTAAGAGGCTGGAAACAGTGGGAAATAAGGAGTGAAAATTAATCAGTACAGAATTCTTTTTGAACGTGATAAAAATATTGTGGAATTAGTAGTGATGATTGCATAATGTTGTGACTATACCGAAAACCACTGGATGATACATTTTAAAAGGGTGAATTATATCATATGCAAAGAGTATATCAATACAAAAATCAATAATAGAAGAAGATGTAACCAGCCATCTAGGTAGCAGAGAGAACTGACAATTTAATAAAGACGGAGCGTGCAGTGAGAGCAGGAGGACATGAGAGAGAGAGATGAGCTGGACCTTCTGCAAGGGCCCAGTAAGCCGGAGAGATGGGATATGGGGCAGGACATGACTCCCTCCTGAGTGGGCCTGGAACACTTGCCACCTGGTCCAAGGACAGAGGCAGGGATAACAACCACACACCTGCTACCCCCAACCCCACACCCATACACCCACCCTACTGATGGTGACTGCCATGACTGTGGCCTCATGGAGTCCAGCACCACTAGGCAAGTTGGGCCTCTGCTAGTCTTCTGGCCATGCCGCCATTGGACAAGAGGAATGACAGCTGCCCTTACACAGCTGAGGTCCCAGGGTTCTCCAGGACCCCAGAAGGCATGTGCACGGTTGGCAATTCACATCTTAGGCAACTCAGCTTCTAGCTAAGGAGTCGCATAGACCTGGGATTTGGGGCCACCCCTCTGACCAAACTGGATAAGACTTTCTCTCTTCAGGTAAGAGCTCACAGGGGCATGAAGGAGGACAGGTGGAGAATGCATGGTTTTCCTTCTACCTAACCTTGATATTGGAAGAGTAAAAAGGATTAAAGAACCTTCCACATTTGTCAAATAAGAATTGCTTTTACCTGTTGGGATGACTTTCTGATTGGTTATAAAAGGCCTGTGAATATATAAGAAAACTGCTCTTAGCCTAACAACCTTTGAAAAGAAAATTTATTTTGCTATATCTAAGCCTTCTAGACGTGAGCAGATTGCCAGTGTCAAATAAAAACAAAGCCAAAAACTGGTTAAAGTGGTAAGGACGGATTTTTATTCAGCTATATACTATCTCAAAAAAAAAAAGACTGTTGCATGAACTGAAATCAACTTCAACTTTGCAGAAGTAACTGGGCATTTTAAAGAGAGATTGAGGAGGATAGGGAGGGAAAACAAGGGGCTCAATAGTTAGGGAAGCGAAAGCATTAGTCAGTGCAAATGTGTTAGGCTAGCTGTGTCTGTCACGTGGCAATTATCAAAGTTAGGATTCTAGTATTCCATGCAGACTGGGAGATAGAAACCATGTTCATAGGTGTTGGCTGGAACAAACAGTAACCTTGGGGGACAGCCTTAAATTTTCTCAAGCAGGCACTATAAGAGGGTTAGAGTTACATTAGGGACTTGGGCTTGAGTGGTTAGAAACTGTGTTAGTGTTTGTTCAACTCTTTATACGCCAAGGACAAGACTATTTTTTGTCCTTTTCTTACTATACTCAAAGCAGAAATTATTGGTCATATACTTCCCTTGCTTCTTTGGTGTCTCTAATGAAACCGTCTGTTGTTCGTTCTCATCCTCACCATAAGCAAAGCCATCTTTGTAGTTTAAGGATGTTATCTGCCCTAAAATGAGATCTAGGTGTGGCCTGACACTGAATTTGGTGTGGAATAATGTATTTAAAATGCCTAGTCCCACCGCTCTGCTTAGTATCTTGAAATCTCTAAAAGATTCTGAATTTAATAGGAACAACAACAAAATCAAATTATGTTCTGGTCCTGAAAGTAAGCAAGCCTTAAGAACTTACTCTTAACTAGTAGTACATTAATTAACTTCAAGATATCTGTCAACCTATTAATGAGTATGCAAAATTTGTGTGTTTGTCCCATATTTATTATTCTCGCGAAAAGCCTAATAAGAGGAAAATTTCAAGCTGAAATGAAGTATGCACTTAAATGTTAGAATAATTAACAGTAAGTACTTAAAAATAAACAAAAATGTTATTTATGGTATTGTATTGAATGAGACATACTATTCACTTTCTCAAGAAAAACTGTGACACTAGTCTTAAAAATAGGATCAAACAATGCAGTACTGGTACATAGATATCCACCATGACTAAGAGAAAAAGACTCTAATTCAAGTACTAAAATATCTATTTATACATAACTGCATATGGCATATTAGCATGCAGACCATCCACCTAATTCTTGCTCTTCTATTTCCATGCTCATCAAGCAATGTTCTCATTGCAATTTACCTTTGATAGCCCCACAAGTAGATAATCTATTAGTCAAGAGACACGAGCATGTCATTTGATTGGCAGAGATTTCCTTATTTTATTTTTATTTATTTTTTTGTTTACTTTAAAGACAGGGTCTCACTGATGCTCAGACTTGACTGTAGTGGTACAATCATAGCTCACTGAAGCCTTTAACTCCTAGGCTCAAGAAATCCCCTGGCCTCAGCCTCCCAAGTAGCTGGTGACAGGTTCATGTCACTATACCTGGATGCTTTTTAAAAATTTTTATTTTTGTAGAGATGGGGTCTTTTTATATTGCCCGGTCTTGAACTCCTGGGCTCAGGCAATCTTCGCAAATTAGCCATCCAAAGTGCTGAGATTACAGGCAAGAGCCATTGTACCTGGCCCCTTGATAGAGATTTGCTCAATGCAAATAATCACATGGGCATTTTCAGCTCGGGTATAATTTTCCTGAAGATTTCATTCTTGTCAATCAAATCCCATGAGCCATGAGATCAGCCTGTAAACCAAAAAGCAGATACTCTTGATCAAATCAGGTTAATGTCACTTATATAAATCAAGGTCAATGCACAATCCAAAAAGGAAATATCATCTTCTATGTCTAATAATCACCATTTATAAACTTGCCTAAAATTCTTCTGTATGTTCCATTTGATCAAGGTGAAATTACTCAAAAGAAGGCTTGAAAATAGTGATAAAAATAAATAGTTTGCCATGCCCAATTATTATAAGCAAACTTCGAAAGACAGAAAGATCTTTATTAAGGATTCAGTTGACAGGTCATGGTGGTTCATGCCTGTAATCCCAGAACTTTGGGAGGCCGAGGCGGTGGATTGCCTGAGGTCAGGAGTTTGAGACCAGCCTGACCAACGTGGTGAAACCCCCTCTCTACAAAAATTAGTTGGGCATGGTGGTGGGCACCTGTAATCCCACCTACTTGGGAGGCTGAGACAGGAGAATCTCTTGAACCCCGGAGGCAGAAGTTGCAGTGAGCCGAGACCAGGCCACTGTACTCCAGCCTGGAGTGAAACTCCATCTAAAAAAAAAAAAAAAAAAAAAAAAAATTCAATTAAGAGCCAATGGCTCTGCATCAAGATGATCACTGAGTCAATTTCATTGTGATTTTGAAAATTAAACTTTCAGATTTCTTTTTCAGCAAAAATTATCCTAATATGAAATGTTCTCTTTCAAAACTTTGAATACGGTATGATTTTAAAGGTATATGTGATCTATCCTATTTTTCATACCTAAGCTTCTATCTCCTTATGTCCTTGTTTACCGAGAGGATGTTTAAGGAATTCACACTTGAAATTGGCAAAAACTCTAGTGAGTAAAATGGAAAAAAAATCACCCCAATTCTTTTCATATTATACAGCACATTGTTAAAGATAATTATTGCAGCTGGTTGAGAAATAGCAGAGTTTGGGTGCAGCATCCTAATGAGAGAAAAGGAAGGTATCACTCACAATGTAAACTCCTGTCAACAAAGGCTTGAAAAATGTTTTTCTATATTTGTAAAATCACAGAGGCAGACCCGCAGAAACTATAGGTATATGAGAAAGAAACCAAATATTTAGTTTTCATCTAGATTCTGAAGAGCCAGAACTCTAAAATATTTTCAGTTACATTGCACATAATGACATCCCATCACAGAGAAAGGAGACAGCACTGACAGAGGATCTTTATATCACATCACACACAACAGTGAAGAATTTGAAGGCCATTGAACACTGAATTTTTCCATTGTACTGCAATTACGGGAACACCTGTGCTACCTAGCTGTGCATGAGTCCCGTGAAATGCAATGTTCCATAGCTGTCAAAACGTCTCATTTTTGCCTTTAATTCAGAAGTCTAATTGTGCTGGCTATGGCTTTCGTGGTAGGCTATATTTTAACTATAAGCAATAAAATAGAATGTTGAATAATTTTTAACTAACTCAAGAAACATTTATAAATATTCAGCTTTGTCCCCTTCTTTAAATTTTATTTTTTGGCATATTTACAGAAAAAGATATGGGAGTTGCTGTACTATAAAAATAATCCTTAAATCATGGGAATATTTTAGCAGAGCTATTGATCTGTACCTAAATACATGGAATTTAATGGATCTCAGCTCTCACATTTGAGCTAGTTATGTAGTCTGAGCTCTGTTTACAAAAGTCCCGGAGGCTTAGGAGTTGGACACCTTTTACTCCCTGTTGCTCATGTTAATGCATCAATGACTGATTTTTCTGAGTCCCAAATCAAAACCATGTATCTGACAAATTGATGAAACAAGCTAAAAGGCTACAGAAAGATTGGGTAGCTGACATTTGGTTATTGTATTTTATATTTAATTAATTCATTTAACAAAGAAGAAAATATACATATTATTTATTAGGATAGACATTTCCTTAGAAATTCCTTAAAATTAAGATGTGCAGTTTCCATGTTTAATATGTATCTTGAAGATGATTAAACAATAATAATAATAAAAGATGTGAGTTTGTACATGAGGCAATAATAAGTTTGGAAATGAGAAATATTTCATTCTAGAGAAGTGAATTGTATGAGACTGATAGAGCTCCACTCTTCAGATGTATGTAACACAAACTCTGCCTCTCTACAATCTTCTGCTTGATTCTGAATTCTATTAGGCTTTGAGCTCCTTGGAGATAGAAACTGTGTCTTAGTTCTATCTATACTCAATGCTTTTCTGAATATCTCCCACATAGTGGGTTCTCAAATGTATGTTAATTTTTTGCCTTGAAATAAAATCACATTTGATTTTTGAATATTTCCAATGACATATTTACTTCTGATTTTAGCCACATTAAAAATATCCAAAACAAATGTTGAAAATATGGGTTGTCTAGATTGGTATTTAGTCAATTTAAACAATGTGAACTTAATTATCCATGAATTCCACGAGAGTTGGTAAGCAGTAGGTATAAAAAAAATACAAAGTAACTAATAAGCTCATCACAACAATTGAAACTGTTATGATCTCATTTGTGAATATAGATGCCAACGTCCTAAACTAATATTTAATAAGTTAAATTTATCAGTATTATGAAAGAGCAATATAGAGCAGACAAGTACAATTTATAATTAAAAGGGGATCCAATATGAAACACACACACACACACACACACACACACACACACACACACACAATTAACTATGTTGACAAACTAAGGATAAAATTGTTCCATTATATTAAATGATTCCATTATATAAAAATGGCATATTTATATTAATGCCAAAGGAATCACTGAATATAATTCAGAAACCATTTAAGACAGGGTTTTGCTCTTGTTGCCCAGGCTGGAGTGCAATGGCGTGATCTCGACTCACTGCAACCTCCGTCTCCCAGGTTCAAGCTATTCTCCTGCCTCAGCCTCCCGAGTAGCTGGGACTAGAGGGGCATACCATCATGCCCAGCTAATTTTTTATTTTTAGTAGAGATGTTGGCCAGGCTGATCTCGAACTCCTAACCTCAGATGATCTGCCTGCCTCAGCCTTATAAAGTGCTGGGATTACAGTTTTAAGTTAACTTTTTAAAGTTTTGAACTCTCATTTAGCATGTATTTACTAGATGTCTACTATATTCTGTTAAATGTTCCAGGTCAAAGTTGACAAACTATGGTTTGAGAGGGAAAATCTGCCCACCAGTTGTTTTTGTAAGTACAGTTGGATCACAGCCATGCTCACTTGCTTACTCATTGTCTGTATTTACTTTCATGATAGATACAATGGCAAAGCTGAGAAGATGCTACAGAGACAATATGTCCTACAAGGCCTAAAACATTTACTTTTAGGCCCTTTACAGAAAAAAAAATTACAAATCATTAATCTAGGTGATGGATGTTGAATTAGAGAAAGAGAACATGAGAAAATAAAAATGTATATTTTCACCTCACATAGTGATAAATGCTATGGAATATATATATGATTTATATATATATATATACACACATAAACACATACAAACACACATACACACAAATTAATAAATACAAATAAGACATAAATTTACGATTTATACTTTTAAATGCATGGTTGCAAACAAAAAGCCTTAGTATGAATTCTAGTTTTCTCTAACACAGAGTAAGTTCACTGAAGGTATCTGATATGGTTTGGCTTTGTCTCTACCCAAATCTCATCTTGAATTGTAGCTCCCATAATCCCCACCTGTCATGGGAAGCCAATGGGAGGTAATTGAATCATGGGGATGGGTTTTTCCCATGCTGTTTTTGTGATAGTGAATAAGTCTCATGAGACCTAATGGTTTTATAAAGGGCATTTCCCCTACACACGCTCTCTTGCCTACCACCATGTAAGATGTGTCTTTGCTCCTCCTTCTCATTCTGCCATGATTGTGAGGCCTCCCCAGCCACGTGGAACTCTGAGTCCACTAAACCTCTCTTTTCTTTATAAACTACCCAATCTCGGGTATGTCTTTATTAGTAGCATGAGGACAAATACAATAAATTGGTACCAGGTGGTGGAGGGCTGCTGTAAAGATACCAAAATGTGGAAGTGATTTTGGAACTGGGTAATAGTCAAAGTTGGAACAGTGTGGAGAGCTCAGAAGAAGATAGGAAGATATGGGAACATTTGAAACTTCCTGGAGACTTCTTGAATGGCTTTGACCAAAATACTAATATTGATATGGACAATAAAGTCCAGGCTGAGGTGGTCTCAGATGCAGATGAGGAACTTGTTGAGAATGGGAGTAAAGGTCACTATAGCTATGCAAAGAGACTGGCAGGATTTTGTCCCTGCCCTAGAGATATGTGGAACTTTGAACTTGAGAGAGATGATTTAGGGTATCTAGTAAAAGAAATTTCTAACCGGTGAAGAGTTCAAGAGGAAGCAGTACATAAATGTTTGGAAAATTTGCAGGCTGACAATGAAATACAAAAAAAAAGAAATTCTGGGGACAAATTCAAGCCTGCTGTAGAAATTTGCATAAGTAATAAGGACCCAAATGTTAATTGCCAAGACAATAGGGAAAATGCCTCCAGCGCATGTCAGAGGTCTTCATAGCAGCTTCTACCATCACAGGCCTGGAGACCTAGGAGCAAAAAATGGTTTCATGGGCTGGACTCAGGGCCTGCCTTGCTGTGTACATGCCTGGGACTTGGTGCCCTACATCCCAGCCATGGCTAAAAGAGGCCAACGACGCACAGCTCAGGCCATTGCTTCAGAGGATGCAAGCCCCAAGTCTTGACATTTTACACATGGTGTTGGGCCTGCACATACACAGAAATCAAGAATTGAGGTTTGGGAATCTCCACCTAGATTTCAGAGGATGTATGGAAACACCTGGATGCCTAGGCAGAAGTGCACCACAGGGGCAGAGCCCTCATGGAGAACCTCTGCTAGGGCAGCATGGAAGGGAAATGTGGAACGGGAGTCCCCACACAGAGTCCCTATGTGGGCACTACCTAGTAGAACTGTGAGAAAAAGCCCACCATCCTCCAGACCCCAGAATAGTAGATTGACTGACAGCTTGCATTGTGCACCTGGAAAAGCCTCAAACACTCAAGAAAGCAGCTGGGAGGGAGGCTGTACTCTGTAAAGCAACAGGGGTGGAGCTGCCAAAGACCATAGGAACCCATCTCTTACATCAGCGTGACCTAGTTATGAGCCATGGAGTCAAAGGAGATCATTTTGGAGCTTTAAGATTTGATGGCCCACTGGATTTCAGACATTCATGGGGCCTGTAGCCCCTTTGTTTTGGCCAATTTCTCCCATTTGGAATGGCTGCATTTACCCAATGCCTGTACCCACATTGTAACTAGGAAGTAACTAACTTGCTTTCGATTTTACAGGCTCATAGGTGGAAGGGACTTGCCTTGTCTCAGATGAGACTTTAGACTGTGGACTTTTGAAATGCTGAAATGAGTTAAGATTTGGGAGGACTGTTGGGAAGGCATGGTTGGTTTTGAAATGTGAGGACATAAGATTTTGAAGGTGCCAAGGGCAAAATAATATGGTTTGTCTGTGTCCTCACCCAAATCTCATCTTGAATTGTAGCAACCATAATCCCCACCTGTCATGGGAGGGGCCCAGTGGGAGGTAAATGAATCATGAGGGCAGAACTTTCTCTTGCTGTTCTCATGATAGTAAATAAGTCTCATGGGATCCAATGGTTTTATAAAGGGCAGTTCCCCTGCGCACACTATTTTGCCTGCTACCATGTAAGATGTACCTTTACCCCTCCTTCTTCCACCATGATTGTGAGGCCTCCCCAGCCATGTGGAACTGTAAGTCCATTAAACCTCTCTTTCCTTTATAAATTATGCAGTCTCAGGTATGTCTTTCTTAGTGGCATGAGAACAGACTAATACAATATCTCCTCTGTAGATTACAACTAAAAAGACCGGACAAAATACAAAAGCAACTACTTGAGTATTTGAAGTGTAAATAATATCTGCAGTTGAAGAAGTTTAAACTTGAAGAACCACTATATAGTGATTATCAGCTTTCTTTGGCCTTTTTCTTATTTTATGTCCTGGATTTGCAGAGGAGACTGGGACTGGCTAAATGGATCAACTACATAGCAGGCACACTTAACAAAAACTCCAAAGACAGCCTGAATTTCTGGTGAGAGCACTGGAGGAAAAGGCGTCCTGCAAACTAGTGAGTGTGGAGAGAATCTTCATATGATTTCTTGTTTTTTGTTTTTGTTCTTATTTTTCAATAGGTGACCTATTCCACCCCAGGTATTGTGGGAGTGGCATCCCTGCTTCCAGAATGCCAAGAGTGAACCAGTGTATCTGGATTGGGAAACCTAGAAAAGCAAGAGAAAATCCCTGTTACTATTTTTCCCTCACTCTTTTTTTCTTCACACTGCTAATAAAGACATACCTGATAATGGGTAATTTATAAAGAGAGAGGTTTAATGGACTCACAGTTTCATGTGGCTGGGGAGGACTTACAACGATGGTAGAAGACAAGGAGGAGCAGGTCATATCTTATATGGCAGCAGAGAAGACAGAATTTGTGCTGGCATGTTGAGGGTAAGTCTGAAAGACAAACTTTCTATTTTTCTTTCTTTCAACACCTTTCAAATGGGTTTGATTCAGATTGTCTTGCTTCAGAATTCCCAAAGCTCTAGATAACCTTTGCAACCGAGTATTTGGACTTGCAATTATCTATGCTCAATATCACTTCCCTTTCCCTACCACACCCAAAAACACACACAGATAAGGAAACACTGCTAGTCAGTGGAGCAATTAGAACACACACCACATTTCTTGATTACATTTGTGGTCTTATATGGGCACAGTTTGTGGTGCCCCAAAACAATTGTAACATAACATCAAAGATCACTGATCACAGATCACCATAACAGATTTAATAATAGTGAAAAAGTTTAACATATTGTAAGAATTTCCAAACTGTGACACAGAGGCAGGAAGTGAGCATATACTGTTGGAAAAATGATGCCAATAGACTTGCTTGAGAAACAGTTGTCAGAAACCTTCAATTTGTAAATAACACAATATATGCAAAGTACAATTAAATGAGCTAAGCCTTTATAAGTACAACTGGGTTAGTCAGTATTTAATGATGCCTATAGCTAGGCTTATTTAAGAAGGGTTTACAAAGGCCTTACGAATCTCTTTCTCGGCTTTACTTTATTCTCAAGTTGAAACTGAATAATAATTATTGATGTAAACAAAAGGAATTCACTGAAGTTCCTATGCTGGTCTACCCAATGCACTCAGTATTGAGTGTATAAAATGCAGGGAAGCCTTTCCAATATCTAGTAGAAGTTAGATTGTAACATTAGGAATCTGGTAACTGAAGTACCCAAAGAACCTCCTATTGAATCACCCCCTCACATAAGGTGACCTGACAGGTAGGTTCTCCAAGGACAATGAAAAAATACTCATTAAAGTTAATTGTGGACCTTAAAATAGAGAAAATGAATTGTTCTCTGCATATGCTTGGATTACGTTGCCTCTAAAACTTACTGAATCTCATTAGAATATGTATCCTCTAGAGTCCTAGAGAAAAAGACTGTATATGGTTAATATATAGCAAAAGCAATTGATTCCATATGGGAAGATCAGAAGGAATCATGCATAATTATTGGGAATAAGTGATGCAAATTAAAGGAGCTTTTTATAGTTATTCTATCTATAGCATACAGCAGAACTATCCCATAAAATCAGTGTGTTAGATTTTAATGTAATGTGATTGTTTCAATTAGGAATAATATGATATTTGATTGTCTCTCATTTTGTAATATTAGCAGCCACAGATTCTCACTTCGTTCATTAGTGGTTGCAAAAATAGCATTATCCTAATTCCAAAGTTTCTTCTCCACTAAACTTCTTCACAGGACTAAAATATATCTTTTAAAAGTGTTTTATTTTGCCTATGTCTCATTCAGTGACACAGTTAATATAGGAAAGGCAGAATAAATGGTAGATTCTTTCCCTTATTTACCAACTTTGAAGACAAAAAGTTGATTTACTGGAATCCTCAATAACTAGTCAATTATTTTTTAAGTATCATTTTGCATTCTTGAATTTAAATACATTTGATGGGTTTTCTGTTTGTTTGTTTGTTTGTTTTTTGTTTTGTGATGAAGTCTCACTCTGTCATCAGGCTGGAGTGCAGTGGCACAATCTTGGCTCACTGCAAACTCCACCTCATGGGTTCAAGCGATTCTCCTGCCTCAGCCTCCCAAGTAGCGAGGACTACAGGTGCGCACCTCCACACTCAGCTAATTTTTGTATTTTTAGTAGAGATGGGGTTTCACCATGTTAGCCAGGATGGTCTCAATCTCTTGACCTTATGATGTGCCTGCCTCAGCCTCCCAAAGTGCTGGGATTACAGAGGTCAGCCACCTTGCCTGACTGATGCGGCTTTATTTATTACACTTATTACCCACTTCAGTGTCAACATTTTTCATCTGTGGCCAATCTATATCCACATTGAAGCAGACAATTTTTCAATTCATTTGGCTTAGTGGAAACAAGATTCTGATACCTTAATCTAGATACTAGGATGGGCCATTGCTTTAGGTATATCCAGCGGACTAAGCTAGGAAATATAAATATAATATAAATCCTCATGAATTTCTACTGACTGACATTTTCCTTTACTGACTGATCTTTTACTTTTCAAGGTAATTTTTGTTAGTTAACATTTTTAGCATTTATATTCTTCTCTTTCCTTGGTGCTCTTCAGCAGTACCTATTTTACATGGACTGAATCTTCATTGACTAGGTTCTATGTTGATCTCAACTTATTTTCACACTTATCTCCATTTCTTTTGGACATTTTTTCACGTTAGCCATTTCTCATGGGCATTATCTGATTTGTTTATTCCTTGTTGTCTTTTTTCTTATCTCTTCTTTTATTTTTGTCTTCAATTCTGATTTTAAATTTTTTTGTTTTTGAGACAGGGTCTTGCTCTGTTGCCTAGGGTGGAGTACAGTAGCGTCATCATAACTCACTGCAGCCTTGAACTCCTGGGCTCAAGCTTTCTTCCTACCTCAGCCTCCAGAATATGTTGGACCACAAGGGCATGCCACTATGCTTAGCTAATTTTTAATTTGTTTGTTTGTTTTTTTTTTTTTTGTACAAATGGGGTTCTTCCTATGTAGCCCAAGCTGGTCTCAAACTCCTGACCTCAAGCTGTCCTCCTGCCTTCACCTCCCACCCAAAGTGCTGGGATTACAAGTGTGAGCCAACATGCCTGACCTTGACATTTCTGTAATTTTTAGTTTTTCTGAGTTCTGTTCTCTCATTTCTGGGTTGTAAAGGTATGCCTTTTATATATATTTGTGTAATTATTTTAGGCAGTTTTGAAACACAGTTCTCATCTGTTTTTGGCATGTCTTTCTAGCATGCATTTGTTGTCTGTAGGAAGGTTATTGTGTTTTTTTCTGTTATAATTGCTTCATATGAAATTTATCTTGACTCCTGTTACTCGTTCTTATGTAAAATGGTTTTCCTGTACATACAAAGAGGAGCAGTGGTTCAAAATTTCTTTAGTGACTTCACATCTTAAGAAAACCCCTTAGTTTGTCTTAATGAAATGATAAAACATTCAGAATCTTGCTTCCTGTATATTCCTGTAGCTCTTCATCATGTTCATTTTATTGTGTTCTGCTCCATTTTAATTTCATCCTTAGAAGTTTATCTTGTGTATCAGACTTTGTCCTGGAAGAGAGTTTGGCATTCCATTCTTTCTTGATCTAAAAAATGAAACTTTTTTTTTTGTTTTTTGAGACAGGATCTTCCTCTGTCATCCAGTCTGGAGTGCAGTGGCATGAACTCAGCTCACTGAAACCTCTGCCTCCTGGGTTCAAGCAATTCTCCTGCCTCCGACCCCTGAGTGGCTGGGATTACAGGTGCCTACCGCCACACTCAGCTAATTTTTGTATTTTTAGTAGAGACAAGTTTTCACCGTGTTGGCCAGACTGGTCTTGAGCTCCTGACCTCAGGTAATCCTCCCACCTCGGCCTCTCAAAGTGCTGGGATTACAGGGGCAAGCTACCGCACCTAGCTAAAATGAGACTTTTTCTTTTCCTTCACCTGATCCTGTAGCATATAGAAATACTCTTCCCCTCCAGTTTCAAGCGCTCTTCTCAAATTTTTCTGCTGAGGTTTCAAGACAGTATCTGTTGGCCATTCTGAGCTTCTCAGGTGTGGATAGACACGTTGTTGTTTACCTCTGTATCTTCTGCATAATTTTAATAGTCATCCAACCATTTAGTTGCCATTAGTTTGTCAGTCCCCACTCATACGTAAAGGTTTGAGGGAGCAATGTGTCACCTGTTTTTATTGTACATGTTCTATGGTTTTGGTTTTGCTGCTCTAGTTGTACTATCCATTTTGATTTGGAGAAGGGGCCAGGTTTGGGGAATGTTTCAATTGATTTCACCATATATTTTCCCAGAATGCCTCTCCAAACTTTTTTACAATAGAAATCTCATCCTCCAGCAACACAGATTATATATTTATTTACAGTGAGAAGCTGATGAACACTCTATAAGCACCCTGAAGTAGATGATACGTTTCAAAAAAATAGTTTATGTTTCATTAGCTTTAGGGTAATATCAATTTACTTATTTGTTGAAGAATTATCCAATCCATGTGGACTGTTTGGTAAGTCAAAGTAACTAAATGATTGCTACGTAAATTTTTCCCTTTGTGTCCATGGACACAAGCAATGGAGTAGAAAATATTCTTATAACCTAGGTTAACCTGCATTAGGTGACACAATCACGGAATTAGATGAAATCATTAGGGGATACATAAGAGTATGTTCATTCATTCATAAATGTACTCAGAGAAAATACATTGGGTCTGTACTTTGTGTCAGGCACTATCAAATGCCTTATGTTGGTGTGCTTACTTATATCAGTATCTGTAATCTTTATTGTCAGGATAAAACACAATATGCATTGAAGATCAGGAATATATCTTTTCTATGCTAGGAAATTTTGCATGTCTTTCACATTTAATATTTACATCAGCTCAATAGAGATACAGTATTTTTCAAAATCTAGTTTATGAAAACAGGGGTTCAGGAAGCCAATAAAACTTACTCGTGGCCAGGCGCGGTGGCTCACGCCTGTAATCCCAGCACTTTGGGAGGCTGAGGCGGGCGGATCACGAGGTCAGGAGATCGAGACCATCCTGGCTAACACGGGGAAACCCCATCTCTACTAAAAATACAAAAAATTAGCTGTGCGTGGTGGCAGGTGCCTGTAATCCCAGCTACTCGGGAGGCTGAGGCAGGAGAATGGCTGAACCTGGTAGGTGGAGGTTGCAGTGAGCTGAGATTGCGCCACTGCACTCCAGCCTGGGAGACAGAGCGAGACTCCATCTCAAAAAAAACAAAAGCAAAAACAACAACAACAACAACAACAACAACAAACCCATAAAGGCACAAACCCCTGCATATTCCAGGGGATTAGAACTCAGTATTTTAGCTTTTCATTCCCTTTCATTTCTAAATTGCTTTTCCTTTTTGATGTTTCTTTTTTCATATTTTTGAAGTAACCTCGATAGTCTGATTGCTTGATAGATGTTTATCATTGTGAACAACAACTTGTATTGTTAAATGGCTTTTTGTAGTTTTGCTTTTAATGGAGGTACAGATATTACGCCTATGAAAGTAATAATACTCCCATTATATATCATGAATGTGTTCTCAATGAGTAAACAAAAAGTTACTATAGAATTTGCTTATAGCAAATAAGTTTATTTCTAAGAAATGAATGTGTGTTTGTGTCTATGTACACATGTATTTACATACAAACATATATACATATGTACATACACATACATTTAAAGAACTAATATTTTGTCATTTTATAATGCAATGGCTCCGTTAAAGTTTATGACAATTCACTGCATCCAGAGGCCAAATTAGAACTTTATTTATATCTTTTTATTCTTGCAAATTCTATGAAGATTCATCATTACTGAGATTCATTATATATTTTTGTAAGACTTATTTGCTTCATTAACTCATCTTGATCATTCATCATTAGTATCACATTTAAATATATGAAAAAATATTTCTAAATTTGAGTAAAGATGAAGGTATTCAATATACTGTCCTTAATAACATTTTTTAAAGTTATGATTATTATTAACAATATTTTCATTATGTTTTATTAGTGTTTTTACTTACATGGTGTGTTAATTATAAGATTTACTTAAATAAATTTAACCATCATGAGAAAATTAAGTTGACTCTCAAAGCGTATTCTCCTACAGCTTTCTCCAAAGAATATATATTTTACTACAGATTATTGAAATTAGATTTTCCAAAAGTGGTGACCTTCATCCTACAGGGTGCTAGGTTTGCACAGGGAACATGTCCTTCAATGTATCAATTCCCTGTGTTCTAACTTTTATCTGATCATGTTTAGCTTTGATTCAGCAACCAATTCTGAGTAGGCTTTAACTATTTTTACACTGGTGCACCTTATCAGTTTTCACTTAGACCTAGACCTTCTACCTCTATTTTTCACCCAAGGACTTATCTGACATAACAAATAGAGACTGCTTTTAGGAAGCACTCTGACATCCAAATATGTGAACCCGGCTGTTCAAAAGAGTTACCCCAATAGAGTCATCATTGATCTAATAGGGATATATATTGGTGGACAAATCTTTCTTGTTTCATGCTGCTAGCAGTCAGTTCTAAGATACATTTAATATTATTTCTTAAAAGGTCACAGGTGAGATCAACATTAGCCAACCATATTAGTAACCAACTTGATAACTAAACTTTGTATTTTATTTTTTTCATTCTCTGTTCCCAATTCCTGTTCTCTGGGGTGACCTACGAAATATACTCCCTATATTATAAACCTTTGTTTTTGGTTTTGCTTTTTCTGGATGAAGACTAACCATACATTCAAATACTTTGGCAAATATTGTATACAAATGTTTTTCATAAAATGCATAAAACACATTTAGTTTAATGGAAGTCTTGAGAAATCCAACAGTAAATAAACTTGCTTACTTCATTTTACCTAGAATTTCCCACTTATTTGACCACAAAGCCTTCTTTTCCTCTACATAATTCCTATTAACATCTTAATGCTAAAACTCTGTTCATGGCAAAGTCACTAATGATGTATGTCTCCTATCATTCCAGTATAATTTTAATTCATGGAACCATAAAAATGATTCAACCTTTATCTTAATTTTTATGATACTATTATTGAGAACCATAATCTTTGCTGTCAGTTAGCAATCGATTCATATATTCTAGACATGTTTTCAAAACCATTATCTAAAGCTATTCACAATTCTTGTTTTAGTTGCAAGCAACTGCCCCAAAACCTTGGCAAAGATAGTAAAAACTAAAATGAAGTTTTTAAAAGGTAAATAATCAAATAATTATTACGTTAAAGGTCATTTGGAAAACTCATTAAAAAATGTTCTTTAAAAAGTAAGAACATTGTTGCCTCAAAGAAGTTACAAATATTAAAAAGTAACCAGAAGAAAAACAAACAAAAATAGAATTCATATTTCTCAGTACAATATATTTATAATTGTGTTTCTTTTATCTCAGAAACATGAATAGCTACCTTAGTCCTCCATCATACTTGCTTAACCTTCCATCATATCACATTCCTTGAAGGAATGTGACTGGCTTTGGTCAATGAAACATGTGTATAATTAACATACATTACTTCTTTCACTGTTCAGTATTTGGAGTAGCGCAAGTTGATATGAAGAAATCACCAATTCAAGTATCAGAAAGTAAAGAAGTGCTCAACACATTTTTTGGAAAAGATGCAGGCTTGTCAAGGGAACCCCAGGGCCAATGTGGACACACCCCTGACATCTGAAGCTGGAAAAAATGTGATCAACAAGATAAATAATGTAGCATTGAACTATAACCCAAAGTGTAAAATAATTGAGTCCATGCTAATGTAAATAAATGATGAATAAGTAGAGGAGAAGGAGAAACTCTTTCTTACAGAAGAATTACAGCTAATTGAAAGATCATATTATGGACTGTATTGAGATTTCCAAAAATTCATGTGCTCAAGCCGTAATCCCATTACCCCAGATGTGACTATATTTTGAGATAGGGCTTCTTTCTACAAAGGTGATTAAGTTAAAGTGAGGCCATTAGGGTGGGCTTTAATTCAATCTGACTAGTATCCTTTTAAAAAGAAGAGATTAGAAGAGAGAGAGAGAGAGAGAGAGAGAGAGAGAAATAAGTGCTTGCACACAGAGGGACAACCCTCAGAAGAGACAGCCAGAGGGCAGCCATCTGCAGGCCAGGAAGGGAGGCCTCAGGGAAGACTGAACCTGCGTGCACATTGATCTGGGACTCCCAGCATCCAGAACTGTGATAAAACTAATTTATGTGGTTTAAGACACACAATCTGTGCTATTTCGTTATGACAGCCTGATAAAACTAAGATAGATAAGTAGATAGATAGATAATAGATAAATAAATAGATGAATAGATGATAGATGATCGATAGATAGATACTCCCACTCCAGGAGGTGGGGCTAAATTTTCACCCTTGAATTTCAGCAAGACATAATGATTTTCGTATCAAAAAATATGATGTGGAAAGGATAAAAATTTAACTTTATTTGGAGAAATCTGGCAGACAGTATCTAAACCAAATGTTCAAGGCTGACATCACTAATAACATCATGTTGATGCCACATACCTACTGATAGATGTGGGAAGAAGGACACTGATCTCCATGGTATTCTTCCCTCCAAATCCATAACTCTTGTCTAAAAATGAGAAAGCCATCAGTTAAGTCCAAGGTAAGGAACGACACATCTGTCCATTAGTCTTCAAAACTTGTCAAGGTAGTCAAAAAGAAGAAAGAAAACACAGAGAAACGATCACAGACCACAGGAGACAAAGGGGACATGAAAAAATAAATGCAATGTGATATCCTGGAATGAATAATGGAACAGGAAAAAATATTGGTGGAAAAGCTAGGAAAATTTGAATATAGCATCATGTTTAGTTTAGAGTAATGTATCAATTCTGATTTCTTAGCCGTGACAAATATAGCATAATTATATATAAAACTATATATAAACAATCAAGGCAAATTCTGAATTCCTCCAAATGGAATTGTGACAAATTATGGCTAAGCTTTTAGTTGGTGATAATTTATGCAGAAATGTATTTCACAGACAACCAAGTTGATTTATATCTTTCTAGCCCAACTCTATTCTCTGGAGCAAGTATTGTGCCTGGAGAAAATCACACATTTTACTTCTATATTCACTGAAATATTCTAATTCAAAGAAGTGTATACCTGGGGACCGTTTGGTGTAGTAGGACAACTTGGTTCAAGATTTCTCAGCCTTCATCATTTTTTCTTACTTTTGAAAAATGAAAAGACTGTCCCTTTTTCTTCCTCTCAATAATCTTCCTAATGCAAAATTCAGCCTGCAACCTCCAACATTGGATGAACAAAAATCTGGTCATTTTATTAACACTGAACATAGACAAAGGACTGTATCTATTGTTGCTTTTGATCACTGGAATATCTTGTGAGAGCTGAAAGAGGTAAAATCTCTTAATTGTACTCAGTCTGCAGATATTTTTCCATTACCTTGGTCTAATAATCATAATAGAGATATCACTGTTTCCCAGTCACTCAAACTGCAAAACAGGAGCCTCAGCCAGACCCCTCCTTATACAATAACCCACATACTTGATCATTCACTTTTAATGTTTCTCACATTTATTGATAGTATATAGTTTATTACTTTATCTAATCCATCTTTTCTTTCCATTTCTAATTTTCTAGTATGTGTTTACTGAATTGTGTGTGTGTGTGCATGTGTGTTAAAATAGTTAAATTTAAATGAATAAATGTTAGAGATTATACTCACTCTATACCTTAACATATTGACATAAAATCTAAAGCCCTTTCTGCCTTTACACTCAGAATTGTATGAAAGTTTAGTCACTATTACAAGCTGCTAACTACATTTGACTTTCCCAGATTTTGAACATTGTCTTACTCCTGCAAGAAATATCAACATGTAGCAGTTCCTAAATACATAGTTCAGAAATCCTACTTCTATAATTGAGGGAAGGTAATTTATTTTCTTTTCTGTTTAAGAAACCCCTTTTTTCATCAAATCTGTGCAGGTTTTTTCTTTCTCCCTTCAGCTCTTTGGAGAGACAAAGTCTCACTATGCAGCCCAGGCTAGTCTCCAACTCCTGGACTCAAGAGATCCTCCTGCCTTGGCCTCCCAAATTGCTGAGATTATAAGCATGAGTCACTGTGTTTCACGACGTTTCTTTTGTATCTGTATCTCCATTTAAGTCAGTATGGCAAATTTAAATAAAAGTTGATATTATGTTTTTATTGTTGAATATTTAAAATGTGAAAATGAGGCTGTACGTGGTGGCTAATGCCTGTAATAGCAGCACTTTGGGAGGCCAAGGTAGAAAGATCACTTGAGTTCAGGAGTTTGAGACCAGCATGGGCAACATGGTGAAACCCTGTCTCCACCAGAAAACACAAAAAATTAGCTGGGCATGGTGGCAAGCACCTGTAGTCCCAGCTACCCACAAGGCTGAGGTGGAAGGATTGCTCGAGTACCAGGAGGCAGAGGTTGCAGTGAGCCAAGATCATGCCACTGCACTCCAGCCTGGGTAAGAGTGAGACCCCGTCTCAAAAAACAAACCAATGTGAAAATGGTCTTTTGTTCACTCCAGACACTACATTCAGACAGGATAACAATTAAAAATAACAAAAAATATGCGATAAATTTTCTATAAGCAACATAGAAATGTGTAGCAAAAGAGCTAAGTTTAGGTCACTGGGGAGAAACAGGACAAATTTAAATTACAGTAAGCAAGATCTAATTTAGTGTAAGACAGTATTTCGTATTCAAAATCGTGTTTCTGGGCCCTTTGTGCTGTAACTCAAATTTGTTGGCATCTCCAACATTTTGTAACCATATTCTTTATATGTTGACATTTGTGAAATGACAAATAATTGGTAACAGGTGCAATTAATTTTAAGGAACCATATAGCAATAGATCAACAATTTTATTTCCCATAAGCAGAACTTAAATGTGAAATAGAACACTTTTTCCTTCAGGTGTATTAATTTTTTTTCAAACAACTTCATTTTACGTAAGTCTTTAGTATATTTGTTTATGCTTATTCTGGATCCAATCTACAGCATTTTCTGTATGGTAAGAGTTTTGATTACAAAGCCATGCTCAGGAACATTAAAAGTCTTTTATGTGAATGAAAAGAAATACATACAAATGAAACTACTGATGTTTGCTTCCAAAATAATTTTTTAGGTATGCTATTTCTTGTAGAAATCTTTCATCAGATAGAAATCATCTAGCAAAAATGAAATTTCAGTGTACTTTTATAAACATTTATTCATCCCCGCCCCCAACCCTACTGTCATATACACTCCACTTTTGCAGAAAAATTAGGATGTGCTATTCCTGTAGAGAGTAAATGTATAAAGATTAACTCAGGTATGTGCTGAATCCACTTGCAAGGTGATGCTTTTAACCACTCAGTTGAGCCAGAGATCAAGGAAGATGAAAGCAATATAATTTTGTAGAGTTCTGATTTAAGTCTTCAAAAATTGACCATTTGAACTTTTCTAAATTCAATAAAATTTTAAGCCCCCATATTTCATATAAACATGAAAATACAAAACTAAAATACAACTAATTCTGGGGTTCTCTTCTCTTTTGAATACTTCATATATTGCAATAGAGTCTGAATTGATGAACTGAACTTCATTATGATATTGAATATTATCTGATTAAGCCCTACAAAGTTTTAATATTTATACTATTTGTCAAAATAACGTAAATGTTTCCATTGATTTACAGATTTATAATCACTTTATAATATTCTTAGACTATTATATGTCAACTAAAATGTTTAATTTCCTAAAGCATATTCATGAAACCATTTTTCATACAGATTTCAACAAACAATACACACTCGTACATATGAATAAGCTATAGCTATGGCGAATTTGTTATTATTGCCTTTTTAAAAATAATTAAATCTCCTTACTTAACTTTGAAATATATTCTCTCTCGAAGCCTCAGATATCCATTTAACTAAAACGTATGTTTTAATTACAGTGCTGATATTTCTGGCCAAGAAAGACTGGATTCACAATGAAGGATTGCAATTGAAAAGTCTTTTGAGAACTCAAATTTGAATACACTTTATCGTACATTGATGAAATAATTCTATAATATCTATATACTAATTTAGTATTTATCATGAGAATACCTCTCCTATAAGCAAGAGATAATACTTTTTATAAAACAATGTTGTTTGAATTCTTGGAAGGTTAAAATGATTTACCTATTATATATTCTAATATAGAATATTTTAGTTGAATTTATTGTATCCACGTGGTCAGGTTCAGGACATTTTCATTTGTGAGTGCTCTAAATATAAGAGCAAACACCTTTAGTTAGGTGGTAGTAAAATTATTATATAGTAGCTCTTCCAGAGATGTGAAAGAAACTACGTATTGAAACACAATTTATCTACCACTGTCATCTGTCTGCTCATGATCCATTTACAGCATAGAAGAGACTGGACTATAGATGATGTTGAATAGACATTGCACCTGTTGCAGACCATCATTTTCCTCGGACAAAATATTTTAACGGAGTACATGACTTGGAAAAGTACAAATATACACAAGTAATTCCACTGAGATAAACATATATAGCTATTGTTTTTGGAACATAATTGAATTCACAAATGTAAATTTTCCTTTTCTGATTTTTAAAGTTATTTTTAACATTTGAATTGTTAAACTGAAAAAGAAATTTTCTGTATATTTACTTCTAGTCTGAAGTAGAATATTTGCACAACTAATTGTAGATTCTGTAGTTTTATATGATGCAAAACTACTAATTTTATGGTAGTCATAATTAGAGTAACAATGAAGACAACATTTATTAGATTATATAATTAGCATGTGGCAGGCAATGGGCAGCACCCTTTGCATTTTTCTTTTCTTTTATTATCCTAACAAAGTTCTATGAGTAAATTTTGATTACTCCCATTTCACAGATGAGGCAGTTGAAGTTCGGAGAGTTTAAGTAACTTCAACAGGTTGCAAACCAGTAAAGAGTGGAAATGGAGCTAAAATTTGAACCACGTTTATATTGCCAAAGCTCATGTCCTAAAGCTATACGGACTTTCTGATAGAAATATTTAAGGAAGTAATAGCGAACAAATATGATGGAATACAATTTTATGGAACTTGGCAGAACAAACTAGAAAACAGAAGGGAGAACTTCAGGCATATTGGTAAAATGAGGTTGGGACCCCTGTCGGGGAAGAAAATCAATACTTAGCCATTCTCTTGTGCACCATTGATGGAGCACCCCTGCTAGTAATGCTGATTTAGTATTTTCATAGTGAATCACACTGAAATAATTTTCCACAGTCTTTACAGGGCCAATACACACTTGCCTCTTGCAAAAATGTTGTAGTAAAAACATGTATTTTAAAATACTAGAAAAAATACATAACGATACTCTTCTAAAATTGCTTAGAAAAATGTAATCCAGTGAGTGCCTTTTATTTTCTGTCTAAGCACCATATATTAGATTATCACTGGACATTTCTTTTTCTGTGATATTTAGAAATATTTCAGGTCAGGTGCGGTGGCTCACGCCTGTAATCCCAGCACTTTGGGAGGCCGAGGCAGGCGGATCACGAGGTCAGGAGATGGAGACCATCCTGGCTAACACTGTGAAACCCTGTCTCTACTAAAAAATACAAAAAAAATTATCCAGATCTGGTGGCGGGTGCCTGTAGTCCCAGCTACTCAGAAGGCTGAGGCAGGAGAATGGTGTGAACTCGGGAGGCAGAGCTTGCAGTGAGCCGAGATCGCGCCACTGCACTCCAGCGTGGGCGACAGAGCGAGACTCCGTCTCAAAAAAAAAAAAAAAAAAAAAAAAAAAAAAAAGCTGAAGGAGTTAGTGCAAAGTGCTTTTTACAGTTTTTACTTCATTTTGCACTTTTATATTACCTTTGCAAGAACATTAATTGTATTCATTTCCAGATAAAAACCACTGAGTTGAGAGAATACAGGAAATTCCTAAAATCATTTAGCTACATACATTTGCATTTTATGGACACTACTATTCACATATACTTCTGAAACTTTTAACCTGACAGTGATCTCTCTAGCCAATGGAGTTATTCATTAGTAACATGACCTTTTCAAGTTGTGTCCTCAAGTTACTATCCAGGTTATTATTTGTACACTTAGCACTTATCATAACTGAGTGATGATGATTGATAAATTTAAAAATGTTCAGGCCTGGCGTGGTGGCTCACGCCTGTAATCCCAGAACCTTGGGAGGCCGAGGCAGGTGGATCACAAGGTCAGGAGATCGAGACCATCCTGGCCAACATGGTGAAATCCTGTCTCTACTAAAAATGCAAAAAAAAAAAAAAAAAAAATTAGCTGGGCATGGTGGCACACACCTGTAGTCCTTGGAAGGCTGAGGCAGGAGAATCACTTGAACCCGGGAGGCAGAGGTTGCAGTGAGCCGAGATCATGCCACTGCACTCTAGCCTGGTGAGACTTTGTCTCAAAAAAAAAAAAAAGTTCAGTGCTACCTGCTTCTCCTTTTGTTCAGTTTATTCTTCTGAATAACTAATGGCAAATGGAACTCTCATTATGTCTGTTTTGACTGAGGAGCCAATAGAAGAGTTATGAATTGCCAGAGTGAGGGAAAGAGAGACCTCATCATATGAAGAAATTACAAAAGCAATTTAGAGAAACGTGGAAGGCATTTTTTTTTTCACCTTGGATTCCTATTTATTCCCATCTCTGGGAAGGCCTGTAAATAGCAAAAACCCAGGTCTCAGACCCCACCGCTGATACTTAAGCTACAGAAACTGTAGACAAGTGTATTAATCCGTTTTCACACTGCTGATAAAGACATACCCAAGACTTGGTAATGTATAAAGAAAAGAGGTTTGATTGACTCACAGTTCCACAAGGCTGGGGAGGCCTCACAATCATAGGAGGAGGAAAGGAGGAGCAAAGTCATATCTTCCATGGATGGCAGCAGTCAAGAGAGAATGGGAGCCATGCAGAAAGGGGATACCCTTGTAAAATCATCAGATCTCATGAGACTTACCACAAGAACAGTATGGGGGAAACGGCACCTATGATTCAATTATCTCCCACTAGGTTCCTCCCATAACACATGAGAATTATGGGAGCTAAAATTTAAGGTGAGATTTGGGTGGGGACAGAGTCAAACCATACTATTCTCCCCCTGGCCCCTCCCAAATCTCATGTCCTCACATTTCAAAACCAATCATGCCTTCCCAACAGTACCCCAAAGTTTTAACTCATTTCAGCATTAACTCAAAAGTCCACAGTCCAAAGTCTCATCTGAGACAAGGCAATTCCCTTCTGCCTATGAGCCTGTAAAATCAATTGCAAGTTAGTTACTTCCTAGATACTTCCTAAATACAATCCACCATGACCTGGATGTGAGACTTGGAGTCAAAGAAGATCATTTTGGAGCTTTAAGATTTGACTGCCTCACTGGATTTCAGACTTGCATGGGACCTGTATCTCATTTTTTATGGCCAATTTTTCCCATTTGGAATGGTTGTATTTACCCAATGCCTATACCCACATTGTATCTAGGAATTAACTAACTTGCAATTGAGTTTACAGGCTTATAGGCAGAAGGGACTTGCCTTGTCTCAGATGAGACTTTGGACTGTGGACTTTTGAGTTAATGCTGATAGCTTGCCCCATGCACCTGAAAAAGCTACAGTCACTCAGTGCCAGCCTGTGAAAGCAGAATGCTCTGCTTCCCTTTTAAACATAAGTTCCAATTCCAATTCCAAACCATCTGTCTGTGAATGCATAAAACTGAATGCTTTTAAGAGTACTCAAGTCACCTCTTGATTGCTTTACTGCTTAGAAATTTCTTCTGCCAGATACCCTAAATCATCTCCCTCAAGTTCAAAGTTCCACAAATCTCTACGGCAGGGGCAAAATGCTGTCAGTCTCTTTGCTAAAACAGCAAGAGTCACCTTTGTTTCAGTTCCCAACCAGTTCCTCATCTCAATCTGAGACCACCTCAGCCTGGACTTTATTATCGATATTACTATCAGCATTTTGGTCAAAGCCATGAAAGTTTCTAAGAAGTTCCAAACTTTCCCACATTTTCCTATCTTCTTCTGAGCCCTCCAAACTGTTCCAACCTTTGCCTATTACCCAATTCCAAAGTCGCTTTCATATTTTTGGGTATCTTTATGGCGCACCCCACTTTACCAGTCCAATTTACTGTATTAGTCCATTTTCACACTGCTGATAAAGACATACCTGAGACGGGGTAATTTATAAAGGAAAGAGATTTAATTGACTCACAGTTCCACATGTCTGGGGAGGCCTCAGAATCACAGCAGAAGGCAAGGAGGAGCAAAGTCACAACTTACATGGATGGCTGCAGTAAGAGATAATGAAAGCCAAGCAAAAGGGGAAATCCCTTATAAAATCATCAGCTCTCATGAGACTGATTCACTACCATGAGAACAGTATAGGGGAAACCACCCCCATGATTCAATACCTCCCACTTGATCCCTCCCACAACACGTGGGAATTATGGGAGTTACAATTCAAGTTGAGACTTTGGTGGGGACAAAGCCAAACCATATAAGCAAGTGACAGTCATCCAGGAAGAACTACTCCCCTAATCCATTTCTTAACCATCAAGTGAGGCCTGCAGGAATGTCTCTGGTACCTAAGTTTTAAAAAGTTTAGAATTGTATGATCAGGCCATATGCCCTTCAGCTCCTGAATGTTCATTACAGAGTCAAATAAACTGTTGCAGGCTGAAAATTCCCTACCTCAACCTCTCCCCCAAAATCTAAGTCTTAATCCTTGCAGTCTGTCAATGTTACATGACAAAGTTTTTGCAGATGATGTCAAGTTAATGATCTTGAAATGAGGGTATTATCCTGGGTTGTTTGGTTGAACCCTAAATGCAAATACCTGTCTCCTTAAAAAAGAGACAGAAGAAGCAAAAAAAAAAAAAAAAATTGAAGAGACTGACCTTGAAAATTGGAGCAATGTGGTTTATGAGGGAAGAAATTCAGGCTGCCATCAGAAGCTGGAAGACACATGAATGTATTCTGTCCTAGAGCCTCTGGAAGGAGCATAGACCAGTTGGTACCTTAACTTCAGCCATTGACAATGATGTCAGTTTTTGTTGTTTGTTTTTGACTTTTGCTTCTGTTGTTTTTGAGACAGGGTCTGGCTCCCTTGCCCAGGCTGGAGTTCAGTGGCACAATCTTGACTCACTGCAACCTCTGTATCCCAAGCTCAAGCAATCTTCCCACCTCAGCCTCCCGAGTAACTGGGATTAAAGGCACACACTATCAAACCCAGCTATTTTTTGTATCTTTTTGTAAAGACGGGTTTTCCCATGTTGCCCAGGCTGTTCTGGAACTCCAGGGCTCAAGTATCCACTCACCTCAGCCTTACAAAGTGCTGGAATTACAGGCGTGAACCACCACACTAGGTCAATTTCAGATTCTGGAAGTATAGAAAAAAAAATTCTGTTTCTTTATTTTCTTTTCTTTCATTCTTTGTTTTGAGATGGGATTTCACTCTGTCACCTAGGCTGGAGTTTAGTGGCATGAACACAGCTGGATTGCAGCCTTGAACTTCCTGGTCTCAAGCGATCCTCCACCTCAGCCTTCCAAATAGCTGTGACCACAGATATGTGCCACCAAGCCCAGCTAATTAAAAAAAAAATTATAGAGACATGGGTCTCACTATGTTGCTCAGGCTGGTCTTGAACTCCTGGGCTCAAGAAGTTCTTGCACCTCAGCCTCCCAAAGGGCTGAGATCACATGCGTGAGCCACCACACTGAGCCAATTTGCTTTAAGTCACCTAGTTTTTGATTATTTGTTACAGCAGTCACAGGAAACTAGTGCATTGAAGATATACAGAAGCTGTCGAAGTGGATACGGTGAATTGTGGGAAAATATTTCTTGTGAGAGCTGTTGCTGTGCACTGTGAGTACTCAGCAGGCAAGGATAAAGGATGCTACCTCTTTCGCTGCAAGTCTGGTGAGTAAACTTCTATGGGAGAATGTAGAGGTCCTGAATTGAGAGAGATGAAATCTGATGTATGAACTCATGCCTTAGAAAGACAAGACATCCATAGAGCAAGGGAGAGGGTGCTGCCCCAGGACTTATGGAAGCAAAGGATGCATGAATGTTTCCTGTGAACTAGATGCGGACGAGGAGAAGAGTCAGTGTAGGGTCTACTTAGGCCTTTTCCAGAGTTGGCTACACATGGTCCAGTGCAAAAGATAATGTGAGTCTCTTGCTTTAATGGCAGAATTGTTTTTTCCTTTTTTAATTGTTTTTTTTTTGGAGACAAGGTCTTGCTCTGTGACGTAGGCTGGAGTGCAGTGGCACAATCACAGCTCACTGCAGACTCAAACACCTCGGCTCAAATGATTTTCCCACCTTAGACTCTGGAGTAATGGGGACCACAGGCACTTGTCACCACAACCAGCTAATTTTTAAAATATATCTTTTTGTATTTTTTTTCCTTTTTCGGCAGTCTCTCTCTCAACCTTTTGTGGTAGGAAGGATAATTGTCTCTCTAAATTATGCACGTCCTAATCCCTAGAACCTGATGAAATCTTGCTTTCATGGCATAACAAGAATTACTGTTGCAAATCAGCTAATTTTAAAATGAAGCATTATGCTGGATTATATTGTTGAACTCAATATTATCTCAGAAGTGGTTTAATGTGGAAAAAGGTAGCATAAAATCAGTGTCAGAGTGACACAGTGTAAGAAAGACTTGACAAGCCATAGCTGCCTTTGAAGATGGAAGAAGCCGTAAGCCAAGGAATGTAGGCTGCCTCTAGAGCTTGGAAAAGGCAAGAAAATGTGTTCTACTTTAGAGCTTCCAGAAAGAAATACAGTCCTGGAAACTTGATTTAAGCCCAGAGAGACCCATTTTAGATTCTTAATTTACATAACTATAAGAGAATAAATTTGCATTGTTTTAAGCTACTAAATTTGCCGTAATTTTTGTGGCATCAAATGAGCAACTAATATACCTCTCATGGATGTTTCATTTGCTATCTAATGACACGTGCTCCCTTAGGTATGGTGATGCCCACAGGATGAGTACAAACCCTCATAGGTGCCTGCACTCTGCTGGAAAACTCAGCATGCACAGGGTGAGCACCCAATCTTGACATTTCTTGCAACCAGCCCAGGCCCCTACTAAGCCCATCTGGCAGCAGTGTCTGGGTCAGGGGTACAGGTTTGGCAGCCAAGAAACCATCCTGGGAGAGTCAGAGAAGTGGCAGGAGATCCAGCTGCATTTGAGCTAAGTCCCTTAAGCCTCCTGTAAGTGCTCAATTTCCCCAAAATGCAAAGTTCAAACAAATTGAACAAAACACAAGTGCAAACATAGCATTATTAAGAATTTTAAGACAGCAAATGGAGAGCACTAAGCACCAAGTATGAGGGCACTTTCTGAGTATGGGAGCCTGTGCTATTGCACTGGATGTAGGTCCATGGAGCTGGTCCTGTTATTCATGGACAGCAAACCGCAAGGGCAATGGGACCCTGAACCTAGAGGGGAACCCTAGTTTCCCTGGTACTGTGAAAGAGTCACAATATTCCACAGAGAAGGTACTTGCATTTGCCTCAGTTCAGGAAATTGTGGATGATATAAGCTGGCTTCTACCAGCAGCAGACACAGCAGTAAGGGTTTGGATGAAGCTTTATATGGAAGGTGATCTCAGAAAACACTGGCAGTGTAGTGAGGAAGTAAGTCAGGGCAATGAAGTAATCTAATGAGGATATGTTAATAGCAGGTTACAGCTATTAGCAATTAGGCATCTGTCCTGCTAGAGATCTTCAGGAGGGTGTACGTGTGCATACATCAGAGATGTCCCTCATGGGGGTAAAATAAAACATGGGATATTTAGCCTCCTACTTTGTCGTTGATTAAAGGTTGCTCTTAGAAGTGTTAATTCCTGATACTTCCGGCATGCTTCTCATAGGGCTGATGCTTGTTTAATTCTTCTTTATTTCTTATTGGATTCCTTTCTGAGCCACTGCCAACCACCTGTCACGACAGCAATTGGAGAGGAAGCTGTTGAATAATGGACATGAAAAAACTATTTCATATTAAAATACAGAACATATGTTACACATGAGAACTGTTGGATCTAATATGTGCTTTTCACATCGTGGAATGAGGAATGAGAAGAGATACGGAAGTACCTATTCTGATTATCTGGAGCTTACACCTGTCAAAGGTGTTGTCAGAGAATAAGCTGGATTCTTGCTGGCTCTTTCCTCCTGACCATCTGGTGGCACTTGGCAAACAACAGAAAATTTTTCACAATTATTTAAAGTATGTGATGATAGAAAGTTTAGTGAAAGGTTACTTAACATTTTCTAAGCTCCTTCTGTTTAAAGGGTACGGTATTTTTTTTACCCTGTCATATGTTCGAGTTTTTGTGTAAACTCATGGGATAATGATAAAGTAAATAAAGAAATATGGAACAAAGCAAATATGTCTTAAATATTTTTTTTTACTGGATGCAGAAAGGCAGAACACATAGTACCCTTAAGAATAAACTTAAATTATTAGAAAAAAAATACTCTCATCTCACTTATACCTTGCTCTAATCTCTCTTTCAAATGGCTTTCTTGGAATTTTCTGGGTATAAGTAGGAAACAATGAATATGTTGTTTAAAACCATAGTGTTTACAAATCTCAGTCCATAAATTTGCTGTAAAAGTAATGTAATGGATATTTTCTGTAACTAGACATAATACTTCCAGATCCTATTTTGCCTGGTGGTGAAAACATATTTCCAGTTAATTAACATCTACTTCTTTCCTCAGGGTTGTGTCTAATATCCAATGATGATAGGCAATGGGGACCGGCAAGGGGTGCCCCACCTAGTACTCTGTTATCTGTTCTTGCTGGAGTTCTCTGAGGCATCTACTAACTCTTCCAGGTTTTGGTCATTGATCCATTAAGGTCCCTGCTCTATTTATCTTTTCTACCTCTGCGGACTTCCCATGCCACTCATGGTACACGGGCATCATTCTTCTGCCTCCTTCTCACCACATTGAGATAAAGAAAATTCTTAGGCATTATTTAAGGCATCTGCAACATCAGCACTCTCCTCAGGGCCTTGGGAAACATTTCATTTTTCAATGCCATGATGGAGAATGCACAATTTTTAAGGATGTCTCTGGCTCGTCATCCTTTCTACTAAGAAGTCATCTTGCTTTGAGTTGATAACTCAAAAAAGAGGGAGGAGGCCAGGCGCGGTGGCTCATGCCTGTAATCCCAGCACTTTGGGAGGCCGAGGCAGACAGATCATGAGGTCAGGAGATCGAGACCTTCCTGGCTAACACGGTGAAACCCAGTCTCTACTAAAAATACAAAAAATTAGCCATGCATGGTGGCGGGCGCCTGTAGTCCCAGCTACTCGGGAGGCTGAGACAGGAGAATGGTGTGAACCCGGGAGGCGGAGCTGGCAGTGAGCTAAGATCGCGCCACTGCACTCCAGCTTGGGTGACAGAGTGAGACTCCGTTAAAAAAAAAAGGCGAATATAGAAATTCACCATCTATTTTCTGGTAACTCCAAATGCATGTGGCATTCTAGTTTCTCTACTGAGTCCCCTTCCAGCAAGTGAGCCCCTTTCTTGGAGGACCACAGTATCTACTTACATTTTTTTATCCTTTGACATTCTTTTTTGATGGCACAGGAAATATTTAAAGTATGTGGCTTTTCATGTTCACATACTGTTTCTCTTCTAGCCATTGTCCGTGCACAGGAGTCCTGTGTGTTCCTTCTTGTGGCTGAACTTCCGAAATTTAAAAGTAAAGAGACTTTATTGTACCCTTCCTGTAATGTTAACTATTTTCTGAGACGAAAGTCATCTAGCCATCTCTTGACCACAAGAAACAGAGTAGGGATAAAATGACTTCAGAAAACACTCACTACAGAAAAAGACATTGCTTAATATTTTTGAAATATACTACCTCATAAAACAGGCAGTTTGTTTGAATTCACACACATCTGATGATAGATTGGTGTGTATGTGTGAGACGGAAAAGGAGTGATGTTAGAAAATTTGGACTTACTGTGAAGAAAAACAATGAGTTGTGTGTTCTTGCTTAAGAATGCAATTGTGAAATACTTGAAGCATTAATTCCTCCTTTTCTTCTTGGTATCCCGACACTTCTTCCTAGTTCTGGACAAGACATAGATATATTATCCTGTCCCATTTACCAAGTAGAGCCCCATAGAAATGGCTGCCAAGCTTGTGGAGCCATTACAATATGAAGTATCATTACTAGTGAGGATCCGAAAAGAGTAAAGATAAGAAGAAACTGTAGGTGGTGACTGTGCTACCTCTGGTTTTTATGCAGATGTGGCACATTAGACCCACCGTTGAGCAGTCACACTCAATGTGATGCTGAGTGTAACACAAACTTTGAGACTTCTAGTAAATGTTGAATTCAGAGATTCTACAAAGGATAGCAGAATTTATGATAATTTTTCTCTACTTTTAATTGTTAAAGTAGATGTATAAAGCAAGCTTGTCTAACCCAAGGCCCATGGGCCACATGCAGCCCAGGACCACATTGAATGCAGCCCACCACAAATTTGCAAACTTTCTTAAAACATTATGTTTTTTTGTGATTTTTTTAACCTCATCAGCTATCATCAATGTTATATATATTTTATGCGTAGCCCAAGACAAGTTTTCTCCTTCCATTGTGGCCCAGAGAAGCCAAAAGATTGGACACCACTGGGATAGAGCATCACCAACCTAGTTATGACTGTAATATTCTAGGATTAAACATGATTAAAAAAGAATTTGCTAACTTTTGGACTTACAGTGAATCTACAACTTTATGAAAACTATAAATAATTGAATATTTATTAGTAGATATCCTTCAAAATTATAGTCTCATCTACTATGTTAATTAATACAAGACTGTTCAATCATGTATGTATTTCCTCATTCATTTATACAATAATATAATGTAAAACTATAATTATTTATTTATTCTAGACACTTATCAAGTCATTAAGAATATAGCAGGTGGGGCACGGTGGCTTACGCCTGTAATCCCAGCACTTTGGGAGGCCGAGGCGGGCGGATCACGAGGTCAGGAGATCGAGACCATCCTGGCTAACACGGTGAAACCCCGTCTCTACTAAAAATACAAAAACAAAATTAGCCGGCCATGGTGGTGGGCACCTGCAGTCCCATCTACTCCGGAGGCTGAGGCAGAAAGGCGTGAACCCGGGAGGAGGAGCTTGCAGTGAGCAGAGATCGCGCGGCTGCACTCCAGCCTGGGCGACAGAGCAAGACTCAGTCTGAAAAAAAAAAAAAAAAAAAAAAAATACAAGTTTATTTCGGCTCATGGCTCTGGAGCCTAGAAAGTTAAAGAACACGTTTCTGGCATCTAGTGAGGTCATCCCATGGTGCAGCGCACAACAGCAAGAGAGTTTGTATGAGAGAAAAAACATGAGGGTCCTGGCCTACTTTTTTTTTATTTTTAGTTATTTATTTATTTATTTTTAGGGGGAGTCTCGCTCTGTCGCCCAGGCTGGAGTGCAGTGGCGCGATCTCGGCTCACTGGAACCTCCACCTCCTGGGTTCGCTCCATTCTCCTGCCTCAGCCTCTCGAGTAGCTGGGACTACAGGCGCCCGCCGCCACACCCGGCCCATTTTTTGTATTTTATTTTTTAGTAGAGACGGGGTTTCCCTGCGTTAGCCAGGATGGCCTCGACCTCCTGATCTCGTGATCCGCCCGCCTCGGCCTCCCAAAGTGCTGGGATTACAGGCGTGAGCCACCGCGCCCGGCCCTGGCCTACTTTTATAACTACCCGCTCTTGTGATAACTGAGCCACAGTGACTGCATGAACGCCTTCATGAGGGCTGTGCCTTCGTGACCCAATCACCTTCTATTAAGCCCCACCTCTCAACACTGCCGCAATGAGTAGTAAGTTCCCAACATGTGAATTTTGGGGGACACATTCAAACCATAGAAGCTGAGATAAGAATATTTGAGTTTGGTTGATCAAAGTGGTGTATGTTGCCGTTTGCTTACAACAAATCTGTTTCCCTATTTCCCATATTAACAGATTCCAATTTTTTTCAGGACTGCATGCAAATATACCCGCTTCTCTCATTCTCTTTCATCTTGGTGTGTTCATACAATATAGTTCCAGTCAAGAAGAGGCAGGTGAATGTCTCTGAAGATGGCATTCGTTCCCAAGTAAAATTTGAAAGTCTTACTATGAGAAAACCCTTTTACTATTGTAAACATGGATTTTGCAGATGGAGCGGCTACCTTAAGATCATGAAGCAATAAGAATAGGGACAAAAGTGTACTCATTTAAGCACACTAGAATACAAAATTCTTGAGTACTTGATGGAAAATTGAGCTGCCATTCAAGCCCGACTAACCCTTTCTAAACTATTTGGTGCATGGAACAAGTAAATCCCTTACTTTTTCAGCTATACTAGTTGGGTTTTATGTTATTTTCAGTTGAATGTATGCCTAAATAATATAGTCAGTAAAAAGCTTTGAAAAATTATATTTAAGCAAAAATCTGTCAACCCTGAGGCAGTTTTGAGACAATTTGGTAAGTATTCTAGACTAAGATAATGTCTAGCACAGAGTTCCCAAAACAGGAACAAGGTTGGTGTTTTTGAGGGTTTGTGGTTAAGAGGAAAGTATTTCCTCATTCCTTGTGGTATCCACGCTGAAACAGAGTATATAATTTCTATTCTTCAATTCATAGCACTCCGTTCAGAGTCAAAGGCACTGTTATTTTCTATTGTGTTGAAACATCAGGTATAAATTAGAACTGCCTTGGGCAAACTGGAAAAGTCTATTATAGAATTACAACATAATGTTTGACCAAGAATTTTTTTTTGGTGCAATAATGCTTTATAAAATCTATCCTTAACTATTTTTAATTTTCAATATAATAAACTTTTAATTTTTTCTAGGTCTTGGAATTTTTTTAATCATTGTGATGTGATGTCTTCATCAAAATTATCATTTTAAATGTCATGACAGACTCATAACCTATTGAATGAAAGAATTTCCAAGATGGCCAAGGTATGTTTTGTCATTAACAGTAATGTGTTCAGGTGTCCTTAAATACAGATACAAAGAAAAGATTCATATAGGATGCACTATTTCAGAGCCATTCTTCCCTATCTGGTTCAAAAGAAGTGCTATTGTTTACTTTAGACTGCCAACCTAAAATCAGAGCCAAGTAAACTTAGGGAGCCCAGTGACCTACTCAAAGAAGGTAAGTTTGCTCACAAGCTGTTATCACTGAGTTCTGGGTAGAAAGTGGTGGTGAATTTATAAGTTCTGTTCTTCACGTCATGCCAATGATCTTGTTTGCTATATTGGAGTGTGACTGCAAATTTAAACAACTTTCTATGATATTAGCTGAGATGTATTTGATCTGTGTCCAAAAATGGGATTATATACATGTACTGGTTGATGTTGTTAAACATTCATTGCTTCTGTCAATATTTGCTTACGTAAATACATGTAAACATAGGACAAACTTTTTTTACAGTAAACAATGGAATGAAACTGTTATTATGTCATAAGACTTTGTTTTCAATTTTAATATATATTCGATGCAGCCCTGAAATCAATGCCTATAAATCCATCACAATATTTTCAATAATTAATTTTTTACAAATTTTAGTTAACCATGGCCCTCTCTCACTGAACTCCTAGAAATTTCTACCTTTATTCTATCAAAAATAATTATGTGATAAATATCTCTATCTATATTGATATCTAGATCTCTAAACATCTACATGTATATGTACATATGAGACAGAAATATAAATGTGTTCATAAAATGCATGTATACGTAATACAGATGCACTTACATTCAATTTCTCTAATTCTCATTAATGATAGGTGAAGCTAGAATTTCTGCTTACTTCACATTTTAATAAATGCTGATGTTAATTTCTGATATATATTCAGAAGAAAAATATCAATTTAAAGTCCACATTGTGCTTCAACCCTTACTCCAGACTCTGAGATGAAAGTGTCTGTGTGCTTTTTTCCTATCTGGAAATGATTTAAATGCTTATAAGAGGATCGCTAAGTACACTATTAATACCTGCACACAAATAATCTGCTGCTGTAAAAATGAATGAGGAAGGTTTCCATACACTAATATAGAGTTATCATCAGGATATAAGTTTAAATCAAAAGAGCAAAGGGTAAATAAGTAAATATGTTAGGCTAACATATATAAGAGTGTACATTCTTACATAAAATTTACATTCCCACCCAACAGTGTATGAAGGTTACCCCTTCTCCACATCCTAAGCAGCCTTTAATATACATATTTCCTTTAATAAGTGAGAATATATATGAAGATAATTGCACATATGAAAACGATGGAGAAAATCATTAAATCAAAAACTGGATTTATAAAAGTTTTATTATTTTTTCCTCAATTTACATTCTTACATATAAGGTACCTTACATATAAGGTAAGAACACATTCTTTCATAGAAGGTAATGGTATATATTTCCTTAAATTGGCAAAAGTAACACTAAAAGCAGAAACCAAAAGCTAATATAGTGTGTACAAGAAGAGGAAAAGTACAGATAAAATAGAAAGAAAACTAGAATTTCCGAAAAAACATTATCAGATAATTTCATCACCAACACAAATTTTTCATATATGCAAAAATAAATTTAAAGCAAAAGATTAAAAAGTAAATGTAAAAATTTAAATGAAACTGAAAAATATATCTACTATAGGTAATTGAATAATCAAATCAAAGATATAAGGGTACAGAAAAAAGTAAATATTGCAAGACTTTTTATAAGTGCAAGATGCTATTGTGTCTCAACGTTTATACTGAATTATATACTAAAAAAAAAAAAAACTGCAAGCTGGGCATGGTGGCTCACACCTATAATCCCAGCCTTTGGCAGGCTGAGCCAGGTGGATCACTTCAGGCCAGGAGTTCGAGATCAGCCTGGCCAACATGGTGAAATCCTGTCCTTACTAAAAGTACAAAATTAGCCGGTCATGGTGGTGCACACTTGTAATCCCAGCTACTTGGAAGGCTGAGGCAGGAGGATTGCTTGAACCCAGGGGGCGGAGTCTTCAGTAAGCCGAGGTCATACCATTGCACTCCAGCCTGGGCAACAGAGCGGGACTCCGTCTCAAAACAAAACAAAACAAGCAAACAAACAGAAAAACTACAGCAAAAACATAAATTCACTAAGTACTTTATTTTAGTTGTAACTTAAAAAAAGTTCTATAAATTATTTTAAAATGCAAATGAATAATAATGAAGTGTCCTGTATGACTAATTTCAATGTAAAACTAAGAATAGAAATATAAAATTATCAAATATATTAACTAAAAAATAGTAATATTAAGTATAAAGTAGAAATATCAATGTGAATTTATTTTTTTCTTTCCAAGAATATATTTCCTTTTATTAAGAATAGAAATGACTACAGTTGAAAATACAAAAACCACAGAGAAAATCATTAAACCCAAAATTGAATTTATATTATTATTATTTCTTTCCTAAGCAAATTTTCTAAATATTTCTTCAGTTTTTACATCAAAGGGATACATAGTAGGTGTATATATTTATGGGGTACATAAGATACTTTGATAAAGGTAAACAATTTATAGTGATCACATCAAGGTAAATGGGATAACTGTCACCAGAAATATTTACCATTTCCATGTTTTATAAACTTTCCAGTTGTAATCTTTTTTTTTTTGAGATGCAGTTTTACTCTTGTTGCCCAAGCTGGAGTGCAGTGGCATGATCTTGACTCACAGCACCCTCCACCTCCCTGGTTCAAGTGATTCTCCTGCCTCAGCCTCCTGAGTAGCTGGGATTACAGGCATGCACCACCATGCCCAGCTAATTTTTTATTTTCAGTAGAGATGGGGTTTCTCCATGTTGATCAGGCTGATCTTGAACTCCCAACCTCAGGTGATCCACCTGCCGTGGCCTCCCAAAGTGCTGGATCCAGTTATAATCTTTTAGTTAATTTTAATGTATATAAAAATTAAATGTACAAAAAAATTATTGTTGCCTCTGGTCACCCTGTTGAGCTATTTAATATTATTAATAAATCTTATTTGTTCTATCTAACTCTACTTTGTATCCATTAACTAACTGCACTTCCCCCAACAAATTACTCTTCCCAGTGTCTGATAACCAGCATTCTATTTTCTATCTAAATTCAACTGTTTTAATGTTTAGCTCCCACAAATGAGTAAGAATATGCAAAAATTGTCTTCTGGAGGTTGGTTTCTTTCACTTAATATAATGTCCTATGCTTCCATTCTTGTTGTTGCAAATGACAGGATCTCATTTTTTTTATGGCTGAATGTACTCCATTGAGTATATGTACCACATTTCCTTTAACCATTCATCTGTTGATGGACACTTAGGTTGTTTCCAAATCTTGGCTATTGTGAATAGTGCTGCAATAAACATGAAAATGTATACATCTTTTTGATATGCTAATTTCCTTTCTTTAGCACATTATACCTAGCAATGGGATTTCTGGACCATATGGTAGCTCTAGTTATAATTTTTTGAGAAACATCCATGCTGTTCTTCAAGTTGCTGCACAAATTTATATACCCAACATCTATATGAGGGTTACCCCTTCTCCACACAGAAAAACATAGAATACTATAACACTATACTTGTGATGTGTAAAGTACTCACACCTTGAATAGAAAGACTAAAATACGAAGTGATCAAAAATAAGAACTACAGCAACTTTTCAAGACATAGAGGATATAATAAGATTTAAATAGAAACAACAAAAATGTTAAAAAGCAGGGGAACAAAGTTAAGGTGTAGAGTATTTATTAGTTTACTTTTTGCTTGTTTGTTTGCTTAGGCAAAAAGTGTTGTTATGACCTCAAAATAATGGGTTGTAAATCAATAGTTGGAAGCATTATGGTAACTTCACACCAAAATCACACAACTCATACACAAAAAATAAAAAGCAAAAATCTAAATCATATCACCAGAGAAAATTACCATCACTAAAAGGAATATAAGAATGAAGGAAAGGGCCGAGCGCAATGGCTCACAACTGTAATCCCAGCACTTTGGGAGGCCGAGGCAGGTGGATCACTAGGTCAGGGGTTCAAGACCAGCCTGGCCAAGATGGTGAAACCCCATCTCTACTAAAAATACAAAAATTAGCCAGATGTGGTGGCGTGCACCTGTAGTCCCAGCTACTTGGGAGTCTGAGGCACAGAATTGCTTGAACCCAGGACGCGAAGGTTGCAGTGAGCCGAGATTGCATCACTGCACTTGAGCATGGGTGACAGAGCGAGACTCTGTCTCCAAAAAAAAAAAAAAAGAAAAAGAAACAAAGAAAGAAAAAGAATAAAGGAAAGAAAGAAGAAACAACCACAAAACAAATAACAACATGGCAGGAATAACTCCTTACTTATCAATAAATGACACTGAATAATGGACTAAACTCTCCAACCAAAAGACATAGAGTATCTGAATAGATATTTAAAATAAACAAAAAAAACACCAAGACCCGGTGATCTGTTGCCTGGAAAAAGCACGCTTCATCCATAAAGACACACAGGGGCAAAAAGTAACACGATAGAAAAAGATATAGCAAGAGTAGCTGTACTTGTATCTAATAAAATAGATCTCAAGACACAAACTATAAACAGAGGCAAAGAAGTTTATTATATAATGAGCAAGGGGTCACTTCAGCAAGAGGTTATGACAAGTGTAACTATATATGCACCCAGCATTGGAGCAGCCAGATATATAAGGCAAATACTATTAAAGCCAAAAGGAGAGACATAGACCTCAACACAGCAATAGCTGGAGATTTCAACACACCACTTCCAGCATTGGATACATTATTCAGACAGAAAATCACAAAGAAACATCAGACCTAATCTGCACTGTAGACCAAATGGACCCAATAGATGCTCACAGAACATTTGATCCAATGGCTTCGGAATACTCATTCTTCTACTCAGCATATGGATAATTCTCAAGGATAGACCATATATCAGGTTACAAAATAATTTTTTTTAAACTTAAAAATTTGAAATTTTATCAGATATCTTTTCTAATAAAATTGAACACAATGAAATAAAAGTACAAAATAGTAATAAAAGAGTCTCTGGAAACTACACAAACACATGGAAATTTAACAATATGCTCCTGAAGGGCGAGTGGGTTAATGAAGAAATTAAGGAGAATATTTAAACATTTATTGAAACAAATGATAACGAAAACACAACATACCAAAACCTATGGGATAAGGCAAAAGCACTACTAAGAAAAAAGTTTATAGCTGTAAATCCTACAACATAAAAAGTTAAAAAAATGTCTCAAATAAACAACCTAACTCGTCATCTTAAAGATCTAGAAAGTTAAGAACAAATTAAATCCAAGTTTAGTAAAAGGAAATGAATAACAGAGATAAGAGCAGAAATAAATGAAATTGAAACAAAAACATACAAAAGATTAATGAAGCAAAAGCTTGGTTTTTTGAAGAAAACAAAATCAGCACATTTTTACCCAGACTATCTAAGAAAAAAAGAGAGAAGACCTAAGTAAATAATTTCAGAGATAAAAGAAGGAGACACTAGAACCATCCAAATAATCATTAAAGGCTACTATGAAGCAACTATATTCCAATAAATTAAAAAATGTAGAAGAAATAGATAAATTCATAGACACATACAATTTACCACAATTGAAACATGAAGGATTTAAGACCTAAACAGACTAATAACAAGTAATGAGATTGAAGCCATAATAAAAAGTATCCCATCAAAGAAAATCCTGGGGCCTGATGGCCTCACTGCTGAATTTTAACAAACATTTGAAGAAGAACAAATAACAATCCTATTCAAACTATTTCAAAAAATAGATGAGGAAGGAATACTTCTGAACACATTCAAAGAGGCTAGTATTACCCTGATGCCAAAATCTGACAATGAGACATCAAAAAAAGAAAACCACAGGCAATCTCCCTCATGAACATTGATGCAAAAATTTTCAAGAAAATACTAGCAAACAAAATTCAGTAGCACATTAAAAATATCATTATTCATAGCCAAGTGCAATTTATCCAAGGGATGCAAGAATGGTTTAACATATGCAAATCAATCAATGTGATACATCGTATCAACAGAATAAGGACAAAAACCTTATGACAATTTTGATTGATGCTGAAAAACTGTTTGATAAATTCAACATCCTTTCATAATAAAAACCCTCAAAAACTGAGTATAGAAGGAATATACCTCAACACAAGAAAAGCCATATATGACAGACCCACAGCTAGTATCATATTGAATGAGGAAAAACTTAAAGCCTTGTCTCTAAGAACTGGAACAATATAAGGGTGCCCACTTTTACCACTGGTATTCAACATAGTACTGGAAGTCCTAGCTAGAGCAATCAGACAAGAGAAAGAAATAAAGGTCATCCAAATTGGAATGAAAGCAGTCAAATTATCTTTGTTTGCTGATGATATATTCTTACACTTGGGAAAACTAAAAGATTCCACTAAAAAACAGTTAGAACTGATAAACAAATTCAGTATAGTTGCAGGATACAAAATCAATGTACAAAAATTAGAAGCATTTCTATATGCCAACAGCAAATAATCTGAGAAAGAAATCAAGAAAGCAATTGCATTTACAATTACTACAAATAAAAAATAAAATACCTAGAAATTAACCAAATAAGTGAAAAATCTCTATAATGAAAACTATACAACATTGATGAAATAAGTTGAAGAGGGAACAAAATAATGGAAAGATATTCCATGTTCATGGATTGGAAGAATTTATATTTTTAAAATTTCTATACTTCCCAAAGCAATCTACAGATTCAATTAAATCCCTATCAAAATATCAACATCATGCTTCATAGAAATTGACAAAAACAATCCTACAGTTTTTATGGAACCATAAATGATCTGAGTTTGTTCTCAGCAAAAACAACAAAACTGGAGGAATCACATTACCTGACTTCAAATTATACTATAGAGCTATAGTAACCAAAAAAAAAAAAAAAAAAAAAAAGCATAGTGCTGGCATAAAAACAGACACATAGACCAATGAAACAGAATAGAGAACTCAGAAATAAATCCATACATCTACAGTGAATTCATTTTTCATAATGGCATCTAGAACATATGCTGCGAAAAGGACAGTCTCTTCAGTAAATCGTGTCGGGAAAACTGTATATCTATATGCAGAAGAATGAAAGCATGCCCACATCTCTCACCGTATACAAAGTCAAATCAAAATGGATTAAAGACTTAAACCTAAGCCCTGACACTGTGAAACTACTACAGTGAAACACTGAGGAAACTCTCCAGGCCCTTGGACAGGTCAAATATTTCTTGAGCTATATCAAGCAAGCACGAGCAATCAAAGCAAAAATGGACAAATTGGGTCACATCAAATTAAACAGCTTCTTCACAGCAAAGAAAACAATCATCAAGGTGAAGAGACAACCCAAAGAAAGGGAGAAAATATTTGTATACTATCCATCTGACAAGGAATTAATAACCAGAATACACAAGGGTCACAAACAACTCAATAGGAAATAATCTAATAATCTGATTGAAAAATGGGCAGAAGATCTGAATAGACATTTGTCAAAAGAAAACATAAAAGTGGCAAAAAGGTATATGAAAATGTACTCAACATCATTGATCATCAGAGAAATACAAACCAAAATTACAGTGAGATATCATCTCACCCCAGTTAAAATGCCTTTTATCCAAAAGTCAAGCAATAACAAATGCTGGTGAGGATGTGGAGAAAAGGGAACCTTTGTACATTATTGGTGGGAAGGTAAGTTAGTTCAACTACTGTAGAGTACAGTATGGGTGTTTCTCAAAAAATTTAAACTAGAGCTAACATATGGCCTAGAAATCCCACTGCTTGGTATATACACAAAAGAAATGAGATTCATATATCAAAGAGATGTACGTACTCTCATGTTTACTGCAGCACTATTCACAATAGCCAAGATTTGGGAACAACCTAAGTGTCAATCAACAGATAAATGGTTAAAGAAAATGTGGTACTTATACAGAATGGAGTACTACTTAGCCATAAAATCAAATGAGATCCTGTCATTTGCAACAACATGGATTAAACCTGTCATGTATGCACATAAGGTACCCGTTGGCAGTGATGCTCCACTGCGCTCCAGGGTAAGTGTGGGAGGCTGTGGATGGGTCCCTTGTGGGTGTGGAGAAAGCACTGAAGCAGCTGGAAGCACACAGCACGAGAAGGAATTCGCCTTCACCAGCAGAGTCAGATAAGCGTTTCTGACTGCACTGCAGAAAGTACATGTTCAGTCCCTAAGGGACACTGCGCCGGTAAGAGACCTCCAGGTGCAAGCTGTGCGCCTGGGGGCTCAAATGCACAGCTTGGAGCAAAAACTGTGGGTAAGGACCTCCAGGTGCAAACAGGGCATTTAGAGGCCCAGAAAAGCAGCCTGGAACAGGAAACAAAGAATAAAGGAAAGAAAGAAGAAACAACCACAAAACAAATAACAATATGGCAGGAAACAGTGAGACAGCCGTCACTGTGACCTTGAGCCTGTTCTCCAGGCAGGGAACTGCCCCGTTCAGTCTAATGCTGAGGAGCAGGAGGCTCCCCGCTGCAGGCTCGCCCTGTGATCTGTCAGAAGGTAGAACATGAGCAGCCAATGGGACCTCAGGAGCGGGCTCAGGGCCCCCCTACTGTGGTGGAACACACTTCCTATAGTGCTTATACCCTCACTGAGCTGCGGGAGTTAGGCAAGCAATGTGGGCAGCTTTTGGGGGAGCCCCTTCCTGCCTGGTTACTCGTCTTTCGGATGAAGGAGCTGACAGCATTTCCTGCTCCACCTCTGAGGTGGAGAAGCTGGTTTCTATTACAACTTACCCCTCCCTTCCTCAGCAGCTACAGCTGGTGAACACAGGGGCAAGGTGACCACACTGATTGAGTGGCTGATGACAGTGAAATACCAGAAACTGTCAGTAGATGGCAGTGGCATACCGATTTGGTGCAGGTACTCCAGGGGCTGGGTATATGGCAGGCCATGTTTGATCTGAATACCTGGGGGCCAGATGATGAATGTTTTGTCTCTTATATGAGGAATCTTGTTCTGGGCTAAGTGCACCTAAGTGCTTTTGCCTCTCTGGCTGCTGTCCTCACCCCGTATGTGGGGTGTCGCATATATGAAGTGACTACTACTATGGTAGCCCTCGAGGAGGCAGAAGGCCATCAACAGGACCAGGGAATTGTGCCATAAAGAAGAGGAAGATGCTCCATCTACAGGTACCCACCCCCCGAGATAAGAGAGGGCTCCAGTGGGTGAACCGCATGAAGATGTGGACTGATTTAATTTCAGCTGTGTTGCTCCAGTGAAAATTGACAGACATCCCAACAGAATGCTGTTGGCTCTGGAGGCAATTGTCCCCAGAGCAACAATTCTGGAAAATACCCAAGAGGGGGCAAAACAATGTTGCTCAACCCAGTCCCACCCAGACGCTTCAGCTCAAGGACTATTTGCAGACTGGCTTAGATACGAAGCCTTTCCTGTTTGATTAGGAAACTGGCCAAGGTACCTGGGTTGCGGGGGAACCAGGCAACTGAAGGCCATACGTGGAGTTGGCAATCCACTGGTCTGCCACTAATGTACGATGGGTCCTAGCGCTGGTAAATACTGGTGCAGACTGCAATCTTTTTTATGGGAACCCAGATAAGTTTCTGGGCAGAGCTGCATTTATTGATGTTTATGTGGGCCAGTCAGTGATGGTGAAACCTGTGTCTCTGCATCTTGGCATTGGCCACTTGGCTCCTCCACCATACACTGTGTATGTCTCTTCCGTACCTGAATGTATATTGGGGATGGACATTTTGCATGGTCTGGACTTGTACACCATGGTCAGAGAATTCAGACTCAAGTCCCTGTAGTAAAGCCGGTACTGCATGGACATACATATCACCGGCCCCAAGTTCTGCCACAACCCTGACAGGTTACCTCCACTCGTCAATACCATTTGCCAGGGGGATATATGGAGGTAACTGAACCTATTAAGAAGTTAGGGGAGGTGCAAATAGTGCATAACACCAATATCCCCTACAGTTCCCTGGTATGGCCAGTCAGAAAGCCTGATGGGACTTGACAGATGACAGTGGATTGTTCGGAACTGAATAAAGTAACACCCCTTCTGTGTGCAGCTGTACCTTCCATTGTGGATTTGATGGACCACTTGACAATGGAACTGGAACAGTACCACTATGTTGTAGATTTGGCTAATGCATTATTTTCCATTGACATTGCTCCAGAGAGCCAGCAACAATTTGCCTTCACATGGGAAGGACAACAATGGACTTTCACTGTGCTGCCACAGGGCTATGTACATAGCCCCACTGTTTATCATGGTCTTGTGGCCATGGATTTAGCCACCTGGAAATGTCCAAAAGAGGTCCACCTGTTCCATTATATTGATGATATTATGTTAACCTCTTATTCTCTTGCACATTTAGAAGTGGCGGCGCCCCTCTTGTGGCAACATTTGGCAGTATGCAGTTGTGCCATCAACAAATCCAGAGTCCAAGGGCCTGGATTGTCTGCCAAATTCTTAGGAGTTATTTGATCAGGTAAGATGAAGGCCTTAACAGAGGCCATCATTAATAAAATCCAGGCATACCCCCAACCCACCATGGTGAGACAGCTGCAGTCCTTTGTAGGCCCCTTGAGGTGCCTACACCTAAAGACTTTTTGTAGGCCTTTTGGCCATTCATGCCCCATTTGGCTCAAATGATAAAACCATTGTACTGGTTGACCAAAAAAGGGGGCTACCTGGGAGTGGGATGATGAGGCTGAGACAGACTTTCTGTCAGCCAAGTGGGCTATTCAGCAAGCACAGGCCTTACAAGTGATTGATCAGGGACGCCCATTTGAACTTGATGTACATGTGACTACAGATGGTTTTGGCTGGGGCTTATGGCAGCACAGAGAGCACTTTAGAATGCCAGTAGGTTTTTGGTCCTAGCTGTGGAAAGGAGCGGAGCTCCGATATTCATTGATAGAGAAGCAATTAGCTGCTGCATATGCCACACTTCAGGCCTGTAAGCCAAGAGCATGAAGGGATGGGCTATGGTCATCCTATGGATGGCTTACCCAATAGCGGGGGGGGGGGGTGTGCTCATGGGTAATGACCCCCAACCCTGGGATGGCATAGACATCCACTTTAGCAAAGTGGGGCACCTAAATTGGAGCAGCAAAGTTCACAGAGTATAAGTCCTTTAGCAGCAGAGTTACAAGAGGTCACTGGGCCTGTAGTCCTAATGCAAGACAAGGCCACAGGGCCTGAGGCACTCCTAGACCCTGAGCCATCACCGTTTAAGGAAGGGCACCCCCCATTCCTGATGGGGCACGTTATACAGATGGGTCCAGCTGGGACACTACTGCTGCCTTGAATGCAACAGCAGTCCAGCCTAGTATTGACATGTATGGTTTGATACTGGGTGTGGACCAAGCTGCCAATGGGCTGAACTCAGGGCAGTGTGGATGGTGATCACCAAAGAGCAGATGCCTATGGTAAACTGCACTGATAGTTGAGCAGTCTATTGAGGCTTAACCTTATGGTTAACTACCTGGAAGTTACAGAATTGGCTTGTAGGCCATTGGCCCATTTGGGGCAAACCATGTGGCAAGACCTTATAACTGTCTACCATGTGTAGGGTCATATGCCTTTGACCACCTCCAGTAATGATGAGGCAGATGTCTTGGTCAAGGTCCATTGGTTAGAGTCGGCATCTACATGAGATGCGGCCTTGTGGCTACACAGGAAACTGAGACATGTGGGAGATAAGCTGATGCGGCAGGTCAATAGGTGCTGGGGTCTGTCTTTGCCCTCGCGGGACTTTTGGGAGGCCTGCGAGAAGTGCCCGTCATGCACTCAAGTGTAATGGAGACACTGCTCAGTGTAACACAACAAGTGAGTGTAGGGCAGATGCCCTTGACAAGATGGCAAATAGATTACATTGGACCACTGCCAAAATCACAGGGCTACACGCATGCACTGACAGCTGTAGACACAGCCACCAGCCTGTTGTTTGCTTACCTTAGCAGGGTGGCTGACCAGCAACACACCATTCGAGACTTGTAACACTTAGGTGCCTTATACAGCCATTCCCTGGCCATTGAAAGTGACGGGAACACATTTCACTGGACAGCAGGTACAACAGTGGGCACAGCGGATGGACATACAATGGGGGTTCCACGTTCCTTATAACCCACAAGCCGCTGGCATGATTGAGCGATATAGTGGACTCCTGAAGAATGGTTTACTTTTGCATGTTACTCTTACTCCCCAGTCTTTGTGGTGCTGGAGTTCCAGGTTGGACCTGGCGCTCCAAAACTTGAATGAGCAGCCATGGAAAGGTGGCACAGCTACAGTGGAGGCACTGACACTGGGCCGCTGCCCCCATCCAGCTACAGATACAAACCAAGGATGACTTCCACCGACCAGTTATGGGGACAAATGGTAATCTGTTGTTGCCTGCCCCAATGCCTCAAATGCAGAACAGAAAACCTGGTGTTGGCCCTCCAAGCCCCCCATTGCTGATGGTTGGCTGACATAGCCCCCAGAGGGGAGGGCCTGCAGTATGACTTACATGTTACTCCTTGGGTATTTAATGTGTGGTCCTCACGATTAACCATTCATAGGGGAACAGCCAGGGAAGGGACCCTCCTCCGGGGGACATGTGTACTGCCTGTGTGGTCTAACATGAGCTCCCCTGTGACTTTGGCACAGTTACAAGACCCTAAAAAAACACAGGGATCTGATAAGCTGTCGCAGAAGAAGTCCTTGGAGGCTGCGTTGTTTTCCAGAGATGAAAATTTGGCCCGTATTTTGCCTGAGGGACATGACTTACCCCTGTTAATACTTGTGCCTCCTTTGCGGTTCCGGCCGTAGGTTGACATGCTCCAACACCATTGTGGACTGGGCCCACACCTATGCCCAGGTGACCAATGTCTCCAGCTGTTGGATCTGCACTGCCCTTCCAGCAGCAGCTGTGGATGGCTTGCCCTGGAATGTACATCCAACTTCTAAAAAGAACTACTAGACATGGCTAGAAACTTGGGGTCCCACAGACAGTGGTTGGAATGCAACATGGTGAGCTTTGGATAGGGGGCATTGCAAAACCCATGACAGGCCTGCCCCCGGCTGACTTATAGTGTCCATGATGGGTGGTGCTGGCTAATGAGAGAGCACATGGTACTCTCATTGCAGGTACCATGATGTATATATAGAGCAACACTGCGGTGAAGTCACTGTGGGATTGTTGCCCGCTGCAGCCTGTGCAAACATAATATGTGTCTCCTTACCAAGCCCAAGCCCCAATGGACTTTGTGCCCCCTGGGAGTTTATGGGTATTTGGGAACACAGGATGGCCATGTCTGCCAGCCAACTGGACTGGATATTGTTGCTGGGGGTGGCCCATGTGCCTGCCACTGTGCTTTCCACATCGCCTTGTCATCCACATAACTGGAAGGCGCTACGTTCCTGGTTTTTGTAAGTGCAGCGGGCCCTCTGGTGGCTCTACCCCTTAGCAATAACTATCCCAGGAGCAGGTGTTATTCATGTAGAAATGCAGGTTACAGCCCTTGCAGTGCACACAGCTTGGGCCCTGAATTACACCCAAGTTACCCTCCTTTTGTTAACCGATGAGGTTGATCAGATCAGGAAGGTGGTGCTGCAAAACTGGATGGCCTTAGACATAGTAACAGCTGCCCAAGATGTTACTATGTTCCCTTGTAGGCATACAGTGTTGTACATTCATCCCTGACAACCAGCAGAACACAACAGCAGATTTACAAGGGATGTCACAGGAGATTAAGGTGGTTGAGTGCCTTACTGACAACCCCCTGCAGAGATGGTGGGCATCTCTGGGCTCTGGCCTATGTTGGGTTCTCATAATCATAGGTAGCACAGTAGGAATATTGGTAGTAGGTTGTTGCTCTCTGTATTGTTGCTGTGGCCTCTGGGTCCAGGGTACTGCCCTGTGTGCACAGGTCCCCACAAAGAGGACTACCTTGGCCTAGGGGGTGGAGTGTAAGGAACATGGCTGCACTGCAGCCAGGCAGGCATAGGCCAAGATAAACATCCTGTGTGACTCAACGAGATTGGACTCCAGGCACACAACTCTGTGCATTATATAATCACAGCTATGTAGCCATAGTATGGGAGGGCTCATCACCTGGCTTGTAGCCACTGTTGTTTGCCAGGTGCATAAATGCAAACACCCACAGTGTGAGTGAGCTGCTGAATAAAGCCATGTCCCATCTACCTGCTGTCTCGTCAGTGTTCTTCCCACTCCCTACCCCTCATCTACCCACTACCCTCAGATCTCAGCTGGGGCTTGAACTTGATACCTTGCCTTGATGACAATTGCCTTGATGACAATTGTTAATTATAATAATAACAAAAATTTGACCACTCCCTTAAAAAGAAATGACTTATGGACTCCACAGCACATAAATTCAATATAAGTTTTCTCCTTATATGTTTGGCTCAAGAGCACACACATTTTTAATATTAATATATTTAATATTACAACCATCTACAAATAGCAATTCCCAATAGGTGTTTACAATCTTGATCAAACACAGACTTGCACAATCCCTGAACATTAAAGGTTGAACACCCATTGCTATCATTTTGAAAAGATCCTCAAGGTATTTGGCACTGGTTGTGATAAACGGTCATGATTAGGTCAGTTCAGATGGATGACAGGACAGCTGTATGCAGTTCTATCAATTACTTTTTGGTAATGGAACAATTCAAGAGAGCCAGTGAAAAGCATTAATACAACTTGACAGTGGATAATGAATTATTTGATGGTTAATGGTTGAAAATGCTGTATCAAAGGCTAAATCTGCTAGAACAAATCAATTACCATTCTTAATACCAACAGATAGGTTTTCTGCAAAACCTGGCATATATGGCTGTGTTTAAAATTCTAAATGGCCATGTAAAAGTGAACTAAGATGATCATAAGTAACACACTATTAACTTTAGGAAAATCAAACATTATATTGATTCTTTCATTATGTAAAGTCAATTAGCCCCATCGTCAGTGGTCAGTGTTTACTTAAACAGTGTGTGGGCCTGTGTACTTGTGAAGGTACGAGTATATGTCTGGAAGGCATACAAACCTTCTTAAATTTTGAGTGTTGCCTTTGTTGCTTAAACAAAATAACAGCAGAGGGGAAAAAAATCTATACATGTGTAAGTTTAGCTAAATCATCATCTTGATTTTCAAAAAATCCTGAGAAAAAAGTTATATCTGTAATAGCATTCTTTTTCTCTCTCTCCCTTAACGTGATACTGAAATGGCTATGCCTCAACAGAAATTAGAAATTTATCGCAGCAAATGTAAGCTCACGTTCATTTACTGCCTATTCTAGTTGATATTATAATACATAATTAGTTTAGTCAATCTTTTAGTTGTTTAGAAATACTTATTAAGCACCTGATCTGAGCCAGGAATTTTAGTAGATGTTAAAGATATCTCACATGTTGCTGTATCCTCACATGGTAGAGAGAAGGTAAGGTTTGGCCTCTTTTTAAAAAAAAAATTATTTTATTTTATTTTAAGTTCCGAGTTACATGTACAGGATGAGCAGGTTTGTTACATAGGTGAATGTGTGCCATGGTGGTTTGCTGCACCTATCTACCCATCACCTAGGTGTTAAGCCCTGCGTGCGTTAGCTATTTATCCTGATGTTCTCCTTCTTGCCACCACCACCCCCGACAGGACAGGCCCCCGTGTGATGTTCCCCTCCCTGTGTCCATGTGTCTCATTGTTCAGCTCCCACTTGTAAGTGAAAACATACAGTGTTTGGTTTTCTGTTCCTGTGTTAGTTTGCTGAGGGTGTCTTTTAATATGGGCACAAACTCTATTAAGGGGGGATCCATTCTTATGACATCATCCAAACCTAATTACTTCTCAAAGGCCCCACCTGCAAATACTATCACATTGTGAGTTAGGGACTCAACTTGTGAATTTGAGAGAGCCACGAACATGCAGTTCATAACCAAGGGTGTGTGTGTTAAGGCCGGTCTGAAAGAGAAATGAGAGAGAGAGTGAGAGGGGGGTGGGGGGGAAGAGAGAGACAGAGAGAGCGAGAGAGAAGTGCACTTTCACCAATGAAGTAAGAGTCTGTGTTTTCTGTGCAGCACGTTGATTAATCCAGCCTGGAGCTTTCCTGAAAGGTACTGCAAGTGACATAACCTAAGGGACAAAATGACCAAGCATAAAATGGACACATTCACAAAATGAAGCCTGTGGACTGAAGAGTAACAGAAAGCAGTCAGTGGAGGGGGACCATCAACCTCATGAAAATTGCAACTGGAACATGTCACTGAGAAAACCCAGGGAAAACTCACAAAGGCATTCTAGAGCACTGCTTCCTAAATGTTACTGTGCTTACAAACTACCTAAGTATCTTGCTGCAATACAGGATATTCGGTAAGCTATGGCAAACTCCAAGGTGATGGCTGATGTGTCTGGTTCAACAACTACACTTCGTATCAAAGGTTTAAAGAAAAAGACTTGGCTTCAAGTGCCTGCCATACCAAGAGGAGACTGACAGCAGATTCTACCAGCATTACCTTTATAAAGTCTGTGCTCCCCTTTCTGCTGTTGTCTCTCTCCCAGTGCTAGATCTCTAGAGAGTGAGAAATCCAAGTTGATAAAGGTTAGAAAAAAGTAGGGAAAATAACCACCGAAAGACTGAATATACAAAGGGACAATGGCCAGACCACTTATGGTAATATAACGCTGATGACTCACATTAGATGCCCAGGAAACCAAAAAACAACTTCTGTAGCAATCAATCCAGAAAGTCAAATGACAGCCTTTGTAATAACCAGCTCAGATGGTCAGGACTAAGTCAATGCTGCCAACTTCCCTGTATTTGTTCTCACTTTCAATCAGGATGAACAAAAAGAAAGCCAAATATAAAATCAATTCCATAAGATGACATGTGTCCAGGTAACCTGTCCCAGTCCTTCCCATGACAACAACCTGCCATCAAGGTCTCTACATAGCCTCTTTTTCTTTTTGCATTACTAAAAAGCTTTTCCACTGTCTGTCAGTCTTTGAGTCTCCGCCAAACATGGATAATATTAATAGATAATGGTAGCCCACTCCCTTGTTACAGTAACCTCTAAATAAATAGCTTCACTTGTTTGTTCTTCGGTGGGTAGTCTTTGTTTATTCTCATAACACAAACATTTGCCATACTGCAGTCTTTCAAATCAGAATCAATTAATCTTGAGCCGGGTGAAAGGAAAAATTCTGGTTTTTAATTAGATATGCAGTTATTTGCATAAATTCAGGTTCAAGGTGACTATTACATGGAGAAGGAAAGGAAAGAATGCTTTCTTTAGGTACTGTATAAGTGTGGTATTTATTGAATGAGGGAACGGATTAACTGCATCATAAAAACACCAAGAAGAAACAAGAAGAAAGGTTTGTATAAAGTACTGCAGTAAACTAACAAGGATAAAGGGCAAGGGGGTGTGGTTAGTACCCATTATAGAGTATAGTGATTAAATCTCTTAATTCAGGTTCAGACCGATTTGAAATTGAGCTTCACATCTTTCAAGCACATCTTGTCCTCTCTTGGGCACATTGTTGCACTTCTCTGAGATAGTGTTTATAAGAAAATGGGGTAAATGATAGTTGCATCTCAGGGGGCTATTAAATTAGAATTAAATAAGAGAATGGTTGCAAAGTCCCTAGCACATAGCAAATGCACAAAAAAGTTTGCTTTTCTTTTTAAAACATTAAATGACTTTGGGTTTAAATTGATAATAAGTCTATTCAAATTTTATGAAAAAACAAATAACATACAGTTTTAGGCTGGAGTCCATCGCAAATATTAGTAAATTAATATTATTGAACGCAGTAGTTTATTAATTACATATAAATTATTTGCTTTTTCTAAAGAAATGTTACTAAACAGGAGAAATTGTAGCAAGAACAAGTTTTTATTACATGTTTCACAAAAAAGGCACATAACTAATGGAATCATATAATAACCAAAGAGTTCTTATTTGGACAAATAGCTCTGGTACAAAAAAAAAAAACTACAAATACAAGAGGATTCTAATGAGTAAATTAAAAAAAAAAATGTAACTATGCCACCAAATTTTTATTCAGGATACAAAATCTTAAGGTATGGAAGTTACATATTCATCAATGGTAATTTTTTGTTTGGTAGGTGACTTCTAGCAAGAATAAAATTAATTTATTTTTGGCTTTATAATCTTTATGTTATTTACAATATTTTTATCTATTTTAGATATTTTTAGAAGCTTAACATTATACCATAGTTTTTAGTCAATATCGTATCGCAGACTTTTTCTATATTTCGATATATGTTAAAAATTGTCATTTTTAGTATTTAAAAAACCATACAGAAGATAGAAAACAAGGCAAAAAATTCATATTTCTACAATTCACTAACTATTGTGACCATTTAATGTTTCTACTCCTAATAAAACTTCTGGTTTTTGCTCATATATTTGTTTGTGCCTGCTTATTTTATTTTAGCAAAATTATATTCTTAGAGAAACTACAATATCTCTTACTTTTATGCACTTGACATAATAGCAAGTTTATTTATTTTAAAAAGCCTATCTGTTTTCTTGCAGTGCATTATTTTTATTATATCTTTACTAGAATAATCTGTAAAATTTTTCTAAATTTTGTGGGAAAAGGGAGGAACACATAAGTAGATAGATAAATGATTATCCATTGTTACTCTCTATATTTTTAATTACTGGTGCTATGATATTCCTGTTAACCAATACATTTTCTTTGCTTAAATCTATATTTATTACTTTGTATACATATCATTGACCCACTTCTGTATTATCAACTTATATATCTCTAAGGTTTTCAAAATCTCAGTTCTTAAAAACATTCTATATAGAACGATAATCTAATGGTAACATTTACATGTTAAATATTTCTATTTTAAATGGCTTAGCTACAATTCTCAAAAAACAACTCTTAAAATATTTACAATAAAAGCTTTTCTAAAATTAATATACTAAATAGATAGATATACTATGATTCCTCTCAGATAATGACTCAACTTGTTACAGGATTTCTATCTATAATGGATAGTAATGTTAAGGAAACTGCATTTAGATTTTTTGTGTATCTTCTTAAATAGTGAGGTCTTAAATATCAGACAGGTAAAAGTTACTTGTAAGATTATTTCACAAGATTAATCCTTCATGGTGCATAAAGCTGCTGCAGGTGCTGGTGTGACAGTTTTCATCTGAGTTTGAAATTCTTATGAAACTTCAAGCCCATTTCTGACTTGAAAAGAAAAATGAGAAATTGCAAAGACTTTAAATTCACAATGTGCCTGGGGCAAAGATAAAATTTAATTCAGCAGGTCCTATTACTCATGGCAGACAAAGCCAAAAATTGTTTTATTTTTATAATAGCACATTAACCTTTTTTGGAAAAATAAAAGGTAAAACTGGGGAAACAAACCTCATCCATTTTAAACTACTATAACATGATAAATATATATGATGAAACACATTTTAAGGAAAAAACTTTACAAAGTTTTCAGTTTTGCATGAAATATTTAAATATATGTTTCATTTTAATAATGCCTTGAATATAAGTAATGATATTTGAATTTTAAACTTGCATGATCCAGGAAAAAAGTTTTACGTTTAAAAGCTACAGAGAAAACAAGAATGTGAAAGATATTAAATAACAACAGATTTTTTCAATTAAGTAACAGTATAATAGCAAGTGAAACTATTAAAAGTATACCTTTGACGTCTTAGAATCTCAGATTTCAAACAGAATAGCTTCTGAAAATAAGGATCTTTAAAATGTCAAAAAGAATTGCTTTCAGGAGATCAGTATGTCAAAAAATTTACTTTTATTCCCAAGTTTCTCATTTTCACACATAAAAACAGAAACACAGTGTACTTTGGACATGATTAATTTATTGCTTTCTTGGGTGATGAGCTCAGCATTGGTTGTGGGGCCTGGTATTCCAGGGCCTTCTGTGCTCCACATCGTTCAGGCTTGGCCCTATCATGCCTCTGTGTTCACAATATGTTCTACCACACATTCCTCTGAACGGCTGAACTCTGCAATGCCCAGTCTACAAAAATACATAATTAGGTTGTCAGAGCCACTCTCATTTGTCCTTATCTTGTCAGTGCATGTGTACTATTTATTAGTGAATTCCTGGGGCACTGCAGCCACTACACCTCCCAATGGGGTTTCTTACTAATATTCCTTTCTCTTGCCAAGAACATCAGTTTAATTAAACACAGTTGGCCTAAAGGTGTGAGACTCCCAATCCCATCAGCAATCTTTCTTTACCATGTAAACTGCATGCAGTTTGATTTTAGCTGCTTCCTAAATTGTGTCTGTGTCCGTACATTATTCCCCGGAAAGTTCATTTTTCTCTAAGAGGAACGTTGCACGTTTGTAGTTCCCTTTTACAGGAGAGGTATACTTTCAAAAGACCACCTGTGTATGCTTAAAACTGAGAATAGTACCAATCCTACATATACTGTTTTTTCCTATACATACATCAGCTATGACAAAGTTTAATTAATTAGGCACAGTAAGAGATTAAAAATAATAACTAAGATTAAAATAGAAAAATCATGACAATACACAGTAATTAAAGTAATCACACACTATGGTTGGATTTTTTGCAGTTTGAAGATACAACAGAAAATGTAGCACACGTATTTTCCCTTCTTTACAATTTCACAAATAGAAGATCCATTCTTACTATGGATCTCAGCAACCTCAATAGACATTTTTGTCTTTCCTTATTAAGTCAAGAACCTTCACATAAAGGAAGCACTTTATGGCTTCTATTTGGCATCTCTGAATTGCCAGAATCACTACTTCTGTGCTTTGGGTCATTATTACATAAAATAAGGGACGCGAACACACTCACTACAGAACGTGTGACAGTCAATCTAATAATGGAGATGGCTCCTAAGTGACTAATGAGCCAGTAGCATAGACAGCTTGGATCTGCTGGACAAAGAGATGATTAATATCCCGAATGGGGTGGAGCAGGGCAACACTAGATTTTATCTCACTACTCAGAACAGCACCCAATTTAAAACTTAGGAATTTTCTATTTCTGGAATTTTCCATTAATATTTTTGGGGTGCCGTTGACTGCAGCTAGCTGAAACCTTGGAAAGCAAAACCAGGAATAAGGGGGACTACCGTATAGAAAAAATGCACTTTAGTTTCCTAGGCATGTATTGCATCTCTTTTAGAGAGTAGATTTCTACACCGATTCACTGTACACCTGGAGCTGAAATATAACGGTGTTGCACAGGAAAACAAGTGTGTTACAGGAGTAAACACTTTCAAAGTTATTACATGTACTTGTATCTTTATTTTCATTGCAGTATTGAAATGGTATTTATTCATTTTGTCACTTCGCAAACATTATTGAGCTTTAACAAGCACCGTGAAAGGCACGTGAAATATAAAAATTATGATTGAATATCTACCCCACGGAAACACTGTTTATGGAAATACAAAATTTATGAATGGACACCTACCCCACAGAAACACTGTTTATTGATCTCATTAATAATCTTTCCTTCAGTACTGACTTCCGTAGAACATAACCAGAGGTTAAATGAGTTGTGACATATTAAATCATTTTGTGGCTTGACATAGGTTTGCCAGTACATTTTTAAAATGACAATCCACTGGGCTACTTTAGGTCACACATTTGCTCATGTATTATTCATTCATTTAATTGCACATGTATTCATTCATGCATATATTCAGTAAATATTTTTTGAGCACGTACTATGTATCAGGCCATGTTCTAGGCACCGTGAACAAGACACCTCACCCCTGATGAAGGGGTAAGTTGATGTTGAGTTAACAGGGAGTCAGCTGTTTGGAAAACAATTTGAGCTTAGATAGTTTATGTTGAATATCACGATTTAGTAGGTGTTATGTATTTTGATAGCAATGCAATATGATTGCAAATAGTGGTTTGATTTTTGAGGAAGTCATTGTGGCTTTTTGAGAATATTTTTGGTCATAATGGTGAAAGGAAACACCTGTTTGGGGGGTATAGAAGGGAGGTTTGAAATAGAGGAATAAAAGCTATGATAGACAACTTTGTCTAGGCATATCGTTGCAAAGGGAAGAAAGAGAGTTGAGGAAATAGCTGGATAGGTGGTGGGGTGAAGATAGCTGTTTGTTTTGTTTTGTTTTGTTTTGTTTTGCTTTTAAATGGTGAGACAGAAAAATAGTATATTTTATGATTGTGAGAATGTTCTAATAGAGAAGAAAAATGAGGATGCAAAAGAGAAAATGAAAAATTACTAGTACGGTAACCTTGAGAAATAGAATACTACCTGGTGTCTAACAGAGGAAGTGGTTTTATACTGAAGCATGGGTAGTTTTATCAATAGAATGTGTGAGTATAGATGCTGGCACGTAAGTAGGCGTGTAGTGGAAATCCACAGAATTCCTCTTAAATTTTCTTAGTAAAGCATAAAGTTTTCTTTTTGAAAAATTTAAGTTACCACTCTATTGTATATGCTATCTTTGATCCAAAAATACATTTTTTAGCTTAATTATCTTGTATTAATATTGCTGTTATTTTTCTTCCCTACAGGAGCTCACATGTCAAACCAAAATGTAGAAGAACATAATGGGTAAATTAGTAGATTCAGGCTCCTTGGTTTTGAAAAGTTGCTTTAATTGACCATGTGATTTTGAGCAAGTTATTTAAACTCTCTAAGCCTGATCACCTCATCTGTAAAGTGGCAAAATAAAAATAAAAATGAGTAAAAATAAAAATAAATGCTTCATAAGGTTGTTGTGAGGATTTATTAAGACACTGTCCAGTAAATGTCTTTTATACAATGTCTAAAAATAATATAACACTTTAATTATCATTAATCAAAATGCAGTGATGTTGACATATATATATAATTTTCTAAATAAAAAATAAATAAATGACACTTTCTTCAGCTATATTTTCTTACTTAGCCATGACTCTATTTTAGTGACATAAGTGCCATCACTTCATGACAAGTTCTATATATTCAATTCCTGACATTCTCCTCCTTCTCTCCCTCCATTGTCTTGTTTGACATGACCACACAGTATGAAAAACAATTTTTCTTCACTGGCTTCCCGAGGTTTCTTCTTGGCTTGAGTTAATAAATTATAACTATATGTATACGTATATGTGTATGTATATGTATATACATATATATATATATATTTTAAAAAACCCTAATTTTAAACAGGTAAATTTTATCTTTAGCCAAACAAGCCTTTAAAATTAAAGTTTCACAGGACATGGTGACTCACGCCTGTAATCCCAGCACTTTGGGAGGCCGAGGCAGGTGGATCACGAGGTCAGGAGTTCGAGATCAACCTGGCCAACATGGTGAAACCCCGTCTCTACTAAAAATACAAAAATTAGCTGGGCATGGTGGCGCACACCTGTAATCCCAGCTACCTGGGAGACTGAGGCAGGAGAATCACTTGAACCCGGGAGGCGGAGGTTGCAGTGAGCCAAGATCACGCCACTGTACCCCAGCCTGGTGACAGAGCGAGACTCCGTCTAAAAAAAATAAAAAATAAAAACAAATCAAAGTTTCAAAAAGAAATGTTGAGATATTTCTTCTTAAAAAATTGTTCTCTCTCTTATCGTTTAGTTTTAAAGTCCTCATTTTTAGGTTAAAATACTAGACTCAATTATCTTCCTAACTTTTTGATTTTGCTTGGTGTGCTCAGTGTCAGAGTCCGCTCTCTGGATGTTGTTCTGCTTCATTAAAATTGTCTTTTTTCTACCTTACCAAATGTTTACGAGTCCAGGTAGCAAGAAAAACTAATTAAGGAGATAGGAAAGAGACTTGACATTTTCTTTCAATTCTCTTGTTCTAATATTTCTCTGCTTTTTCTCTTCATGAGGGAAGATAAAAAAAATACCCCACTACTTTGGAACATAGGGTCTTACTAACTTAATTTCTTTCGTTTTAAAAGGTTTTCCTGCTTCATGCTATCTTTGAAACTTTGCTCATTTTTTTCTTCCCAAGAAGCAACTTTTTTATACTTAGCGTATTTGATTTAAAATTGCTTTTCATTTTGAAAGGGTCTCTTAGCTAACTTCTTATTTCCTTAGTAACACCCTTGGCAACTCCAGATAAAAACTGCATTGCCAGTTTTCTTGGAGAATCTTCAAAACCTCATTTAAAAGCATAAAACTCAGATGTGAAACAATTTGCACAATAAGTAAATATTTGATTAAGCAGTTATCATTACAGTGAAATAAGTATTGGTGTATTTACCCTGAGTATAGGTCCAGCGTAAGAGCTGATTAAGCTTATACTGCATGGCTAAATCAATTTTTGCAAACAGAAATCAAGAAAATATTGTATGCAAGTTTTATACTCAAACTCAGAATTATGTAGTGAGGCAGTAAGCTCTTTACAAATCAGTTCAAAAAGACTTACTTGAGGAAGGACATTTTCATGAGTTCTTGCAACAACAGAAGTAATCCAGTTTGCAGGCAGTCGAGTTGGGGGCACGGTTTCCTTCAACATTCAGTGTTTTAACTAAGTCATGAAGGTCAGAGTAGAATGAGCTGTGATGGGGGCTTTGTTTACAATGAACACTTTCTAATGAAGGGGCAAAACAGATATAGAAATACACAAATATACAAGATATATGTGCATGCACACACAAACTTGCACACATATATGTGTGTGCATAAATATACAAAAATTGATTTGGATACACAGCAATGAACAAACACTAGATTATTTTATAAATCAGAATTAATGTATTTTATATTGTGAATCATTTTCAAATTTCTCACAAATTAGTTTAAATGCATCTTTTTAAAAGGAGCTAAAAATTAAAAGAATCGTGTTTTGCTCTGATGAGAAATGGGAAACCAAATAATGTTGGAAGAAAGACACAAGACAAAAGGAAAAGTATGATACAATAAATTATATTAAAGAAATCACAAAGCCAGTGATCACCATCTCTTTATGTAATGGTAGGAAAATGCTGGACTGGAAGTGACAAATTTCCAAATGAGAAAATGTTAACAGCACAAATGAGAATTTCAACATTTTTACAAGAGGCAGGAAGAAAGATATCTGAAATGAGGCAAGTGTGCAATGAAGTGAAAATCTAAACATGATAAGCCCTGCATATGTAAAAATGGAAACCAAGACTGAGCCTGAACAAGAAAGCTCAAGCAATGTCAAGTCTCACCATACTTAAAGGTGAACTGGAGTGCACATGTCAGCAGCAAATTTGTCCATTCTAAGACTTTCATTTGCAGAGAAGAGCCTGTCAAAGCAGGTCCAGATGTCAATCACTGCACCATTTTCCCCAATACAGAGCAGGACTTTTTGGTTTGAACCCAGCTCCAGTCAGTGTATTGCTCTGTGCCTCACTGCTTTGCAGAGATCCTAGCTACAAAATATGGCAACGGTGATGGATACATGGCAGATGGACACATTGCCAAAACATCCAAAGCTCTTCTTGCTTCTGTGTTAACAGAGAAAGGAAGAGGAACAAATGCCAGCAATAAACAGTTCTCAGGTAGGAAAAATAAACACTGAAGAAAAACTGTATCTTGGCAGAACAGATGATCAAGAAAGTAAAACATCTAATGATAAAATGCTATGTCCAGATGGCATTTATCTCTGACTTCTCAAGGAAAATAATATTGATGGGTAGAAAAAATTACCATTTCCATAGATAATTTAATTCCGGCTGAAATCTTGAGAGGTAGACATTGCAGAAAAATCAAAACAAAAAAACCTCAAAAAATTATCTTAGGAGATAATGTGAAAAATGTAAGGATTATAGGCCTTTTTTGTCTAAATTGTGAAAACATAACTATGCATATTTACTTACTATGTAAGATCAAATTTAATTATGTCTATTTAATTTTGTTTTACTCCACAGTAAAATAATAACCAATATCATAGTGTTTTTCACCAACTATTTCTGGTTCAGAACTTAGACATAAGAAAGAGTTGTTTTCCACCCTGCTAGGAGTTTTTTTAGTAGAAAATAATTCATGCCTATCACAAACTTATTGATTAAGAAATTAAGCACATCCTGTGTGACTGTCCTGGGAGAGGACTTGTGGAAGTTTGTGCATAGTTTTCCTCTGGGTTTTGACCCATGCACTTTTTCCTTTGTTGATTTTGCTTTGTATCTTTTTATTGTAATAAATCATGCCCATGTGAGTCCTGTGACTCACATGTGAGTATATGCTGAGTCCTGTGAGTTCTCCTAGCAATGACTGAACTTTGGTGTTGGCCTTGTAAACTCACACATGATGTCACTTCAAGATTGATAGCATTAAAAGTAAGTTCATGACTTGGTATGTCCCCTTTTCTGTCCTGTAAATTACTAATGCATGGGTTGATGCCTCCTTCAGCATGGGAATTTGAGCATTTTGTAAAGCACAATGGCATCTTTGCAAGGAGCAAGGATACCTTTGTTGTTCTAAATCACTGAGATTTTGGTGTTATTAATTCAGTATAAATGTTCTATCTGATTCAAATATGAATTAATGAAGTCAGGATAGTCATAGTATGCCTACTGGTGTCTTCAAGTCAATTGGTTTGAGACCATAGTAAACAAATTGTGTAGAATATTGTACAAAACAACTGGACAGTTGCAAAGCACCTAGAAGTGATATGTCTTGTTTGGAAGGACTACATATGCTAATAAAGACTAGAGGGTATCATTTTCTTTTCTAGTATCATTATATCTGATCTTCACTAAAAGGTCTAACAATTTTCTGAGGCCAATGCATCATATTTCATAACATCAAGCTTGGGATGCATTTAGTTTAAGGTTAGTGGGCTAACCAAGGGAACTCACAGATGTGAATAAAGCCTGAATCTAGATGAATAAGTTGGGTCTTGGGTCTACATGTGGGGATCTGAGCCCAGAGATTTGATGCTAATCCAGGACAGCAGGTCATGAAGATTAGAGAGAGAAAGAGAGAACATCAGAATGTAGCTTCATAACATTGCCAACCAAGTCAAATATGCTCACCCATTGGGAGTCAAAGTGACAGAAAAGTACATGCCAACATTACAGTAGACCTGCAGGAAGCTTCCAGGAAGCCTAGTGTAGCTGTCAGTAGCATAACAGGAGAGGAGTTTGAGGACAGGAAAACCACACATCACAGAACTAGGGAAGGGTTTCTCAACCGTAATGCTTTGTTGTAGAGGGTTGTGCTCTGCATTGTAAGATGTTTAGAAGCATTTCTGGACTCTACTCAGTAGAAGCCATTAGTATCCTTGAGTTCTGGCAACAATAATAACACCCAACTTTGCCAAATATCCTCCGGGGGGAAAATTAGTCCCAGTTGCAAACCACTGGACTAGAGCATAAGGCAGAAAACTCATATTCTAAGAAAGAAGCAAGGCAAATACGATCTGCTTAGAAGTTAGGGTACCTGGGCACAAGGGCAAAACACTAGTACAAAGGAAATGGGTAGTGGAAAAAATCCCATTCATTGGAGTACAAATTTGAGGCTGGAATACAAGATTTATTTTCACCAACAAAGAGCCAAATCCAGGAACAACAGACTTACTATACTGTCCTGAGACAGATATTATCTTTAATTTAAATTTAAAACATTTCATTAAAAAATTAAAGATAGTAATTTTTTAAATATAGAGCAACTAGGTAGCCTGTTGTGCTTTCTCTCCTTTATTGTGTGTGTGTGTGTCTGTGTGTGCACGTGCATGTGCTCATATGCATAGAGGGAAGAACAGGTCTAGAGGCCTCCAGTAAGAAAATTCTCTTTGCTGATCTTGTGACCAGTGCTTCCAAGGTTTCTGGGGTTTGAGGTCTTTGTCACTTTCAGAGACATCTTATGCCACTCCCTTGTTAGGACATGGATTAGTGGCTTCAACAATCAATACTCTACTTCTTTCTTCTTTTCCTTTTCTTTGCTACTGTTCTACACAGGTGAGGAGAAACAGATGTTCCAGAGCAGCGCGATATTACTCAGAGCTCTGCTTCCTGCTATCTGCCTACTCCTTCCTCTCCCTCTGCACTGAGACAGCACTCAGAGACAGGACCTCCTCTGGACTCAGAATGAGTTAATGCTCCCCAATGGTGGATCCCATCATTCTGTCCCAATATTGTCAAACCTAGATAACTTGGGAATTGAAATTCTACCTTTCTAAACCCAATCACCAATCAGCCATTTGGTGAATAGTTTGTGCTCAGTAAGTGCTTGTTAGATAAATAACTACAGTGCATTCAACCATGCAATTTACTGACATTATCTTGATCCCTCACAACAGCTCTTTGTGTTTTGCATTGCCATGCCCATTCTGCAGATGAGACAATGAGGCTTGCTGAGGTTACATCAGCTCCTTAATGTTACAGAACTACTATCTACCCTTTAGATATGAGCTCAAACTCATGCCCATCTGATGCAGAAGCTTATGATTTTCATTGCTACCATTGTTTCTATCATAAAGAACTGTCACAGTAATTCTAACACTTAAGGATGCATCAAAATTATTTGCAGTCTTGATAAAAAAGGATTTATGGGATCCACCTCAGAGTTTTTGAATCAGTAGGACTGGGATAAGATTAGGAATTTGCATTTTCAACAAATCCCCAGGTGTTGTTTATTATAGTGATAAAGAGGCCCAGCTTTGGAAACTCTTGATCTAATGAGGGAATAAATTAATATTTTTAAACGAAAATTTACTGTTATGATAAGACATAATCATGTATTTAAAAGGATCCGTAAGAAGGAGATATTCCACATTTTTTTTTTTTTTTTTTTTGAGACGGAGTCTCGCTCTGTCGCCCAGGCTGGAGTGCAGTGGCGGGATCTCGGCTCACTGCAAGCTCCGCCTCCCGGGTTCACGCCATTCTCCTGCCTCAGCCTCCCGAGTAGCTGGGACTACAGGCGCCCGCCAGTACGCCCGGCTAATTTTTTGTATTTTTAGTAGAGACGGGGTTTCACCGTTTTAGCCGGGATGGTCTCGATCTCCTGACCTCGTGATCCGCCCGCCTCGGCCTCCCAAAGTGCTGGGATTACAGGCGTGAGCCACCGCGCCCGGCCTATTCCACATTTTTTAAAGCAGAACATAATATCCACAGTGATATATCCAGAAAAGTTGGGATAAACAAAAAGGGTAATAAGAACAGAAATGAGAGTTGCCTGCGGTGTCTACATAAACAAGAAAAAAAAAGGAGAGAACATTAAACATGAGGAACTGAAAAAAAAAGATTAGCAACTTTAACATGGCTTATTTCTTGCTTATATTTTCCTTTCTTTCTAGCATTGTAATTCAATGTGGCATGGGAAAAATAATAAAATTTAAATCTATGAAGGCCGGGCACAGTGGCTCACTCCTGTAATCCTAGCACTTTGGGAGGCCAAGACGGGCAGATCACGAGGTCGGGAGATCAAGACCATCCTGACAAACACAGTGAAACCTTGTCTCTACTAAAAACACAAAAATTATCCGGGCATGGTGGCACATGCCTATATTCCCACCTACTGGAGAGGCTGAGGTAGGAGAATCGCTTGAACCCGGGAGGCAGAGGTTGCAGTGAGCCGGGATTGCACCACTGCACTCCAGCCTGGGCAACAGAGCAAGACTCCCTCTAAAAAAAAAAAAAAATCTATTAATAAGTGTAGAAGCAAACAGTGTTTCTATTAAGTGTGCTTCTTTAAAAACATTCTTGCTTAATTCACTCATTTAATCATTGATTAAATTATTTATTCAATAAATATTTGTTGAGTGCGTACTATGCAGTAAGTGGTATTTTAGATAACAGAAGATGGGAGAATACAAAGAACACTAATTTCCAGGCCCCAGGTGGAAAGCTCTAGAAGTTTGCTTTTCAATTTCATTTTGATCACTTTTTAAATTCTTCTTACTACTAATTTAACCCGCTGTCTTTTTCTCATGAGTTCATCAGTTTACCTACCTTAATAGTTTTGCCCGAAAAACCCACCTTTAAGTTATTATTAATCTCTGTTGTTATTTTATTTTATAATCCTTAATTTCTATTCCACATTGCATTATTTCTGTTTTTGGCATTATTTGGATTTACTGTGTTGTTTTTCCTCTATTATTTAAATACAGAAACACTATTGACTATTATTAGGAAAAACATTCTAATAATACTTAAATAGAAGACTATTATTTGAATACTTAATTCATTAATATACAAAGGATCATGACTTCTAATATTGGCATTAAGTAGCACACATATATTAATATGTAGAAATTTTACTTTCATTCAAATATATATTTTATTCAAATATATTTATGTATTATTTTATAACAAGTTCATTTAAGAACAAACATGATTATTAGATCTTCCTAGAGAATTGTCCTTTTTATCGTTAATATATAATCCTATTCATTCATAATAATAATTTTTTAATTTATAATTTTGAACATAGATTATGTCAATAAAATGATGACACTGGCTGCCTTTTGATTATCTTATAGAGATATATGTATATATGAATATATATATTTCACACACACATACATATACATAAATAGATATTGGAAAAAAAGACACTATATCTTTTCAAGACTGTTCTCTATACACATTCTTAAAAGGGTAGTAAGCATATATGCAGCAATTTGAGTCTTAAAGAAAATTATTTCTCAACATTGGATAGATATAGAATAGTAGTTTTCTGTTTGGCACTTTAAGGATAATGTTCTGGTTTGTTGTTGTTAATAAGAGCTCTTCAGACTGTGATATAGTTCGGATGTGTGCCCCTCCAAATCCCATGTTGAAATGTAATCCTCTCGGTTGGGGGCAGGGTCTAATGGGAGGTGTTTGGGTCATGGAGGCAGATATCTCATGCATGACTTGGTGCCATCTTTGAAGTCATGGGCGAGTTCTCACTCTATTAATTCCTGTAAGAACTGGTTGTTAAAAAGAGCGTGGCAGCTCCCGTACCACCTCTCTCTTGCTCCCTCTCTCACAGTGTGACATGCCTGTTCCACACTTGCTTTCTGCTGTGGTGGAAAGCTTCTTGAAGTCTTCACCAGAAGTAAACGCTGGCACTATGCTTCTTTTATAGTCTGTAGATCCATGAGCTAAAGCAAATCTTTTTTCTTTGTAAATTACCCAGCCTCAGGTATTCATTCATAGCAACACAAAGTAGACTCAGATGAACAGTCTACACGATCTGAACTTTGCTACGCTGCTGGCCTCATATGCTAATATTCTTCCCCTTGTTCATTTTGTTCTGGCTTCACTGGCTTCCTTGCTGCGCCTGGAAAGCACACGTTTCTTTCTCAGGGTCTTTACACTGGCTGTTCCCGTTTCCTGGAATGTCTTTAAACCTCAATTGCTTGTCCCAAATGTCACTTCTCAATAAGGTGTCCCATGCTAATTACATTTAAATGTCAACCCTGTTGGCGATAAACTTCATATGCTTTTATTGACATCAAATTTTCCCCATCACACCTCTGACATGCCTTCTAATTTACTGTTAAAAATACGTATTTACGGCCGGGCGCGGTGGCTCACGCCTGTAATCCCAGCACTTTGGGGGGCCGAGGCGGGTGGATCACAAAGTCAGGAGATCAAGACCATCCTGGCTAACACGGTGAAACCCCGTGTCCACTAAAAAAAATACAAAAAAATTAGCCGAGTGTGGTGGCGGGCGCCTGTAGTCCCAGCTACTCGGGAGGCTGAGCCAGGAGAACAGTGTGAACCCCGGAGGCAGAGCTTTCAGTGAGCTGAGCCCGCTTCACTGCACTCCAGCCTGGGCGACAGAGGGAGACTCCATCTCAAAAATCAAAACAACAACAACAACAACAACAACAAAGTATTTACCAGAGTGCGAGTTCCTTGATTTCAGATATTTATTGTTGGTTTTGCAGACTACAGTTCTCTTATTTGAATACCTTCTTCTTGTGGAACTGGTAAGAATTCAACTTCTGTTTTTAAAAGAAACTGGGGTTACTAGGCCATGAATAGTAGGAAAAAAAAGAAAAGAACAGATTGAAGGAATAATGATTAGGGTATAGTGACATAATAAAGACCGTGCTCCAACTGTTATTTTTTTCTTCTTTGCTCATGGAATTTGTCAAAGAATTTCCTTTGAAAAGGAAAATTCCTTTTCTCAACATAATTTTCTTCCCCGTTCTTGGAAATCCCTGTGGGCATTAGAGTCAGAATCAAGCACCAAAAGTGTTCTCTTTTGCACTGTAGTAATTTACTTCAACTACTATTAAGGATTATTTTTTGGCCATGTTTTTCTCCCTTTGGTAAAACATAAGTCTTCTGAAATAACTTGAAGTATTATGTGAATTTCATCTCTAGGGCCTTTTCTTATTATACAAAGCTTCACAGCTTAAATTGTGTGTCAGTGGTGAAGATTCCATGACTACAGTTGAGAATTTTCATTTTCATAAAGAGGTTAAACTTTATATGGATAGCAACTGGTACAATAAATCAAACATAACTAGGGCAAATTATTTTCTGTTTTTCTAGAAACCTTATTGATGTTTGGTTTTATTCTTGAAGATAGTATATAAAATTATAGATTTATGAATTAATTTACTAGAAAGTTTTTCTAGGTGCTTTGAAATGAATGGGGTTTGTCTTGGACTGTTTGAACAGCTATAACAGAATACCACAGATTGGATAATTTACGATGAAGAGATATTTACTGGCACCTGTTTCTGGAGGCTGGGAAGTCCAAGATCAAGGCGACAGCATGTGGTGAAGCCCTTTAAACTGCATTATCCTGTGGCAGAAGGAAGAAATGAAAGAGAAGGAAAGAGGGAGGTGGGGAAAGAGGGACCAAACTCTCGCTTTTACCACGAATCCACTCCCCCATAAAGGCATTAATCTATTAGTGAGAATGGAGCCCTCATGGACTAATCACCTCATGGCCCCACCTCCTAACGCTGTTATATTGGGGATTAAGCTTTCAAACTATTCTTACTGGGGGATACATTCAAACTATAGAAGGGTTATAAATAGGAAACTATTATTTTAAAAATTTATTGAAAAGAAACCCTGAGAATAATAGTTAAATTTTCAGATTAAATATTTATATTATATTTATCTTTATAATTTATCTTTTATGTTATTTTGGTAGAATTACATAGAATCTTTATACTTTTTAAATAGCTCAGAAAAAAGCATGTGTGTGTATTTTTGTATATGTATGTTACTTCAAAAGATGTATTTCATTACATGATGTTTGTTTAATAGAATTTATAGCTTTTATATTTATGAACACATTGCCATGGGACACATTTTTCAAATTACAATCTAAGGTCATATTTGTATGACCTTAGATTTATTTTTTAATAAATTGGAAATATTTATTTTAAGTAAAGGCCACTAAAAGGGCAGAAACCTTTGAATTCAATATATTCCAAGCATTTTTGTTCATCTGACTGAAGTGTACTCTTTTCCCAAGAAATAATTTTGAGTGTAGATTTTACCCACAGAAAATGCATTTTTGTGTAGTTTTTAATAATGTGAAACATCAAATTTGTGATATTTGGGCATCCACAGATGCTTTTTCTGTGTATTTTTTTTTTGTTAGGAAGTGGTTATTTGTGAAGTGGTGGTACTTTTGCAACCAAAAAAAGCTATACCTGTGACAGTTCAAAGAGAGAACTGAGAGTCCTATTTTATCACTGACTAATTGATTAATTGACTCACTCAATTTATTGAGAACTTTCTATGCACATAATACTATGTTAAGTTCTAGGAATTTTGAAATGAACAAAGCAAAAATTATAGAAACCAATGAAAATATATTTGGATAATAAAATATAATAAATAATGTCAAATTGTACATAATTTGCTCACTTAATTATGCTGTTGTAAACAATAAATTTTTGTATTAACTTTACTTTTCTGTTGTAGAACAGGTATGATAAACTACCCTCAGCAAGTCTCCAGATATTGTACTACCTGTGACCTGAGAATGTCTTTTATATTTGACAATAGTTTTATATTAAATGATTATATAAATACTTACATAATATGTTAGATTTTGCCATTTGTCCAATAAAGCCTAAACTATTTATTATCATGCCCCTTAGGGAAAAATTTGCCCACCATGATATAGTTTACAAATATCTACCCAATTCCTCTCAGGCAACCATTGAAGAGATTCTGCTTTGTCTTTATATCTCTCTCTCATATTATATAAAAATATAAATACCTATAGAGAAATCATACCGACATACAAATAAAAGGCAACAAAGCAACGCAGGAAACTTTTGCAGTCAAAACTTATGTTACTCCCCCATACACATATATGTCACATATACTTGGTTTGCTGCATGTTTTTCACTTAATAGAATATCGTGAATATTTTCTCACTTATCTAAGCATTTTTAAAATAATTTGGCCATTAGTTGACCTATAGTTATATAGAAATGGCCAATATCTTATTTTTGAACATTTATATTGTTTTGTGAAAGAAAATAAGTCTTGGGACTCCAAAATCACTGATGCAAGATAAAAGTTAACCTGGGAGTTAACCTGGGAGGTTAAGCAGGTTAGTCAAACCTGCTTACCAGTTTACTTGTAAATAAGATAGCTACAAAGATAAGAAGGTACATACCTTTGTCACAATTTGCCCACAGGGAATCTCCTTGTGGACAAAGGACAGACAGAACTCAGTCAGCCCTCTGAGGCTCACCTGAAACAAATGCATATCTGCTTGCTTCCTCTGCCCTATTGTTTATGTACAAGTTTAGATTCAGTGAGCCAGACTAAATTGTGTCTTCAGTGGAAGGCTAATCAAGGACTCAAAAGAATGCAACCTTTTGTCTCTTATCTACTTCTAATCTGGAAGCGCCAACTTCGAGTTGTCCCAACTTACTGAACCAACCAATGTACATCTTACACATATTGATTGATTTTTCATGTTTCCCTAAAATGTGTACCCCAACCACCTTGGACACATTTCATCAGGACTTCCTGAGGCTATGTCACAGACGCACTTTTAACCTTGGCAAAATAAACTTTCTAAATTGACTGAGACCTGTCTCAGATATTTTGGGTTCACAGTTTCAAGTTTCTTGCTTTTATAAATACCATTTGAATACCTTCGTTGAACCAACTGTTTCCAGGTGAAACTCTGATGATAGTTTTAAATAAATTTTCACAGTGGTATTTCTCTGTAAAATCATATTAAGACTATTGATGAAGAGTCAAACTTTGGAAAATATTTCCAGGGATTTTTATTCTCAGCCAAATATGAGTGACCAATGGCCTGTGACACAGTCTCAGCAGATCATGACAACATGATGCCCAAGGTGGTTAGGCGACAGATTGGTTTTATATATTTCAGGGAGATATAAGACATCAATCAATACATGTAAGAGATACATTAGTTCACTCCAGAAAGGCAGAAACACTTGAATCCGAGTTGCTCATGGTGGGAGGGTGGGGGTTTTCCAGCTCATAGATAGGCTCAAAGACTTTCGGATTAGCAATTGGTTGAAAGAGTTACGCTATTATGCTCTTACCTAAAGACCTGGAATCAACAGAAGGAAGTGTCTGGGTTAAGATAAGGTATTGTGGAGACAGAGGTTTTATCACGCGATGAAGCTCCAAGTAGCAGGCTTCAGAATTCTTATCAGATCTAAAATAATGCCAGACTCAGTTAATATTCTTCTGGATCAGGAAAAAGACCTGGAAAGGGAAGGAAATTCTCTACAGTATATAGATTTTCCCCACAAGAGTCAGCTTTGCAGGGCCATCTCAAATGTCAAATAAATATGTTTTTGGGTTAAATACTTCATTTTCTTTCGGGACCTGTTGTCATGTGATGTTACAATCAAGGCAGGCTGGAAATTGGTGTCTTACTGCTGCAAAGAGTCTGTCTTATCATCTTATCAGGCTTTTTTTTTTTTTTTTTTTTTTTTTTGAGGCAAGAGTCTCGCTCTGTCACCCAGTCTGGAGTGCAGTGGTGCGATCTCAGCTCACTGCAAGCTCCACCTTCCAGGTTCATGCCATTCTCCTGCCTCAGCCTCCTGAGTAGCTGGGACTACAGGCGCCTGCCACCACGTCTGGCTAATTTTTTTGTATTTTTAATAGAGACAACAGTTCACCATGTTAGCCAGGATGGTCTTGATCTCCTGACCTCGTGCTCCACCTGTCTCAGCCTCCCAAAGTGCTGGGATTACAGGCATAAGCCACCACACTCGGCCAGTCTTATCAGTCTTAAGACCTATGTTTTAATGTTAATGATGGTCAACTGTATCTGAATTCCAAGGGCGGGGGGCAGTTATAATGAGGCATTCCTGATCCCCCCACTTCCACTCCCCCATTCACATCATGGCTTGAACTAGACTTTTTCAGGTTTGCTTTGGAATGCCCTCGGCAGAAAGGAATTGTTTGTTCTGTTGGATGGGGTCTTAGAATTTTATTTTCAGTTTACAAGACTTTTGATAGTATTTCCTATTATACCCCCAAAAGTTGTACTAAATTGTGGGAGTGGTCAAATATTATAAAGGGATTACTTTTGGTTCTTAAATCATTGAAAATTTTTGTTGTTTTCTTTTTACCTTGGTATTTGGCAATTTATTAGTTATAACTTATTGTTAGTTTATGACCATTGCTCTATGAAAGGAAAGCAACATTTTTCTCAGACATTTTCAACTATAATTTGTTTCTTTGAATGAATTATTTATGGCAGTGGTTTATAAAGCTGGACTGAGTGGTAATTTTGTCTTGTGATAACAAACACTTTTAATATATCTGTATCAAACCGGTGAATTAAATGGGAATATTATCGGCATCACTATCTTTTCATCTTTTAAGTCTTTGATGGTGAACGAATCTCTGCTTTTCTCTCCAAATACATCATCACTTTTGACACACTATCTTGGTAGGGAACGGAAGTTCCCAGAATTTCCATTGGCTCATTCTATCACTACAGGTAAGAAAATTATTTAGAAATTCTGCATATTGCTGAGTAAATCTATTCTAATTGTACACTCAGGAATTAGAGAAATAAACATAAAATGTATTCTCAGACTTAAGAGACCTATGGTTGTTCAATCTTGGTCCTAAATTTGATTTATCATCTGGCCGCCATAAATGCCTACTTTGACTAATGTACCACCACAGTCTTAGCATCCCCAGAAATGTTCATTCATCCAGACAAACTTTCTAGAAATCCTTGAAAAATGTAGGTTTTTTCCTTGCCTCAGTGAATAATCACAACAGTAAATGATCCTAGGATATTTCAGTAGAGGATTGAAAGAAAATTTATGACATATGCTTATTAATCTCTTTCAGGAAGTTTATTTAATATAACCTGGCCTCCTCTGTAGCCAAAGGGCTGCAGGGCTATGAAGTGGCTTAGATCTGAAAACTTGGTGAAAGACAGTGAGTAACCATTGAGCTTGTCTGAAGTCAAGATTTTGAACACTCACTCAAATTCGAGGTTTCCCATTACTATGTTAGTAGATTGCCTGTGCATTGAATTCTGAGGAATATTGTAACCAATTAACTACCACCAATCTCTGTCATCGTTGCTTTATTTGTGATGCCTATTATGATAAATCATCCTGCAAGGTCTCTGCTAGGGAAGCACTGCTACTACCCTCTGCCAATCTGGGATCATTTTTCCCCCTATATGCATCAGTTTAAGTCTTTAGGAAGTAGAAGCCAACATATAATTAGAGTGCTAGAGATTTGTTGAGGAAAACACCTGTGAAACATGAAGAATCAGGTAGCCAGAGTAGGCAGAGATAGCTTTCAGACTCTGCGGTAGGATAGGTAGAAGGAACAAGAATTAGTAAGTAGAGCCCTAGACTATATTTTTAGCAGCTCTGAGAAAATTTGGCCAGGGTAATGGGTAGAGCCAGTGAAAAGATTACTCATTAGAGGAGTTCCACATAATGCAGAAATAGCTACTTTCTAATATCAGAGCACTTTGCTTTGTCATTGGCTGGGAAGAAAGTGCAAAGATTGTGTCCTTGGTGTGACATCTGCAGTGGATTCCCAAAGTGTGGAAGTGGAGACTAACCACACTCCTCAAATAGATTTTCTTTTGAAGTGAGATTTGAGTGGTAGGCTCCTCTGGAACCACCTCTGAAACCAGAGAGCCTATTTCAATGGCAGCACCTCCCACTTTCATACCTAGGCTAAAGAAGAAATCCACCGCAAAGCTGTTCAAAGATGCTAGTGCTGCCCTCATTAATGTGTTACTTAACACAGTACTGAGAAAAAGTGTCTTATCAGTGGATAGAGTTGGTGGGGTGGGAGGAAGGAGGGTTGGTGTTATATAAACTACGTGTGATAAATTCACTCTAATATTTCTATTTTAGAAAGTCATTGTATTCCTGTTTCTACCTTATCCCAGGAAAGATCTAGTGTCTGAGACCTACTGAATGTAGGTGAAACTGCATCCAAGTTTCAGTCAAACAACCAAGTAAATTGACAGGTGCACATCAAACTTCCTGAGCCAATATACCACATTTAGAATTTTTGCTGTATACCCATATCAATATATCCATCTCAATCCAGCAAATGATAAATTCTATCTTTCTGAATCAAACACTTCCAGAGTCCATTCACACACATATGTAAACCAAAAAATGATTGAGGCAGATCTCAATCTACAGAGGTTTATTTAACTAAGGTTGAGGGTGCACCTGGGAAAAATACAAATCACAGGAGCATCTGTGACCTGTGCTTTTTTTCAAATGGAGTTTTTGGGAACTTCAGTCATTAAAGGGGAAAGAGGAAGAAGGAAGAAAACAAAGGAGGAAAAGGAGGCAGTATGGCAGATGCTCACATTCCTGTGAGGCTCTGATTAGCTTCAGTGACTTTACATTTTACGTGTAAAATGAGACAGTTGAGGAAAGTCAATTATACATTGTCCTGTGTTCAGTAAATCTACATTTTACATAAGATAAAGTAACATGTAAAAACAGAGAGTAGAGAAAATGAGGCTATGACACAGAATTGTGAAATTACAACTAACTATTTGGGAAAAAAAAAGGAAAGCAGTTTTTGCATAATTCATTTCCCAAGCTGAACTTTCCCTTTGGCATGGTAAATTTGGGGACCAGAAGTTCTATTTTCTTTCACACATAATTCCCAAATTTCTGATAAGATAAATTAGAAAAAGTCTTATGATTCTTGTGGAGTATAAACTATTTCCTTTAGGGTTAGACTTCCCCTGGAACATGATCACAGCTGACCACAGTTGATGATCTACAAGTAATAAGGGGTGCTTAGGATGTATCTTGAGAAAAATAGGTATGCCCTTACAAGGCAACTGCCTCAGGTGGGTTTATTACAGTTTGTTTGTTTGTTTGTTTTCTTGTAAGTAGGAGGGGAGTGTCTTCAGACAGGGGAAGGTGGGTGCTTAACTGGCAAAGAGACTCAGGGTAACTCCAGGGTTCAAGTCCTCATTTTTTATGTGGAAATCTAGAAATCCGCATATCCAATCTCAGAGTCTATGATGGTGAGTTTTAAGTGCTTAGTTGGCTAAGATATTGTTCCTAGTTATAAAATCAAATACAAATCTAGGTATTATGTGAAGGTATTTTGTAGATATTATGTAAGTTCATAATCAGTTGACATTCTGTAAAGACTTTCCTAGATAACCTGGGTGGTCATGATTTAATCAATGAAAAGGCCTGAAGAGCAGAACTGAGATTCCCAGAAGAACGAGAAATTTCACTGTGAATTGCATCTTCTAACCAAGAGTTCTGGCCTCTTCTTCCTGACAGCCTGCCCTGTGAATTTTGGACTTGCAATCAAATCCCCATAATCACATCAGCCAATTCTTTTTTGTCACTTGTTCTTTTTCTTTGATTGAGCCTTGGCTGGCACATGGTTACGTTCCTATCCTGACCATACCCTAACTTTCACAAGGGACATTTTGCAAGATAATTCAATATACATTGTAAAGCTGCAATCAACACAATTAAATTACTTGTCTGTTTTTCTGTGAAATTGACTGTGTTGCTTCAAGAAATAAAAGATTGTTTTAGAGATGCCATAGAAGGTCTCTGGTTCTCCAACAGTGACTTCAGCTCAAAATTTGTAGACCTGAAATTGTCATATTCTAAGTATTGTACTCTAAAACATTCAATTGAATCGATGTCATCCTACAATTCTTGTTGTTAGTGTTACTGTCATAATGGTCAAATGAAGTAGCCAGCTGTTCATCCAGATACATCGTTATCAACCATAGGTAATAATTTGACTAATTTGATGCCACTACATGCCAAAAACTACTCGCACCACATTGTTCTTAGGCAAGAATCTCATCACTATGTTCATGCCCAAAGACATAAATCAATCCCCAAATCACTATCTGGAGGTCTGTTTCCTAGGACCACTATTGATACTGTATGAATTTCTGTATTCATCAGGAAAAAGAACCTTCACTAGTTATCTAAAATTTGTTAACCAGGTTTTGGAGAAGTGAAAAGGCAAACAGGAAACAGGTATCAGGAGAAATAGTAAAAGGAGACAGAAAGCACCCGGTATTAGTCTGTTTTCATGATGCTATAAAGAACTAGCCGAGACTGGGTAATTTATAAAAAGGGGGAATTTTAATTGACTTACAGTTCCACATGGCTGGGGAGGCCTCAGGAAATTTGCAATCATGGCAGAAGGTGAAGGGGAAGCAAGGTACATTTTACCATGGTGGAGCAGGAGAGAGAGAGAGCAAAGGGGGAACTGCCAAACACTTTTAAATCATCAGATTTCATGAGAACTCACTCACTATCTCAAGAAAAGTATGGGGAAAACTGCCCCCTTAATTCAATCACCTCCCACCAGGTTCCTCCCTGAACATGTCGGGATTACAATTGGAGATGAGATTTGGGTGGGGACACAGAGCCAAACCTATCTGCCCCATGGACTGAAAAACAAAAACAAAAAAGACATAGGCCAAGATTATTATAATTTATTAGCTTGGAGGAACCCACCACCACCCCTGAAAATCATACTGCCCACCTTGGCTGTGCCTCAGGTGCTTGAAGGAGGGATTTTCTGGATTCTGGGACTGAGATCTCTGAGGATGGTGTGCTGCCTGACTAGCACAGATGCCTTGGGAATCTCGAGGGGCCCCAGTGGGATTGTGACCAAGTTGTCTAAGAAGGAGGATCAGGGCAACTGGTGCATCATTTCTCAGGGGGCAAAATGAGACTCGTTTTGAAATGTGGAAAATGCCAGCAAAACTGCTGCTATTGGAGCCAACTGCTCCTGCTCCAGTGAAGAACTTTTGGGGAAATGCTCTTAGGAACAAGAGGCAAGGGGGATCTTTGTCTCCCCCTAGTGCTGCCTATTGCTAGAGCTCAGCAGAGATCCTGTTGACAGAAGAGAAATATTTGGTTTTACAGAATTCCAGCCCCAGCATTACAGAACTGAGTAATGAAGGGTCGGTTCAAAGCTGGGAGTCAATCACTAATAACAAACACATTGGCTATTGTTTTACAATGTTACCCAAAAGGATTTAAACTGGTTTCCTGGGGAAAAAAATCCCACAGAAGACAGTAGATTTATTCCCAGGCTTGGCAGTTATAAATACTATTTTTTTTATTATTGGAAATCACTGCATAGCTTACTTGTAGCTTTATTTTAACTAAACATGTATTTATCATTTATCATAAATCTGAATCCTATTAAATGCTAGTACCATACCGTATGAGAAGAGGCACAGGCAGTTTGGGGCACAGGCCTTTGGCTATATTTATTACCAGCACAAAGAAAATCCCAGTACTTGAAAATGTCACATGTGATCATGTGATCTCCAACTACTAGTTCTGATGGATGAATATATAAACTCGTCTTTTCATAAAAGCTGTCATGAGTAAATGGTGCTGAAAAATTGAAGAAAAGTTTCATGATTTTCAGATGAAAATAAATTAGAAATCACATTACTTCTCTGTCTTTAATAATGGGTAAAAACCATCAATACGTGGAAGGCTTTTGCTAGAATCTCTTTGAATCACCATAAAAGACTATGGCTGTACTCTAAAAAAATATAATGAATATTCAATGCACGGTAAACTTAAGAAGAAAATCAATACTTGATTTAAGACATAGCAATGAAATGTAATTTCAAAACTATAAATCAAAGGCACGTATATTGGAGGTGAATGGGGATGTTCTACAGCTTATTTAATAGAACTGAAAACATAAAATTATAAGTTCTGAGGTATATTTGTAGTCTTATCAGATATTGAAGTACTCCAGTCCCATTCACCTTAGTGATGGCTGGTTATAATGAAATATACTATTTATTCAAAAATAATAGTATAGAAGCCTCACTGCATCAGACTTCTGTTCAGAAAACTCCTGGCGGGGAAAACAAGGCAAACACAAAGCGGACTGTACTGAATTCTCATTGTCATTATTGCTGTGAAAAATAATGAGCCAGCAGCTAAAAAAGGACCACGAGCAAACTGCCTTTTCTTTCTCTTGCAGCAATTTTTTTTTTTACAAGGAAATATTATTTACCTTCAAATTTTGCTGAATTTCATATATTCTCCTTTTCCAAAATACTACTTTGGAAAGATTCCATTTGGTCTACCAGACAGGAAATATTTCCTAATTCAAGATTTTTAGATGAAAATTACATACACATGACATATTTTAAAGAGCATATTTCTCAATACTATATCATAGAAATAAATACAATAAATTTAAACTATCCTTTATGATAAGGAGAAACTTGTTGTTTTTGTTTTGTTTTGTTTGAAACGGAGTCTCGCTCTGTCGCCCAGGCTGTAGTGCAGTGGCACGATCTCGGCTCACTGCAAGCTCCGCCTCCTGGGTTCAAGCAATTCCCCTGCCCCAGCCTCCCGAGTAGCTGGGACTACAGGCGCCCGCCACCACGCCCGGCTAATTTTTGTATTTTAGTAGAGACGGGGTTTCACCGTGTTGCCCAGGCTGGTCGCAAACTCCTGAGCTCAGGCAAACTGCCAGCCTCGGCCTCCCAAACTGCTGGGATTACAGGCGTAAGCCATCGCTCCCTGCCCGATAAGAAGGAACGTTTTATGTTTACCCTGGATAATTTTTATCATTGTCTTCTTTGTAGAAGCATTATATCTAAATGTAACAGTAATTTGTCAATAACCCTAATATGCCATAAGTTAATATATTAATTTTTAAAAATAATTCCTAGAAACACTGGAAGAGGAGAAAAACAATCATCCTATATCTTTATGTTGTCCCTTATGTATTTTCTATATTAATGCATAATTGCCAAAATTACGGGTAATTGTATGTTCTAACCAGGAAAAAGTTAAACTGTTAAAGAGTATGCCAAGGAAGGCATTCTTTCTTCTGGCATTTTGTGTGTGTGTTTGTATGCGTGTTTATAAATGATTTCTCCCTTTAATTCCACTGCGGGAGAATATTTCAAGGAAGTAGCAGGAAAGGTTGAAACAAAAATTTAAAAAAAAATGTGCAGCTGTACGATAAACTAATTTATTTGAGAATAAGTGAAATTTATATCACAAAGAAGTTGGAGTTGAGTAGAAATCTTACAGTGACTCCCGTCAGAATGATATGAAAATAAATGTGATAAATTCAAATTATCCTGTTAAATAGAAACTATTGTTTCTTTTTCTTCCTTAGGTATTTTTAGCATCACATCATACTATCCGATGGTTTTTTTGTTTGTTTGTTTGTTTGTTTTTTGAGAAGGAGTCTTGCTCTGTCGCCCAGGCTGGAGTGCAGTGGCGCGATCTCGGCTCACTACAAGCTCTGCCTCCCGGGGTTCACGCCATTCTCCTGCCTCAGCCTCCTGAGTAGCTGGGACTACAGGCACCTGCCACCACGCCTGGCTAATTTTTTTTGTATTTTCAGTGGAGACGGGGTTTAACCGTGTTAGCCAGGATGGTCTCGATCTCCTGACCTCATGATCCACCTGCCTTGGCCTTCCAAAGTGCTGGGATTACAGGCGTGAGCCACTGCGTCTGGACCCCATACAGTCCTATGTTTTACATGGAGTTAGGATGACCTTCGTTTGCACAAAACTGTGTCACTTTGGCAAGTTACAAAATATCTCTGAGCTTGGCTTTCCTCAGCTTTAAGAAATAAGGATAAGGATGAATCAGATACAGTCAGCTTGAGAATTAAGTGAGGTACACATGTGAATTTGCGTCTTATTAGGCTTAATAAATAAAGGTTGTTTTTCTTCCGGCATTTAAGTTTTTATTTTACCTTCATTTAAGAAAGAACAAAGGAAAGAAGGAATGAGGAAAGGAAAGGAGGATGGAAGGAAGGGAATTTATTTCATAAAGTGACGAGGTTAATGACATTCAGTTTCTTGTATTTTTCAAAGAGCTCATTTTCTTTTCCACTTCAAAGCTCATAACAAAGCATCAAAATAAAGCAGTGGAGTGAATGCAGGGGCTTGCAGGCTTATTCAGTCATGAGTGGTTCCACAATAATACAATTTCATCTTGTGCTTCAATGTTTCATGTCCTGGGGGCAAGTTAGGTTGGTGCTACTGGAAAGAGGTTAAATTATTGTCTGCATTCTATAAACAATATAACACTTAAGATGAAACACAAGTCCTTTGTTTTCAGAGATGTATGCCTCTTCTACCTGTTTTTCAATTCATTCAGGCGGATAAATGGGAGGAAAAAAAGTAGGTCAATGAAGAAAGGCAATAAAGTTGTTAGTTTTCTGTGTGAAGAGCATCACGTAAACAAGTATGAATACCTGACTTGAAAATTGGCTTAAACGTGCATCATTATACACAGTGTCCAAAAAGCCAGGCAGTAAAAGAGCTTACTGCCCTTAATTGTAGACATGCCTAAGCATTCAGCTCTGCCAGCTTCCAACCCACACAGCAACTCTTGTGCTATAATACAAAAATGCAGGTGTATCTTTCTAAGTGCTAAACTCAATCCCAGCTTGAGCTATAGATTTCCAAATAAGCAACTTTGAAAAACTATTTTATTTTCCTTCTAGTTTTGTTCACCATATTAAGAACTGAAAACTGACATCAATATATTTTTCATACAGATTTTGAAAAAAGAAACATCAGAATTAACTATAATTAGGTAGCTAGCATGTAATAAATAATTCATGGTACTTTGGAATACTTCCATAAAAAGTATTAGAACACAATTGTTGCCATCACTCTTGGACAGTATTCGTTCTCCTTTTAGATGGATCTCCAGAATCCCTAGAGATTTCCACTAATGGTTGCCTTATTATAGCAAGTGTGATCATTCTCAGTCTACCTCTCTCTCTTACTTTCTATTTGGTCTTCATCTACTTCTGGTCTCCGTGTCAGAAGAAACAGCAAGATACTTTCATGTTAGAATAATGTTATATACTTTACATTTTGTAGCAGAGTCGACAATATAAGTTTTTCTTTTAATTTGGAGAATTAAAGGTAAGTCTCTGACCACTCTACCTGGGACACTTCCAAGGTTGTGTTTGCAGTGAGCAATCTTGAGGGTGAAGTAACATCTTCTCCTTCTCTGACAAAGAGGCTTACTTACCCAATGCTGCAAAGTGGCAGATTCCCTAAGATAAATGTTTCTTCCTGTGACACAGCCCACTGTGTGTGTAAATGTCTAGGCTGAACTTCATTCTCTTTGTGGGAACTGGGTCTCAGAATGGACGTGAATATGCTTTCACTTTAGTTACTTCTTTTGCTGTGAATAATAAAACCAGAGCCAGGAATCTCATGTCTTCTGTCAGCTTCCATGAAACTGTAGCAGTGTCGCAGGCTAACTGAGTTTGAAAGTAGGTTAGTTAGAGCCTTCAGAATTTCTTTCTTTTTTTTTTTTTGAGACAGAATCTCACTCTGTCTCCCATGCTGGAGTGCAGTGATGCAATCTCGGCCCACTGCAATCTCTGCCTCCTGGGTTCAAGTGATTTTCATGCCTCATCCTCCCGAGAAGCTGGAATTACAGGAGTGCGCCACCACAACCAGGTAATTTTTGTACTTTTAGTAGAAGGGGGCTACACCATGTTGGCCAGACTGGTCTCAAACTCCTGGCCTAAAGTGCTCCGTCCGCCTCAGTCTCCAAAAGTGTTGGGATTACAGGTGTGAGCTACCATGCCCTGTGACGCCTTCAGAATTCTTAACAATTAGAATCAAAGGACACTTGAGATTAGAGGATATATATATTCTGTTTTATAAACACTTTTAAAGCCTAAAAACTCCATATAGAATGGCTAATAATTCCATGGAAGTATGTTCTAGCATGAGCTTTTTAATGTCAGGAAAAAAAAATCGGTTCCAAAACTAATCATTCTCAGAGAATTACTTAGAGAACCCATATAACTCAACTGATAATTTTGGCCAAAAATTGATAATTATGGCCATTAGCTTTTAAACTGTACTTTTTGGCTTAAAATTTGGAGAACCACAATTTTTTGGTGTGTTTTAGACAAAGTAAAGTTAATTTTCAAACAAATGTTGGCTGTACATTCAAATAGTTAGGCCCATCTTCTACTATGTCTACCTTATCAAGTGGAATGTGATATAGTTTTGGTAGGTAATCAAAATCAAAAATGATATATAGAACTACAACTAGTATTCATTTGGGTAGCTCTAAAGATCTGCAAACATCAGGAAAGGTAGTATAAGTATGTATATTTTGCCAAAATGGAGTTGTATTGACTAAGGATATGAGGGTAATCTTATTGAGAGATAATGGTAAAAATCAGTTTTTACTCCATGGGAGTAAAAGTATGCAATAGAAAAAGCAGGGGTTTTTTTCATGTTATTTTGTTGTTGTTTTGTTTTTTTCTGAACCTAGAGTAACTGATCCTCTAGCTAAAATTACATCTATATCTATATCTGTAACTATAACTATCTTCATTTACATTTATCCGTTTTACTTTTTAAAAACTAAAAGTAACTTTGAAAGAGCTTGCCTTCCTCCCTCTCTTCTATCCTTTCTTCTGCCCTTTCTTCCTTCACTGCTTCATTTCCCTTTTTCCCTCTTTCCTTTTCCTTCCTCCCTCTCTTCTATCCTTTCTTCTGCCCTTTCTTCCTTCACTCCTTCATTTCCCTTTTTCCCTCTTTCCTTTTCCTTCCTCCCTTCCTGTTCCCCCCTCCCTCTTTCTTTCTCTTTCATTCATTTTTCCCTGTTTAATTTTTCTTTTACAATATCCATGAAAAAAAATGTTCTTTCTGCTCTACTTTTACCTCTGAATATACTAACCTTTATTATACTTTCAAGTTGCTTGAATGTCCTTCGAAGACTTTGAGATTAAACTTTAAGAAATTAATTGAAGTTATACAGAAAATGTTAAGGTTATCTTCGTTAAGGCAATTTAGAACCAACATTTTTCAAATTGATAGAAGTATAAGATGATTCTGCATCTCAACCTATAAGCCAATTTGAGAAAAAGTAGATTTAGAATAAGATTTAGATTGTTAGTTTGAAAAAACAATTGTTGCTTGGAAAATTTCAGTGTTAATAAATAGAAACTAATTTATTATGTTTTGATACTACCAGAATTAAAGTATATAAGTGGAAACTATTGCAAGATAAGAAAGTAATATCTATTAATTATGACAAGAAAATGTGTGTGTTTGCTCAATGATCTTATAATCTCTAATGAGAAATAAGTGAGTGCATTCAAAAATTTTAATTTTAAATTAACACTAGCATTTCTTTTCTCATCACAATAATCTTTTTTCAGAAGGAACACTCTAACTCACATGACTAGAAATTAATGCTCTGTATGAAGTAGTGAGCTGGCTTTTACCCTACCTATAGTTTGTAAAGCAATTGGAAAAACTTCAGTATGTATTTCTTGAATTAATGCGTGGGAAAGGCAAAAGTTCATTAGAGCTGCTGACTTATCTGCATGTAAAATGTTGAGTGCTATCCAGGAGAGAGTGCTAAATGTTCCGCAGCTTGCAAATTTGCATAATGAAGAAGAGTATGAATTTAATTTACCATTAACTTGTTAAACCTCTCTGTAATATTTTCTCTCTGTAATTTATTTTTATATGCATTACAAGGTAATTGAAATCAAAACTGTAATAGGTTAATAGACTAAAAGGGAAAAAAAGAAACTATGAACTATATTTGCCCTTAGAATATTATCATAAAGAGCCAGGATATTAGAGTCTGTAAGTGTTAAAAGCTATTCATTGAAGCCTGATAGTGGACTTCCAGATGGCAGGTAAAACCCTTCCTAATCAATTTTTATTTATACCTTCTGTAGATATTGTGTGTTAGCAAGCACAGAGTACAATACACTGTGGGGCACTATCTTCACATTTTGTGTGATGTCTATAATAATCGAAAATTCTGAAAAGAAAGATGGGATGAGCCAGACAAATTGGAAATAAGCATGTGGGCAAATGCTTACCATCCTCAGCGTTTCAACTACGTTGATTTGAAAATATTAAGAAAACATGTTGGTAATAAGTATAAAAATGACTTAGAAATATTAGAACAGTAGTAGGATGCATGTGATGTGCTTAACATAATCCTTATTATAAACACAATTCTCATCAAATCCATCCTTGTAAATTGGATGACTCTAATACTTTTCTCTACCCTCTGTACATGACATTAAAAATCACCTTCAAAAACATACCTCCCAGAAAATGAATTTAAATAGCAGCTCAACAGAGATCAGAAATATATCCTTTCTTTTTAGTTGGAAGATGTAGTCCTTCTGATGCAGGTGAGTGTGAGAGGTGAAGGCAGATTCAACTTTACTTGTACCCAACACTTCCACATCTTAAATTCACATTTAAAGGATTATATTTTTAGCATTTTGCAGGTATTAACTGGAAAATGTGTACACTTTGACAAGTGTCATCCTGCAAATGTATCTTTTTTTATTTTTCAATATTTTATTTTTTTACTTTAATTTTTTTTTCATTATACTTTAAGTTCTGGGATACATGTGCAGAATGTGCAGGTTTGTTACATAGGTATACACGTGCCATGGTGGTTTCCTGCACCCATCAAGCCCTCATCTACATTAGGTATTTCTCCTAATGCTCACCCTCTCCTTGCCCCCCACCCTCCGACAGGCCCCGGTGTGTGATGTTCCCTTCCCTGTGACCATGTGTTCTCGTTGTTCAACTTCCACTTATGAGTGAGAACATGTGCTATTTGGTTTTCTGTTCCTGTGTTAGTTTCCTGTGAATGATGGTTTCCAGCTTCATCCATGTCCCTGCAAAGGACATGAATGCATCCTTTTTTATGGATGCATAGCATTCCATGGTGTATATGTGTCACATTTTCTTTATCTAGCCTATCATTGATGGGCATTTGGGTTGGTTCCAAGTCTTTGGTATTGTGAATAATGCTGCAGTAAACATATGTGTGCATGTGTCTTTGTAGTAGAATGATTTATAATTCTTTGGGTATATACCCAGTAATGGGATTGCTGGGTCAAATGGTATTTCTGGTTCTAGATCCTCGAGGATTTGCCACACTGTCTTCTACAATGGTTGAACTAATTTACACTCCCACCAACGGTGTAAAAGCATTCCTATTTCTCCACATCCTCTCTAGCATCTGTTGTTTCCTGACTTTTTAATGATTGCCATTCTAAACTCATCATCACTGGTCATGAAAGAAATGCAAATCAGCCAGGCGCGGTGGCTCACGCCTGTAATTCCAGTACTTTGGGAGCCCAAAGTGGGCAGATCATGACGTCAAGAGATCAAGACCATCCTGGCCAACATGGTGAAACCCTGTCTCTACTAGAAATACAAAAATTAGCTGGGTGTGGTGGCACACACCTGTAGTCTCAGCTACTCAGGAGGCTGAGGCAGGAGAGTCATTTGAACCCAGGAGGCAGAGGTTGCAGTGAGCTGAGATTGCATCACTGCACTCCATCCTGGAGACAGAGCAAGACTCTGTCTCAAAAAAAAAAAAAAAGAAGTGTATATTAATATAGAGAAAATATTTGTTTACAAGGCTCCCACCAGTTTATACTGTGCCTTTGTACAAATTATCAAAAATCACTTCTCCCCTTCATCTCCCTGGGTAGATGCAAACCTGTGGTTTCACAGGTGGATGAAGGGCAGGGTGCTCTTGTAAGGTAAACAATATATTGAATTATACATAGCTGCTTTGCCTGTCTAACCTCATATAAATCACAATCTCTAATTTTCAGAAGATGTGGGAACAATTTCTAAAATGAAATATGTGAATATATGTGAGACCCAGTTGGAATGAGACTATATTCATAAACATAGGATGCTTTTTAAAAAGTACATTGATAGGTTTTTACTTTTACTATAACAAACACAAGATCATCATTTTACACCTACTAAGCCATTAAGTTCATTAAGGTAGAATTAGAAGAGATAGAAAAAAGAAAGGAGAAAAGAACAATTCTATCTATTCCCACGGTTGGCTATGGTTAAAATGTCATTCTGTACTCTCTTTTCTTCACTTAACATTAAGTAAGGAGCATGTTTCATATCATTCAAAATAAAATAGATTAAAATTTTATTTTAATGATCATTTAATTTGCTAATCATTAATTATTACACATATATTTAATTTAAATAAAATAACTTTCAATAAACTGAGCATTGAATTATGTTTTGTGCTGATATGGTTTCCTTCCAAAATGAAGAAGATAACAACACTGGGAAACAATCTCTCTAGGTTAAAAATGCTTTCTTATTACACATTGCTACTAGGAAGGATATTTTATTATGAAATTTAGTGTCTGATCCCAAGGATTTTAATTTTTATACTCCAATATTACAATTTTAATGGTATAATATAGCCAGGATATATTTACTACTCTATGTAAAACTCAGAAGTTTAAAAAAATTAACAGAATCTCAAGCAAAGATTGCAGAATTGAGAATAACTTTAAAATACACTGCATTTTCTAATCTAGTTAGGATTTAGTTTAAATTGATGAATACTTGAAAGGAGCTCATAAAAATATTACTTGATTGAAAATATTCCTACACAGAAATCTGTGAAAGCAGAGCACTATTGCCAATACTACTTTCATTGTAGTATCTTTGCTTTTGAAAAGCCTTCTTTCTGAAAGATTATTTACACTACTTTCTGAATTTTTTATTTGGAGCATATGTAAAAATACTGAGTCACTTCATCAAAGAAAAAGAAATCTAATTCATTTATTGCTGACTAGTAAACTTTATAGTCGGAAGAACAATTTACAATCTTTTGGGCTGGGCATGGTGGCTTACGCCTGTAATCCCAGCACTTTGGGAGGCTGAGGCAGGCAGATCATGAGATCAGGAGATCGAGACCATCCTGGCTAACATAGTGAAACCCTGTCTCTACTAAAAATACAAAAAAATTAGCCAGGTGTGGTGGCGGGCACCTGTAGTCCCAGCTACTCTGGAGGCTGAGGCAGGAGAATGGCATGAACCCAGGAGATGGAGCTCGCAATGAGCCGAGTTCTCCACTGCACTCCAGCCTGGGCGACAGAGCGAGGTTCCAGCTCAAAAATAAAATAAAATAAAATAAAATAAAATACAATCTTATTAGTTGAAGATAATCTTTTTTAATAAGAAATTTCTTCTTTTAACTTTTCAAGATCCTCTACCCAAATCCAGGTTCAGTGACTGTTCTCAGTGAATATTATCTCTAGCTGTAACCAACTGAAATCATTTTTCAACAGAAAGTCTCTAACAATTAACCAGGTTTTCTCAAAGTTGGCTGACATATTCCCACAGAATTAGCAAGTGCAGAGTGACTGATGAAGCTCCATTTATTCTCAGTCCTCAGGACCTAATAAAAACTAGTGTCAATCAGGTTCCAACAAGGGCCACCACTAATGGCACAAATGCCTATGAAGTCAAGAATATCAGATTTGGCCATAAAGTGTCCAGCCTTTTATTAAAACAAATGAACAATCATCACTTGAACTGTTATGGTCTTCCACCTCAGTGACTAATTGAGATTCATTATTCTGCAAAATGACAAAAGAAGCTCTTCCGTACTCTAAGCTGTAGCCTTTTATTTATGTTACCCAGAGTTTAAGCAAGGATGTGAGCTGGGAGCTCATCAACAACTGCTTTCTGAGGAAAGTCTTCTTTCCCTTCAGGCATTCCCTCTGATGTCTATGTAAGTCCAGCCCACCCACCTGGAAAGTTTAGTTCTAATAACCATGTCAATTACTTTTCTCAGAACACCAACTGAAGCAACATTCAATTTGAAAGTAGTGATCCGAGAAAGATACTTGATCCTTGTCATTTGATCACAGTAGTGAACAACTAACAATTCCCTTCATGATCCTACCTCATGACACCATCATATCAGTATTTCATTAAAGGACAATTTATGAAAAAGCTACATGCTGATTGTTTTTTGTAAAATTCAAAAAAATTCATAAGCTTCTCAGACCAAGTGTTGTTAATGACAATATTGTTACTTTGATCAATATTTTTGGTGACTAACTCCAATGTTGTTAAAAAAAAAAATGCTGCTTTCATCAAGCTGTTGTACCTTGCACAAAATATATACCATTCAACTGACTTGATTTTTTCTAGTACTGTGATTGCAGGCACATTCAGACTAGTTCTCTACTCATCCGTTACTGCTTTGCTTAGCTAAGTGATCCTAGTATCACTGCCCATTTCTCTACAACTGCCTTTTATTGTGTGGTTTTGACTTAACCTCTCCTGCGAGTATAGGTCTTATCTATGCTTTCCTTGTAAGCCAACTCAAATTTCATTTGTAATATACATTTTTTCCCACAATTCTCTTCTGTTTTCTATATCTTTGTATATTAAATGAAAAGATATCTGAAGAGTAAACATTCACATTAACTCCATCTGTTGAACATAATGAAATATCAATAATGCCTTTAAATAAAGTGCTTTAATAAAAGCACTTTATTAGGCTAGAAACATAAGAAAATAATACTTAAGATTTCTTATAACATTTACTTTTAGGGAACTCACTCTTGTTTAATCATAGCAACACTGAACTGAGTCAGCTAGAATATCTACTAACAGTAGGACTTTGGAAATTTTCTGTCTTCTTTGTGGTAAAATGATGGAATCAGACTTAATGTTCTTTCATTAGGATTGTGAAAAGGTTTTGTGTTTTTATGAGAATTCTCCTTTGACAATGCACAGCATAAATTCATTTACTTTTCCTGTATATTCAAAAATGATAAATGAAAACTCATTCACATCTTTACAATCTTTAAAAAACACACACACGTGCCTGTAATCCCAGCACTTTGGGAGGCTTAGGCGGGAGGATCATGAGGTCAAGATATCGAGACCATCCTGGCCAACATGGTGAAACCCCGTCTCTACTGAAAATACAAAAAGTAGCTGGGCTTGGTGGCACGCTCCTGTAGTCCCAGCTACTCAGGAGGCTGAGGCAGGAGAATTGCTTTTACCCAGGAGGCAGAGGTTGCAGTGAGTTGAGATCATGCCACTGCACTCCAGCCTGGCGACAGAGCGAGACTCCATCTCAAAAAATAAATAAATAAATAAAAGCCACACATGTTAATATAAAGCGTTTGCTGATTCCCTTGGATGTGAATGTCTTAGCAGCCACACCAGATCTTCTAGTTTTCTGGTCACTTTCTAAAATGCCTGCAAGGGATGTTCAGTGGTGTCTGGAACTAGGATTCTAGAGTCAGCATCCAAGATGGGAACTGTCAGGATCCTGGGCTATGTCTCCCAGATGGCTCTTGGACCATATCCTGAATAACAAGGTGGTCTATTAACAATCCATGGTACAGGTAACTCAGAGCTCTAGTTTCAGGAGGAGACTGAATAAAGTAAAAAAAATGTGTCAAGCAAAATGTATTTAACAGTGAATAGCCATATCAAAACTTTTCAGTGATTAAGATAAAAATATAAAGATGATTCAAACCAATAGTAAGCATTAACCTAAAAAAGATAAGGAAGGTGTCAAAATAAGAATCAATCTTGTAAGCAAGGTAAGGAGCAGATTTACAATAAACTCATCACTCTGAAGTCTAAGTAAAGAAGTCAGAGAGAGAGAAAAATATTTGGTGTCACAGATGTCAAAGGGAAAGAGAGTTTCAAAAAGGACAGTTGAGTCCACAATGACACATGTCACAGATATAAAAGGATAAGAGACAAGGAAACACATATATGCAGGTACTCATGTCACATACACTCATGCATACACATACACACACACACCCCTATACACACAAATGGTCTTTTCTAACGGGTTTTAACAACTGTCTAAATGTTACTGATATAGAAATCAGATTTCAACATGCCAAATAATTTGATGGCAAAGAAAGGTGAATGGACTATCCTATTGAAAACTATAATAGTAAAATGTTATCTGGAGAGAAATTAGATTGAGGAGGTATTCTTAGGTTGGGTGATCTTGATAAGTTTTGTGATCTGATTGTTACTGAAAGAAAACAGCAGACATGAAGGTCATAAATGAGAATTCATGTGTGAAAGAAAGTGACAATTGGGGAAAGTAATCTTGAGAAATATATAAGAAAAATGAAGGATAGATGTTGTTATTATTTTTTACTCTTGTAGAGGTGATCCTAGAGAACAAGGCAGTGTGACAATCCTCCCAGCTGGCCTGGGAAACTGTATTATGTTGTCTGACCATAATGGAGACACATAGCAATTTGCAAATCCAAAGACTGAACAGAGGAAGAAAATATATTTAATACATTTGGGATTGATAAGGAGGCAGGAATCTGGAAGCTGAATAACATGGTAACCATGTGACACAGCTGCATAGGCTAAAGTGTGTAATCAGAGGATAAGATACCATTAAATTGGAATATTGACCTAATATGGTGAGGCCTGAACTCCTGTATGCCAAATTGCTAGTTGTAGGGAAACAGGTTATAAAATGGTGTTGGAAAATTTACTATTAATGATAATAGCTAACAAGTTTAGTATATTCTGCACCAGACCCTCTTTTTTTTTTTTTTGAGACAGAATCTCTTGCTCTGTTGCCCAGGCTGAAGTGCAGTGGAGCAATCTCGGCTCACTGCAAGCTCTGCCTCCCGGGTTCACGCCATTCTCCTGCCTCAGGCTCCCGAGTAGCTGGGACTACGGCACCGGCCACCACGCCCGGTTAATTTTTTGTATTTTTTTTTAGTAGAGACAGGGTTTCACTGTGCTATCCATGATGGTCTCGATCTTCTGACCTCGTGATCCACCTGCCTCGGCCTCCCAGTGGGCCAGACACTCTTATAAATGCAGTATGTGGTTGTTAACAGTCTTCTTACTCCTTCTTACTCCTTTAGTGAATTCCAAGTTTTTGACCCACAACTAAGAAGACTAAGGCACAGGGACACCAAAGAGTGAGTACAGTAGGATTTATTAAGTGACAGAAAAGTTCTCAGCAATGAGAGGAACTGAAAGATGGTTTCCAGAAATGGGGCTGAGTTCTGGGTATTTTATGTGGCAGAAGCGAGGAAGTCTTCTTTGGGTTCCGCCTGAATAGGAAAGATTAAGTTCCCCACCGGGAGTGTTGCATCTGCGCATGCCTGGTGTTGGCCATAGCTACTCCACCTTGGTTATTACCCTTGAGTGCCTAAGGGAAACCTATGGAGGGGCTAAAGCTGCAATGCTAGTGATATGTTAATTAGCTCTAGGTCAAGATAAGGACATTTAGTTGATTTATTGCACCTGCGCCTAAGTTGGGACAGTCCCTTCTGAGCAAACATTTTGGCTTAAGAGGAAATTCTTAACCACATTTCCTCCTACTAGCTACAGGGGTGGTGGAGGTGCGATCCCATAGGTGCTTTTTCTCTCCCGAGACCCTTCCTCTCTACCTGCCTAGCCAGCCGCTAACTGCCTTCTCTCTCATTGGTTTGTTTAATACTTAAAAGAACCTTAAAATGAAGAGACTGTTATTATTTCCATTTTACAGAGGTACATAGAGCTTAAGAACATTAACCAAGGTTTTACAGATCAGTAGTGGCAGAGTCAGGATTAAAATGCAGAGGGTCTCTCTCTAGAGCTCATAGTCTTAATTTCTGATGCAATAAATGAATTTTCAACTTGGAGAAAACTCTTGAAGGGGGGCTTCTTGTTTCTCTGAGAATTACCATGTGTTTCTTTGAGAACTGACCATATCTCAATGCTGTGGCTTTGTAGCAGTTACAGTTAAATTCTCTAGGTTAGTTGTACGTGTTTCTTTCTGACTTTATGTGCTCATATTCCACTGTTCTACCGCATAATAATTTCAGTGAGGGATTGATATCTTTTATTTCCAGAAATCATTACCCTCAAGAATTTTATGAGTTTACAGATTGACTGGGGAAGATGGTAACATAGGGAAATGGTCCAATACTGTAGCCTGAAGTCTTCTGCCATCCAACTGGCTTTATGTCTCTGAGTTTTGTTTATCCTCTCTCTTCTCTTCTCTCTGGAAGAACAAACTATTTGTTCCTTCTTCTTTTGCAGAACAGTTTTTTTCATATTCCTAATGTAGGCAAGGTCTTACATTCTACATCAAACATTGACCATTTTAAAGTAAATATAATAAATAAACTGTTCTTTCATGGCATTAGTTTCATTGCCCTCCCTGTAGTGATTTCTACAGTTTATGTATAGTCATGTTTTTCTACCTATACTTGCATATGAAGGTGTTTTGAATTTATATTTGCTTTCTTCTTTCATTGTTTAACCTATGAAATATAGTAGAATGAATTCTATTTTCTAAATTCAAGCAACGTATCTCCTGAAACTGAGTTTTTAGAATTTTTTTTGTATTTATATATATTTAGGGGGTATAAGTAAAGTTTTGATACATGGGTATATTACACAGTGGTGAAGTCCATGCTTTTAGTGAAACCATCACACAAATAATGCACATTGTACATATTAAGTAATTTCTTATCCCACACCCCCACAAGCACACACTCTTCCACTCTTCCATGTCTCCAATGTCTGTTTTTCTACATTCTGTGTCTAGGTGTACACATTATTTTGCTCCCTTTTATAAGTAAGAACATGCGATATTTGATGCTCTGTTTCTGTGGGTTTTTAAGTTAAGATAATGGCCTCCAGTTGCATCCATGTTGCTGCAAAACACATGATTTTATTCTTATTTTATGATTGATTAGTGTTTCATGGTATATAAATATATACCACATTTTCTTTATCCAATCATCTGTTGATGGACAGTTAAGTTGATTCCATAATTTTTTTCTTGTGAATAATGCTGTGATAAGCATACGAGTGCTAGTATTTTTTTTTCCCTTTGGGTATATGCACAGTGGTGAGATTGCTGGATGAAATGGTAGTTCTATTTTTAGTTCTTTAAGAAATCTCCATGCTCTTTTCCATAGAATGTGTACTAATTTACAGTCCCATCAACAGTGTATATGACTGTTTCCTTCTCTCTCAATCTTTGCCAACATGTTATTTTTTTTCTACTTTTTATTAATAGCCATTCTGATTGGTAAGCGATGATATTTCATTGTGGTTTCAATTTGCTTTTCCCTGATGAATAGCAATGTTGAGCATTTTTTTTTCAAATATTTGTTGGCCATTTGTATTTCTTCTTTTGAAAATGTCTGTTTATGTCATTTGTCTCATTTTTAATAGGGTTTTTTGGTTTTCTTAGTTGAGTTGTTTGAGTTCATTGTAGATTCTGGATATTAGTCCTCTGTCAGATGTATAATTTGCAAATATTTTCTTTCATTGTGCAGCTTCTCTGTTCACTCCGCTGATTATTTCTTTTGCTGTGCAGAAGCTTTTTAGTTTAAAGTCCCATTTGACTGTTTTTGTTTATGCTGCGCTTGTTTTCAACATTTCAGTCATGAGTGTTGGACGGTATTCAGAAGAGGTTTTCCTAGGTTTTCTTTTAGTATTTTTAGAGTTTAAAGTCTTACATTTAAGTCATTAATTCATCCTGAGGTAACTTTGTATATGGTGAGAGATAGGGGTCCAGTTTCATTGTGACACTTACTTTAAAATTTAGTTTGCACACCTATATTGTGGATCTTTGAGAAACCATGGGTTGTTTCTAGATCTGGATTGGGGCTACATGTTTGAGGCTTGACATATAGAGATGTGTCTGGTAAACAATCTTGAAGAGGATTTCACACTGTATATGGATGTTAGTGAGGGGAGGAAGGCTTTGGGAAAAAAAAAAAAGGAAACCCATAGACTAAGTCTAGAAGTCAAAAATTGACTTTGGTTTTGGAGTGACTTTAATTCTACCTTGAGTCATGTTCTGTGAAAATCCACAAAAGCAAAAACTTGCTTTCCATAGAAATAGAAAAAGTTGATTTTGGGAGTAGGGAAGGAAGAAATATAATAAAGAGGGAGTACTTACATAAGAAGAGAGAATATATATTGTAATTTTGCTTCTATTACTAATTAGGTGGGTGACCCTGTACAGATGGCTCAATCTTTCCTACCTTTATGTTCCATTTAACCAAATTAAAAGTTGAGAATCATGATTCACTCATTTTTTTTCAAATCTAAATCCTATGATTTTAATAGGAATTTTACAGTCTTATAGTCAGATAAATCCCTTACCTTAGACATCCTTTTCCATTTTCAGGGATTTTCCATATCTGTGAAAAATAGCTCCGAGAAATAAGAAACCTTGAAACCCCATCAAGGCTTAGAGGCTTCCATTGTACAGATTTGACTGTGGGGAAGTTACTTAGCCTTCCTAAACTCCAGTCTCCTATTTGATAAGTAGTAATAGCATACACCTCACAAGGTCATTCTGAGCATCAGTTGTGAGATTATCATAAAGGACATGATGCCTAAGACCAGTAAGATAGCTACTTTTGCCACTACTATCACTAGTGCTACTAACACTCATCCACAAGAAGGTATTAGAGAACCTGCACCTTCCCTCTTATTGGCAGTCTGACACCAAAGAATCAAAGTGTGAACCTATAGTAAATCTCACAGATTGGTTCTCTTGGCAACTGTAGAAAATGTCTAATATATTGGTTTAACAGAGTACTCTAGAAAGAGATTTGGACTAAACATAAAGATACTTGGTCTCATTTTCTCCATTTGGGAGCTCTGGTCACTTGGGCAAATCACAGTGATTTGAATTCTCTGAGAATGAAGTGCTTATTTTGGTCAATAGGTCAATGTCCATGATACTCAAGTTTTAACAATTGTATAGTAATCTGATCACTCATATTTGCTGGATGCTTCAACAAGTGTAAAAGACAAAACTGGCACTATCTAATGTTGATTGAAATCATTCTTACTATGGTATTGTTTGAAACAGGTTACATTTATTAAATCACCTAGGAGGCTGGTAACATCATAACTCTTATTTTACTATTGGTGACCCTGAAGCACAGAGAAGGTTGGGAACTTTCCCGAAGCCAGATCCAGAATTCAGCAGTGGATGAGGTTTTCAGAATAAAAATATGTCAAAAATATAAAATAAATAGGGGCAGGGCCAAAAGGATGCTGGGCATTTGGGTAAGATCCAAGGCAAAAGGCTGCGATATGACTTTTGTCTCTGGCTGAGTATAATTTAGTTCTTTGTAGCTCTAATCATGGGTCGCTCCTTTGCCTCAAAGTTCCCTGCTTAGTGCTATACCCTTCACTAGTATGTTTTCAAAGCAATAATAGAGAAACTCTTGTCTGATAGGTTTAGTAGTGAAATGGGAGAGTTCCCTGACCCCAGTCGTAGGATGTTCAACAGGGGTGACGCTTATTAGGCCACCACCAGTGCTCAAACTCCTTATAGAAGGGATAGCATGCAGATGGGCAGGAACGGGAGCTAGGGTGAGCACTTCTGGGCTCTGGCCCCATGGTAGCATCTAGGAGTAGGTGCTGCAACCCCCGAAGCCCAAGTGGGCAGTGTTACAGTGCACTCTTTTAGTTTTGCTGTCTGCAGATGGCTTAAGTGTTAAACAGCTCAGTGGACCCTCTGCTTTTTTGCAAGGGCAGAGGGGCAGTGTGACAGCTTTCTGTATCTCTGAGGGCCAGTGTGACAGCTTTCTGTATTCTAGAGCTCTTGTTCGGCATCCTGGAAGGATCAGGTCACACACGGACTTGAAGGACGGTGAATGCAAGGGTTGTTTTGTGTTGTGGAGGTGGCTCTCAGCAGGATGGATGGGGAGCTGGAAGGGGGCTGGAGTGGGAAGATAATCTTCCCCTAGAGTTTGGCCCTCCAGCAGACAATCTCCTCTCTGACAGCCCACAGCTGAACTCCTCTTGGTGTTCAGACACTTCTTCTTTCTGCTGTGTTGTTCTGCCATTCTTCTGCTTTTCTGTTCATCTTCTTATCCCCTTCTGGAGCTGGGCTTTGCAGTTTATATGGGTATATGGGTACAGGATACGGAGTCATGGGGGGCCAACCGGTAACTTTTTGGGTACAAAAACAGGAATGCCTGTTCCCATTTGGGGTCACAGGAGTCCAGGCTTAAGGGTGGGGCCTTTGCCAGGGAATGGCCCACTTCTACCCAGTATTTACCGTTTTCCTGTCTGTATCAGTAGGAAGCAGCATATCAAGTTTTCAAGCTATTTCTTTGGTCTGGGATGAACAAGAATAGTGTTCTCTACTGGAAAATATGTGAAGGAAAATGTTTACCAAAAGAAGTGGAGGAAGGACAAAAGAAGTGAAGGAAGGAGAAGTCTTTGCCTAAATTTTCTGGGTGCTCTGTTGGAGCCATTGTTCCTGGTTGACTACATTTTTTTTTTCAATTTTTTCCAGCTTTATTGAGGATAATCAACAAAAAAAAATTATATATATTCAAGATGTACCACATGATGATTTGACATCTGTATACATTGTGTAATAATTGCCACAATCAAATTAATCAACATATCTATCACGACACATGGATATATTTTGTATATGTGTATTGAGAATGCTAGAGCTCTAGTCTCTTAGCAAATTTCAAGTAAACAATAAAGCCTTATTAACTATAATTATCATGGCTGTGTATTAGATCTCAGAACTTATTTATCTTATAACAGAAAGTGTGCGATTGACTGACCAACAGTGAAAGAAGGTGCTCATATGTCTATGCTAACTATATTGGGAATGAGATTTTGGGGACAACCAACGTACTGAAGTATGCCCAATTCTCAAAATACTAGAAGCAGCCCAAAACCCAATAGAAATAGCATTAGGCTGAAAAAAAAAACATTTCTATTTGAAGGTATTGCTTATTCGTATGAGCAAAGGAACTTGTCAACACTCTTTACTCACTTGGATCCAGTTTGGATGACAGAGCTTTACATAAACCTCCACTGCAAGGAAAGGGTGCTAGTACCTTCTTGATGGGATGTTGTGGTCGGAATTCCACAAAATATGGATGAAACTTGAACTAGTGATTCAGACTCACAAATGTAGTTGACTCTCATATGGTTGACTCTCATATAGGACTCTCCTTAGAGGTTTGGCTGAAGTTCATTTGCACTTTAATTCTTGTAGCTGGATTTGGAAGACAATTATTTTCAAAGTAATATGGCACCCCATCACAGAATAATAAAATTAAGTTAGAAAACAATGTTACTCATATATTTTTGAAGAGGTGTGATGAATTTGTTCAGCAACAGAATTCAGTTCATTTCCCTACTATATTTTAAAACTTAAGTCCAAACCCACCTCCAACTTTTAGCTACTTCCCCAGTGGAAGGTAATTATTTACTTGCTTTTAAGTAATGCAAATCGTTCCTAATTCAGTGATTAACCATAAAGATTAGCTATCGAGTGATATTCAGTCCAGTGCTTAAAAATGTTGTGGGACTTACTGGCTTAACGAAAACAAAGCTGTTCTTAACTAAACAAACAAACAAAAAATTTATTACTATTTAGTGAACTTGAAAGAGGTGACAAAATTGTTGATGTTCCTGCAGCTGTACAGCTTGTAATAAAGCTTGTAAGACTCTTAGGATCTCAGATAAGAAACCACACACTTTGCTGCCTGAATCTGGGCCAAATGAGCATGCCAGAAATCAATATTTTCAGTACAATTTTATTTCATCTTGTTTCTGATTTGGTATTTTCTGACATTTGGTAATTTGTACTTTAAAAAAAGTATGAGTTTCTGCAGACACTTTTTTAAAACAAAATATGTATTATACCGTTTTCTCTTATGCACTTTGTTATTTGTAAACATTTGGGGAGAAATAATTGCTTTTTAGAAAATTGATTGGTTGATACAAACTCCATTCTGAGTAACGCAGGGCAATCCAGTTCATAGAAAAAGAAAGTAGCTCCATCTTTTGTTTGATAAAGCGGCAACTCAGCTCTCAAACCTCATGCATCTTTGGTATTCAAGTAATCAAAGTTCAATTCATTTCAGATCCTTGTTCTGATATATTTTTTTATTGTGTGTTTTGATTAAATGTCTGGCTGATTGATTGATGGGTCTTTTCTCATTGGGCTGAATTGATTGTGAAGATGACTGCAATAGAACCACTGTGTTGACTATTTTGTGAATGGATTCAGTTGTTAGTGCTTTTAATGTAATTTATAGAAGTTTACAAATCACTTTGGCATTGGAATTTCAAGGCTGTGTTTCAGTTCCATCATTTTCAATAATAGTTTATACTTAACATTTAAACCATATATTGTATGTTAAGGTGGAAATTAAAATTTATGGTTATGAAGAAGTGCATTAATATTTTTAAAACATAATTATTGACTATAACAATATTTTATTAATAAAAATAAACAATTACTTCCTAAACTATGTTAATAATTTTTTAAATTGAATAACTGAAAAAGTAATAACCCAACAAATTTCCAGCTCTGACTGAAGGCAACAGAATAATTCCAGACTGGCAGAATTGTAAAGTTGACTGTCCAACAAGAATCTTCACGAATTCTAGAACAAGTCTGCCAAAATTAAATCTTGACCCCATTGCTTAGTGAATAAATGAACTTGGGCAGTATACAAAGCCATTCTGAGTCTCCATTCCTCATTGGTAGAATGGAGATGGTAACAGTACCTACATTATATGGATATAAAGATAAAATAAGTGTATAAATGATCAGAACATAATAGCACTGGGTATTTGTGTTTTATATCCATCAAATCTCAAGGTAGAAGAGGAATATTGTCAATGTAATAGCAGAAGTTTTCAATTTTCTTTTTTTTACAGTAATTATAAAATAGGAATTAAACTATTTTATGTAATGTTCACTCAGCAGAAAGGTATTGCACCTCATATGGGTTAGGCTAAGGATAAAAAGAGGAAAGACAAATTCATTTTCCTAAAACTCAGTTAAGGGGAGCGAGTGTGAGAAATTGTGGAATTAATAAACAAGGACATTGCTAGAGATGGTATGAAGATGGGACCAACTGATTTGCATCCACCCCGAAAAATCCTAATTCAAATCGTATGAGCCCTTTGGAATATCATTAAATAAAAAGTCTCCGGCCGGGCGCGGTGGCTCACGCCTGTAATCCCAGCACTTTGGGAGGCCGAGACGGGCGGATCACGAGGTCAGGAGATCGAGACCATCCTGGCTAACACGGTGAAACCCCGTCTCTACTAAAAATACAAAAATTAGCCGGGCATGGTGGCGCGCGCCTGTAGTCCCAGCTACAGGGGAGGCTGAGGCAGGAGAATGGCGTGAACCCGGGAGGCGGAGCTTGCAGTGAGTCGAGATCGCGCCACTGCACTCCAGCCTGGGCGACAGAGCGAAACTCCGTCTCAAAAAAAAAAAAAAAAAAAAAAGTCTCCTAATTGAATTCTAATGATACAAAGAGAAGAAGAGTGAGGTTCAGAGTTCCCCACCCTCACAGGCATTGAGCCCAGAGTGGTCAATAATTTTTCTGTTTAGGAAACTGATCTGCCTTTTTATGAACAATATTGGTTGAACACATATTTATGTGTGTGTTGATGCATTGTTTTTGCAAGGGAGGAAAATCTCAGTGAATTTTTTAGTTTCTTAAAAAGTGATTGTTACAGTGCTAAAGGATCTGGGTTGAAATAGTGACAAGCAAACAGTTACAATTTAGTGGAATTTGGACGCTAGATCTTTTATGTGGAGATTTTGAGGATCTATGACAATCATAAGAAAATGAAGTGTGTTGAAAAAAACAACCTAACAATACATCTACTATAAATAACATAATCATCTAGAACCATCCTCAGACAAGTGTCTCATCTATTCTGAACAGGCCTTTTAAATTGTCTTTGTAGGTTGCCATAAGCTTGTCTTGAAGTGAAGGCCCTGAAATCTGGCAGAAGGAATGTAGCTTTGCAAGAGGTGGGTGGGCCAGGGGTGATGGGTTTTAAACACTGACTTTTATTTCTAGATGTGTGATTTTGGCAATTGATGTAGTTTTTAATTCTTTGAGCCTTCACATCTGTAAACTGAAAACTACTTTGTAAATCAGCAATAAAGATAAATAAATAAGTAGTTATTATCATAGTATCCCCTGAAATTAATGAGTCAATGAATTCTACCTAGAGTAGAATAGGAGGTTTTGTTTTCTTCCACACTATTTTCTTTCAGAAGTAATGCCTGTACTTCCATTCTTGGTTAGGTATCCATTTGTTTATATCATCCCACGAGGAATGTAAGCTCCTTCATGAAGAGTGGATCATTACTTAGTCCAGTGTTTATCAAACTTTATTGTTTGTCTGAATAACTTGTAGGGATGTTGGGAATGCACATTGCTGCTTCTACCATCAGAGTTTCTAATTCAGTAGGTCTGGGGTAGGGTTCGAGATTCAGCAGCTCTCATAAGCTCCAGGTGATGTTAATGATACAAGGTGTTAGATAATAATAAAGGCAAGAAAGCAGACCTCCAACCAATATCTCTCTTTAGTGTCATGGACTGAAATAATACATGTACTTTATCTTGATTTAAGTGTCTTTGGCACATGTACATAATAAGAATGTACAATTCTTATTTGTCAATTAAAATAAATGAATTAATTGTAAAAATATTAATGTCCTCAAAGCCACTAAAATGTCTCCTTAAAAATGGTTAAAGTGTAAATTGTTTTGTATATTTTACCATAATAAAAAAAACCATTTTTCAAAATGGCATATTTTTCAGAGTCTGAAAAAAGTACTTATTTGGAGGTCATTATATGAAAGATAATTTAATGTTTTTGGTAATATTTTGTAATTTTCAGGTCAGAGGAAAACTTACTGGAGGAAGAGTTTCTTTAATGCATAGTAAATTCATTATATTTTGCAAATTGGGTCCTTTGATAGTATGTAGTTCATTCTACTGGCTACAGAAAGGCAGCTTAAGAGATGGCTATCTACCCCTATAAATATTTGCAATTTATAAGGAACTAATAATTAAATGAGTTTACAGTAACAATAAACACAGCAAGCCTCTAACAGTTGCAATTAGTGTTTTAGATGATTTTGGAAATTAAAATAACTTTCAGTACTGAATGGGGCAAAGTCCAATAAATTAGCTTGCTTTCTCCACAAAATTCAAATGACACTTAGAAATAAAATCTAATTTTTTAAAAAAATTGAGCTACAAAATATGGAGTTGCTACATTACAAATACTTGACTCAGTTACCTCACCATCCCTGGTTTATTTACACAACAGGAACACATTTACCACCTCTTAGGAGGGACAATGATTTTGACTGCACAGATTGGCTAATAAGAGTACGAAGAGCAGAAAGGGCTTTGCACATGAACTTGTGTTTTTCTGCTTTTCCTCAAATTGCTGTTTTATTATTTTGTTGTTTTATCAAGAGAAGAATAAGAACTAGAAAGATATATTAACATATGGACATGTATACGCTTACAAAGCAGACAAATTTAAATTCTTGCAGTATTTCATATTTAATAGCATTTAATTGAAACAAGGTAATATCTGGGGAAACATTTCATAAATGATATAGAGAAGAATAAGTGGGCTGTAGGTACTCTCTGCCCTTAAGTGACATCTGGTAAAAATGACCTTTCCCTCACACAATTTTTTTTTTGTAAATTATGACTTTGGGACAAAATACCTTAGTAATTAGAGATTTAACAAAATTAAACTTGATAATCAAATCTTCCCAAATATATTTATCAGTTGCAGTACAATTTTGCTTCCCTTTGGAATTCTTATTTGCCTTTTTTAGGTTATTTTGCTAAATTTTCACAATTTTCATGTAATATCTACAAAAACAATAAACTGACACAATAGTAGGTCTTATAAATTAGTTCAGCCAATAAGTCAGATGCAATATCAATGTCCAAAATAAAACATCACAACAAAAAGTCACAATGACCTATATATTTTTATAGAAAGATCCTATTTGTTGAAAAAAAATAGATGACTTTTTAGAAATAGGTTTGATATGAAATCTTTAAGTTATATATGAAGACGTATAAATATCTAATAAGTGACAAAAATAAATTGACTCTTGGGAGGGAGAGATAGGTCATGTCTGTGACTAGAAATACTTTAATTTCAAGCAATCAGTCTTCTCCCTGTCAAACTGTATATTCAATTAAATGTTACTAAAAATCCCGACAGAAATTTCGTAGACCCTGTTATGATGTTGATGTTCATAGGAGGGGAAAATGGGCAAGAAAAATAAAATTTACTTTTGTTTTTTAAGCTTCCAAATATAAAGTTTTTAAACTTTTTATCGCTATATAATAGTTGTACGTATTTTGGGGCTACATGTGATATTTTGATAACTGCACACAATGTATAATGATTAAATCAGAAAATTGGGATATCCATCATCTTAAACATTTATCTTTTATTTGTAGTGGATGTATTACCAGAAAACAATGAAGAACATTCTTGATCAGATATAAAAACATACTAAAAAACTATGATAAAGTGTTGTATAGGTACACAATAATAACTAAACAAGAGTAGTATTGGAACAAATTAATCAATGGAACAAAACAGTAGTTTAGAATCAGTTGTCTATGTATAGAATAAAATTTAATGATAAAAATTTAATTTCCAATCAGAACAACATGTGATCCATTCAATAGTTCTAAATTTGGCTATTTGTTCCAATAAAAGAAATGTATATTTATTTCATACAGTACAGAAAAACAAATTCCACAATGGTTAAAGTATACTCATATATAAATATACAAAGTAAGTTAAAATCAGCATAAGAAAAGCCATATTACAATGTGTACCTTATGCAGTCTGCCTTACCAATAAGAGGCAAAATAGAAGAAATGCAAGATAACGGTAAAGTTTGAAAGGCTCCGAAGATGAGGATGGACACTCTAAAGAAACAAAATAACAACATTTTTTAAGTAGAAAGGGTAAGAGGGACTCGAATATAACCCATTATCCTACTGCAAGAATATCCTGGTTTATTTTTTTAATTCTCACTTTTTGGGGGAATTACCAGGTAAATATTTACAGAACTTTGATCACAATGTGCTTGTCTTATGTAAACCTTATAGAGTGTTTCTAACTGGCCCTAAAGATGCAGCTCAATAATAAGCTAGTCCTGAGAGACAATGAAATGGAAAATCTTCATGGCTACCACGGCTGGCCCCTTCTCTGCCATACAAGAAGGAAAGTGACCCAAACACTGCAGAACATAAACATGTGAAGTATCTGGAACTTGGTTTCATTGAAGATTCTGGCAGGTTTATGGCCAGGAAAATCGAGGCAAATCTCACCAAGAACAAGAAATCTAAATAATCCATGACACATTAGACAGTAACAATAGAGTCCTTTTTTGATTTCAGGGATCAGGTGGCCAGGTTTAGAATGTTTGTCTAAGTCAACAAAAGACAAAGGCATCGCCCGTCATATTACTGAGTTATCACCTGACCTGAATTGGGAGACAGATAATAGATCCAGCTTCATATGACACCAACCGAAGATCAACCCTTTTTCTATGCTGTTTTGACACTGAAAGCTAGAATAACAGAGAGTTTCAAGCAACATGGTATTCTTCTTTTTTTTCTTTTAAAAACAAAATTATTTATCAGAAAATACAAATTGGTGTATTATGAAGGCATATGGTGAATAAGAAGAAAGAAAGTACATGATAAGCAAGAAAAAACAGGCTATAACTGAGTCTGCTCCACAACCACTTTGTGAGTAGTTGGTGAATTTTTCTGGCTCTCTAATCCCACCCCTAGCTTTCTGCACTTTTTGTTTTTCTTTTGAGACTGAGTCTCACTCTGTTGCCCAGGGTGGAGTGCAATGGCGCTATCTCACTGCAACCTCCACCTCCTGGCTTCAAACTATTCTCCTGCCTCAGTAGCTGGGATTATGGGCACCCACCGCCACGCCTGGAAAAGTTTTGTATTTTTAGTAGAGACAGGGTTTCGCCATGTTGGCCAGGCTGGTCTCAAACTCTTGCCTCAAGTGATCCACCTGCCTCGGCCTCCTAAGTGCTGGGATTACAGGCATGAGCCACCACACCCGGCCATGCACTTTGGGAGATCTTTCTCTTTACTTTGCTGCCCTGGACTACAGTTTTAAAGAGCAGTTGCCTTCAACTACTTGCCATCTCAGATTTCCTGCCCCATTCTAGAGCATGAAAACTGAAAGTCCAGAGTGTGTGGGACTCTAAGGTTTTCTTTTATCTCTTTTGCCCCATCCTCAGGCTTCAGTTGCTGTTTCAAGATTTTATTTTGTTTTATGTTTTTTAAATTATTATCTTGTACTTCTCTGCATTGCAAACTTTTTTTAATGTCATGAAATATTTTTTTCACATGTATGCATGATGTGATCAAAAGAAGATAATATGGCATTTTTAACATAAATTGACTTTATGTTTCCATCAAACTGTTATTATTATTATTAATACCTTCATTAGTTCTTATTATTAATCATCTGAAATGTTTATCACAAATCCAGGAAATATAATTTTGATCATGACTCTTTCTTCCTCCTATTTTTTTACTTCCATTTTTATAATCAATAGCTGTTTCATTCTGCCCTGATATAACTAAGCCTTTTGCTGAATGTCATAACAATTCCATTGATCAATGGTGGTTCTTATTGACTCTAAGTCTAATCTAAACCCATTTGTCATTGTCAACAAGACCCAATATGATTTAACCTGTGTTGAAGAGGGTCGCTCATCTCCAATCACTCTCCACTCATTCACCTTTGTTGGCCCTGGCCTTCCTGGTGCTCCTTAAACACAGGGAACTTGTTCCCAGTTCCAGGTCTGTCTCCTTGATCTTCCACCAAGGCTTTCACAGAAATTCTATCTTCACATCATTTGGGACTCCTCTCAGATGTTACTCTCTTACAGAGGAGTCCTCGGACAACCCTATGTAAAATAACCTTCTTGAAATTATCTCTCTAACACTCACCTCACTTTATTCCATGCATAAAATGTATCCGTACCTGAAATTATTTTTATTTGTTTACTCTATCTTTCTTTTTAGAGTATAAGTTCTAAAAAAATCAGTAACTTGTCTTATTAATTTATTCTATTCCCAGTTTCTGTTATGGTCTCTGGTACATTGAAGATGCTTAATAAATATTCTCATATTATTAGAGCTCATTATTGAGCCCAGGGTGCTCAATATTCTCAGTCTCTGGTCTGAATAACCATAGACCTTGTTTATGGAATGAGCACCTAGACTGTGTTAATATGAACCTAGTTTCATGCTGTTTGTTAACTGAAAGACTCTAGATAGGTTTCCTTTCTAAGATTTAATTATATTATTGACCAATAATCTTTTAAAGGTTATATCAGATAATACAAGGAAATATTTAACCCGGTGACGAGTATATGCTGGTAATAGTCTTTCTAATAATATTAACTCTTATCATCTTCACTAAATTGTAAATTTTGTGAAGGCAGATACCATGGCTTTCTTGGTAACTTGATACCTCACAGTGCCTGTCCCATGTTAGTATTTTAATAAATATTTTTAATGAATAAAAAATAAATGAATGATTGAAACAGGTGTACATATGTATGTATGTATAAATATACGCATATATATTTGTATATATTATACTACTGTGTATATACTCTAATAGAGACACATAGCATAATATAATATAATGTATAATCTGTAAAATAATGCTGGCGGTTATCAGTGTTTTGACATGTTATGTTAGTATTAAAGTCAATTTACAGGCCGGGTGCGGTGGCTCACGCCAGTAATCTCAGCACTTTGGGAGGCTGAGGTGAGTGGGTCACTTGAGGTCAGGAGTTCGAGAACAGCCTGGCCAGCATGGTGAAACCCCATCTCTACTAAAAATACGAAAATTAGCTGGGCGTGGTGATGCATGCCTGTAATGCCAGCTACTCAGGAGGCTGAGGCACAGGAATCGCTTCAACCCAGGAGGTAGAGTTTGCAGTGAGCTGAGATTGCACCACTGCACTCCAGCCTGGGCAACAGAGTGAGACTCTGTCTCAAAAAAAAAAAATAAAGTCAATTTACCATATTTTACAAGGTAGCTATAGGTATTTTATTGCTTTAGACCTCATTAAATATTGGGTCTCTAATGTGCTATAATTTCTTTGCCTCACAAGGATATATGAGAATTCAGAAATGGACATTTCAGTAGATAATTGAGTCATACTTTACATGGTAAAAAATAATGTAATTGCAAAATTAGGAACTTCCTATGGTGTTAGGCTTATAATCATCCTACCAAAAGAGAGATTATGTGTGGCAACAAGGAAATTCTAGGTTTTTGAAGGAGACTGTAGCAGATTTAGTCTGTATAGAAACTGCAGAACTCATCACCCAAAGCAGGTGAGTGATGGGGACACATCTCTGGCACTGACACTCTTGTGTGCTGCTTGGGCAATGCCACACTTATAAACACAATGTCTTCTGAAATTGCCATTACAAAGGAGGTATCATCTACAAGTCTTACAAAACCTGACTCGTGGAAACAACAGGTGCTGGAGAAGATGTGGAGAAATAGGAACACTTTTACACTGTTGGTGGGACTGTAAACTAGTTCAACCATTGTGGAAGTCAGTGTGGCAATTCCTCAGGGATCTAGAACTAGCAATACCATTTGACCCAGCAATCCCATTACTGGTTATATACCCAAAGGATTATAAAACATGCTGCTATAAAGACACATGCACACATATATTTATTGTGGCACTATTCACAATAGCAAAGACTTGGAACCAAGCCAAATGTCCAACAATGATAGATTGGATTAAGAAAATGCAGCACATATAAACCATGGAATACTATGCAGCCATAAAAAATGATGAGTTCATGTCCTTTGTAGGGACATGGATGAAGCTGGAAACCATCATTCTCAGTAAACTATTACAAGGACAAAAAACCAAGCACTGCATGTTCTCACTCATAGGTGGGAATTGAACAATGAGAACACATGGACACAGGAAGGGGAACATCACACACTGGGGCCTGTTGTGGGGTGGGGGGAGGGGGGAGGGATAGCATTAGGAGATATTCCTAATGTTAAATGACGAGTTACTAGGTTCAGCACACCAACATGGCACATGTATACATATGTAACTAAACTGCACGTTGTGCACATGTACCCTAAAACTTAAAGTATAATAAAATAAAATAAAATAAAATAATAAACCTGACTCGCCTTTTTTTTTTCTTTTGCTGACGTAGAAAAATTCACATCTTCTACAATCACTCTAAACTTGCTCTTGATTACCAATAGTTTGTCTGGACCAGAATCAATATAGTCTTGATGTGATGTGAAACGGTCAATAACACCTTTGAAGTTTTCATTTCAGTATAAAAGGACCTCATTTTCTGTCTTTTCTTATTTTTGCCAAGGGGGCAAAAATAGGTGGTGAGAAGATATTAGGACATGTAATACACTGAGTGATAATTCTGATTAAAATGATTTTTAAATAATCACTTAATGTATTAGATTAAGATAGTTTTGGAATTTGACATTTCTTCCCTACACATTAATTTCAGAAGACAAAGAAATAGTATTGCACATATTTTAGTTAGTAAAGACCATTTTGTTAATATTTCTTTAAAAATTATTACTAAAAATCACAAAGAATTGAAAATTGTATACAAACGGTTTAATCTCTCAGGGTTGTCAAATACTCTATTAAAATGGTAATTTATGGAGAAAGGAGATAATCTACCATTTATTTATAAATACATGGTACCAACTAACTTATAATGGATTTTTATCAACAAGCATTTTGTGGAGTGCATTTCAAATTACAAATTAAATTTATCTGTGTAGCTGAATATAAAATATTTGCTTTAAAATTTGGTAAATTAGACTCATGACCCTGAAAAATGGAGCAATATACTTCTTAAAAAATTTATTTGAAGCCATCAGAAATAAGTACAGGTATACCTAGTTTTATCATGCCTGTCTTTATTGGGCTTCACAGATACCGTGCTTTTTTTTTTTTTTTTTTTTTTTTTTTAATAAATTAAAGGTTTGTGGCAACACAACAGAGCAAATATATCAGTGGCAGTTTTTCCAACAGCACGTGCTCAATCCATATCTCTGGGTCACATTTTGGTAATTTTCACAATATTTTCAAACTTTTTCACTGTATCTATGATGATGACCTTTGATTAGTGATCTTTGATGTTACTATTCTAATTATTTGGGGGCACCATGAACTGCACCAATATAATCAAGAATTGTGTGTGTTCTGACAACTCTGAAGCTGTGATGGTTCTTCAGATTAGAGTCTTTTTCAAATTGAAGCAAAGCAGCTGGGTCTTGATAGCACAACATCAGCCAAACAATGACTGAAAGCCACCTTGGGAAGGAATGAAACATTGTTTGAGTCAGTTTCCTGTGGCTAAGGCTAATTTCTGTTGACGGATGCAACTGAGAGCTTTTGGCAGCTGATATTAATAACAGAAGGCGGCCGGGCGTGGTGACTACGCCTGTAATCCCATCACTTTGGGAGGCCGAGGCGGGCTGATCCATGAGGTCAGGAGATGGAGACCAACCTGGCCAACACAGTGAAACCCCGTCTCTACTAAAAATACAAAAAAAAAAAAAAAAAAGCTGGGCGTGGTGGTGGGCCCCTGTAGTCTCAGCTACTCCGGAGGCTGAGGCAGGAGAACGGCGTGAACCCGGGAGGTGGAGCTTGCAGTGAGCTGAGATCGCGCCACTGCACTGCAGCCTGGGCGACAGACCAAGACTCTGTCTCAAAAAAAAAATAAAAATAAAAATAAAAAGTAACAGAAGGGGTGTGGATGTGTCAGCCCTGAAGAGGATCATCTGGCCAGAAAACCAGAGTATCCACTATAGTCCACCCCTTGCATCATTCATAGTCACATGTATCTTTTAATATTTGTCCTAAACTGAGCTACTCTAGGTTTCTTTCTTATGTTTCATGGAAGGGACTAAAGGCTATGCTGCTGCAGTTGATCTTGAAGCCATTTTTGATACTCATCACCTGCCTGGTCACCTAACTTCAAGTTTTCACTTGCCCTGAGTTAGCGGCTCTGCTCATGTAGGTGGTATGACTATTGAGGTAACTCAAGCCTTCATCACTAAGGGGTTTAAGGCCCTTTCTAGAAAAGTTTAAGACGAGTCTTATTGTATCCAATGGTGGAAACATTTTCCCTCTGGAGACCAGAAATCTGGACTTGTAAAAAGAACAAATTCCCCATGTGTGCCACTTGATCAATGTTAAGTGGTCACTCATTTCCTCCCCCTCCCCTTTTATTTCTAGGTGCATGTATTCTGCATAGTAGATGTAGAACAGATAATCATCGACAGGCTCATAATTAAGGGTATACAGTTTAACCTGGAAGATGCCTGATCATCACAAGTTGTCCTTAAGATGGCATTTCAGCTTCATTTTTAAGAGGGCATTTCAGGGGCCAGGCACGGTGGCTCATGCCTGTAATCCCAGCACTTTGGGAGGCCGAGGCAGGCAGATCACCTGAGCTCAGGAGTTCAAGACCAGCCTGACCAACATGAAGAAACCCCGCCCTTACTAAAAATACAAAATTAACAAGGCATGGTGGTGCATGCCTATAATCCAAGCTACTCAGGAGGCTGAGGCAGGGGAATTGCTTGAGCCCAGGAGGCAGAGGTTGCAATGAGCCAAGATTGCACCATTGCATTCCAGCCTGGGCAACAAGAGTGAAACTCCATCTCAAAAAAAAAAAAAAAAAAAAAAGTGGGGGGCATTTCAGTGTTCCAACAGACAAGTGGATACATTGTGATATGAAATATGACTGGATCAAGTACTCCATGATTACCTACCTACCTAAAACTCCCTCTCCCTTCTCCTTGCTGTTGAATGGATCCCTTAATCTTATACGATGTTATGTGGAATCCTGGGTTGTTGAGCAAAACTCTCTGTAATTCCTCAGTTAGTAGAACTAAGCAAGTTGCTACAGGTAGGAAAGAAAAACCTGTATCTAGAATACAAGTTGTTTCCAGTAAAAATAGTAAATGATCATTTCCAGTGTTGAAGGGGTTTAGTGTAATCAACTGGCTAGTGAGTAGATAGTTTGTCTCAAAGACGAACATTCATTTTAGGGACTAAGGGTTGGTCTCTGTGGATAGCTGGTTGAACATTCAGTGGTATCAACAACTAGATTAGTCTTGGTGAGTAAGCACAGGTTATTATGTCTTCATCTATGACATAATAATTATTTCATTCACTCACCCATTATGGCACATGTGGTGGCAGATGATAGAAGTTGGCTGATGTCAAATAAATAAGTTGTCCTGACATCCTGACTAATTTTTTATTGCTTTCTTCTGGTTAATCATTTCAGGTGTCTATAAAAAAATGAGCTAAAAAGATATTCACACTTCATGAATATTTTCACAATTCCATCTAATATGACTCCTCCTCTTACTTTATTTTCCTGGATTTTTCTAATCTTTAATTCTCCTTTAAGGTCTATGGCCAACTGGTCAGGGCACTATTTATTACCAGTCAGTGTATTTATATATTTACCATGTGCCTGTTGTCTTTTCCTCTATATTTGATGACCAAATGCACTGCTCATCACAGCACCTTGGGAAGCCATAATCCCACAGCAGTCTCCCAAGTTCTCCCAAGTGAGAGCTGTAGTACAACCACATCCATTTATGGATTACACACACTTATTGAGCTTATGGATTACGCACACTTATTTATGGATTACACACACTTATTGACTCATCTTTGTGCCAAGCTAGGTTTTTTACATCCTCCATCATCTGGTCATAAAGCATCTCCTATAAAGCCATGGAAATGAGCAGTGGTAGAGGCACTAGTGAAGCAGCGATGGTGACATGTGGGGTTCCTGCTACAAATGATACCTAGGCCCCATGGTTCTGCTCATGTCTGACACCAGATATAACACTTCTACCAAATCCTGAATTGTATCTTACCCATTTGATCTATGCCTTTGTGGATCTAACAGAACTAGCTCCTATGGTATTCTCCACTGCAGAGTATTTTAATGATCCATTGTTAGGTGCTCCGTCTGAACGTGGGCCCACATTCTAGGAGCTGGTTTTCAAATGTTGTATACTTTTCTGATGCAGATGACATGGCCTTGAACCCTAAGGGACTACATTTTGATTTAAGGCTACCTCATAAATTCCACTTACCACCTTTCAAACCACAGAACATTCTAGTAATATAAAGTTTAGGTCAAGAGGCAGGGCTACTTGTACTGCAACCTGGACTGGACTTTCCTACTCTAGGCCTCACACAAAGTTGGGGGCCAGGATTTCTCATGCTATGTGGTAAATGGTTTTTTAACATTATTAACAACTGTAGAACATTGATGCCTTCAGAACTTGAAGAGTTATACAAAGTAATATAGATCCAAGACTATACTATATAGACCATATTATATAGCTGACTTTTTGTCATTGGGAAATGAGAAACCTACACATTTATTCCCTATTTTAGGTAGGACATCATGCCCAGCACACTCATTTGCTTGTGTATTTTCTATTTGTTTGGCATTGCAACAGCTGAATTGAGTAGTTTTAATAGGGAACTTACGTATTGCAAAGGCTAAAATATTTGCTATCTGGCTCATATAAAAATGTTTGTCAATCTCTCCCTCTTCCCAAGATCACTAGATCTTTTAAAACCTCACCAATATGTTGGGTCACTAGATCTTTTGAGTGTTCATCTTCTGCTGTATTAACAATCTGTCACTTAGTGACAGTATTTGCACAAATTTAACAGCTTAAAACATGCATTTATTATTTTACTGGGAGTTAGGTGTCTGGCCATGACATAGATGTCTGCTCTATTGAGACTATAATTGGTCTGTTGGCTGGAAATGTAGTCTCATCTAAGGCCTTGGGGTCCTCTTCTGAGCTCATGTGGTTGTTGAGAAAGTTCAAGGTTTTGAAGGTTGTGATACCAAGAGCTCTGGTGTCTCTCTGGCTGTTTACCAGATGCTTCCTTCAGTTCCTGCATCTGAAACTCCACAAAAAGCTAACAACCTGACAAATTTCTTCTTCAAAGTCAGCAAGAGAAAGAAAAAAGTCTTTAGCAAGTGAGTTCCAAAAATTGTATGTAACATAGTCTTGTACGTGTAATCACTGACAACCTGTCACCTTTGCCATGTCCTATTTATTAGTAGCAAATCTCAGACCTGCTCAGGCTCAAGGGGAAGTGATTACAAAGAAGCAAAAATACCATCAGGTAAGGATCCCAAGGGCCACCTTAAGTGCTAGTCCATCATCCATACACTCTAGAGCCAATGTTTCTTACTAAGTTCTCCAACATTTTGTTACCTCTGGCTTATCTGGTTTAATTAACATCGTGTCATCAATATAGTGACCTATTGTAATGCTCTCTGGACTATTCAGTCTAAATTATAACAGGACTAAATTATAACAAAGAGTGAGAATGTAGACATGGAACAATATAATAAATTTATCCTCTTGTCAATTTCACCTTGCTGAGAACAATTTCTGATGCTCTCTTCTGATAGTGATAAAAATGTATCCATTCATAAGATCATGAAACTTATTGCAGATGCTAGAAACCATGCTCTCTTCTGCCCTGCCACGTCTGACATAGCAGTTTCATGGAGGCTACTACTTGATTATTTATAGTAGTCCACTGTTAACCGCTGTGTTCCACCTACTTTTAGTAGTGTCAGACTGGTGAATTAAATCAAAATCTGATGGAGATCACAACCCTAATTGTCGAAGACTTCAGTGGTGCCATTAATCTCCACCATTTTCCTGGGAGAAATGTTTTTTATTTACTCTCTGGGGTTGTGTGAAGTTTCAGAAACTTCCACTTGGCCTTCCCACTATTATAGCTTGATATGCTTTGCATTTGTGTCCCTGCCAAAATCTCATGTCAAATTGTAATCCTGTGTTGGAGGAGGGGCTTGGTGGGAGGTGATTTGATCATGGGGGCAGTTTTCTTCCTTGCTGTTCTTGTCATCATGAGTGAGTTCGTGTGAGATCTGGTTATTTGAAAGTGTGTAGCACCTCCACCTTCTCTGTCCTCCTCCTACTCCAGCCATGTAAAATGTGACTCCTGCTGCTTTGCCTTCTGCCATGAGTTTCCTGAGGCCTCCTCAGCCATGCTTCCTATATGGCCTGTGAACGGTGAGCCAATTAAACCTCTTTTCCTTATAAAATATCCAGTCTCAGGTAGTTACTTATAGCAATGTGAAATTGGACTAATGAAGAAAATTGGTACTAGGAGTGGGACATTGTATTAAAGGTACCTGAAAATGCGGAAGCAGCTTTGGACCTGGTTAATGGGCAGAGGTTGGAAGAGTTTGGAGGGATCAGAAGAAGACAGGGAGATGAGGGAAAACTTGGAACTTCCTAGAGGCTTGTTAAATTGTTGTGATGAAAATGCTGCTAGTGATATGGACAATGAAGTCCTGGTTGAGGAGGGCTTGGAGATGAGGAACGTGTTGGAAACTGTAGCAAAGGTCACTTTTCTTATGCATGAGCAAAATGACCTGAAACTGGAACTTGTATTTAAAAGGGAAGCACAGCATAAAAGTTTGGAAAATTTGCAGCCTGACCATGCAGTAGAAAAAAACAAACCCATTTTGTGGGAAGGAATTCAAGCCAGCTGCAGAAATTTGCCTAAATAAAAAGGAGCCGAATGTTAATAGCCAATACAATAGGGAAAATTGCTAGAAGGCATTTCAGAGACAAATGTCTCTGAACTGCAGCAGCCTCTCTTATCACAGGCCTGGAGGCCTAGGAGGGAAGAATGGTTTTGTGACCCAGGCCCAGGGCCCTACTCCTCTGTGCAGCCTTGGGACATGCTCTGCATCCATCACAGCCTTCATCGCTCCAGCCATGGCTAAAAGGGCCTAAGGTACAGCTCAGGCTTTTGCTTCAGAGGGTGCAAGCCATAAGCCTTTGGGGGCTTCCACATGGTATGAAGCCTGTGGGTGTGCAGAGTGTGAGAGTTGAGCCTTGGAAGCCTCTCACTTGATTTCAGAAGATGTATGGAAATACCTAGATGTCTAGGCAGCAGTCTGCTGTAAGGATAGAGCCCTCATGGAGAACCTATGCTTGGGCAGTGTGGAGAGGAAATGTGGGGTTGGAGCCCCCACAAAGAGTTCCCACTGGGGCTTCACCTAGTGAAGCTGTGAGAAGGTAGCCACCATCCTCCAGATCCCAGAATGGTAGATCTGCCAACAGCTTGCATCGTGCAACTGGAAAAGCTGCAGGCACTCAATGCCAGCCCATGAGGGCAGCTTCAGAGGCTGTATCCTACAGAGCCACATGGCTGGAGCTGCTCTTAGGAGCCGTCTCCTTGCATCAGTGTGGCCTAGATGTGAGACATGGAGTCAAATGAGATTATTTTGGAGTCTTAAGACTTAATGGCTGCCCTGCTGGGTTCTGGACTTTCATAGGGCCTGTAGCTTCTTGGTTTTGACCAATTTCTCCCTCTCGGAATGTAAGTGTTTATAACAAATGCCTGTACCTCCATTGTATCTTGGAAGTTAACTAACCTGTTTTTGATTTTACAGGCTTATAGGCAGAAGGGATTTGTCTTAACTCAGATGAGACTTTGAACTGTGGACATGTGAGTAAATGCTGGGATGAGTTAAGACTTTTGAGGATTGTTTGGAAGGCATGATTGTATTTTGAAATGTGAGAAGGATAGGAGATTTTGGAGGGGCCATGGTGGAATTATATGGTTTGGATTTGTGTCCCTGCCCAAATCTCATGTTGAATTGTAATCCCTGGTGTTGGAGAAGGGGCCTGATAGGAGGTGACTGGATCATGGGGGTAGATTTCCTCCCTTGCTGTTCTTGTGAGCGTGAGTTCTCAGGAGATCTGGCTGTTTAAAAATGTATAGCCCCTCCTCTTCCTCACTCTTCCTCCTGCTCTGGCAATGTAACATGTGACTTCTTCCTCTTTGCCTTCTGCTATGATTGTAAGTTTTCTGAGGCCTCCTCACCATGCTTCCTATACAGCCTGCAGAACTGTGAGCCAATTAAGCTTATTTTCTTTATAAATGATCCAGTCTCGGGTAGTTCTTTATAGCAATGCGAGAATGGACGAATACATAACTATTCCCTTACAGCTCAAGAGCCTGATATGAGTAACCTTTTATATATCACCTTAATCCATTTCTGTTATAATTCAGAGAACAAGGCCCTGAATACTAGGTAGTTTTGTAGATAAAAGGGACCCACTATGCTCTGAACCTCATGCTCATTAGTACTCAGTATAGGAAAGGGGACATGGTAGTATTTTGTATCTCTTGATGTGAATGTCAGTTTGTCCCCAAATCCTCTAAAGATCTGGGTGTTTTCCTTTCCCAATTTATGTTTGAGCAAGTAATGGTTCATGGATACCCCTGAGAAATTAGGGGAATTGCTATAGAACATTCTAGCCTTGTGGATTGCAAGTTCCTTCCTCATAGAGACCCAGCTTTGCCTTTAGCCCCTGTGTTCTGCATTGAAAAGTGGGATAAGTCTACAAACTGGGCAAAAACCTGTGACTTTATTTTCTGACTCCCTTGAGCTTTCTGAGTATTAGTACTAGATTGCTACGGCTGCCTGAACCAATTACCATAAGCTCAGTAACTTAAAACAAGACATATTTCTTTTCTGAGAGTTCTGGAAGCCAGAAGTCTGAAGTTAGCTTAATTACGTTGAAGCCAAGGTATGTGCCGGACCAGCTTACCCAGGAGGCCCTAGGAGAGACTCTCTTTCCTTGCCTTTTCGAGCTTCTAGAATTCTACTCCTTGCATTCTGAAGCTCATTAACCTGCCTCCATTTTCAAAGCTCTCTGCATGGGTCACCTCACCTTCTTTCTTCTGTAATTGTGTCTTGCTTTACCTCTCTCTTCTCTTTGGGGGGTTATTATTTATTCAGTTTTCTCCACTACCCAATCTCGGTATCTTTTTTATATTGTTTTATTGGCTGCCCATGTATCTTGCTTTGAGGAACACTGTCTTGTATTAGACATCTCCACAGTTGCGTATGAATGGGAATCTCCTGAATGCTACCTTATTCTTGTCATCCACATATCTGCACTCACCTAATTTCTGCTGGTATTCACCATTATTCAGTTTCTATTATTTAGAGATCTTATTATCCACATTGCCATGAGGGAGCCCAGTTATGTAATAACATTTTCTACTGTCAGTTCTATAGAAAGCACTTTTGAACTTCCCAATAATCTCGGTTCCCTCCATACCGATAATCTTTTACTGCTTTGGTAAGCAGAACTTCCTCTGAGTCTTACTCTGATACACAGTCAACAAGTTTCTGAACTTTCTCCTCTGAAGTTTTGAATTTATCTTCACTGCCACGACACTCATGGTATTCTGCTTCAACTAGTGTGCAACATTAATTTTCCAAGTTTTCAAGGGGTATTCTAGGAGCCCATGAGTACTTTTACCCAGGATGTTTACTAATATGTTAAAACTTTTGTCAAAGGAGTATGTTCCCATATTGATAAACTATTTTTAATTCAACTTTATGTTACAATATACTTATCTAGTACCACAGAATTCAGTCCAAAAATACTCTTCTATCTCATATGTGTATCTAGATAGATAGTTAAATAGATAGACAGACAGATAGATAGATAGATAGATAGATAGATAGATAGATAGATAGATACCACATCCTCAAGTTCCTCCAGGGGATAATCCCTATTCTTCCTCACTAGGCCCAGCATATCCCCTATTCATTATTGGTTGATGATTGGTCAGAAGGTCATTAGGGAATTTTGAGGGCAGATCTTGAAGAGAGTTATAATTGTTTAATAAGATATATGGCCATTGAAGGAATCAATGAAATCTCAGTTTTAAAAAGGGCACTATCTGAAATAATTAAAATATAAGCACTTAGGAATGCAAAAATAAATTAAATCAGTCCAAAATAATGTATAAGGGCAGGTGGATCTGTATGCTATTGTGTGTGCATGAACTTTATGTATGTATGTGTGAGTGTGCATGTGTGTGTGTATAATGTGCTAATTTGGGATGTTTTGTTTTAGTCTAAGAAAAGATTCTATTTATTTTATAAATAAAAGAGAAAGAAATTAAACTTTGAAAAAAGATAACTTGTGGAATAGTACTTAGTGATAAAAAGGAATGAACTATTGATATGCACTGCAACTTAGGTAATTTTTATGGGCATTAGCTAATTTAAAAAAGGTCCGTCTTGGCCAGGCATGGTGTCTCACACCTGTAATCCCAGTACTTTGGGAGGCCAAGGTGGGTGGATCACAAGGTCAAGAGATCGAAACCATCCTGGCCAACATGGTGAAACCCCATCTCTACTAAAAATACAAAAATTAGCTGGGCATGGTGTCGCGCGTCTCTAGTCCCAGCTTCTCAGGAGGCTGAGTCAGGAGAATCACTTGAACTCAGGAAGTGGAGGTTGCAGTGAGCCGAGATCGTGCCACTGTACTCCTGGGGCAGAGGAAGACTCCGTCTCAAAAGAAAAAAAAAAACTATATAAATGGAAAAAAAGATTAGTGATTGTTAAGGATCAGAAATTATGTCTGTTGAGGTTCTCCAGAGAAACAAAACCAATGGGTTCTAGATCTAGCTAGATAAGAGGTTTACTTTAAGGAATTGGCTCACATAATTATGGAGGCTGAGAAGTCCAAGATCTGCAGTTGGTAAGTTGAAAGCCCAGTGGAGCTTAGGGTATAGTTCCAGTCTGAATCTGAATCTGAATCCAAAGACAGGAGAAAGCTGGCATTCAGTTTAAAGACAGTCGTGCGGAGAAAGAATTCTTTCTTACTCAGGCTGTTAATGCCCAGTGGATTGAATGTGGTCCATCCACATTGGGGGTGGAAATCTGTTTTTATCAATTTACTGACTCAAATGTTAATTTCATCCAGAAACCCCTCCACAGACACAACTAGAAATGATGTTTCACCAGATGCTTGCACAACCTAAAGCCCAGTGAAATTGACACACAAAATTAACCACCACAGGGGTGAAGCGAAGGGAGGGAAATGAGTGTGAGTATAAAGAGAAAGCATGTAAGAGCGAGCTTTGTTGTGATGGAGTAGTAGTGTACCTTGATTGATATGGTCATTACACAAAACTATACATGTGATAAAGCGGCATCATATGCTACAAACACTGATATCAAGGCCAATTTCCTAACTTAAACATTGGACTATAGTTGGGTATCCACTGGGAGAAACTGAATGAAAGCTACACAAGATCTTTCTGCATGATTTTGGGAATATCTTGTAAATCAATATTTTTTTAATTAAAAATAAAACCTTTAATTTTTGTTTAAAGCATTGTTTAATTTTTTCAAGCATTGAGAATAAACAGATTATTCATAAAGCAATATTCAAGATGCAATCTAATAAGGGTATATGCAGTATTTTTCAGGATAATCATCCTAATTACCAAAATTATTAAAACTTATTAGCACAGTATTAAAATATTATTAATGATTTGAAGAAATGTACGTAGTTCCTCCAAAATGCATTTTCACTTAGTTTGAATTCCTGAGTGTGTTTTATATTTTTTAACCCACAGAGATTAAAGATAATTTCCTCTTTGGGATGATTCAATACACCTTGACTCCAAATAGAAACATATAACTTGCCTGCCCAGACTCATATCGATTTATTGTTTTTGTGATATATAAGACATTGTGACCTTGGCGGATGATTTCATGTCAGTCAATTTATTCTAGGTTTCTATTGTTCCCTTATTTACATCAGAGTTCCTTGCCAATGACTAAAATCCATACATAGCCCACAAAATAACAAAACAAACAGGATGAGCAATTTAAACTAAATTGCCTGCCTAAAACATGTAACACAGTAGGGAATTAACAACAACAACAACCACAAACAGGATTAAAACATACAGGTGACAAAGCAGTTATAAATGTCCTATCCAAAGTAAAGAAGTTCTTTTATCTTTAGCTGATGATGTTCGCTGACCTGGCAGCCTTTTTGATGTGAGTCCAGGTCAACAGTTTTATTTATTGATTCTAATTCTTCCTCACACTCAAGAAAAATATCACAAGGCAAAGCAGAACAAAAACCGATGCTGCAGTTGAAATATGGTCTCAAGCTTCTTCAGGTTTATTGTTTGTTTGTTTTTTCAAAACTGTTTCCTCCCATTTTGATCTCAATCCATGTGAAGATGCAATTTCTGATTATTGTATTAGTGATAGAATAAGACAGGCTGATCTATAGAAAAAGTGGACTTTATAATTGTTGTAACAGAAAGATTCCAGCAAGAACAGGGTTTTCTAGGTTGCTTATTTTCTGGGAAATATTGGCAAGTGGAAGGAGGGCTTGGGGAACAAATGGCTTTTTGGGTTTCAGTTTCTTCTGCCTAATTTTGACGTCTTCTTAAAAGATGTTCAGAAGCCACCACTGTCCTTATAAACCAGGTAATTTAGAACACAGCTTGGGTGATGTCCCTGTGTGATAGCTGTATGGCCCTGACTTCTATAAGGTCCTGTCTGTGGTAATCATATGGAATCCCAGGAATGAGTATATGTTTAAGAAATTCACCCTAAGTAGTTGCTTGTCATCTCTTGCTTGACACTTCTACTCTGATATTCACTTGTACTCTTTTGAAACCATGTCCTCAGTCAGCGTCCCTGTGCATATATCATTGTATCACAAGAAAAGTCATACCTGAATCCTCCTCTCTTAATACTCATGCACCTGAGTGCACACAACAAACACACACATACACACACACGCTCCACTTCCCAAAGCAAAGCCAAGATAGGACTGTAGTATAAAAAGCAAAATTAAACAAAAATAATCTACTGAAAAAATGGTAATATTAGAATAAAATTATAATAAAAATAAATAAAAACATGCAAAGCAATTGATTCCGAGGAATCTCTGTTCCTCCTTCATCAGGATTCCTTACTGTCTTTGCTTCATTATTCCCTCCACTCCCTCCAGCCGCCCCCTATTCTCCAAGGGTCAGCTTTCACTCTTCAGGAGTCCAGTTCAACTGTTTTGGCCCTCTCTGGAGTACAGGCTCCATCCCTTGGATTCGGAAAGAGAAATGAGTTCTCCCTTAACCCAGAGTAAAGCCCACTGTCTTGGTTTGACCCTGAATGACTGATTTTTAGAAACACCACTTCCTTCAGAGGGCATTGTTATTCTGTGTTTTGTGTTGCTTAGGGGCACATTAGATAATCACGATAGAAGACATAGCTTTCTCAGCCACCAGTTAAAGCTTCCCTGAGAATTATAGTGTCTGCTTACCATATCAGCTCACCAAAGTGATCCATCCCTTAAATGAAAAAGGGGTCTGTCTAGAGATGAACTTCAACTTTCACCCCAAAGGTGCAAACAACCAATGTTTTATTTGTGTTTACATTTTATATTTTAACAGCTACAAAATATAAAGACAAAAAATCTGCCTCTAACAACAAAAATACATGCTGATAACTTAAAAATAATTTCTCCCGTCCAGGCGCGATGGCTCACGCCTGTAATCCCAGCACTTTGAGAGGCCAAGGCAGGCAGATCACGAGGTCAGGAGATCGAGACCATCCTGGCTAACACGGTGAAACTCCGTCTCCACTAAAAATACAAAAAATTAGCCGGGCGTGGTGGTGGGCGCCTGTAGTCCCAGCTACTTGGGAGGCTGAGGCAGGAGAATGGTGTGAACCCGGGAGGCAGAGCTTGCAGTGAGCCGAGATAGTGCCACCGCACTCCAGCCTGGGTGACAGAGAGAGACTCCATCTCAAAATAATAATAATAATAATAATAATAATAATAATAATAATAATAATAATTTTCTCCCTGCTACATAAATGGGCTTGAAACTAAGCTGTGTTTCTAAAGGATACATGTTGGTAGCTGTTAAGCCAATATATAGCCTGTCTTAATGATATTCTACTTTTCAAAAAGTGGTATCAGCTATGAAGTTGCTGAAGTCATTTTCACAATTATTTTTTATTTCAATATACATCTCTGGGGATTATATAGATGGCAGCTAAATTTTGAAATGGCATTAATAAGAATGACGAAATTGATAGAGAAAAAAAAATATATATATATATGTTTTGAGATGGAGTCTTGTGCTATTGCCCAGGCTGGAGTGCAGTGGCGTGATCTCGGCTCACTGCAACCTCCCCTCCCGGGTTCAAGCGATTCTCCCACCTTAGCCTCCCAAGTAGCTGGGACTACAGTTGTGTGCCACCACCCCTGGCTAATTTTTTATATTTTTTTAGTAGAGTCGGGGTTTCACCATGTTAGCCAGGATGGTCTGTATCTCCTGACCCTGTGATCTGCCCACCTCAGCCTCCCAAAGTGCTGGGATTACAGGCGTGAGCCACCTCGCCTGACCAAGAAAATATATTTTTGTAGGTATGAAGATTAAAATAAAAAGAAAACTACTTACATATGTTATTTGGAGACATCAAGCAAACAACTAGCAAGAGTTGCTGAGAAGAATTCACTTCCCAGGCCTTGCCCTAGGCTATGTGCTGTATGTGAAATATCATTTGAATGGGAGAAGCTTCTGGTATCAGAGAATTTCAATCATAACTTTGGAGATTGTCATATTCCTCACAAACCTGAATGTACATTTCTAAAAATCTTGAATTTATTAGTATTCAAGAAGAACATTAATTTTTTTGAACATCTACTTCCTGAATGATACATATATCCTGTAACAATTTCTTGGTAAACAAGTGTTATTTCATTTGCTTCCTGCAGTAGAAAATATAAATATGTCACGTGTTTGATAAAATAGTTTTAAAGGCTTCTTGTGTCACATTAATCTTATTTATTTAATTACACTAGCTCATGCTGGCAGCATACTCATTGTATTAGTCAGGGTTCTCTTAAAGGGACAGAACTAATAGGATATATATAAACTCCCATACATACATGGTGAAACCCCATCACTACTAAAAATACAAAAAATTAGCCAGGTGTGGTGGCGGATGCCTGTAATCCCAGCTACTTGGGAGGCTGAGGCAGGAGAATCACTTGAACCCAGGAGGCGGAGTATAAGAAAAGATTCTATTTTTTTTTATATTATATATATATATTATTTCATATTTTATTTTTATATTTTTTATTTATTTTATAAATAAAAAAGAAAAAAATAAAATAAACTTTAAAAAAAAGTAACTTATGGAATAGTACTTAGTGATAAAAAGGAATGAACTATTGATATGCGCAACAACTTGGATAATTTTCATGGGAATTAGCTAATTAAAAAAGGTCAGTCTTGTCCAAGCATGGTAGCTCTCGCCTGTAATCTCAGTACTTTGGGAGGCTGAGGCGGGTGGATCATGAGGTCAAGAGGTTGAGACCATCCTGGCCAACATGGTGAAACCCCATCTCTACAAAAAATACAAAAATTAGCTGGGCGCAGTGGTGCATATATATATATATATATATATATATATATATATATATATATATATATATATTTATATATGAGTTTATTAAGTGTTAACTTACATGATCACAAGGTCCCACAACAGGCTGTCTGCAAGCTGAGGAGGAAGGAGAGCCAGTCCGGGTCCCAAAACTGAAGAACTTGGAGTCTGTTGTTCGAGATCAGGAAGCATCCAGAACAGTAGAAAGATGTAGGCTGGGAGGCTAGGCCTGCCTCTCTTTTTCATGTTTTTCTGCCTACTTCATGTTTGCTGGAAGCTGATTAGATTGTGCTCACTAGATTAAGGGTGGATCCGCCTTCCCCAGCGCACTGACTCAAATGTTAATCTCTTTCAGCAACACCCACACAGACACACCCAGGAATAATACTTTGTATCCTACAATCCAATCAAGTTAACACTCACTATTAACTATCACACTCATTTTAGTTCCTTTATTGTATTTTAGTAGACTACAAAATCATACTCAATTATTTATTTCATATTCTAATCAGGTTCCATCTGACCATTTCCACCAAACTAGAGTCACTGTAAATTGTTTTTCCTCTGGGTTTGTTACAGTTACATGCTCGCCTTTGGCATGTTTTTCTTGGAGGAATAACTATTCTCTACCTTCAGAAAATAATGTATGAGAGTGGCCGTGCATCATGGTCTGTCCTGTGAGAGTCATTCAAGAAATATTGCTGATTGAAAGCAATGTGCTGAACCACTACTGATCATTGTTCAGGTAAATCTTTCTTTTTAGTACCAAAGTGCCACTTGGTAGCAGTGTAACAGTACACATTTCTGCAGAACTATGGTTTGGAATGTAACTTTCACAAAATTGTCCCTTTGAGGTCTCACACCATGTTTTGAAAATATTTTTTAAGAGATCATGGAAATATAACATTAAATATACTCATGATTGTGTAGAAATGTTGAAAACTCATAGAGTATTTTATAATGCTTTACCAGGGCCTTTTAAATGTTACTTTTCAAAATTATTTTTATTTGAACTTTAAGACGTGTAACTTCATCTCAACACTCAGATCAAGGGACCACACTTTTAATAACATTGTAACTGGTAATTGGACTGGAATTGTTTTTATAGTTGTGGCCTCTTATTTCTGAGAGTTAATGTTCTTCCGAACAAATTATTTTCTCTTTTTCCATTTTCCTTTTAAATTGCAGTGTTTTACTATTAATATTTAGGTGTAAAGACTTTTATATATTTCAATTGTATGGTAAGATGACATACAATTGAAATAGATAAAAGAATGGCATGAAGTGGAGAAATTTAGGAACTGTGATATTAATCAAATTTTCTGGTTAACTTTCTGTTAATGTTTTCTTTCTTATGAAAAGTCTTTTCAACTCAATACTGATTTTCCCATTTGCCTTGATTAATTTCATCTTTGCCTCCCATAGCCTCTAGCTTTCTGTTCAACTATTTCTTACATTATTACACATTGGGCCAGTACATAATAGCAGAAACCTCCATGCATCTGGAGAAAGAAAAAGAAGCAGACATAGGTTGAAACTCCAGGATAGCACCCGTGCAGCTTCTTTGCTGAGCATCTAATTTAGAATTGTGATATGTAAAGTCTTGACTTCTGAAAAGAGGCAGCGGTTGTGGCTGCAAAAGGTACGTAAACTACTTTCTAGGTGGCTACTTTCTAGAGTGGTGAGAATGGTGTGAAATGGAGATACTTAGAAATCGGGATATTAATTAAATTTTCTGGTTAACTTTCTGTTAATGTTTTCTTTTAAATCAAGTTGAAAAGATGGTAGAACATTTAAGTCCAAACCTGTAACTAGCAAGCATATTTTACAAAAGACAGTTACTTTTATTTTCTTTATTGAGTGACCAACCATGGCTTCATATTGATTTTTACCATAAACACCATATATTCATGGAAAGGATGGACTGAAGTTATATGTGCACTAACCTCTGGTGTCTCAGTCTATTTGGGCTACTATAACAAAAATGCTGTAGACTGGTAATACACAACAGATATTTATTTCTCAGTTCTAGAGGCTGGAGGGTCCTAAGTCAAGGAGCTGGCAGATGATGCGCTGGAGAGGACCTCCTTCCACATAGACAGACGTTTTCTCTCTGTATCTTCACAAACTGGAAAAGACAAGGGATTTTTCTGAGGTCTCTTTCATAGGGGCATTAATTCCATTCAAGAAGAGCCTTGATCACCTCTCAAAAGCCCCACTCTCAAATGCCATCACTATGGGGATTAGGATTTCAACATAAGAATTTTGAGAGGACATAAACTTTGTTTATTGCACATGGCAAGTTGAGGGGGCATTTTGTTTTATTTTTAATAAAGCTTTGATATGTGTGTGTATGTGTGACTGTGTGTGTGTATAAAATGTAAGACTGAGAAAGATAGAGGAGTCTTTTTTCTTTAGGAATGAAGTAAAATAATATGATTTGCCGTTTTAGTTCATTGAGACTTCATAGATTTATCAGATTTTATGCCACAAATCTGATATTGAATCCATTTTCATTTGATAAAAGGAAACAAAGTTGTAAAATGCATGTATGCTCTGTTGCTTAGAGAAATGCTTTATATTACTCTTTGAAAAATACAAAAATAAGAAATTAAATCATGCCAAGCCCTTTATAATATAGCATTTTATATCATAATTACTATTGGCTTATATGTTTCTGTGATAACCTTATTTTGTGCGCAGTTCTTCTACAAAGGACAAATCTGTGTGCCTTAAAAAGAAGGTAGGATTCAGAACTTACAAGAAAATTTACATATTAGTAAATATTCATACATAAAGAAATAAAATTAAGAAATTCTAGTCTCAGTGACTTTTGTTAACTTCTAATTTTAGTTAAATTATTGAATGTTAAAGCTGAAAAGAGCCATAAATATCTGTAAATGATGTGATTTCCCAAGGATTAAATGGGAGATGGAAACATCACAATGTATGTATCCATAGCCTCTTAGAAAGTAGTTTACATAAATTCTTGCAGCCACATCTGCTTCCTCTTTTCAGAAGGCGTGACTTTAAGTATCATGATTATAAAGTAGATACTCAGCAAATAAGCGGCAAGTGTCCTATCCCGGAGGGCTTCAACCTATGTCTGTTTTTCCTTTTCTTTCTCCAGGTGCATCACAGTTTTTGCTATTATGTACTGGCCTGATGCGTAATAATGTAAGAAATAGTTACACAGAAAAGCTAGTGGCTGTGGGAGGCTGAGATACAGTTAATTAAGGCAAAACAGAAAATCAGTATTGAGTTTTCAAGGCCTTTTGAAATAGTACTCAATGTGAAAGTGAAACTGGAAAGGTTCCCTTGTCCCCCTTGTAGGGTGTGCAATGGGGGTGTGGCTCGCTTCTTCAGCGCCCCGCTGCTCAGACCTCTAGGGGAGCATACAGACGGGCAGGCTGTCGGGCTCCGACCCCACGGCAGTGTCTAGGGGTGAATGTTTACAGCTCCTGAAGCCCCAGTGGGCGTGTGTTACAGGGTGCTCTTTTTGTTTTGCTCTTTTAATTTTGCCATCTATAGGCGGCTTGTGTTAACCAGCTCAATTAGACCCTCTGCCTTGTTGCAAGGACAGAGGACTTCCTGTATCCTGGGGTTCTTGCCTTGGTGTACCAGAAGAATTGGATCACACCTGGAATCGGAGAATGAGTGCAAGGTTTTATTGAGTGGAAGTAGCTCTCAGCAGATGGGGGAGCCAGAAGACAGATGGTTTTCCCGTGGAATTGGGCTGCTTGGTGGCCCCGGGCTCTCCTCCATCTGCCCTGGCCAAACTCCACATCGTTCCGCTGGTCATGGCCTGTTGGTCAGTGGCCTGCTGGTGTCCGGGCATCTGGCGGTGTGCTCTTCCGCAGGCATGCTCCCCTCAAAGTCTTCTCAATGTCCAGCTGTTTGTCTTCTTCCACCAATGTATTCCTCTGGCTGTCCAGCAGCTCATGTCTCTGCCTTGCTAGGGTCTTGGGTTTTTATAAGCCCAGGATAGGGGCGTGGTGGGCCAAGGTAGTCTTGGAAAATGCCACTTTTGGGCGCGAAGACCGAGGTCCCTGGGATAGAGCCCTAGCCGGGGACCATGACCGCCTCTACCCAGCACTTCCCTTCCCCCTTCCATATCATTTAAAGGGACCACGCTCTTCCCTTCCCAGCACTTCCGTATCAAAAGTTTGTGTGCATTCGTGTGCATCTCTAGTAAATATGGTCACTAAACCCTTTTTTTAAAGACCTTTTTTATCCATAACCCAGCCTTCATCACCCACCTGCCCCCACCACCACCACCACCAACCCGATCAGTGCAAAATAAGAAGCCATTGCTTGGAATTTCAATGTGTTTCCCGTTGGCATACATTGAGGAGAGTGAACATCTGCATACACTTTCTCAGGTACACTGGAATGCAAACTTGATAAGGACAAGATATTTTGTTTCCTTTCATTCACCTATGTGTCCCAAGTACCTGATACAGAGTGGCACATAAGAGAAATTCAGTAAGTATTCATTAATTTAATAAATAGTTAAATAAAAATGGAAATAAAAGTAATTTATTAAAAATATGTATTTAAAGTTCTGAACCTTGACGAAACTCAGTAAGTATTCATTAATTTAATAGTTAATTAAAAATGGAAATAAAAGTAATTGATTAAAAATGTGTATTTAAAGTTCTGAACCTTGAGGAAATGAAGACAGAAATGCAGAATTATCTATTGATAGACTTTTCATCCTGATACAAAAAAAAGATTAGACCAGTAGGAATTAATGTTTCCATTCAAAAATCTAAATCAAAAATCTATCAGAACTAAGAGCACGACATAGAACTAAGGATCAAATAACAGGCAGAGCGGACTCAGAGAAAGCACATACATTAAGACAGAGGTGGCACACGCATACTCACACATACATTTTCATACTACATTTAACTACTTAACAAATAATTATTTTATATTGTGGCCAGTCATTCTCAACTAAACCTTTATTGTTCTTCATGGAATTGCTCCACCTCCCGGGTTCACGCCATTCTCCTGCCTCAACCTGCCGAGTAGCTGGGACTACAGGCGCCCGCCACCATGCCTGGTTAATTTTTTGCATTTTTAGTAGAGACGGGGTTTCACCATGTTAGCCAGGATGGTCTCCATCTCCTGACCTCGTGATCCGCCCGCCTCGGCCTCCCAAAGTTGTGGGATTACAGGCGTGAGCCACCGCGCCCAGCCTGTTCAAGGAATTCTTACAAAGATTGATACTCACAGGAGTGCAAGTTTACTCCCCCGGGAATATTTGGCAATTTCTTGAAAGCTTTCTGATTGTCACAACTGGAGTGTTGCTACTGTCATCTAGCGGGTAGAGGCCAAGGATGCTATAAAATACAGAGGAAATTCACCAACAAAGAGTCATCTAGTGCAAATATCCTTAGTGCTGAGCCTGAGGAACCCAGCTATGATGGAAGAGTTATGGTTCTACTGGGGAGACCTCTCAGCTGGAACAGAAGAACTGGCTAAACAAGACTGTGCTGCTAGGTGAGCTAGTCCAAGTAAATGAGAGCTGAATAGAGCATAGTCTAGTTGAAGCAACTGTTTGAAGCCCGCCCAAACTGTTGTTTTACCTAAATGAACTACGCATGAAAATATAAACAACAAAAAAAGTAAATTTAAAAAGATCTCTGAGATTTTATTTGATTCTCATAAAAGTAGAGTTGAAAATTCCTATCATGCCAGTAATTACAACTCTGTGACCATATGAATTATGAAGGTACTATGTGAGAGACTATCTACGTTGACTATCTACGTCTAACACATAGCAAGGCCTCGATAATTATTGAGTGTTTGAATAGTTGAATAAATTAAATGCAATGCTTGATTTTCCTTGACTCACAGAGTTATGCTAAGGTAAAGGTATGATTCCCTAATATATACATTTTGAATACATCAGTGATGAAGACTGATACATTGAAAATGATATGTTAGTTTGGTTTCCTCTAGAAGCAGAATCCAAAATGAAATTAGATATGCAAGTGATTTATTGGAGGAAATACTTGTTCAACATGTTGAAGGAGCCAGGGGTAAGCAGAACAATCAGAATGAGTTTCATTTCTGAAAACTGAAGGAGAGGGAAAGAGTAGAAAGTGTCTTGAACCTCAGCACAGTTTCAGGAAAGTTTTGATCAAGCCCATAAAGGAATCCTCAAGCTCAAGTCTCCCATTTGAGGAGTTCTGTGTCTTGCAGAAATGGGTCTGCGTTAGTATCTCCACTGTGCAGTCATCAACTGGAAGCTGCCCACAGAAAGCCTGACCTTGGCATGAATGCCGTGGTAGTTCTGGAGAAGCGACAGCTGGGGCTGTCATTCTGCTCCCTCTAGTAGGAGGTGTGAATGGTGCATTTTTATACTTGTTACATCATCCAAAACAAGAAAATAGAATGTTCTCCAATCTATTTTCACGTGTGATACATCAGAAATTTTGAGAATCTCTCGTAAGAGAGAAATGAAGGCAGAAATGAGAATCTGCACCTTCTTTCCTCATTTGCGGTAATGTTTTATAACTATTAAACCTTTAGACACAGAATTATGGTGTGGGTTTTATATCTGTGAAAGGAAAATAATTCTTGGGGCCCCAAAATCACTAAGCTAAAGAGAAAAGTCAAGCCGGGAACTGCTTAGGGCCAATCTGCCTCCCATTCTATTCTAAGTCACCTCTCTACTCACTGAAAAAAATACATACCTGGCTGGGCATGATGGCTCACCCCTATAATCCCAGCACTTTGGGAGGGCAAGGTGGGCGGATCATGAGGTCAGGAGTTCGAGACCAGCCTGACCAAGAGGCCAGCCTGGCCAGTAAGGTGAAACCCCATCTCTACTAAAAATACAAAAATTAGCTGGGGGTGGTGGTGGGCGCCTGTAATCCCAGCTACTCGGGAGGCTGAGGCAGGAGAATTGCTTGAACCCAGAAGGTGGAGGTTGCAATTAGCCAAAGATCATGCCATTGCACTCCAGCCTGGGTGACAGAGCAAGACTCCAACTCAAAATAAATAAATAAGTAAGTAAAATGCATATCTGGTTGCCTCCTTTGTAGAAGCTAATCAGAAATTCTGAAGAATGCAAGCATTTGTCTCTTATCTACCTGTGACCCGGAAGCCCTCTCCTCACTTTAAGTAGTCCTACCTTTGCTTCCAGTTGCTCCACCTTTCCGGACCTAACCAATGTTCATCTTACATATGTTGATTGATGTCTCCTGTCTCCCTAAAATGTATAAAACCAAGCTGTGCTCTGACCACCTTGGGCACATGTCTTCGGGAACTCCTGAGGCTGTCATGGGCATGCATCCTTAACCCTGGCAAAATAAACTTTCTAAGTTAACTGACTCCTGTCTCAGATATTTGGGGTTCACATATTAATGGTAGATAATTCATATTTGCAAAGCCATGAATTGATATTAGGAACAAGCATGCATTATGCATTAATAATACAGAATGTTGACTGAAGTTTTGAAAGGATAGCTAAAAAGAATACCTGGCGGCCAGGCACGGTGGCTCATGCCTGTAATCCGAGCACTTTGGGAGGCTGAGACGGGTGGATCATGAGGTCAGGAGTTCGAGACCAGCCTGGCCAACATGGCGAGACCCCATCTCTACTAAAAATACAAAAATTAGCCGGTCGTGGTGGTGCACTCCTGTAATCCTAGCTATTCAGGATGCTGAGGCAGGAGAATTGCTTGAACCCAGGAGGTGGAAGTTGCAGTGAGCAGAGATCATGCCACTGCACTCCAGCCTGGGTGACAGAGGGAGACTCCATCTCAGTAAAAAAAGAAAAAATAAAAAGAATACCTGGCAAGTGTAGGCAGATGGACTCATATCTAATCATGCTAAAATGGCCTGATATGTGAAAATTTGCTTATACCCACAGTTTCTGATAAAAAAAGTTTAAAATGTTCTTCAACTTTTAATGGGAAGGAATATTAGATATTAATAATATATTTTAATATTTAATATCAGTATTAGATTTTAATATAGCAATACTGGCATTTCTACCTCTTGGCTCTATGATGAACTAAAAATTTACTAATGGAGTTAGATATAAAGCTATAGGTTTTGTATGGTGATTTTGACACAGGTTGATGTAGGCCCAAATTTTACAATAGAAACCAGTTCTCATATTTCTAATTTTTCTATTGCACGTCTCTTAATTCTTTCTATGATTGATCTTTTCAACAGTACAACACATATTCATGTGTGCTAATCTGAATCAAAATGAACAATCATTTAGAGTAAATCAAGCTTGATATATGTTCTTACCTTCTTTTGACATTAATCTCCAGATCATGCTAATTTTGCTTTATCTTTTGACTCGGTGCTCCTTACATTTGGAGAGGGCATGCTATTATTTCCACTGAGAAAGAGATTTATGCTAGAGCAAAATGAAGTGGACCAGCACTATAGGGCACACTGGAAATAGCACCCTTATGACCAACTAGCAAGATTAATTCCCCTATTTACCATTTATAGTAGATTGCCATAGTTTGCACTCTTTTGAATTTATGCTGTTTTCAATGCCGCATTTTGCTTACTGTTTTTCTAACTTACATAATAACTAATAGGCATATTTAAGAAGTAGAATACATACAGCTCAGAAATGCAATGTGCACTATTTTAAGACTGCAGCTGCATTTATTACCCTATTCCTATAAAGTATTCAGGTTATTTTTATCTAACTTTCCTGAGAAAGCAATGGCCACATGCTTTCACAACTTACTTTGTGTCAAATCTATTTCTACCAAAGTGTAAAGGAAAAAAAAAAAAAAGGATAACCAAAGCAGTCACAAGATTAAAGATGTCTGACTAATCCTAATTTATTTTAAAAATCTATATGCTTAAGAATGCAGTAAACACCACACCTTCCCTTCTGCCTGTCTTTTATTGCCATCTTGTTTTCTTATTATTTACTTATTTATTTATTTACTTTGAGAAAAGGCCTCACTCAGTCACCCAGGCTAGAGTGTAGTGGCACAATTTCAGCTCACTGCAACCTCCGCCTCCCAGGCTCAAAGGATCCTCCCACTTCAGCTTTCCAAGTTGCTGAGACTATAGTTGCACACCATCATGTCCTGCCAATTTTTGTATGTATCATTCTTGTATATATATTAAATATAATATACATTATATGATATATATTATATCATATAATATATATCATATATGATATATAATATATCATATAATATATATCATATATGATATATATTATATGATATATTATATATTACATATAATATATGATATATTATATATTATATAATATATTATGAGCCGGAGGTTGCGTGAGCCGAGATCTCACCACTGTACTTCAGCCTGGCAACAGAGTGAGACTCCATCTCAAAAAAAAAAAAAAAAAAAAAAAAATCCACCCTCCCCAGTGTGGATGGGCATCTTCCAACTGTTGAAGGCAGACTAGAACAAAAAGGTGGAGGAAGGTTAAATTCATTCTGTCTCTTCTGAAAATGGGACATACATTTCCCACCATTGGGCATTGGAGCCACTGGTTCTTGGACCTCTGCAATCTAGGATTTACACCAGCAGCCCCCGGGTTTTTAGGCCTTTGGCCTTGTACTGGATGTTACATCATCAGCTCCCCTGGTTCTAAGGCCTTCAGATTTGGACTTAAATTACACCACCGGCTTTTCCGGTTTTTCAGCTTGCAGAAGCAGCTTATGGGACTTCTCAGCCTCCATATGCATGTGAGCCAATTCCCGTAATAAATTCTCTCTTACGTATCTCTATCAATCAATCTATATTTTTATATACTATTGGTTCTGTTTCTATAGAGAACCGTGACTAATACACTCAGATAAATTAACGGACCTGCCCAAGATCTCATAGTTAGTAAGTCATAGATAGTAAGGATTGGATTTAAGTACATTAGATTTAAATTCTGACATTTAAACCTCTTATACACTACTGCCTCTCTGAAATGAAAGCCTACTAATGGTATATAGCAAGTTTATTCATTAAAATAAATAAAACATAACATTACTAAGATAGATGCAACTAACATTGCTAATACCTTATATTAGACATTTATATGTAAAACTTTATCCATGGAAACAACATAATATTCAATAGTTAATGCTGAAGAATTATTCACATGATCTCCTACCCCCAATACAACCTTTATTGTAAGAACAAACATAATATAAAAATCTTAATAATTTTAAGGTATTAAAAATAGCTAAACCTGAAGACCTAATAGGTTATTTAAAACCAAAGTTGGCTTAAAAATACCTAAATAATTGGTAGAACAACTTTGCCTATTTCCTCAGATAAAATGTTTCCCAAGCAGGTATTAGCAAGTCTTTTAAATCAGTCACGACCTTTGCCAAGTAATAAAGACTAACACCATCAGTCATAAGTCATAGTGATAGCAAGCACGCCTGATTGGATGTGACAAGAAGGGCACGTCACCTCTGTGGCATTGGTCCCCCAAACCCATAACAGCAGTCTGAACAGGAGAGAAACATGGAAAGAACCCACATTGAGGATTGCTCTACAAAATATCTGACCAGGAACCTCAAAACTGTAAAAGTCAAGAAAGTCTGAGAAATGGTTACAGACCAGAAGAAAATACAAATATATGAAATCTAAGGATGATGGGTTTTCCTGAGAGTACCCTGGAATAGAAAACAGTCATTAAGGGAAAACTAGTAAAATGGTCAAATCCAAAGTAAGTGTAGACTACATTGATATTATCGTACTAATGTTGAGTTTTTAGTCATGACAAATGCTCTGTAATAATTCATGTAAGATTTTAACAATATGAGACTCTGGGTGAGGTGTATGGTAAAACTCTCCACAGTATCCTTGCAACTTTTCTGTAAATTTAAACAACTCTAATCTTAAAAATTCATCACAATCAATTCAAGGATATATTGCTTATTTCCTTGATCTTAGATATTCTACTTATATACCTTCTTGTATTTTAACTTTCTTAACCCTCTGATCTTAGCATTTCAACCATGAAAACCAAACAAAACCGAATTAAGAGAGCTGTTTTGTATGCCAAAATGGCAAAGTAGAGGAGAGTGGGAGAAAAGCATATCTGATATTTTTTCACTTTGAATCCTTAGATTATATTGGGCTTCTATTTAGCATTTATTTTGTTTTTCAATCTCAGTAATAATAATACAAAAAAATCAAGTTCATGTAATCAGTACCATCAATTTAAAATTATAATCGGTGTTATGGGCTGAATTTTACCCTCCTAAAAATCATATGTTGAAGTCCTAACCCTCAATACCTCAGAGTATGACCTTATGTGGAGACAGTGTCTTGTAAAGACACCGAGATAATCGAATTAAAGTGAGGTCGTTAATGTGGACCCTAATCTAACATGACTGGTGTCCTTATAAAAAGGGGGAATATAGATATCAAACCACACATAGGGAGATGATGTAAAGACATAGAGAGAAGATGACCACAGAGAGACATAGAGAGAAGATGTGGCTAATATATAACATAGAGAGGAGCATGGCTAATGTTTGGTTAAAGAGAGGGAGCCTTTGTCACTAAGTAAATAGTACAATATAAGTAAATGTTTTAATAGTGCAAAGATTGTTAGTGCAAAATAAATGTTAAGATGACCATCCACAAATGAAGGAACAAAGTTTGGGGCTGACCCTCCCATTGCAGGCCATAGAAGGGACAAACCCTGCCAACACCTTGATTTTGGAGTTCTAGCTTCAATAAATTGCTGTTTTTAAAGCAACGAACTCTGTGGTACGTGCTTAGAGCAGCCCTAGCAAATACAGCCAGTGACTAATAATTGAAAAGAACATATTGAGTGTAACAGTGGAGACAGCTTCAAATACTAGGCAGTGTCAGGGCACAGCTAAGGAAGTGCATGTAGTGATGAACTGGAGGATGAGTGCAGAAAAGTTCTAAGGGGGGATAAATCTAAATGTTAAGTTGCATGGAGATAGTAATAAGACAGTATTAGAAATTTCCAGGCTTGTACTTCCACAGCTCTACAGAAATAAAGTATATCAAATCTACGACAGAGGAACCCACACCAACCTCAACCTTAGGGATCCAAATAGCTTATTAATGGGAGGCTGGATCATATTGACTGGGGACCTGACTAGTTGACCATTGATAAGCTTTGTGTTTCAAGCAAACCCAAAGTAGTAGTGAGCTTTGGGAAGGGTGATACCTCCACTATCTTCTACATTAGAAAGATCATTTATAAATAAGGGTCCATAGTTCTTATCTGCTTGTTTCTTGGGCATGTCATCAGCTTTCATGTATTTATACATTCAAGGAAGATTCATGATTAAATTCAAACTGCATTCATAGTCCTGATGATTTACGTGGAGGATAAAACTAAATGAGAAATCAGAGTACTTTTCACATTTCCTTTCAAATTAATTCATCCAGGAAGCAAACATTGGTTGAGCTTCAAGTATGCATAATAAACTCTGGGAGGAATTACAGTGCATAGTAACATGATTAAAGAGATTCTTGGTTTTAAACTAGTAGTGAAAAAAATAACCCATAAAGATCTATAACCCGGCCAGGCACCGTGGCTCACGCCTGTAATCCCAGCACTTTGGGAGGCTGTGGCGGCTGGATCACAAGGTCAGGAGTTCGAGACCAGCCTGTCCAATGTGATGAAACCCCATCTCTACTAAAAATACAAAAATTAGCTGGGCATGGTGGCGTGCACCTATAGTCCCAGCTGCTCGGGAGGCTGAGGCAGGAGAATTGCTTGAACCCGGGAGGAGGAGGTTGCAGTGAGCCAAGATTGTGCCACTGCACTCCAGCCTGGGCAACAGACAGAACAAGACTCCGTCTCAAAAAAAAAAAAAAAGAAAAAGATCTATAACCCAACCCAGCATCATTCAAACATTGATTTCAGTAGTTCATTTTCTAAATATTGCTAAATAATAAATAATTTAACTTCTATTTTTGATATGTGTGTATGTGTGTGCCTATGTGTACTTTTAGCTAAAGGAGATTAATTGATTACATAGAAAAGGTCCGTTGATGGAGTGGAATTTCTGTCATCTTTAACAAGGGATTAGTATACACTTAAAGTAACATATTCTAAGTCATGCTATAGAAATAACTTTAGATAAGTGGATATAATGACTTTTAGATTACATTAAAATAAAGGAGCTTAAGTAGATGACAATAAAAATCTACCCAAAAGTGTAACAAAGCAAAAGAAATGCCAGATAAAAAGCATAACTGGCTCCAGTAATAGCTACCTATACCATGTAACAAAATACCCTAGGACTCAGTGGCTAGATAACAGTCATTTATTTATTTCTTTATTTATTATATTTATTTTTTATTTATTTATTTTTTGAGACGAAGTTTCACTCTTGTCACCCAGGCTGGAGTGCAATGGCGCGATCTTGGCTCACTGCAACCTCCACATCCCAAGTTCAAGTGATTCTCCTGCCTCAGCCTCCCAAGTAGCTGGAATTACAGGCGTGTGCCACCATACATGGCTAATTTTGTATTTTTAGTAGAGACGAGGTTTCTCCAGGTTGGTCAGGCTGGTTTCAAACTCCCAACCTCAGGTGATCTACCCTCCTCATCCTCCCAAAGTGCTAGGATTATAGGCATGAGCCACCGTGCCTGGCCAAAAGTCATTTATTAATGCTCAGAAGTCCACAGGCTTGCTGGATATTTCTTCTGAGCTAGATGAGGTTTGTGCAATCTTAGCTGGGCTTTCTCATTTTTGTCTGCATTCAGTTCATGGATGGGGAGGGAACTGGAAAGTCAACATAGCTTAATTCAGGTCGGTGGCACTTGGCAGTTGGTTGGCTCATGTAAAGAGGATGACTAAGCCACATGTCTCATCATCCAGGTTTTCGCTCATGGAGAGGACAACTTTCATGCCAAAGAGAGAAGTGCAGAGGGCTTCTGAAAGTTTATGTTGGGAACCGACACACTCTTATCTCTGCTGTACTTTTTCTGACAAGGCAAGTCACAGACCTGCCCAGATGCAAATGTGAAGTACAGATTCCATCTCTTAGTGGAAGGAAACACAGAGTGAATTCAAGAAGGGATGCAAGACTATGCCTGACTTTGCAATCTACCACAGCTGTTAACCAAGTGACGTTCTGACTTGTCACAACATTCAACAAGTTATACTGAAATGTCTTCATTATTGAAATACTTAACTTTAAGAAATGTTTTCTAAAATGCCATATATATTAGATATAAACAAAAAACATACCAAAATCAATACAAATACTTCACCTCATTCAAACATTGTTATTCAAGTGTTCCCAGGAATGGTGGATATGAAGATTTTACTGTGAAAGTTGAGAAAAGATAAGAAACTCCCTTTTGTGTGAGAGGGTTAGCAACTCCATAACAAAGGACCTCAGACCAGTGGTTTAAACAACTTTCCTTTCCCCTCCCCTCCCCTCCCCTCCCCTCCCCTCTCCTCTCCTCTCCCCTCCTCTCCTTTCCTTTCGTTTCCTTTCATTTGACAGAGTCTTGCTCTGTCCCCCAGACTGGGGTGCAATGGTGCAATCTTGGCTCACTGCAACCTTCGCCTCCTGGGTTCAAGCGATTCTCCTGCCTCTGCCACCCAAAGAGCTGGAACTACAGGCGTGAGCCACCATGCCTGGTTACTTTTGTAGTTTTAGTAGAGACAGGGTTTCACCATGTTGACCAGGCTGGTCTCAAACTCCTGACCTCAAGTAATCCACCCGCCTTGGCCTCCCAAAGTGCTGGGATTACAGGCAGGAGCCACCGCACACGGCCATGAAAATTTATTTCTCACAGTTCTGGAGATTCAGGTGTCAACAGGGTTGATTTCATTCTGAGGCCTATCTTTGGCTTATAGATGGTCATCTTATTGCTGTATCCTCACATGATCACCTCTTAAGTCTGTGTTGTCTGCGTCCTAATCTCTTGTTCCTAAAAGGACAAGGGTCACATTTGAATTAGCCCACACACATATGACTTCATTTTCCCTCACTTACCACTTTAAAGATCCCATCTCCAAATACAAGCACACTCTGGGTTACCGGGAATTAAGACTTCAGCATAGGAGTTCCAGGTTGTGGTGGGGGGAATAATTCAGGCAATAAAACATTCTATAGAAATAAAACCAAACAGTCTATTGATTGCTGGACGTGTTATATAGTGCTCTATAAATAGTCTTGTTAAAGCAAACTAAATATGGCCCGAGAAGGACTCTGTACTTCCATATTTGAGTCCTTGTGGACGAACTGCGACCTAGCTTAATTGGTAGACAGAATTGAAAATGTAAGTTAGGAGTATGCACCTGTAACGATAGCTGAGTCTTGGCCAATCCCGGTGGCCGTACTTCAACCGCTCATACACTGCTGAGTGTCCAAACTGCTCAAATAAGGCAAACGCCAGGTGTAACCAATCCAGCTGTTTCTGAACTTCACTTCTGATTTCTGTATGTCATTTTCCGCTTTTGTCTATAGATCTTCCACCACATGGCTGTGCTGGAGTCTCTGTAAACTGCTGCGATTCTGGGTCTGCCTGATTTGTGAATCGCTCATTACTCAATTAAACTCCTTTAAATTTAATTAGGCTGAAGTTTTTATCAGTCTCTATAAATAGACTGATTCCATTTGTATTAGTGTTAATTCCACAGTTGTTCTGTTCACACTAGCCTCAGTGGAGACTACTGAGAATGAATATTCTCTGCTGGCTTTCTTTGAGAATTATCTGTATCCATTTTTGATCTTCAGGTTTTGCTCATTATGCTTCTGGAATAAGATTTTATGATTTGGCCAGTGTACATATAGATAAACTATTTCAGTGAGTGGAATTGAAACTTTTATAAAAACTCAAGCCTTTGTGAATAGATATTTGTATCAATCTTTTGCCTTAATTTTAGCTCAATTTCAGGTGAGTATAAGCGAGACAGATGAAGATCTTTTGTACGTTTCAGCTTTTTATATATATTACATGTGTACACAGTACTATGCATTTATATGTACTATGAATTACAATCACTCTAGTTTCTGAGAAGGTGAGAAGAGCATAATTTTTATTTTTTATTATATAAGTACAAATAGATGTTGATAATTTCAGAGATATATTTAGTTCAGGGAATGAAACAAAAGCCAGAACACCAGCCTGCCTTTCACTCACATTTTCATTATGTAACTGGGAATCTGCAGGTACCTGGCTCTGCACAAATCTATGTTCATCAGAGAAGAAAAGCCTTTATTTCAACAGAAAAATCATTTTGCCTACACCAAGACATATTCACAGACTTCACTTGAATTGTGTGGAAACAAACTAAATACCCTATATGCAACTCTTAATCTCAATGACGAAATGTTGCTTCTGTCTCCATACAGCTATTATTGTTATTTAATTGAAGAATAAAAGTATTTCCTAAAAGACAATTACTTCTTAGTTTTAAGAGATTGGGTAAATAAAACAAAATACTTTAGAACTCTTGCCTTGACAAGTACATGCCTGGGTTTTTTTCCATAGCTACTCAGGAATTGAATGCATCTTTACATCTACTGTTCTATCAAGGATGCACACCCTTCCTTCACACTATTTTTTTAAATGTAATCTCAGAAAATAGAAACTATAACAAAATAATACGCAAGCGTGTCTTAACTAGTTACAAAAGAAGCATAAAGCATTTCTAAATTTTCAAAGAAGGGATCTTGAATAGCTTTTTTTTTTTTTTTTTTGTAAAGCTCAGCATATTTGTTGACAGTTTTGGAGCATGAATTCAAAATCAGGGCTTTTAAGCACCCAAACATGTTATTTTTGCTATGCTCAATTGCATGAAGAGTTAGACTTGCTCATGTTACTTTCTTTTCTTTACTCTCTCGGCCTCAAGAGCAGATAACTGTCCTCCCTTGGATGCAGAGAGTAAAACTTTCTGTTATGTAAAAGTGAGAGTTCTTGGCCAGGTGCGGTGGCTCATGCCTGTAAATCCCAGCACTTTGGGAGGCCAAGGTGGGCAGATCACAAAGTCAGGAGATCTAGACCATCCTGGCCAACATGGTGAAACCCCATCTCTACTAAAATACCAAAAATTAGCCAGGTGCCAGGTGTGCTGGTGTGCGCCTGTAGTCCCAGCTACTTGGGAGGCTGAGGCAGGGGAATCACTTGAACCCGGGAGGCGGAGGTTGCACTGAGCTGAGATCGCGCCACTGCACCCCAGCCTTGGAGACAGAGTGAGACTCTATCTCAAAAAAAAAAAAAAAAAAAAAAAAAAAGTGAGAGTTCTTAAGCTCAATGTAATGAATATTTGGATGTTGTCTTCCAGTACTTGTGACATTTCCTAAAATTATTAATAGGAGACCTCCACATAAGGCCCAATAATCTTTTGCACAACCTTCAGCAAGAACTCTCCATGATGTTCTGGCCACACATATTATAGACCCATGGATCTTGACCATTCTTACCATGAGAAAGATTGGCATTGGGGATTCCTATTTATTGATGTATCATTATTATTTATTAATTAACTTGCTCCATTTCAACTCTGGCATTCTCTTTTAAGTACTTTTTACCTCTCAACCTAAACTCTAATGACATTGATTGAATATTTTTCGTGATTAATTCACTGTCTTCATCACTAATTCACTGATTAGAATTATCTGATATCCAGAATTCCATTATTAATATTTTGGTCTCTAAAGTCCAGACGACCTGATGCTAGGATAGCATGATCCTGAAAAGCTGTCAGTTTTGAATGGTATTCTTTTTTAAATTTATCCACACACCAATATTATGAGGAAAGGTTTGGATATTGAACAAAAAGATTAAGGAGTAGGCTATGTACATTTATTTTATATTTACTGTCATTTTATACTCTGATTATCTTTTCTCAAACCTCTAAGGCATTCTATTTGATGGTGAATTATCTATATTTTCTTTCTGGATCATATAGGATGTAAGAGATTTTGTTGCATTACAAACAACCCCCAAATCCAATTGGTTTATAAGACAAGGTTTATTCTTTGCAAGTGAAGCATGTTTAACTAGGTCCAGCAAGGCCCTCTGCTTATCATTGTTGTTCAGAGATATTATTGATAGACATCTAACTTTGATAATCTAGGGGAAGAAAAATATATTTTTCTCATTCATGCTAGTTTCATGGCCGAGACTTCTTCAGCAAAAGACAAGATTGACAGGATACAAGCATATACATTTATTTAATATAAGTTTTGTATGACATGGAAGCCTCCCTAAGGAAATGAAGACCAGAAGAAAAAGTTAAATTTGCTTATTTTTATGCTAGGTTTATGAAGTGGCCTGTTTGTTTAGATTCTTCTCTTTGATCCTGTGACTTCATAGATAAGGATGTTCCTTTCCTCCCGGTATAGGGAAAGCCCTTTGGCATAAGGGTCTCATGGCACTCTTTAGGGGAATGTCAGAAAATCTTTCCTAAGCTTATGCCCTCCTTCAGGGAAGAAAAGTGAAAGTAACCTTCCTGCTTCTGCTGTTTTCTTAAATGCCAAGGTGCTGTAATTTGGAGCAGTGTGCCCTGAGCTCCATCAATATACCTCCTTCCATACACTATAGCCAGCGAAGGAAAGTCATGGCAAGCTACATACTGGCTCTTCACCATCTGGCAGAGGTGGTACATATCATTTTTGCTCACCATTCCCCAGGCAAAACAAGACATACAGCCAGAACTGGGGCCAGCAAGGAGAAAAGTACAATTATTCCCCAGCAATGGGAATTCGGAATTTACACCCAAAATGCAATCTGTGTAGACTACCAAAAGTCTAGTCTTCTGGTCTCAAATGTTCAATGTAGTCTCCTTTACATGTGAAAAGCAAATTCCTTTCTATTCACCTCCCTTCACCCCCCAAGAAAAACCCAATTCAGTTACAGCACTAGGGTCTAAATCTAGGGTATTATGGTAGTCTCCACACAACTTATTTTATTCTGTGGAGCCAACAAATAAAAAGGTTGTATTTTCTCTCTAGCCATATCCCCCTCACCACCTTCTACCCTCACATGCCTAGTATACACATATAGAAAAGAGTCATCACAACTGCAATAAACAGTCTCATTAAGAATGAGGAAAATGGGGCCAGGCGCGGTGGTTCGCGCCTGTAATCTCGGCTCTTTGGAGGCTAAAGTGGTCGGATCACGAGGTCAGGAGTTCAACACCAGCCTGGTCAACATGGTGAAATCCCGTCTCTACTAAAGATACAAAAAATTAGTTGGGTGTGGTGGCGCATGCCTCTAATCCCAGCTACTGTTGAAGCTGAGGCAGGAGAATCCCTTGAACCCAGGAGGCAGAGGTTGCAGTGAGCAGAAATTGTGCCATTGCACTCCTGCTGGGTGACAGGGTGAGACTCTGTCTCAAAACAAAACAAACAAACAACAACAAAAAACAAATAAGAATGCGGAAAATGGGATTTGCACATTTGCAAATGACAATTCTGAAATCCTGCCAGGCAGGCATTTTGAGGTCCTTTTTCAACACATCACTAGAAATATAAATAGGGTCAATGTTAAAGACAAAATTTATTCAGACAGTAATTAAAACAGTAAAGAAGGGTTTATTCAAGACTACTGCTATCGGGGAAAGAAATGGGGGTCAACTTTGACTGTAGCAAAGATAGCTGGAGACTTATAGCTAAAGAGGAGAGTGAGAAGGTCGGTGGTTGGAAAGTTGCTAAGAGGAGGCATCAAAGATAGAGGAATTCTTGCTAAACCAACTTAATTGGATTCTTGCTGAAGGGCAGGCCAAAGACACAGAAAACAAAGATGGGAGATGAGAAACCTGATCAGATATGGAGAGTCATCCGGTATCAGAGGTCAGGGATTCTTTCTAAACTAAGGAGAACTCTTGCTAAGACTGGACTATGCACATCAGGCAAGGATGGGCGGCTAAGGTCAAGGCCTACTCTGTAAGTGTGCTTAGAGGAGCCTGGCTACAGCTGGGTCAAAGAGAGAGTTTTGTCGCCAAGTATTACAATATAAGTAAATGCTTTAATAGTGCAAAAATTAATAGTGCAAAATAAACATTACCATGTGGGTCAAAGCATCATATTTTTCTCAACTTGTATCTAACTGAATTGATACTGGTCTAGAAAATATTTAATCCTCTTCTATGCCTTTCCGTACACTGCTTGTCAGAAAAGTTGCTTTAGAGCGGCTATTTTAAAAAAGGAAAAAGAAAAAAAATATTGCTGCAAGTTATTCTGATTTTCGTCACTGGCTCCTGCCATCCTGCTTCAACGAGGGTTTTGTTTTCTTCCTTCTTCCGTGGAACACCAGAAACTGCCTTTCCTCTGTCAGGGAGCTCTCCCACAGTGGGAACTTGAACCTGTTTCAGCCTTTGCTGCCTTATAGTCAGTCCATAGACGTGTTCTTCACTCACACTCCTGCTTAATGTCAAGATTGTTTTCCTTCAGCTCACACCCTTGCTGTGCACATCTCCATGTACATTGGCCTTATTTTTATTTATTTTTTTTGCATGTAAAAAGCATGTTCTTTTATTGTCCTGGTCCAAATTTGAGGTATTTGCCTTCAAATTTGTTTTTTGAGTCTTTTTTTGTTTTTCTCACGTCTCTGTTGTTTTACTGGCAGATGCTTCTGGTTGATTTGCTGGAGATGGTATTCTGTAGGTGTTAAGAAGTGTGGCTACAAGGGTTTATCTCCATTTTCATTAGACATCTTTCATTTGGAAAAATCCACCTTGATCTCATAGCAAACCTGAGATGGTGGCTGTTTCAAGTGCAGTCCAGGGAAAACCTGTGTTGCAACATACATGACACACTTAACAAATGCAGAGTCTGGGGGTTGTGTCATTTCTGGAGCTTTCTAAGCATTCCCTCCTGTTTCTAAACACACACCTTGATTTTCATCTAAATGGACTTTAAACTCTAGGCGATGTAAAGGACTTTCCCACTATACTGTATTCTACAGCCCAGGAAAGTAACAAATATTTCCTGGAATTGTTTTTTGGCTACACTGTAAAACAACTTTAAGACTGTGCATATATAAGACATCCTGCATCAGCGTTCTTGGCCACCATATTGGTCTGCTCAGTACATCTAAATAACTACATATTTACCTTAACACAGTTGCTTCTGGAAATGGGGAAGCCAAAAATTATTCAGACAGTAATTAAAACAGTAAAGAAGGGTTTATTCAAGACTACTGCTATCGGGGAAAGAAATGGGGGTCAACTTTGACTGTAGTAAAGATAGCTGGATATTTATAGCTAAAGAGGAGAGTGAGAAGGTCAGTGGATGGAAAGTTGCTAAGAGGAGGCATCAAAGATAGAGGAATTCTTGCTAAACCAACTTAATTGGATTCTTGCTGAAGGGCAGGCCAAAGACATAGACAACAAAGATGGCAGATGAGAAACCTGATCAGATATGGAGAGTCATCCGGTATCAGAGGTCAGGGATTCTTTCTAAACTAAGGAGAACCTTGCTAAGACTGGACTATGCATATCAGACAAGGATAGGCGGCTAAGGTCAAGGCCTACTCTGTAAGTGTGCTTAGAGGAGCCTGGCTACAGCTGGGTCAAAGAGAGAGTTTTGTCACCAAACTGTGGCTATTTGAAATCTAGATTTGAAATATTTCTCAATATTTCTTTCATTTTCACTTATGCTACAAATGCCAATAGAATCTGCCAGGAGAAACTAGATGTAAAGAGATGGGAGCAAGGTGCCAAAGTCAGTCATAACATTTTCTTATTCCATTTAATAATTTATTTAAGCATATGGGTTTGAAAGACTTATCTTAAAGCATCAGCCAATATATCATCTCATTTACTTACAGCTTCATCCCTACTTCTCTTTGCTCTCTTCCTATCTCATTCTTAAGAGCAATGAGAATATTTCAAGAGACTCTAAAGCAATTTCTTCTTAAAGAGATGTTGATGTGCATGTTACAAGCTTGCGAAAATGGATATGGATTATTTTCTTCAATTGGGTAATATAAGGAGGCTGATATCCTAGAAGCCTCAGATTCATTCAGCCTAAGTAGTATTATCGTTGAGACTTGACCACATTTTGCATATGAATATTCTGCCTTTTTCTGTCTGGTAATTTAAAAGCCCAAGTTGCGTGAAAATGAAGGGTTATGAAGCTACCTCTATTAAATACAAAGTATAAAGTTTTTTTTTATTGCTCTTTGGGCACAGATTATTAATGCCATAATGACACTAAAGAGTATTAAATGCAAATTTGCAAAGCTCTAAAGAGCTTTATTAAGATAAGCAACATTTTATTGAGTCAATTCAGTTGCTATTTTAATGAAAGTCTGGCTAAATAAATCTCAGAAGAAGCCACCACAGATGTCCTATCATGTATTCTGGGGAATAAGCAACTGAATTTAGGAGGATGGAGAGATAAACCTGTGAGGAAGCAGAAGATTGGAAAAGGTGAAGTACAGGACTACAATCAGCCTCTCAGAGCAATTTCTTTCATTTCTGTTACTATCACTGCAGTTGACTACCATACAAACCAATTGTCTGTCTTTTGATACTAAGACAATTGGTTTGTATGGCAGTCAATTGTAGTGAGAGTAACAGAAATTACATTTAGCAAACATAAGAGAAACCTTTCATTTCTTTTTTTTTTTTCTTTTGAGATGGAGTCTTGCTCTGTGGACCAGGCTAGAGTGTAGTAGTACAATCTCAGCTCACTGCAACCTCCGCCTCCCAGGTTCAAGCAATTCTCCTGCCTCGGCCTCCTGAGTAGCTGGGACTACAGGCATGTGCCACCACTCCTGGCTAATTTTTGTATTTTTAGTAGAGACGGGGTTTCACTATGTTGGCCAGGCTGGTCTAGAACTCCTGACGTCAAGTGATCCACCCGCCTCAGCCTCCCAAAGTGCTGGAATTACAGGCATGAGCCACTGTGTGCAACTCATTCCTTTGTTTCTATATATATATATATTTTTTTTTTTCAAGACAGAGTCCAGCTCTGTCACCAGGTTGGAGTGCAATGGCATGATCTTGGCTCACTGCAACCTGCGCCTCCTGGGTTCAAGTGATTCTCCTGCCTCAGCCTCCCAAGTAGCTGGGATTACAGGCACGCACCACCATGCCCTGCTAATTTTTGTATTTTTAGTAGAGACAGGGTTTCACTATGTTGGCCAGGATGTTCTCCATCTCTTGACCTCGTGATCCGTCTGCTTCGACTTCCCACAGTGCTGGGATTACTGGCATGAGCTACCGGGACTGGCTCCTCATTTCTTTCTTTCTAAATAAATGAAAGGTATCTTTTATGTTTGCTAAATGAAAGAAAAGTGTTTTTGTGTTTTTGTACGATATAAATTTGAAATTCGAGAGAAGAAGGAAGAAAAAAATGAAAGAAAATAAGAAATTGAGGAGTTAAAAATGAGACAGGAAAGCAGAGAGATAGGGAAAGAGGGAAGGAAAGAAGGAAAGAGGAAGGAAGGAAGGAAGGAAAGAAGGAAGGAAGGAAGGAAAGAAGGAAGGGAGGGAGGGAGGGAGAGAGGGAGGGAGGGAGGGAGGAAAACGATTAATAAAACAGTTTTTTTGAACATTCATGAGCTGGACAAGAACATCAGATTCTCATCTTGGAGTACGCAATTGACTCAGTAGGTGACCTGGACAAATTCCTTAACATCTCTGGATAATATATATCTTTTACATTTTTCAGTTGAAATGGTCTGTCTATAGGCATGTTTCAACATGTGTACTATTAGCACGTTCAATGGAATAAATCTTCATTGGTTGGTTCTGACCCCACACACTGAATGAAAATCAGCACCTCTGGCTCCTGCCTACAAAATGCCAATAACGTCTCAGGGATTATAATAAAAACTCTACTACATTGCTATCATTGCATGAAATCCTGAATGCCAACCTTTAGGAACTCTAGTACAGTCATACATTATGAAATTGAGAAGTAATATTTAAGATTTTGTATTGAATTCTTTTATTTCAAGTGTAGAGATTATTCTATTTCATGACGAATGATAATGAGCATTAGCTGGATCTTCATGTTGAAAATGCTTTGGTGAATGAATGAATAAAAAATGAATTATTAGGTAAATATGAAGAATACTACATACCAATTTATATATTTTATCTTAATACAGCAGTAATGTGAAAAATTGTAATGTTCTAAATTTTAAGATGAAAAAAATAAAGTGAAGAGAGTATTATTTACTTGTTCTAGAAATTAAACATATTTTCTGACTCCAAAGACAGCGGATTTTCAAATGTTTTCTGAGCAGGTGTAGATGATAGGGTCAGAAATGTAAGCAAAGAGTCTCTGTGACATCTCATCCCCACTAGTAACAGCCATGAGAGATACTACAAAAATAACAGAATGTCATTTTTCAAAATATAGATGAGGGTGTAAGATTATATTATAATATAGATGAGGGTATAACATTGCATTGAATTCCCAGGCAAATATTGTCAAATTGCTTCTCACAGTGGTCAAGCCAATTTACATTATCTTCAGCAGCTTACAGAAATTTCTATTTTCCCTATCTACATACCTACGCCCCGACTCTCCACAACTGCTCAAAAATTATCAAACTATTTCTGATGTTTGCAATGTACGAGGTAAAAATCAATTTTATTTGAAACACATATGTGAAATTATACGTATTTTTTTAAAAATTTGCATTTTATTTTTGATGAACTGTCTGTGTATATATATTAAGATTTCGTTATTTGTATGAAGGTGTTCTTTATGTGTTAAATAAACTACAAGTCTTTTTGATATATTAGGTAAAAATATTTTACCCCATTTGTTGTTGGTCTTTTGCCTTTGTGATAAAATTATTTAAGTGTAGTCTTTTTTTTTACAGCTTTTAATTTTGCTTTTTGAAGTGCTACCTACTCTGACATTTTAATAAATAATCCTCAATCTTTGTTCTTGTACTTTAAAGATTTCTCCTTTTTTTTGCAAATATAATATAGATAACTTGTCAATCTAAAATTATTTTGGTGCAAATTAAAACACAAAATGATTTTCTTCCAGATGGCTTTCCAATTCTTCTAACACTATTAAATGAATAATTCATCTTTCCATCACCTATTTGAAATGAGTGGGTTACCATTGTGTTCCACGGCCTTCTTTCTTATCCTCTATGGTTCCATCTTTTAAAGAATCAATGTGTGTCTACATTGCTCCTTGTAACCAAAATTCATGAACAACACACTAAAATGTCCATTTAAACTTTCATTTGAATGCAATTATGTGGTCTCCCTTCTCTCTGAAAATTTGGATTTAGGAGCTATTTTTACTATTTTTTATGTGTGACCTGCTTAACTACCCAGTTACAGCCGGTTCACACATTAGGTATATACTGTTTTGTATGATTACAATAAGGAAAATGTCAAAATATAATTTCATAAATCACACAGTTTGTATTTCCATACAAAAATATTTTTTTCTTAGGTTCATAATACTTAAAGAGGGGACAGTGATATGAACAAATCTAATGGGAAATACACTGAATAGACAAGGTACATTAGTCACGTAGTGAGTGAGTTTCAAGATTATTAAGTCTAATTGCTCAGTTAGGATAGAAGGAGGTCTCTGTTGCCCTAGACTGGATGGCTTAAACCACAAACAGTGGTTTCTCACAGGTCTGGAGGCTGAAAAGGCTAAGATTAAGGTGCCAGCAAATCAAATGTCTAAGGAGAGCACTCTTCCTAGTTTGCAGATAGCAATCTTCTGATTGTATCCTCATATGACAGAGGGCAGAGAACATGGAAACAAGCTCTCTGGCATCTCTTGTTAGGGGGAACTGATCCCATCAATAGGGTTCCACTCTCATGACTTAAGTATTTCCCACAGGCCCCACTCTCTAATACCATCATGTTGGGAATCAGGGCTTCAACATTTGAATTTTGATGAGACACAAACTGTCAGTACACAGCAGAAAGGGAATAGTTGGAGTTCTATATATATATATATATAGAGAGAGAGAGAGAGATAGATAGATAGATATATAGATAGATAGATATATATGTATATATTTCCATTTTGTGTTTTTAACTTGTACAGGTTCATTTGGAAGGGATAGACTGTTGAGGTAATAGATGTGTTTGTGAGTAAATTTATATTCACAAGTTTTGTATTAGGTCATGAACCCAAAGAGATGTGTTGTAAGTTTGAGGCTAAATCCAAGAGACTATTATTTTTTTCTACTGGTATTTGTCATGGCAGAGATATAAGCACTGATGACAGAAATATGGTTTTTGTTGCTGTTAAAGTAAATTAGGAGAGATCAGATTATAGCTGATGTAATTTAGATGTTTGAAGGTGGGGGATTTTCTGATAGAAAAATTGTACATATGTAGCTCCCAAAATGAAAAAAAAGCCTTTATCAGGGGAGGTGACCTGCATCAGGGAATTTATTTTTCAATGTGGTAAAGCCGACACCAACTTTAAAACTGAGTTTTTGGAAGAGAGAGAGAGAGAGAGAGAGGGAGTGTGTGTGTGTGTGTGTGTGTGTGTGTGTGTGTGTGTGTGTGTATTTTGATTGGACATAATTCAGATTTATTTTATTTTTTTTTGAGACGGAGTCTCGTTCTGTCACCCAGGCTGGAGTGCAGTGGTGCGATCTCCACTCACTGCAACCTCTGCCTCCTGGGTTCAAGCAATTCTCTTGCCTCAGCCTCCCAAGCGTCTGGGGCTACAGGCGCCCACCACCACACCTGGCTAATTTTTTGTATTTTTAGTAGAGATGGGTTTTCACCGTGTTAGCCAGGATGGTTTCGATCTCCTGACCTCGTGATCCACCCGCCTTGGCCTCCCAAAGTGCTGGTATTACAGGCGTGAGCCACACCATGCCTAGCCCATGATACAGATTTTGTACTTAGCCTTAGCTAGCATTGGGATCTGGGAAAGGAAACACCCTTCCTTTCTGCACCCCACTGCATTTAGACTGAATTAATGTCTTCAACACTCTTATGTATTGCTTCAGTTTCTATTTGTTAATGGCTAATATGTGAAGGATATCATAAGAGGCACTTTAATACTTACTTCACTTACTGGTACCCTATCTTATGGAAGTGAATGTTATCCTGCTCATTTTACAGACAAGCAAACCTGAGATTTAGGATGAATAAGTATCTTACCCATTGTCACACAGTTTATAGTGGGTAACACCAACTAGCTATACCTAATTCTGAAGCTCACCTTTTTAATCACTAACTTATAATTCTTAGTTATGGTTGTAGTTGTCAGTTATACAGTTGACCCTTGAACAATATGGGTTTTAACTCTGAAGGTCAGCGTATATGTGGATTTTCTTCTACCTCTGCCACCCCTGAGCCAGTAAGATCAGCCTCTTCTCTTCCTCCTCCTTACTCTACTCAATGTTAAGATGACCAGGATGAAGACCTTTTATGATGATCCATTTCCACATAATAAATAGTAAATATACTTCCTCTTCCTTATGATTTTCTTAATAACATGTTCAGTTCTCTAGCTTACTTTATTGTAATAATACACTATATAACACATACAAAACATTTTGTTAATCAACTGTTTATGTTATCATTAAGGCTTCTGGTCAACAGTAGGTTATTAGTAGTTAAATTTTTGCGAAGTCAAAGTTATACGTGGATCTTTGACTGCATGGAGGTCAGAACTCCCAAACCCCGCATTCTTCAGGGATAATGTCTATATACTTTGCTGTCTCCAGAATTTCATAATTTGCTTCTTTGTGGTTTGCCATCTTTGTGGCTCCACAGCACTGAACAGGTGTCTAAATGATTGTTGATTTCAATTTGTGATGGCAAGTTCCTCAGTTGTGCTTGGGACAGAATGAAGGTTTAAATTTTAGTTTTTGGCTCCTTAAAGAAAAATAACTGCTGAAAGAGGCAGTTGTTATTTTAAAAACCTATCATAATGCCCTTCCTTCCTTCGAGCCCTGGGCTTGCATTCCCTTGCTCAATGTGAACATCGGTAAAGGAAAATAGGGATATGCATAAAGAGGTAGTCTCTTTGTTCCTGTCAGTTTATGCAAATGTGTAAGCCTTTTGCAAACATAACACAATTCTTTGGTTAATATTGTGCAGAATTCATCAAACTTATTGTAATTCAACTGCTACAAATTTGGTGTGGATATTCATTTTCTTTTCCTTTTTACATATGCTATGAGAACAATCCACCATGACAACTAAAATTGAATATAAGAATCAACCCCTGTAATTGAAAAACCATAATTCTAGTTATATGACGTGCTGTTTCAAAGCAGTTTCTAACTTCTTGGGTTTGATGTGAATGAGTTACATACATTGTAAGTGTTTAAGATTCATCCTGAGGACATGACTTTCAGATTTGGCCTATATTCTTCTTCATTACTGATGCCTAATCCTGTAAAACTATATCATCTTTTTTACAGTTATTATGAAAATCTTTTATATGCTGTTTCATTTGAAATGATATATTCTCAGTACACTTGTTTTTTTTATCCTTTAAGAAGCAGAAAAAGCTTGTAATAAAATTTTAAATATACCTACTACATTCTTTAGATGCTCTCCACCCTTTTGGGGATTTATTTCTCTAATTGGCTGTCTCTCTCAGTCTCCACACAGCTATTTCTAACTTCCTAAATTCTTCTTAAATTTAGGATCCTTTTTTCACCTACCTTATTCTTATCTGGTGAGTTTATCTAATTCTTAGGGGAAAAAAGGAATAAAATAAAACCTGCCAGAAGACCACTCCCTCAGTCTCCCGCCCTCAAAGTTACAAATTTTTATGAACCTTCATCTGATCTGTTTTTTTCTTGTTTTCTGTTAGAATAAAATCATTTTCCCCTGGAACTGAAGAAAGCTCACTTAAAAAAAAATGTGTGCCCTTCATTGCTTGCCTTCCACATTTTCTGAAGAAAACCGATTATTTCCTGTCTGTATATTTAACCTACCACTCTCCACAAACGTCTTCCTTCCTGTAAGCTTTTACACATGCTTAATTTTTGCCTTCTAGCTGAACTAAAAATAAAATGAACAAATTTTAAAAAAATCTTTTCTGGACATGGCAGTTTGTTCTGGCTAACAAGTTCCTCCCTCGCTGGCATAGGTAGAATTCTCAGGGTAAAAGAGCACATGCCCACTGTTTCTATTTCCTCTTTTCTCTGACCTCAGAAATCAGATTTCCTCTTCATAATTCAACTCATACTGATATCAGGTTAAAATTATCTGCCCGTTGTTATGTTTAGTTTAACCATCTCAAGCCTTTATCGTATTTGACCCTAAAAATCACCTAACAGTGTTGGTTCTCATTCCTTGAAAAGATCTCCTCTTTTGTCTTCCAGGAGACCAAGTCCTCCTGGTTTTAGTCCCACATTTCCGGCCTTCTGTTTGCCGTCTCTTTGTATTAACAATGTCTTTTTATTCTAATGCTGTCTTTTTATTCTAATGCTGTGTTAGTCTGTTTTGCATTGTTTTTTTTGTTTTGTTTTGTTTTTGAGACAGAATCTTACTCTGTTGTCCAGGCTGGAGTGCGGTGGCACGATCTTGGCTCACTGCAACCTCTGCCTCCCGGGTTCAAGTGATTCTCCTAAGCCTCCCCAGTGCTGGGATTACAGGCGCATGCCACCACATCCAGCTAATTTTTTGTATTTTTAGTAGAGATGGGGTTTCACTGTGTTAGCCAGGATGGTCCTGATCTCCTGACCTCGTGATCCTCCCGCCTTGGCCTTCCAAAGTGCTGGGATTACAGGCGTGAGTCACCACGCCGGGCCAATCTGTTTTGCCTTGTTCTAAAGGAATACCTGAGACTGGGTAATTTATGAAGAAAAGAAGTTTCTTTTGTTCACATTCTGCAAACTGTACAAGAAGGGTAAAGCCATCATCCACTTCTGGTGAGGGCCTCAGGAAGCTTACAATCATAGCAGAAGATGAAGGCATGGCATGTTGTGCTTGCTTCTCTTGAACTGTAACAAAATCTCTTTTCAATGACCATCATCTTCTGGTCTCTTGGCTTCACCCTGCCTGAGTAATAATGAAATCTACATTTAAAAATACTCCTTAAAAGATCTATACATTCTCTAAATTAGTAGTTGGATATCTCCCTGCAGAGGCTTTTGAAAATTGTTGGGAGTACATTTACGTATTATAAGAATTATAGTGTCGGACTACCAGCATTCACTGAGAGAGTGGGTTGGGGGAAACTAGACATCCTGCAAAACAAGGGTAGTACTGCAGAAAGGAAATGAATTAAAGAGAAATAGTCTATAATGAAATGTATCTTTTGATATGCAAAGGTACCCGGGAGTGGTGGCTCATGCCAAGGCAGGTGGATCATGAGGTCAGGAGATTGAGACCATCCTGGCCAACACGGTGAAACTCTGTCTCTACTAAAAATACAAAAAATTAGCTCAACGTGGTGGCACACGCCTGTAGTACCAGCTAGTTGGGAGGCTGAGGCAGGAGAATCACTTGAACCTGGGAGGCACAGGTTGCAGTGAGCTGAGATCGCCCCACTGCACTCCAGCCTGGGCTACAGACTGAGACTCCGTCTAAAAATACACACACACACACACACACACACACACACACACATGCAAATGCTAGGAAAAGTCTACACACAGCAAATAAATAATGGGGAAGCCAGATTTTCCCCTTCTATGTAGAATCACAGTGAACGCAGACCTATCAACCAGACCAATAGAGCTGTGTGTTAGCGATTCAGTGCCACTAACAGTGTTGCCACTGGTGGGATGATTTTCCAAACTGATGGAACTACACATATTGAAGTTTTGAATTAAATAATTTTCCTCAAGTTGCCACACAACTTTTGTTTACTATTATGTTTTCTGTAGAGACACGCTCTCAGTATGTTGCTCAGATTGGTCTTGGATTCCTGGCCTCAAGCAATCCTCCTGCCTCAGCCTCCCAAAGTGCTGGAATGACAGGCATGAGAAGGTATGGTGATACCCAGTCAAGTTTCTCTACCTGGAAAATTCCATTTATCTTAAAACTATGCAAAAAAACATAATGTATATGTGCAGTATATACAAATCAGTTGGATTCTATAATTAGATAATTGTTTAAAGTTTTATTACTTAAGTGTATGCCAGGTGGGACATTTGAAAGTTACCTTATGTAGGTTTGTTGGTTATATTAACCATGTATTTAAGTTTTATATAGTAAAGGAAAACATTTCAATATGTTTAATACGAAAAAAAAAACAAGCATTGGCTCTGATAGTATCAAGAAACAACATCTAAAATTCTAAAATTATTCTTGAGATTTGGGCTAAGACTTATTTTCTTTCATTTTTTTCCACATTTCTTAGACAATTATATATATAATTATATTTATGTATATATAAAATAGTTATGCATGAGCTTTCAATGAGTAGTCGAGAACAGTTATGGCTTGTATGTATACATATACAATATATATACAATCATCAGACATATAATTATTATATTTTATATATTATTGATAATATATTGTTATATTATTAGCATATATTAATGTATTGATAACAATATATTATTTATATATTAATATATTGATAACAATATATTATTTATATATTAATATATTGATAACAATATATTATATATTATTTATATATTAATATATTGATAACAATATATTATATATTATTTATATATTAATATATTGATAACAATATATTATATATTATTTATATACTAATATATTAATACACAATATATTAATATTTCATCACATATTATTGATATATACATAAGTATTTAATGTTATAAATATATAATTTTATATAATTATAAATATATAATTTTATATAATTATAATACATACTTTTATATATAATTATAATACATAATATATAAATAATAATATATTATGTATTATTAATTATATAATATTTATGCATAAATATTATAATTATATATAATATTGTATGGTTATAATTATAATTATATATAAATTATATATATACACATAAACCATATGTGTATATATATGTTCTCAAAACTATTTACTCATTAAAAGCTCATGTATAATTTTGTCCCCTGCCTGAATATCTCTACAGAGCCCCAGACTCATTACTTATCTACCTTGCCAGCATCTCCAATCAATGTCTGTTCTGCCACAAAAACTCCTTCTTGCAGTGTTGACAACCTCAATGAGCAAGCCTCAGGGACCCTGGTGCCAGTGTGTACTTGAATGATAACACTCCAAATATGGGAGCTATCCTGGCGCCTCTTCCACCTCCTTTGTTATGCTCTTAGTTCAGAGTAGATATTCTGCTGCCCTATCACTCCAGGGCCTAATAACAGACAAATAGAGACAGCCATGAAATTCAGAGCCCACTGAAATCATTCAACTAGCCAAGCCTAAACCCGTTTACTCTCTCTCCCACTTCTTGAAGAAACCACAAAAAACGCTTTCTCTAAAGGTTTGCTCCTGCTCCCTCTGCCTCCCTTGCCCTCCACCTTCAACCAATAACAAAGACAAAAGGCATGTTTTTCATCCTCATGCTCAGTACCTTCGAAAAGATCAGTGTTGTTTTCCTCTAATCCATTTTCTGTTTTACTGCCAGAATGATCTTTCAAAGAAGGAAATCTGGTAATATCTTAACCTGATTAGAATCCTTCAGTGACTTTTCATTGATCTTACTATAAAAACCAGTCTTCTTACAGTGCTTCTAAAAATCGTTGATGCTCCAACCCTTTCTTGCCTCACTGGTCCCTACCACTCTCATTCATTATTCTCTACATTATATATATATATATATATATATATATATATATATATATATATATATATGTGTGTGTGTGTGTGTGTGTGTGTGTGTGTATAATTTTTTTTTTTTTCTTTTCTGAGATGGAGTTTCGCTCTTGTTGCCCAGGCTGCAGTGCAGTGGCGTGATCTTGACTCACTGCAACCTCTGCCTTTCTGTTTCAAGCGATTCTCCTGCCTCAGCCTCCCAAGTAGCTGGGATTGCAGGTGCCCGCCACCATGCCTGGCTAGTTTTTGTATTTTTTTTAGTAGAGACGGGGATTCACCATGTTGGCCAGGCTGGCCTCGAATTCCTGACCTCGTGATCCACCCGCCCTGGCCTCCCAAAATGTTGAGATTACAGGTGTGAGCCATTATATTTCTTTTAGTTTATCAAATGCAGATGTTTTGCTTCTTGATTCTTGTTTTTCTACTTTTGAGTATATACTACCCTAGCTTTTTTTTCTGGCCCATTCTTACCCATTATTTAAGTATATATTTAAACATTCCACCTCTTGAAAAGCTTTTCTTTACTATTTTAAATTAGGTAATGTTTTTCTCCCATTGACAGCTTATATTTCCCTTCCATAGTACTTAGTACACCATATCGCAATTGTTTGCTTAACTATCTGTTTTACCCTTAGACCCAAAGCCTGTGCTATCCGTTCAATAGAAACATAATGCAAGCCACAAATGAAGCCACACATTTCCTTAAAAATTTTCTAGCAGCAGTATTTTTTAAATTGAAACAGATGAAATGAGTTAATGTGTCATTTAGCCCAATATATCCAAAATATAATTATTCCAACATGTAATCAATATAAAATTATCAATTCAATACTTTGTCTTTTTTCATACTATCATTGAAAAATTGACTATCTTATGCTTTCAGCAAGTCTCAATTTGGAGTAGCCATATTTCAAGAGCTCAGTAGCCACACGTGGCTAGGGGTTATCATACTGTGTCCGGAATTGGTTCCTTCCAGTGGGCTCTTGGTCTCGCTGACTTCAAGAACGCAGCTGCGGCCCCTCGCGGTGAGTGTTACAGTTCTTAAAGATGGTGTGTCCGGAGTTTATTCCTTCAGATGTTCAGATCTGTCTGGAGTTTCTTCCTTCGGGTGGGTTCGAGGTCTCACTGACTTCAGGAGTGAAGCCGGAGACCTTCGCAGTGAGTGTTAACAGCTCTTAATGGTGGTGCCTCTGGAGTTGTTTGTTCCTCCCGGTAGGTTCGTGGTGTTGCTGGCTTCAGGAGTGAAGCTGCAGACCTTCGTGGGGAGTGCTACAGCTCATAAAGGTAGCGCAGACCCAAATACTGAGCAGCAGCAAGACTTATTGCGAAGAGGGAAAGAACAAAACTTCCACAGCGTGGAGTAGCACCCAAGTGGGTTGCCTCCGTGGGCTCGGGTGGCCAGCGTTTATTCCCTTATTTGGCCCTGCCCACGTCCTGCTGATTGGTCCATTTTACAGAGCACTGACTGGTCCGTTTTACAGATCGCTGATTGGTCAGTTTTTACAGAGTGCTGATTGGAGCGTTTACAAACCTTTAGCTAGACACAGAGCGCAGATGGATGCATTTTTACAGATTGCTGATTGGTGCGTTTACAAACCTTTAGCTAGACAGAAAAGTTCTCCAAGTCCCCACTCACCCAGGAAGTCCAGCTGCCTTCACCTCTCAGTATTGCATGCTGCAGGTTTCAGCTCTGTAAAAGGAGTATCCTTACTTACCAGGTTCAGCATTCTACTTCCAATTACAGCAGAGCACTTGGCATTTAGAGCAGGCACTCAATACATGCAGGTGGATAAATAAGTAGATGAATGCTAGAATTTCTCTTTAAACATCATTTTAAAGTCTGTGATACATTGTTATAAGTTTAAAAATCAGCTTATGACCCACAAGATTTATTTTATGACTTCATTATTATATTAGTATTTACATTTAGAAAAACATTGTTATAGATATTTGGCTAGGGAGAATATAAGTCAATAATAATTTTTTTTAGTTACTTCAGTAATTATTTTGTTGTCATATTCTTCTGGATTAAAAAAATTCAACTATGAAAATCCTAGTAGGGCTCTGTGTTATTTCATAACCTAAATGCAGTTATTATTATTATTAATCACAAAATCAATAGTTAAAACCAGCTCCACAATAATTATTTGCAAAATATATAAAGGATATAGCACATTTTATCTTCTTCCGTTTTCTTAAATACTGGGTGATTGAAATTTACATTACCCAAATTATTATGATAGACATAAAATTCTGAAAGAGAACTAAAAAGACCTCTACTACTCACCTTCTCTTTTCCAGAGCTCTGCAATCTTCCTATGAACTAATTTTCTAGAGCCGGCTATGACTGGAAAAACTATGATTTTTTAAGGCTATTTTGTTCAACCTTGAGAAGATCTGGCTGATAGAAATAATATCAAATAATTCATAAACTTAACCAATGTTTGTTATGTATACATATTGCTCCAGTGCTGTGCAGGGACTGGTAATGAAAGTGACAGAGTAGTCATGGCTTCCTTTTTTTTATCTTATTCTTTTCATTTCCAAGTCTTTTTTTTATTTTATTATTATTATACTTTAAGTTTTAGGGTATATGTGCACAATGTGCAGGTTAGTTACATATGTATACATGTGGAAGTAGTCATGGCTTCTACCAAAGTGTGTTAGCAATTCTCTGCTCCTCGAGCTCATCCTCTTTGCTTCTGGGTTTTTTCCCTCACTGAAACCCATCTCTTCTCCCTAGAATAATGAATGCTTATTTGCCCATGCCCTGATGATGACAGGACTCTAAAGCAGTGACAGCTTCCTTTTCCTAGTCTCTTGCAAAGATTCTATGTCAGCTTTAACCCAAACTTCTTCTGTACTTTGGTTGTGTCATCCCTTCCTGCCCATTATCACCCTTTACTGAACCTCGACATTTCTCCTCACCTGTCAAAGTCTTTTGCTCCCATTTCACCAGGTCCTCTCCACTCAAACTCTTGTTCTCACCTTGAAGACTCGAGTATCTGACAGTAGATTAATCTGGAGACCTAGCTTCATGAAGGTTCTTTAGTGCCGTAACCTGATATAAATATACATATATATACATATATATATACCTTTTTCCAATGATTCAAATATATGTATATTTCAATGATTCAATAAAATATATAGAGTTTAATGATTCAATCTCTTAAGCACACATGTCTTACATCTCTTTCTGTTATCATGAATGTCCTACCTATTGAATGTTCAACCCTGGTATTCCACATTGGAATCATTAATAATCTTAATCCTTATCCTACCAATGTTACCCCTTGGACCCCAAAAGAGGGTCTTCTTTGCAAGGCCTTAGTCTTCCCTTTTTATACTACACCCCTTCTGAGGGGTGAAGAGTTTGTGGGGCCAAGTATAAGTGCTCACTTGGAGACCTTGCACCTCCTTCTCAGATTATACGCTGAATAACAGGATGCTGGAATTCCTGGCTTAACTGGCCTTGTTCCTGCCTCTGTAGCCTGCACAGATTTTTTATGAAGCTCTTTTCTCCTCAGAGGACCCATTTGTGGTATCCACGTCCTTAGACACAAGCCATTTGAGAAGGTTGTAAAGGATGTTGGGCACAAGAACCTGCGTGACACACGTGTGGTCAGATCTCCCTCAGCATGGGATGGAGCTGAGGCTGGGATGAGAGGAATGGACATCAGGGTCTAAGGAATGGCTCTTCCTGAACCACCACATATTGAAGTGGAACTTCCCTCTTTCATGCTTTTATAAGGATAAATTGTCAAAGTAGCATCAATCACATTGCATTAATAATTTGTCTTGATTTACTACTTTCAAATATTTAGGTAAGTAATAGAAGGAGCTCTAATAACATTCTGGCCCCGGGCACCTTAAATATTAGGGGTGGGTCTGCCAACCATGCTTACACGTCAGCCCTTACTCTAATCAATACTCTCTTGACTTCTATCTCTTTTAATGTCTATTAGCTTTTCTTTTGTCTAAGAACTTGGTTTTTCCAAAAAGCCTGGAGTTTATAATGCAGTTCCACCATAATCACTGTACCCTCCCTTCTGACGATGCTGTTCTTCTGATGTCCTTGCTATACAAAGCCCAAATGTGGTAGACTTTTGCCAGCTGCATTTATCAGTCCTATGCCCATCTTCTGAAAGCTGTTGGAAAAAAATGTATAATTTTGTGGGTTTCTGCCACTTCAATTTTATGATATTTAATTTTAGTTTTGTTCTACAAATCCTATAATACCACCCTTGTCAGATGTATTTCCCATCTGCCTGGCTATTTCAAAATTTTATCACTCTTCTCAAGTAGATAATTTTTGGCCTCCTCATCTTCAAGAGATTGCTTTTATTCTATTTCACAGTAAAAATCAAGACTTGAATGTGGAAAGACCCTAAACTCTTAAACATCAAATTATACATACATCTAAATGTTCTGACTTTCTTCCTTCTGGTTTTACAAGTTTGTCTTAAAACTTAATGTGGGTACTTTGTGATCTTTACTGCCACCTTCAGGATGGCCTCATCTACTGTTATCTTCTCCACACCACACTGCATTAAGTATCTCCTTTCTTTCCGATACCTTCAGCTTCTCTTCTCTCCTCTCTCTCTCTCTCTCTCCCTCTCTCATTTTCTCTCTCTCTGCCTGCTGACTTCAAATTGCTCTCAGATAGCAATATCAGAAAAAAAATTTCTTCATTTATGATATTATTTGAAGTGAAATTATCTTTTCTACTCATAGACATGCTCTTTAGGAAATTAACCAGCCACTGCCATTACCTTCTCCCTGTACCTTGATGGCTCAACATACTTCATCCCAGAACCAGCTCTTACTATTTCGCTGAAATTATTTTTTTATAAAGTCACCAGTGTCTTTACATGCACTAATCCAAAGGGTGCACTTCAGGCCTTATCTTACCTGACTTCTCTGCAACTTCTGATATATTGATCAAGTTTTTGATTATTGACACGCTTTTTTTGTTTTTTCTCTACTCCTGCTTCTTCCCTTATGTTTTAGACCTTCCCAAATCTCCAGCCCAGGAAAGAATACTTATTTTGGTGCATTTGGTGTGCAGCAGAGCTTGATCTTCTTCCCAGTTTTCTTTTCACTTTACAAATCTACTTGAGTCATCTCATTTAGACTGTAACCTTCAACTACCTGCTGACAACTAGTCACTTATCTTTTTTCCTGGATAGAAAACATCAGCCTTCCTAGACAGTTCTGGATCACCTGATTACTGACAATGTACATATTCCACAGAGTCCTCAAGCTGAATTCAGTCTTTTCATCCTACCTCATCAAAGCTTATACTGTCTTACGTATTTATTTTGGAAATTGGTGAAAGCCATCAACATCTTCCAGATTGTCTCAGATCTCTGTGGACAGTCTTTTTCTAGTCTCATTAGCAATGTTTCAACATCCACCAATTCCTTCTACTTCTGTGGCTCTATTCTGTTCTACTTTAGACACCTATCATCAATTAAATGGAATTCTCTCATAGTCTACTCTTATTTTTTGCTGGCATTACCTTCCTCCCAACTATACTATATACATGCATGACTTACTTTTCCAACAGTTAAGATAGGGCACATGCCTTCTTTCTTTAAAAGTGTTTAAGGATCTCCAGTTCTCTATTGCCTATAAAATAAAGTTTTATTTGTATCATGCTTAACTTGACATTGAGAGTTCCTATCATCCCAAGCTCCAACTTCTCATTCTTCTCCATCTGTCTCTTATACTCAAGCCATGCCAAAAACTACCTGCTTCCATATACCTATTCCTTTCATGCCTCTACACTTTGTCAGGTCATTTTATCTTTCTGAAACGTTTTGCCTTTTCCTTGTCTACCTGACAGAGTCATACATACTTTTCAATTTCAGCTGAAGCATTACCTATAAAAACTTGACTTCTCCAAGCAGACATAAGGTCATTTATCATGGTCCAATAATCTTGGTCCTGATTCCAATGTAGCAGGAATTACCATGTAATACCGAACAATTTTCACAGTGTATTTCAAATGCAATTGACCAAAATGCCAAATGTTGTATTCTAAGGGACCCAGTATCTGTTTCATTATTGCAAATAATTCTTGGAAAAAAATGAGATATTATGCTTCTCCCAGTTATCTCAGCTAAGACTATTTTCAAAGAACTGTTTTAAGTGTGTGGGTTATCACAATGTTCCATATACACTGTTTGCTAATCACTACATTCTAGACACTATGAAAATTCTTTCACATTCCTCCAAAATTATGTGTTAAGTCCATTGATGGAATAGGATAATGAATAAGGTTTACATCATGTCATCATAAAAAACTTCAAGTTGAATGTTAGTTAACACAGTTCTTAAAAGCACTTTGCCTAACCAATTATCAGAAATATCTTACTGGCTCCCTTATTTAAAAGCTTCAGTTTCCTGCTCCATTCCCTGGGATCTACTCTTTTTACAAATTTCCTGTTGCCTCTTTCACAGCTGTTTTTTTTGTTTTGTTTTTTGCTTAGACAACAATGGGCATTTTATTATTGAAATCATCAATACATTAATTAAGACCTAATATATCTGGAATATAATTGCATACAATTTTTTTTTAGCTTTTCAATCTTTATTTTTCTTCATTTTATATTTGACTGATACGCAGAAGACTTGTGCAGAAGAGTCTAGCTGTGTCTTTGTTTCAATGTCTTTTCCAGACTCTATACTTAAGGCTTCTTGTAATATATCTAATGATTTCAAGGTATTTTTTGAACAAAGACTGTTATTTTTCTAAAATGGGCTCTTGGACCATTTTTAGCCTACTTCACATTGACTGTGATCTTCTTGGGGTCACAGATAAAACTTTTCAAGTCTTTCCTCATAGAAATTTATACTACTTCCAATAAACATTTCTGAAACAAAAACGTATATGAATACAGTAAATATAAACCTAAAATGTTTGAGTGACAGTTGTATTTCATAATTCAGCTTTAATTAGGTGAAGAATATAAATATTAAAATTAATATAAGTATTACTTCTTAATTATTTTATGAAAACTAAAATTTCCTCTAAGTTGTTCAGAGTATTTCAAAATTTTAGGAACTTCCAATATTTTAATTTTCACTGTTGTTTTTAGTATTGGTTAAATAGATAATAGGTGAGATTTATATGCTCTTCTCTGTTCCTGTTGTGTTATCATTAAATTAGACTCTTTTGGTATGTACTTTAATATAATACTACTGTTTTATTTTATTTTATTTTATTTTATTGAGATGGAGTCTTACTCTCTTGCTGAGGCAGGAGTGCAGTGGAACGATTTTGGCTCGCTGCAACCTCCACCTCCCGGGTTCAAGTGACTCTTCTGCCTCAGTGTCCCAAGTAGCTAAGAATACAAGTGCCCACCACCCCACCCAGCTAATTTTGGTATTTTCAGTAGAGACGGGGTTTCATCATGTTGGCCAGGCTGGTCTTGAATTCCTGACCTCAAGCAATTCGCCCACCTCGACCTCTCAAGATGCTGGGATTATAGGCATGAGCCACCGCGCCTGGCCAATACTAATGTTTTATAATTACACTTTGTCAAAAGATCTAGAATTCTATGACTATTTTCAACAACTTTTGATAATATATTAATAATAATGATAAAATGACAACAATAATAACATAATAAAGATAATGATAATTAAAGCTACCACTTTAAGTATTATTTTATGTGATCATAAAACCAACATTTTATGTAAAGATTATTCTCACTTTTAAGGATACTACCAGCAGGTGTGCTTTTTGGGGGTCCTAGTGTAATTTAAAAGAAGATAAAATTATTTCTGGTTCAGATAAGTTAGGATAGGCCTGTTTATTCTTGATCCTCTCAACTACGTACAACCACAAACACTGGAAGTTGTAAGAGAAAAAATAAAAAGAGAGAGAGAACTCTGAAAGACAGGCAGATGTTAGAGGTCTCAGGATTAAAGAAACAGGTCTTTTGATGCCCACTCAACAGAACAAAGCAAGCCAGGCCCACCGCTTCCCCATCCCCAATTTTGCATCAAAAGGCAGATCAGGTAGGCTCATTCCTCTGCCAGATTGAATAAGAGTCCTTTCAATAACACCAGGTCAGCCCAGCAGTATCAGGAATGGAGACTGATAGTGACACCAGCTGATGACCAAAGCAGACAAGGCTAGTGAACAAGGACTATGGTTGCTTCCCACTCCTCCCTCACCCCTGCCACACACAGGCACACACATTAAGGGAAACCTAGGGGGTCTCGAAGCACTGGCAGGGGGATCTTGCCATCATAACCAGGCTGGCCCAGGAAGCCATCCATCCTTGTGGGTCAGAGACTCACTTCTTTACCGAGAGACATTGGTCAACTGAGCAGAAGCAGCAAGGAAAATTCTGCCACAACTAATGCTTGTTCTTGTGTGCCTGAGACTCCCCTCCCCAACCCAAAACACCAGACACTGGGCTGCGCCCACGAGAGAAAAATCTGTCACAATGAGTGGCACTGCCAGGGAAAGACTCTTTCTAAAGGCTGGAGACTCCCTTTTCTAGATCGAGGCACTATGAGTCCAGGCCTGGGAAAGCATCTTCTGGCCACCAGGCAGTACCAGTAAAGACCAGTGAGAGCCCAGTGGTATCATAAGGCACCCAACAAGCAATCAAAATAACACCATAAAGACTCTAAAGATGAAGTTGTCATTGGAACCACAGTCCATAAAAGTAGGCCAGGCTCTGCTTGCTAAACTTAGACTAGGTGGTTACCTGCTAAAATAAAGACTTCAGGAGGACTTGTAATCTTCTAACAAAAGACAGAATTTTATACCGCGAATCAGGAAAATCATCAACTTGAATGAGAAAACACTATCAAGTGACAACACTGGGCAGAATCAGAGGTTGCAATTATCTGACAAGGATTTAGGAGCAATCAGCACAAAAATGCTTTAATTGCAAAAAGCAACTAAAAATTCTTTTGAAACAGATGACATAATAGAAAATATCAAATAATTCCATCAGTTATTAAAGAGAACCAAATGGAAATTATAGAACTAAACAATACAATCACAGGGAGGAAAAAATAGCTTGCTAGATAGGATAAATGTAGACTAGAGATGAAAGGAAACAGAATCAGTGAATTTGAGAACAGATCAATATTGATGGAATTGCTTCACTGCTCTTATGATAAGAGTTCAATATGGATACAAAAAGCAGAGTGTGTCTGTGAGTCTGAAGAAATAATGGTTGAAGACCATTGATTAACTAGAGCTCATCAGTTTGTTTGTTTGTTTTTTAACTTATCTCTGAGTTACCCCATGAAGAGAAAGAAAAGACCAGGCAGAGACTGAGAGAAAATATTTGCAGGCAACATACTCAACAAAGGGCCAGAGTCTAGAATGTATATAGGACTCGAAACAATGCACAGTAAAAATAATTCAATTAGAAAGATACATGAACATGTATTTCACTGATGAGGACAGACAGCCAATAAATGCATGAAAAGTTGTTTAACACTGTCCAGGGGCAGTGGCTCACACTTCTAATCCCTGCACTTTGGGAGGCCGAGGTGGGTGGATCACGAGGTCAGGAGATGGAGACCATCCTGGCTAACACGGTGAAACCCCATCTCTAATAAAAAAAGTACAAAAAAATTAGCCGGGTGTGGTGGTGGGCGCCTGTAGTCCCAGCTACTCAGGAGGCTGAGGCAGAGGAATGGCGTGAACCTGGGAGGCAGAGATTGCAGTGAGCTGAGATCTTGCCACTGCACTCCAGCCTGGGTGACAGAGCAAGACTCCGTCTCAAAACAAACAAACCAACAAAAAAATTTGTTCAACATTGTTTGTCACTAGGAAATATAAATTAAACCAATAATGATATATTACTACACTTATCACAACAGTTATAATTTTTAAAAAATAGTGAAATCACCACGATCTTTTTTTCTGAGTTTGAAAATAAACTGAATCACTCATTCATTGCTAATGGGAATGCTTAATTACACAGCCATTCCAGAAAATAGCTTGGCAATTTCATATAAAACTAAGCATACTCTTGCCACATGATCTAGCAGTTTCCCTCCTTAGACTTTTGTCCTAATGAAATCAAAATGTATTTTCACACAAAAACTTGTACAGGAATGTTGATAGCAGCTTTATTAATTAATATCCAGTAGCTAGAAACAGCCCAAATGTCCTTCAACAGGTGAATGCTAAACAAATTGTCATATACCATATTAGTCTACCTTCATGCTGCTGGTAAAGACATAGCTGAGACTGGGCAATTAAAAAAAAAAAAAAGAGGTTATTGGACTCATAGTTCCATGTGGCTGAGGGGGGCTCACAATCATGGCAGAAGGCGAAAGTCACCTCTTAGATGGTGACAGCAAGAGACAAGAGAGTCTGTACAGGGAAATGCCCCTTTGTAAAACTGTCAGATGTTGTGAGACTCATTCGCTATCAGGAGAATAGCAGGGGAAAGACCTGGCCCCATGATTCAGTTATCTTCCTCCGGGTCCACCCCACAATACATGGGAATTATGGGAGGTACATGATGAGATTTAGGTGGGGACACAGAACCAAACCATATCATATACTCATGCCATGGAATCCTATCCAACAATAAAAAAGGAGAAAACTATTGATTCATTAAGCAACTTGAATTCAATGCAAGGAAATTACACTGAGTTAAGAAAAAAAGCTTGCAAAGTAACATATATAACATTCCTGAGGTAAAAAGTTTATAAAGATGCAGAACAAATTAATGTTTTCCAGGGCTTAGGGATAGGAGTGTGTGTGGATATGGCTATAAAAGGATAGCATGGGGGATCCTTGTAATAGAACTGTTCTGTATCTTGTCTGTTCTTGGATTATCCAAATCTACAGATGTGGTAAAACTTCATAGACCAAAACGCACATCCACACCCACTCCTCTCTGACACAAACACACACATATTTTGTCAACCTAAATAACAGATGTACAGAGATTCTCCAAAGATAATATGTTTCTTTGGGAGTGAACATTGCAATGTGGAATATGATGCCATAGTAAGCTATGGGCATATTTAGGGAGATAAAGGAAGGAAAGTTTGGCAACAAGGATCAGTAACAAGGGTGGTGTGAGTACAAGGTTGAACAGGCAGTTACTGGGCAGATGTCCTCACAGAAGTATTTTTGGTGTAAAGTTTTGGTAGTCTTTGTGAAAAGTTATTAATATAGTTTGTCTCTGTGTTTCTGCCCAAATCTCATGTCAAATTGTAATCTTTATATGTTGGACGAGGGACCTGGTGGGAGGTGATTGAATCATGGGGGTAGTTTCCTGCATGCAGTTCTCATGATAGTGAGTGAGTTCTCATGAGATAGGATGGTTTGAAATTGTCTAGCGTCTCCCCGCTCGCTCTCTCTTTTCCCTGCTCTGCCATGGTAAGACATGCTTGCTTCTACTTTGCCTTCTGTCATGATTGTAAGTTTCCTGTGGCCTCCTAGCCATGTTTTCTGTGTAGTTTGTGGCAATGTGAGTCAGTTAAACCTCTTTTCTTCATAAATTATCCAGTCTCGGGTATTTCTTTATAGCAGTGTGAAAACAGACTAATACAGAAAATTGGTACTGGGAGAGGGGGGCATTACTATACAGATACCTGAAAATGTGAAAGCAATTTTGGAACTGAGTAACAGGCAGAGGTTAGAACAGTTTGGAAGGCTCAGAAGAAGACAGGAAGATGTGGGAAAATTTGGAACTTCCTAGAGACTTGTTGAATGCATTTGATGAAAATGCTGATAGTGATAAGGACAATGAAATCCAGGCTGAGGTGGTCTCAGATGGAGGTGAGGAACTTGTTGGGAACTAGAGTGAAAGTCATTCTTGCTATGCTTAGGAAAAACTGGGTGCATTTTGCTCCTGCCCTAGAGATCCGTGGAACACTGAACTTGAGAAAGATGATTTACGGTATCTGGCGGAAGAAATTTCTGAGCAACAAAGTATTCAAGATGTGACCTAGCTGTTTCTAAAAGTGTATGCCTGCTCATACGTGTGAAGAAAAAGATGGTCTGAAATTGGAACTTGTATTTGAAACAGAAGCAATAAATAAATAAGATAAAAGGAAGCAGAGCGGCCGAGCATGGTGGCTTATGCCTGTAATTCCGGCACTTTTGGAGGCCGAGGCAGGCAGATCCTGAGGTCAAGAGATCAAGACAATTCTGGCCAACATAGTGAAACCCTGTGACTACTGAAAATGCAAAAATTAGCAGGGTGTTGTGGCATGTGCCTGTAGTCCTAGCTACTCAGGAGGCTGAGGCAGGAGAATTGCTTGAACCTAGGAGGCAGAGGTTGCAGTGAGCTGAGATTGTGCCACTGTACTCCAGCCTGGTGACAGAGCAAGACTCCATCTCAAAAAACAAAAAAAACAAAACAGAAAAGTAAAAGAGGAAGCAGAGCATAAATGTTTGGGAAGTTTGCAGCCTGATTATGTGGTAGAAAAGAAAAACCCATTTCCTGAAGAGAAATTCAAGGTTGCTGCAGAAATTTGCTTATGTAACTAGAAGGGTGTTAATAGCCAAGAAAATGGGGAAAATGTCTCCAGGGCATTTCAGAGATCTTCATGGAAGCTCCTCCAGTCACAGGCCTGGAGGCCAAGGGGAAAAAATGGTTTCCTGGACTGGGCCAAGGGCCCAATTCTTCTATGCAGCCTCAGGACATGGCACGCTACATCCCAGCAGCTCCAACTAGAGCTGTGGCTAAAAGTCATCAAGGTACACCTGGGCCATTGCTTCACAGGGTGCAAGCCCCAAACCTTTGTGGCTTCCATGTGGTGTTGGGCCTGCAGGTGTGCAGAAGGCAATAGTTTGGAAGCCTCTGCCTAGATTTCAGAAGATGTATGAAAACTCCTGGATGTCCAGGCAGAAGTCTGCCGCAGGGGGCTGAGCCCCCATGGAGAAATGCTACAAGGACAGTACAGAGGGGAAATATGGGGTTGGAGACCCCACAAAGAGTCTCCACTGGGGCACTGCCTAGTGGTACAGTGAAAAGAGGGCCACCATCCTCCAAACCCCAGAATGGTAGATCCACTGACAGCTTATACCATGTACTTGGAGAAGCTGCAGACACTGAATGCCAGGCTGTCAAAGCAGCCAAGGGGGATGTATCCTGCATAGCCATAGGGCCAGAGTTGCCCAAGGCCTAGGGAGCCCACCCCTTGCATCAGTGAGCCCCAGATGTGAGACATGGAGTGAAAGAGGATTTTGGAACTTTAAGATTTAATCACTGCCCTGCTGGGTTTCAAACTTGCGTAAGGCCTATAGCCCCTTTGTTTTGGCCAATTTCTTTCATTTAGAATGGGAGTATTTACCCAAAGTCTGTACTCCCATTGTATCTTGGAAGTAACTAATTTGTTTTTGATTTTACAGTCTCATAGACATAAGGTTCTTACCTTGTCTCAGATGAGACTTTGGACTATTGGCTTTTGAGTTAATGCTGGAATGAGTCAAGATTTTGGGTAACAGTTGGGGAGACATGATTGGTTTGGAAATGTGAGAACAACATGAGATTTGGGAGGGTCCATGTGCAGAATAATATGGTTTGGGTCTCTGTACTCACCCCAATCTTATGTCAAATTTCAATCCCTACATGTTGAGGGAGACACCTGATGCAAGGTGATTGGATCATGGGGGTGATTTCCTTGATGGTGTTCTCATGACAGTGAATTCTCATGAGATCTGATGGTTTAAAAGTGTGTGGCACTTCCCCACTTGCTCTCTCTCTCTCTCTCCCTCTCTTTCCCTCCTGTGCCACCATTATAAGACTTACTTGTTTTCTATTTACCTTCCACCATGATTGAAATGTCCTGAGGTCTCCCAAACATGCTTCCTGTTAAGCTTCTGGAACCATTAGTCAATTAAACCTCTTTTTTTAAAATAAATTACCTAGTGTCAGGTAGCAATTTATAACAGTGTGAAAACAGACTAATACAGTTGTAACAGTTTTGTTTTTAGGCATACATTCATGAAGATCCTCCCTTCATGGACCCCTGGCTCAATTTTGCCAGGGTTTGAGGTAAGTGATTCCATTTTGATTCTGATAATTTTCAAAATGGACAATCTGTGAAATCTTATAAGGTGGTAGTTTCTACCAATATCAATTTCCCAGTGTGATAATGTCCTATCTATTATTATCCTCTCCACAAAAATATTTCGTTTAAAAAATGGCCACAAATCCTACTGTGTCACCATTTGTCTCCACCCATAGGATATTAAAATATTTGTGTTTTCTCTCAAATGCTTAAAATCTTGAGTTTTACAAGTTTTTTGGTCACAAGCTACTTTATTATCCCATGGGAATAGACAAAGACCTATCTAAACCAAATTCCGCAATTGTAGTGTCCATAAACATTTTATATTATCTGATTGTGATAATTTTCCATGTTCCCCATTCTCATTTTCCTCCACATATAGTCCCCATAACTCTCCTCTTAATAAGGAGGTATGAGAATGAAATAATTTATATGTATATAAATATTTATAAATATATAATGCATTTAGTATATAAAATAATATATTTTATATATTTTTTCACAAGATACCCTTATATAGAGGGTGGAGTGACTATGGCATTCTTAAAAAAATTGAGTCAGACTCTATTTAGAGATTTTTTTCAATTTTCTGAGGAAAAAAGTAAAAAAACACATTGTTTTAGATTATTGGAGTTCAAATCCATATTTTTTGAAAAACCTAGGCAAAGCCTGATGAAAGAGCATCAGATGAGTTTTCAGTCTTTGCTTTAATAACTTTTATGCTTCTATACATTAAAGAAAAGTACACCCAAATTATTAATAATACATATTGGCCTCATTTCTTAGCCTTACTGTCAACTACTACACTACAGATCAGCTGTAATAATTCAGAAGGTATTCATATTTTTTGCATGCAATTTATGTGAAAACCGTATATGTTAATAGTAAATCCCATTTGTCCAAGAATTGCTTGCTTAGACTTGCCTTCTAGTCCTTTTCCTGTATCAATGTGTAGCTGATTAGTAGATAAAATAACTACTCAGGATTCCTGTGTGCTGTGAATTGAATACTCCCATCCTCCCAAATTCACATGGTGAAGCTCTCTTATCAATGTGATGGTACTGGGAAGTGGAACCTTTTGGAGTTAATTAGGTTGTAAGGGTGGAGCCCCCTTATTAGTGTCCTTATAGAAAGAGAAAGAGAGCGATCTTTCTCTCTTTTATTCAGTAAGAATACACTGAAAAGATCTAGACAGTACTTTCCTGCAAACTAGAAAGAGAATCCTCACCAGATACTGAATCCGCTAGTGCCTTGATCTTGGACTTACCAACCTCCAGAACTGTGAGAAATAAGTGTTTGCTCTCTAAGCTACCTTGTCTACAGTGTTATTTATCTCTATTTATCTATCTATCTACCCACCCATCTATCTATCAATCTATCTTTTCATAGTAGTGCAAAATATGACTATACGTATTATATTTTTAAAAGTCGGGATTACTATTTCTAGAAAGCATATATCTTAGAGTGTAGAGTGACCATTAAAAGATTTCCTTCTATGGAATAGATATTATTACTTTAAAACATCCTCATATGAAGTTTCAAATTAAAAGAAGAAAGGATAGAATAAAAATAGAATATTTTGAGAGATAAAATATAATCATTATTGTAACTTGGAAAAAAGAAAAATCAGTAGGTTGATTCATTAAATTGAAGTGGTACAAATAAGATAAACAGTCAATATTGACTTCAGTAAAACAAATGAGGGATTGATAGGTAAAGCACTTAAAAGATGAGTATTTACAAAAGGCAGTTATCAGAATAAGAGAAGGTATTCAGGAGCTAGACCTGGTAGTTACTGGGAAACATGTTGTATGTTACAAAATAAGCGAAGTCTAAGGAAGGCAGAACAATAACAGCATGGTGAAGTTTGGGCATAATTTTTTTTAGTTTTCACCAAGAACTATGACCTGGAGACTCTTCACTTTGTGACTTAGGAAAATAAATATTTGCTTTGACATTTTATCTTAACTTGAAATGAGAATGATGAATATTTGGCCATGAAGCGAGGAGAAAACAACAGATGATTTTCACATGACTATTGGCATTTCCATCTGATGAGAATGAGTGTTATATATCCTAAGCACCCATAGGATATATGAAGTTATACATAATGTAACTCTAGGACTACCCCCTGCATTAGGATATTGGAATCTTTATTACAAAATGTGTCTTTACAGATTTAAAAATGTTTAGATCATATTTGAATTATAGTGGAAATAAGAAAATATGCAAGTCAAATCATCAAATTAAGAATCTTTGGAGATTCATTAATATAAAAAAAATCAGTTGGCATTAAGTAAATATTTCTTGAAAAGTTATAGAATAGTTGAGATAAGAAAAGCCTTAGGAAAATTTTATAAATAAATCTCTGGAGAGTAAAGAAAAATGGCTGGTAAACAAACTAGGAACCTTGTAAAGATGCGGAGCGGAGGAGAACCAGCAATAAAAGGCAAGAATAAAAATCAGACAAAACTAGGATGGGATAATACACAGTCAGTGCTGGGCTTACAAAAATCAGGAACAGATTACGTGACTATTCATTATCCTCTCACTAATCAAATTAAAAAATCATTAAATGTACTTTCAGGCTGAAGTATGTTTTAGAATACTGAGGAACTTGCATATTATTTTAATAGTTGGCTATAGTATGAAGAAAAAGTTCAAATCATGTAAATAAGAAAATAATTGAGAGAGATTTTGGAATCCAGAAATGATGTGGAAGTTTTAGCAAGACCAGAATAGGTCATAGAGACAGAATACTACCTCACTGGTCACTCTGTAGAGACAATTTTAATTTTAATTACCATAACCAATATTTAGATTTATTTATTAGATTGGTGCAAAAGTAATTGTGGTTTTTGCCATTGAAAGTAAAGTAGTTTCATTAGGTTTTGCACCAACCTGATATTTTTAAATTCTTAGTCGTTAAATCTTCAGGGCTTCTCTGCTTTTCCAAAAGGAGTTCAGAAACTACCCTGTTTCTCTAGAAGTTCTCCAAACTTTGAGAGTCAATCTAAAGCTTTATTAAAGATGTTGTTTTATTCTTGCAGTAATATTTACAGGGTACCGCAGTGTGCCAGATCTGGTACAGGGATTTAAATATACATTGACAAAAAGAGACAGAAATACTGTTTCCTCCCTCATAGAAATTTGAGATGAATAGCAGAGTAATCAAATAGTCACAGAAATATATAACATTAAAACTGTGGTAAAGGCTATGAAAAAAAGTATATGGAACAATAAGGTCAATGAAGAAAAAATATAAATTCATCTCAGGGTGAATTTCAAAGTCTTTCTTGAGAATGTGACATTTGAGCTGGATTCAGGAAGATGAGTATAAAATAATGAAGAAAATATGGGAAGAGTTAAAACTTCCAGGAAAAGAGAAGTGTATCAGTAAGGGTGCAATGAGAAGACAGATACTGCCGAGCAATTTGAACAGCAAAGAAAAAGGATGTTAACTATACTAGGAGATTGGATTAATGAGGAATTGGCTGGTAAGAAGTAAAAAGAACTCTAAAAATGTAGGATAGAAACTATAATGGGCAATCAATGGCACTTGAGTCAGGTCCCCATTCTCTCCTTGTTAGAGAGACCCTCCCTATCAAGATCTCTCCTGACAAAGTCAGACCTTGTTAGGGAGGGCACAGTTGTTGAATGGCAGAGAAGTAGCTGAGGCATCACACATGTAGAACTTGCCAGAAACTGCCCTCTAGAGTGTCAAGTAAAGCCATTCACTCGAAGGTGACCCACTGGAGTAAGTCCTCTACAAAACAACCTGTGGATGCTTTTGGCTTATCCTGTAGGCTTTGGGCTGCTGGCTTCTATCCATTGCAGGAGCTGTTTTCTGGAGAAGTGTGTGCAGCATGACTCAGTACTAGAGAAGTCGTCTGCACTGCAGAGCTGGACACTGGGGATACCCTATGTACTGTGAGATACTGCCATGAGGAGCACCTTAGACCAAGAAGAAAAGCTCTTTCTTTCTGCAAAGTATTTTCAGCATCCCCTGCTCATAAAACTTTACATTGTGTCAGCTGGCTAAGAAATAATATTTAGTGGGCTCAGGTCCATTCCTGGAACAGACAATAAAAGGTTCATTCAGACATGGCAGAAAATAGGTAACTGGACAAGAAATTAGCTGTGCAGGGGCCCTAGGTGGGTAGAACAAAACACATTTGAGGACATTGCTCAGGGTTTATGAAATGTTACTGAAACCACCCAAGCTGTCCCATAGAACCAATGTCTGTGGTTTCCTTTGAATAAACATAGAAACTGTTCCTCCCAGTCTTGAAACTTGAAAAGCTTCATTTGTTTTATCTGAGTTCCTTTCTCAGGAAACCAGCCATCAGGGCTTAAGATAGAATCAAGGAACTGACATTCACCAGATCACCACATCTGACAAGGAGATACCAGACCTCTCACCCATCATGATCACCTGACCACATATTGACCAATTCCTTTTCTTTACTCTTCCCTAACTCCTGTTTTCCCATACATGGTTACATTTCTTCCTTCCCATATAAATCCCTAATTTTAGTCAGTCAGGGAGATGGATTTGAGACTGATCTCCCATCTCTTCAGCTGCCGCCCCAGATTGAAGCCTCTTCCCTGCAATACTTCTTGTCTTTATGACTGGCATTATGTGTTGTAAGCAGCAGGACCTAGACAAAACTCCTGGTGTTTCAGTAACATTATTTTATTCTTTAATTTAAACCTGAATATAATTCAACCTTTCATACCTTGCAGAGGTAGTTAACATACAAAAGTGCAAATGTGGCCGTGCGTGATGGCTCATGCCTGTAATCCCAGCACTTTGGGAGGGCAAGGTGGGTGGATTACAAGGTCAGGAGATCAAGACCATCCTGGCTAACATGGTGAAACCCTGTCTCTACTAAAAATACAAAAAAATTAGCCGGGCGTGATGGTGGGTGCCTGTAGTCCCAGCTACTCGGGAGGCTGAGGCAGGAGAATGGCATGAACCCAGGAGGCGGAGCTTGCAGTGAGCCTAGTTTGTGCGACTGCACTCCGGCCTGGGCAACAGAGCAAGACTCCATCCAAAAAAAAAAAAAAATGCAATTGTGTGGAAGTCAGGATACTGATGCACCATCTTGGGTTACATTACTTCCTAACAAATCTTGCTTGGCTTCAGGTTATTTATAAAATGAGGGAAATGAAGTTAATGATATTTAAAGTCTCTCTGTAGTTATGATTTATGATACTTTGAGTCACACAAGTACTTGAATGAGTATAACTAGTATGAATTATCATTTTTAAGAATAGTATTTCCAATATTTAGTGCTTGGCAAAAATGTTACTCAGATCACAGTTTATTAAAACAAGTTGAAATTAGTGACATGTAAATGTTAATATTTTTGAAACATATTTACAATAATCATATTTTTTGTGCAAATATTTCCCTGCAGTCCATGAACAAAGAGTAGAGTCTTGATATCGCTGCTAATGCAGGCTTCCCAAGCACCCTTAGTGTGACACAGAGCAAGCAATGTCACTGCAGATGAAAGCTGATGAATATTCTCACAGACCTGGACTTGTACCTGGAATTGCGGTTGGACGAGTACTTTTAAGTGACCACCATTGGCAAGGCGATAGGTTATGATCAGAAAGATCTGTTCTTTTTGTTTATTCTCCAGAAAGTAAATTAGAGTATTCCCCTCAATGTAAAAGAAAGAATTTAACCACAAATATTGGCTCACAATAGCGGTAGTTAAGTCAAAGATGTAGTCATTGCAGTATTAAGTGACATTCAAGGGAAAATGAATATGGCTTCTTTGATTTCATGATTTTCACACAATGGCACCTGTCAGTTCCAGGTACTGTGAAGGCTATGATTAGTATTTGAAAACAGCATCAGCTTGCAAGCTTATTCTTAATGATATTTTTAATATATGTATTTGATTAGCAAGAGGTATTGAATCTTAATAGTTTTTTTAAAAATCCTGAAATATCTCTTTACATGCATATGCCGATACTGATGGAGAAATCTGGTTAAAATTAAAGGTAAGCCTTTATTCAAGTCCTAGATTCTTAAAGCGCTCTTCTATGCAGTGTTTATCTATCAAGGATTTTTTTCTCAAACTCATTATTTTCTGGTTTTCAAATGACCTAGGAGAGCGATGACAAAACACCAAAATAAACACCATTTTGCATGAAGTTCTGGCTCATAGAGTTTTGACAGCATAGAGAAAACACTTTTAAAAGATTTTATGTCTTAGATAGGCCACATATGAAGATGTGAATCCGTATATGTTGCATCTTTCAGGGAGACAAAAAAAGGAAAGAAATAATTTTCTGTATAGCAGTAGCCTTTTCTAATGCCAGCAGCCTTTTCTGGAACAGCTGCTTGTAATGCCCATTTAATTGGCTTAAAGTTGTTCTCTCCTTTTCTGCTTTGATACACGGTAACATCATAATTGAACTATTTTTAGGATGTTATAAAACAACTTCCTGAAAATGCAGCTGTATCTTTATTATGTGTCAAACATGTGTGTGCTTTTTGTATTTAAATGGTAGATTGTTTTAAGTAACTATTTTCTGTAACATTTTAAGATGAGTTACCCTGTGAATGTTTTTATTTGTTTGTCTTATCGACTCAAATATTTTTATAAGGTAACTCCACTAAGAGTCTCTAACCACCAGAAATTATTTATGTACAGCTTTTTCATAGCAGTAGAGCATGTGCCAGCATAGCATGCAAATAACATCAATAACCCATGTGTTAAATAAATATTCAGCACGTGCTCACTTTGTCAGATCCTAGATACACAACGGAAACCCAAACACAGAACAGCATGAAGCTTCTAGTCCAATAGACAATTTTTAATTGCCTAGGTTTTAACAATAAAAATGTGGAGAGAATAAATGCAAGATAACTGAGATAATCAAGTTTTTCTGAGGCAATTTGAAAAAAAAATCCTTAGATTATGATTGTGATTTTCTGTTTGGCTAAGTTATGTGGTTGACACTTGAGAGCAAAGAATCATGCACTCTAGAATCTAATAATATTTCTGAAATCTGGGAGAGGTAGTAAATGACAGGGCCAGGAGACAACGGTTTTCTTGGAAAGCCAGACAGATGAATTTAAGATTATATATAAAAATTAGCTGAATTTAATGTGAGGTTCTCAGATGAAAAACAAGGATTTAGGCCGGGTGCAGTGGCTCACACCTATAATCCCAGCACTTCGGGAGGCCGAGGCGGGCAGATCACGAGGTCAGGAGATCGAGTCCATCCTGGCTAACACGGTGAAACCCCGTCTCTATTAAAAATACAAAAAAAAAAAAAAATAGCCAGGTGTGGTGGCAGGTGCCTGTAGTCCTAGCTACTCGGGAGGCTGAGGAAGGAGAATGGCGTGAACCCTGGAGGCGGAGCTTGCAGTAAGCCGAGATTGCACCACTGCATTCCAGCCTGGGTGACAGAGCGAGACTCTGTCTCAAAAAAAAAAAAAAAAAGGAAAAACAAGATTTAACACAAATAGAGGGAAGAGTAGCAGTATTGGTTAAAAAGTATCCTGACAATTTATGGACAACAAACCCAATACAAGGCCACAGTGAGTCATGTTAACAACATGAATCATCATAAGTCATACTGCCTAAAAAGCCATTTTGAACTTGGTTACACTGATAGACATGTAAAATGAGAAAAGCGACAGAAGCCCAGGACAAAGAAAGTGACAGTATACTGCCTGTCATTTGGCCGAATCTGTTTGTTCCATTCAAGTCACCAGACTTTAAGAAAGATATTGACAAAGTGGAAGACATTCAGAGCTGAGGAGACTAAAATTATGAAGGGAATTGACAACATGACAGATGAAGCCTCCTCAAAGAAACTGTGGATATTGAATCTCTAGAAGAGAAAACTCAAGGGGAATAAGAGAGTTCTCCTTAAATAGACCAAGTGCTTTCATGTGCAAGAGGCCTTTGATTTGTTCCTTATAGCCCTGATGCTTCAAACTGGAATGAAAAAGATGAAACTCCAGGGAACACAGTTTTAGCTAAATGTAAAGAGAAATTTTCCACCACTCAGAGCTGTCCACGGATAACTCTGACTGCCTCTAGAGAAGCAGAACCTTAAGCCATAATATTGTCTGCATCACTGAAAGTTTTCAGGCACAGCCTAGGTGAGCACATGTCTGGCATTTTGTTAGATAGGTGATTCAACATCAGATGGAAACTGGACTAGATGCCCCTGAAGATCTCTTATCCCTTACCACTCTAGAGCTATACAAAGTATATATTTTATTTTTTTCGCCAGGGAGCACACACAGGCATTCATCCTCCTAACTAAATTTTTTTTTTTTTTTTTTGAGACGGACTCTAGCCTTGTTGTCCAGGCTGGAGTGCAGTGGTGTGATCTCAGCTCACTGCAACCTCCGCTTCCCGGGTTCAAGTGATTCTCCTACCTCAGCCTCTCAAGTAGCTGGAATTACCAGTGCCCTCCACCATGCCTGGCTAATTTTTGTATTTTTAGTAGAGACAGGGTTTCACCATGTTGGCCAGGCTGGTGTGGAACTCCTGACCTCAGGTGATCCCCCTGCCTCAACCTCCCAAAGTGCTGGGATTACAGGCGTGAGCCACCATGCCCAGCCACTACATTTCTTTAACAGTAAAGTCTTTGACTTTTTTTCTCTTTACACGTTTAATTGTATAACATTAAAATATTTTTAATTAGCAAGCTCGCATGAGGAACATTTTCATATTTTACATATAAAATATAACTATAATTCATCTCATGAAAAGTTAATAAATTTTAAATATGTTTAGCCATATGTCAAGAATGTTGTGTTTAGCAACTGTTAGCATAAAGGAAGTATTTAAATAATTTCAATGGTAATGCAAAAATATTTTAGTCCCAATCATAGAACTCAATGAGTTTGCCACAAAGTAGGATCTTAGTGATTGATTCTGTTTTGTGTTTAAACCTCAATAGCTGGGAGCACAGGCTCCCACAGTCACAGGAAGGTCTATGTTGGGACCTCTGAAGCAGGATATTTCCCTGATCCCTTCACGGGACTCATGACGGGCTGCCTTGGCCACTCAGCCTGCAGCTCTCAACTCCTCATAGAGGAAACACGTAAGTGAATGAGGGGAGAACTGGAGTGCGTGAGTGATGGAACCAGCCGGCCACTTCAGCACCAGCAAGGGCAAACTCCACCCACTCAGACCTGCTGTGTTCCACCCCCCATGGGAGGGAGTGTGAAGGGGAGCAGGTACAGGAGCCAGGCAAGAGCTTTTGGGAGCTGCAGGAGCGAACTCCATGCAGGTCCTGCAGCAGCATCTGGGCAGTGCCCATGACCCCTGGATCCCCAGAGAGAGTGTTACAGTGCTCTTTTAGCTCTGCTGTCTGTGGACAGCCTGAGTGTTAACTGCTCAGCGGGTCTCTGCCTCTTCACATAAGGCAGTTGCCTTCTGCCAGCAAGGGCCAAGGGCCAGTGCGACATTCTTTTGTATCTGCACTCGTGGCTCCCGAGCTCTTGTCCAGTATCCCGGAGAAATTAGGTCACATGAACGAATTGAAGGATGGTAAATGCAGGGGACTTTATTGCCGATGAAAGTGGCTCTTAGTCAAAAGGGAGCAGAAAAGAAGATAGGGTGGGAAGCTAATCTTCCCCTGAAGTCTGGCCATCTCCTGCTGGATTCTTCTCTGGAGTTACACCATCAAGCTCTCTTTCTGAAGTCAAACCACTTCTCTCTGATGTCCAGCCATACTCTCTAGCACCCAGTTGTTTCTCTCTCTTTACGGGCTGAGTCTGGGGTTTTTATCGGCACAAGATGGGGACAGGGTGGTCCATGGTTGGTTTAGAAAAAGGTGACATTCAGGCCGGAAAATAGGGATATAAGTTCTCACTTTGAGCTGTGGTTTCAGGCTTGACGGTGAGGTTTTATGGGGACTTGCCCTTTTCTGCCTAGAATTTCTCTGCCTCCTTTCCCTATCACCTGCACCTGTCGTGGCATCATTGGGAAGTCCTCATTGCTGTGGCATCCTTTGCCACTGCACAGTGTTGCTATGTGGGCTTCTCCTAAATTCTCAGTCATTGTGCCCCAGAGCCCTCTGAGACAGGCCCTACTACCAGCTTTCTGCTAACCCAAGTGTGTCTCCGAGGACACTTGGGTTAGTAGAAATTTTCTAAAGAATTCCTTATCCTGGAGTCCCACCAGACTCTTCAATTAGTCTCAATCTTTTCTACTTCAGGACACAGCCAGATTAATATTTACCAGTGGGCCTGAAACATAATTGATCTTTACTAACTATTTGCAGGTTGGGGTAGGGGTCAGGGGCTAATGGATGTCTTCTGATTTTAGAAAAACAATGCTGAATTTCTATTCTTTATTTACTTGTGTATATTAGAAATGAATAAAATGACAGCCTTATTATTATTATTACTATTGACACAGAGTTTCACTCTTTTCTGCCCAGACTGGAGTGAGATCTTGGCTCACTGCAACCTCTGCCTCCTGGGTTCAAGCAATTCTCCTGTCTCAGCCTCCCGAGTCATTGGGATTACAGGCATGTGCCACCACGTCTGACTAATTTTGTATTTTTAGAGAGATGGGGTTTCACCATGTTGGCCAGGCTGGTCTCAAACTCCTGACCTCGGGTGATCCGCCCGCCTCGACTTCCCAAAGTGCTGGGATTACAGGCGTGAGCCACCACACCCAGCCAACAACTTTATTTTTTTAACTAACCTTGTTGCATATTCGTCTTGTTTATGAGTAGTGATACAGGAGTGCTGGGAAGGGAAGAGCATGGTCCCTTTAAATGAAACAGAAGTGGGAAGAAGTGCTGGGTAGAGAAGGGTGTGATCCCTGGCTAGGGCTACACCCCCATGGACCTAGGTGAGGACAGGCATTCCTGCCTTTGTGCCCAAATGTTGCATTTCCCAAGACCACCACGGCCCACCACGCCCCTATCTTGGGCCTATAAAAAAATCTTAGACCCTAGCAGGCAGACACAAGTGGCTGGACATCGTGAAGAACACATCAGCGAAAGAAGACACAAGTGGCTGGTCAACGAGAGCACGCCAGCAGAAGAGCATGCTGACAGGCACCAGCAGGTCAACGAGAGCATGCCAGCAGAAGAGCATGCTGACAGGCGCCAGCAGGCCAGCAGGCCACCGACTGGTGGAACAATGTGGAGTTTGGCTGTGCAGTAGGAGGAGAACCAGGGCCACCGAGTGGCTCAACTCCAGGGGAATCCATCTCCTATCTGGCTCCCTTATCGGCAGAGAGCTACTTCCACTCAATGAAACTTTGCATTCATTCTCCAAGCCCACATGTAATCCAATTCTTCCAGTACACCAGGGCAAGAACCCAGGTTACAGAAAGCCCTCTGTCCTTGTGACAAGATAGAGGGTCTAATTGAGCTGGTTGACACAGGCTGCCTATAAACACCAAACTAAAAGAGAACCCTGTAACACACGCCCACTGGGGCTTCAGGAGCTGTAAACATTCACCCCTAGACACTGCCGTAGGGTTGGAGCCCCCACAGACTGCCCGTCTGTATGCTCCCCTAGAGGTCTGAGCAGTGGGGTGCTGTATAAGTGAGCCCCACCCCCATTGCACGCCCTGCGAGGGGGACAAAGGAACTTTTCCTGTTTCAGTAGTAAAGTTCCAAGGTGTTCTTTCCTGAAAGCCACAGCCAAAATCTGAATTAATCACTTGGTGGCTTGGCAAAGCCTCCTGTAGGAAGTTCCAACTGAAGAGATGTGTCTCTCCTTTTCACTACCATCACTTGTGCTTCCTTCTTTCTTGCCTCTCTCTTTTTTCTTTTCCCCTTTTTCCTTCCATTGGATTATTTTAAAGGCGTTTAAGGTTTTGCTTTAGGATGTAGGTAGGTGCACCACATGGAGATAAGTTGGGTGTGAGAAGAAATGCAGTTTATGAGCCTATCTGTCTCATAAACTACACACTGTTATCTTTGTATTTATACATTTCTAATTTGTAATCATGTGTCATTGGTCCAGTTTAAGTAAAATGAAATGGAGACTAGGCCTGAAAATAATCCCTGAGCAGAAAAAGACAGGCCTTGAAAGTGGCCTTAACCTTGTTTGATATGCAAACATAAGTGAAATGTAATTTAGGCTGTTTTGTGTAAATGCCTATATTTAAAAAAAAAAAAAAAGAAAGTTAAGCTTAACCAATAGCAGGTTGCCAATTAACTTATAGTTATATAACTAGGCACTTTCCAATGGGACAGACCAAATAAGGCCACTACATAGCTGCAAACAATAAAACAGGTGCTTTTCTTTATTTCTATGTTCACCCTATTAAAAAAAAATAAAAGCCTTCTTTTCACACGCCTATGATTTTGAATTTGATTCTCTTTATTTTAAAGAGTTAAACTCTTTAAAATTTTAGTGTGGATCATTTTATATTTTAACCGTAATAACATTTGATTTTTCTACTATGCATCCTACAAGATTTAAAGGAAAAAATCTGGATCTAGAATGTTTAAAAGTGAGCCATAATACTCTTTTGACAGACTTATGCAAATGCATGCCAAAAAAATAAAATATGTATCTAGCAGGGCCCTCTTTAAATACTTTTGCTGGTTAATAAATTTAATGCATATAACTTGACAGTAGTAAAAAAAGGGTTTATCTACAAAAACTGATTGAGAATATAGAAGAAAGTAAGACAAAGCTAACTTATGGTACAAACGTAACAAGAGGAATCCTGCTTTGGTAATTTTTAATCTAAATTACTGAATGGATATTGCATATTTAAGCACTAGGGTGTAAAATTATTTCTAAAACCTGGTCTCCAAACCTTCAGGCTCATACATTTTATTATATAAGACATAAAATATACAATTTTAGAAAATATAAACTCTTCAGAAGATTCATGATTGGTGATACACACAAAACCAACTTCCATTAGCCAAGAAATACAAGTTCGGCCCAGATAAGACTGGGCTGACTTATTTAGCAATTTTAGCCAAGTAGTAGTTTTGCCTACATTTTTCACCCTAAGGAAGAATTATTTGTTGTTAATGCCAGGAGAAACTGTGAAAAAATATGTTATAAACTGAGGCAGCTATCCTTTTTACCATTTTTTTTTCTACTTGGTTAGCTTTCAAACTCGAATGCCTTGTGGCATTGAATAAAAATATTGTGATGTTTTACCACGTCAAATTTATGATACTAAAGACATGAAATCCATTCTAGTGTCAGTTTTACTATATAAATGTGAGCCTCATGCTTGATTAAACCTCTGTACATTTTCCCCACATTTACTGTATTTGTAGGTTCTATTTATACATTTTTTGTAATATTTACCATTTCTTTTCATCTCTTCATTTTTATTTCCACCATCCTTAAGGCCTTAATATTCTGTTTGAAATAGAGGCAGAACCATTACGTTTGTCTCTCTGCCTCCATTCTCTGTTTCTGTGATACTTTTCATGCTTCACTGGCAGATTACACTTCTTGAAGCACAAATCTAAGGATTTCTTTATTTCAGCAAAAATTCTCAGTCTCCGTTTCCCATGGTCTACAATCAAAGATATTCAAATGTATCAACTCTTAAGGTGTCTATTGTCCAGGTCTCAAAATACTTTTACTATATTATTCCCTTACAAATGTTACCCAAACAGCAAGAGTTCTGTCTGTGTCCTGCTGCTCCCTGACCAGAAAGCCATCCACTGAAATAATAAGTACTGCCAAGGGAGAAGACATTATTTGAGTGCTGTTGGTAAGGAGAAGGGAGTCTCAAATCCATCTCCCTGACAGACTAAAATGAGGGGTTTATATAGCAGGGAAGAAATGTAACCATGGGTGAAAAAACAGAATTTAGGGAGAGATAAGGTAGAGCAGTTGGTCAACAGGTTAGGCAATTGGTCGGCAGAAGGTGGGTTAGGCAGTCATGATGGGCCAGGGGTCTGGCTTCTCCTTGTCCGCATGAGTTGATCTGATAAATTTCCATTCCCTAATACTATCTGGGAGGCCTGATGGTCGATTTCCTGATAAAGGAACTCAGATAAAACAAATGTAACTTTTTCAAGTTGTAAGACTGGGAGGGTCAATTTCTATGTTTATTCCAGAGAAACTATAAACATCAGTTCTATGGGACTATTGTATGGGTGTCACAAACATAATTCCTATTTTTTTATATTGACTGAACTGAGCCACCATCCTTACCATGTATGTCTTAACTTTTCCCAACCATGGTTCCTTTCCTATTCTGTTAAACTTACTTGAAATGCTTTTCTACTTTATTCCCAAATGTATAAATTATGTCCAATTGTGCCCTACAATGTTGCCTATTATAAGCATTCAATAAACACGTATTTGTAAATAAATAAATAAATAAATAATAATTATTATTATTATTTTGAGACAGAGTCTCGTACTGTTGCCCAGGCTGGAGTGTAACTTTGTGAACTTGGCTCACTGTAAACTCTGCCTCCTGGGTTCATGTGATTCTCCTTCCTCAGCCTCCCGAGTAGCTGAGATTACAGGTGCGCACCACCATACCTGGCTAATTTTTTGTATTTTTAGTAGAGACATTATTTCACTGTGTTGGCCAGACTGGTCTCCAACTCCTGACCTCATCATCCACCTGCCTTTGCCTCCCAAAGTACTGGGATTATAGGTGTGAGCCACTGCGCCTGGCCAAATTAATTTCTTAATTAAAGTTGATAAATGCACAAAAAGTAAAAACTCATTAATGTTTTAAAAATTCAGGTTATTCACTTATGAGTCAAATATCTATTGAACATCTAGTATAAAGTGAAGAGTGTAGATCTTAGGGATAAAAATCTTAATCTTAGGGATAAAAAGCATAATCCCTATTATTAAGGAGCTTACAGACCAGTGATAAAGATATATTTGAAAATTAACAAGTTATAATAGTATTAGAATCTCAACAGAATAATTTAGTAAATAAGAAGCACTCATTTAATGCTGCTTAACAATGTGGAATTTTTACTTTTTGCAGTCCTTTCTGGTATAAGATAGAATATAATTTTATCTTGAGTAATGTATAATCAGATTTTGGCCTACACTTATTCCTTTTATGATAGAAAATCAAGACACCTTTTAAAATAGAGATTTTCAGTGTTTATTTATTTGTTATTCATGACTACTGTTCTACCAGAGCAGTCCAACAGAAACTGGTTACAAGGGGATTCTAGACTAAGACTTGAGTGAATCACATGCTAGTTGAAAAAGCAGGTCTATGTGATAGAGTGTCCATTTGTGGTTCTAGGTAAATAAGGCATGTCTGTATCTAGTTAGATAATAATAAAAAAACTTTTTAATAAAAATGTCAGAGCTGATTTTGTTATTAACAAAATCACAACCACTGCAATGTAATGTTTTAAATTCTGCTGTGGTCCATATAGGTTTTTAAAATGTGCCCTGTCTTTACAGTTGAAACAGTGACACCAACATTAAAATGTATTTTAAAATATGCATGTAGCAGGTTATCATTAATATTACATAAGGGTCAAATTTTATTTTAAAAAGGCTAATGAACTTAGGAATTCTGGAATCAGATGATGCATTAATGCTCATGTCATTTACTGTTTGAGTTTATTACATATATAATAGTAGCGATCAGGATTTTTGTAGCCCAGTTTGCATGGGCTCTGTATTTTTGATTTACTGATTTGTAAAATTATATCTGTCTTATTACTTATTACCTGAAATTACTATATAGATCTACAAAATTTACTATTGCATGTTAAAAACTTTGACTCTCTAGTAATAAACCCTTATTGTTAGTTGACTTGTAATAATGAGATCTTCCTTCAAAGAAGGGAAATAAATATGATTAACGATAGTTCACTTTGCCTATTGTTTAGATCAATGGTAAATAAGTAACACTGCACTGGAGAACTCTCTTTTTCTAAATGCTTTACTGTGGGGCTTGTGGAAGTAATAGGTGGACATTTTTTCTTCCATAGTGAAATATAAAATTGCAATGTGGGTAGTGGATCAGAAATCATATATTCGTAATTATTTTATAAATTAGAAAATTTAAGAAATTTAAGAAAAAATACTGATTTATTTCAATGTATCACAGATATCTACATTGGAATTCAAAATAAAACATACGTAAGAGTAACATGTTCATTTCTTCTTATTTATTATTAGTTCTGATGTGTAAATCTACTACAGAGAACTTACTAGAAGATGACTAAAATAGAAGACACTAAGCATTTTATGTTCATTTGGTTAATATCACTTCAATTCTTACCCAAATCACTGACTTTTGTTTCTACTTTTGAAATACAGTATTCCCAGTGTTCTTGATGCTGTGAAGGGCGAGTATGCACATACACACATACAAGAATATGTACATACATATACACATTCAGATATATATGCATGCCTTCAAAAGGCTAAATTTATGTGCATTTATATACAATATTATTGTTCATTATATTTCTAATAACCTTGGAAAAACAACCATTTGCTTAGAGCCTGAAACTAATTTTATAAATATAGATACATGTTATTAGCAATTAGCAGAGTGTCAATATCTAGTGTGCAGTCATATATTTGTATGCTTTTCGTATATTTTTCTATATATTTACATATATATTTTTTGAGACAGAGTCTCACTCTGTCGCCCAGGTTGGAGCGCAGTGGCGCGATCTCAGCTAACTGCAACCTCCGCCTCCTGGGTTCAAGCGATTCTCCTGCCTCAGCCTCCCGAGTAGCTGGGATTACAGGCACATGCCACTGTGCCCAGCTAATTTTTTGTATTTTTAGTAGAGACGGGGTTTCACTATGTTGGCCAGGCTGGTCTAAAAATCCTGACCTTGTGATCCACCCACCTCAGTCTCCCAAAGTGCTGGGATTACAGGCGCGAGCCACCGCACCTGACCTATTTACATATAAATATTATATATATATATATATATACATACACACACACAGACACACAAACATACACACATATATATCTGTATACTTATATTGATGTGTATATGCAGGTACAGTAATTAGTAATTCAATTGCTTTGCCTATGATTCTCTTTTAAAACATATACTTTTGAAATTTATTCATAATCCCAGTTGATTTCAAAATATATTACATATGAATTTCTCCAAAATCTTTTTTCTGTCTTTTCCTGTAACTGCAAGTAGCCTCTAGACAGCCTGCAAACATCTGCCAGTTATTTAGCCATCTTTCTTATTTCTTCATTTTCAAATGCTACAACTGTGTTCATCAAACCTATCTTCTAAAGTCTGGACTGCTACCATAATTCTTTTCCATTACCTGTTCTTCTTTGGGAAGTGGTATTGTTACCCCCCAAAAACAGGGTTCATTCACCTGGAAAGTAACCAATGACTCTTCACAAGGATGCAGGTTTTTCTCAAGAGGGGTGTTATTGCCTGGCAAGGAAGGAGAAAACTAGGAGTATTCTCCAGAGCAGTATCTCCCCTAGAGTAAGTGACAGGAGGGTTTTATGAGGTGATGGAGAGGGGAGAGGGTGCCCATCACATGTAGAGAAGGAGTCTTTGCTGCCCAAAAGCAGTGAGTCACTTTGCCTGCACATAGGTGGCATATTATGGTAACAAAACCATATCTCCTCTTGGGGCGGAGACTTTAGTACAGGAATAAGGAAAGTTACTCGAGTTCATCTATAAGTTGCTGGAGTCTGCCAGGAGCTTAGGTGGCCCACTTAGGTGACCGAATTCCACACAAGATTTAGGAAGAAACAGGCTAGAGGGCACGAGGCTATAAAACAGGCTGATGGCTTAAGTTGATTAAAATCCTATAATCCCTAGAGAACTTCCCTGTCTGTTTACAGTATCTGTTTCTTGTCTGGCTTATTTAATTGTGATAAATAGTTATCCTGAAATTCAGGGTAATAATTTCCATATAGTTTGTGATGATCAAAATTTTACCTTTTATAATAGCAGCATAATCTCCACCATTAACTATATGTAAATGTTTATGCTTAATTAATCTCTTAAGAGATTAAATAAAGTGAGGTCCTGGTATCAACTTAATTATCTGGAATTTTAATCCCCATCTTCTATTGCATAGAAAAGTTAGAAATTATTTTCTGAACTACATATAATATACTTATAATTACTTATATAAGTATGTATTAGTCTGTTCTCATGCTGTTATGAAGAAATACCTGAGACTAGGTAATTTACAAAGAGAAAGAGGTTTAATGGACTCACAGTTCCACATGACTGGGGAGGCCTCACAGTTTTATAAACTGTCCTTTATAAAACCATCAGAGCCAATGAGACTTATTTGCTAACACAAGAACAGCACAGGAAAAACCCGCCCTCATGATGTAATTACCTCCCACGGGGTCCCTCCGATGACACGTGGGGATTATGGGAGCTAAATTTCAAGAAAAGATTTGGGTGGGGACACAGCCAAACCATATCAGTATATTTAATATATGTGAACTTGTGGTAGGCAGAATAATGCCTGACATCCAGAAAGTTCACACCTTAATCACACAACCTGTAAATACATTACAATACATGGCAAAATGAGGACCCCAGAGGTGATTAACATTGTAGATCCTAATATGAGGAGATCATTCTGAATTATCTATGGGGCCCAAAGTAATTACATGAGGCTTTCAAAATGGAAGAAGAAAAATAGGAACATCAGAGAGATGCAAAAGAAGAGACAGAAAATATTTAACAATGTGAAAGAGGCTTGGCTTACCACTCATGGCTTTGAAGATCAAGAAAGCAGTAAGCCAAGGAAGGTAGGTGGTCCCTGGCAACCAGAAAGGAAACAGGGACCTACAACCCCAAGAAACTGAACTGAATGCTCTCACGAACCTGAATGTTGTTACAAAGAACTGAATTACTTACTAGAGCTTCCAGAAAGAAACACAGCCTGCCTATACCTTGATCTTTGTCAAGTAAGACCCATTTCAGACTTCTGGCCTATGGAACTGTGAGACAAATTTATGTTAAGTTTGTGGTAATAGAAAACAAATACAGAGTTGAGTAAGCTGTATTACAACAGTGATTTATTACATAGTTTTTCATTTTGAATAAGATGTCACTTGATTCATTTTCCAAAAAGAATTATTTAAAACTTTTGAGTCAAGTAATAACAATGATGCATGCGGATAGAATTACTGATATATCTATGTATGAGTTATCTACAAACATTTAGTGTCTGTTTTATTTAGTTTCCTTTTAATACACTTTAATTTTTAGGGATGTTTCAGGTTCACAGCAAAATTGAGCAGAAGATATAAAAGGTTTCCCACACATTTCCACGCCCACACATGCATAACTCCCCCATTGCCAGTATCTCCCACCAGGGTCGTATATATAGTAAAAGGGATGAGTCTACATTGACACACCATAATCATCCAAAGTCCAACAAAGATATCTTGGTATTATGCAACCTATGGGTTTGGGCAAATATATAAAGCCATGTTTGCACCATTATAATATTTTCAGAGTAGTTTAGCTGCCCTGAAACCTCCCTGTGCCCTGCCTATTTACCCCTCCCTCTTCCCTAACTTTTGCCACCATCTTTGAAACAAAATGTTCTTATAGACATTGAATCTTTCCACACTTTGATCTTGAACTCCCTAGCCACTAGAAGCTTGATAAATACATTATGTTGTTTAAAAATTGTCCAGTCTAAGATATTTTGCTAAGCAGCCAGAAGGGACCAAGATAATTAGCAAGTGAGTATCTCTTTTAGTATTTCTGTAATGTCCAAGTTATACAAGTGCATTGAGGGAATCTCAAAATACCTAGATAAGAAAAGGAGAAAAAAATGATATAACTTGCATGAAAAGTATACACCCATTTTTTAACATGCAGTGTGTAGATTCCTGGATACTTTAAAATCAGTGTATATATAAGCATTTAATTATATGTACAATTAGAGAGACACTTTTTACAAAATGGAAAACTATTAGATGCTCCACATATGGCAGGTAAACTGTCTCTTGCCTCCACTAAACATATAATTAATGTTTTCCATCTAAATTAAACTTCTTTAATAATATTAAGATTTAATTAATATATCATTTTACTACTTCTTTGCATGCCTCATGTTTCATATTGAAAAGGCTATCATCAAGGAGTCTAATATGAATCTTTCTTTTCAGCATAGGTAAGGAGAAAACAAGCAAGTAGTTAAAATATTATATAGGACTCAGGCGGGCACAGTGGCTCACGCCTGTAATCCCAGCACTTTAGGAACCTGAGGCGGGCAGAACATGAGGTCAGCAGTTTGAGACCAGCCTGGTCAACATGGTGAAACCCTGTCTCTACTAAAAATACAAAAATTAGCCAGGCGTGGTGATGGGTGCCTGCAATCCCAGCTACTAGGGGGGCTGAGGCAGGAGGATCACTTGAACCTGGGAGGAGGTTGTAGTGAGAGAGATTGTGCCACTGCACTCTAGCCTGGGTAACAAAGTGAGACTCTGTCTCAAAAAAAAAAGAAAAAAGAAAAAAGAAAAAGAAAATAAAATTACCTTTTTTTAAAATGCATCTAGGAGCTATGTTTTCAATTGGGTTAAGGAAGACGATTCCATAAATTTTAAGGATATAATGCTTCTTTAATTTTTGGCCAAGAACAGGCGTCTTTTCTGTCAGATGAGCTGACTGTGGTACACCCCAAGGCAGTTTCTGACCACATCACAATCTCTTGGCCAAACATACATTATGATGGCTTTTATTCAGATTTGCCTGATAAATTAGAAATGTGTAGGTTATCAGATTGTGGAGTCTAGACTTTCATGGAATAAGTGAAGTCGTAATCTATGACATTATCCTTAGCTTTATTTGACCACATTGGTTAGATTAGATGAATCAAAGTTTCCTTCTAGTACTGACATTGTATGTGGACAATCAAAACTTATAATTCACATAATTAAAATGTATGAGCAACAGCTATCTATTACTTTCATTCATCTACCTTTTTTTCAGAATATAACTACAGGGTATACACGCAAAAACTAACAAAATGAGTGTTAACGCACACTTCAAAGAGTAAATTTGGCTATAACATGCGAAGACCTCTTCAATTCAATATTTAGCAGTAGGGCTTGCTATAAAATTTCTAAGCAAATAGGCCGAATGTTTAAGAAATATTAATATTATTGTTTTAATGTTCATACTGTCTGAAAGATACATAGAAAGTCAATTTAGGCAATTCTCCTGAGACAAATGTTTATTGTATTATTGTCATAGATCTTTATAATTATAGTTGCATGGGATCCTTACTACCATTTGGTCATGTTAACTGGTCACTACAGTGTTATGAAAACTTGAAATGGCTAAAACAATTGCGGTGACACAAAAGGAAATCGATATACACAAAACTGCATTTTGCTCAGTAGAAAAAGTCTTTTAATACTTCGTTTTGCACAGTGCACCAGTCTAGCAAGGAAGAAAAAAAGAAACTTGAATTATTTAAGCTAATTTTTCTAACAGAAAAAAAATAAGCACACACACACACACACACAAATAACTCTACTGCAGGACCTCCATCTGTCTGAATGGTAAACAGTCACCACCTGGCTTCTGTATAAGATCATTGCTCCCACAGTAAATGTCACAATTTCCATTTCAAAACCCCCTTTCAGCTGTCTCATTCTGTAGCCTCAAAATAATAAATCATCTGCTATTATGGTCGAAATAAATCCGCTGGCTATGTGATAATGATTAAAGAAAATATGCCAGGAAACAATCATGGTGGATTGGTTGCTCTCTACTGCATTGCTTCTATATGACACAAAAAGATAATTCCAGGGTATGCTAAAATAGAGAATTAGCAATATTTACATTATATTCACGTCTAAGACATGTTGATATCAATTATGCTGCTGCAACAGCAACTCAATCTCTACAGCTGCTACTGCACTATTATTTTAAGTACAAGATTGCCACATCTTCAGATTTAATTCCAGTTTTCCATATTACTAATATGTCCTGATTCATCTTAATGATTCATTAAAGATTCATTTTTTTTTGTTGTTTTCTAAATATAAAGTGGACTAAAAAATCCATTCTCTTTCCACTTCACAAGATAGTTTTGGAGAGTCGATGAAATTGTAGGTGGTAAGATTGGGAAACAATTTAGGCATATCCACTAAAGCCGGTGGAACTTGATGCTGTGTGCTATAGATGTTTTTTGTTTTTTGTTTTTTTTTCCAGGATTCCTTGCAGCATCCCACGTTTCATTTTGTTGTTGGCTTCAGTTTGACAATATCTCAGTCTGTCTTTGTTGGTGGTGACCTTGAGAATTTTGAGGAATATGGTTAGGTATATTATGGCATGCTGCTTTACTGGAATTTTTTGGATGTTTTTCTTTGATTTGACTAAAGTTATAGGTTTGGAAGAGAAGTTCATGAAGTGCCATGATTATTACATTGTACTGAGGGAACATACCACTAACATAATTTATGATTGCTGACCTAGAGTTGATCACATGACTGAAGTAGTGATTGTCAAGTTTCTCCACCATAACATTAGTCTTTTTTTTTTGCCCCTTTGCTTTCCATATTGAACTCTTTGGATTGAAGTCACAATGCACAGCGGACTCTTAAGAAGGGAGAAGTTGGCTGAGCGCGGTGGCTCACGCTTGTAATCCCAGCCCTTTGGGGGGCTGAGGCAGGCGGACCATCCTGGCTAACACGGTGAAACCCCGTCTCTACTAAAAATACAAAAAAAAATTAGCCAGGCGTAGTCCCAGCTACTCGGGAGGCTGAGGCAGGAGAATGGTGTGAACCCGGGAGGCGGAGCTTGCAGTGAGCCGAGATTGTGCCACTGCACTCCAGCCTGGGAGACAGAGCCAGACTCTGTCTCAAAAAAAAAAAAAAAAAAAAAAAAAAGAAGGGAGAAGTTATACTCCCTTCCTTGATGGCAGAGTATCTACATAGATTATTAGGTATTCCACTGTGCAAGAGATTTATCTCTTTGATCTCTTCTTCCCTATTAACTTACAAAATAATTTATTTATATCAGTATAAATGCATGTTTATTTTATACCTCAGGTTATCATCCAAAAGCACTTTTTAACTACTGTTGCTCAAATTGTTTCAGCTTTGCCTGTTGGCTCCTTGTGCATCCCCCTAACCTCAGTTTTCTGGAATGGGTTTATTTTTGTTTCTTATTTTTAGCTCTTTCTTACTTTAAGGCACTACAGGGTGATTCAGGCTTATAAATTTCCTGCTTTCATCCTAGTTTCAGCCATCTCCCCAGGAAACACTGTTCCTTTTTGTGGATTATGATATCAACAACTATGATCTGGGCAGTAGGTATATTTCATACTACTGGGGTGTCATTTATTTTAGCCACTCTCAGCGGACAAAAAATGAAACATATGTGCATATACTAATCTAGGTATGCACCTATTAATATATCAATAAATGTTTCTAATATGTAATCAACTGTATCCATATTAAGCTAAACATGAGTTCTTAGTAATGTCTCCAGCTCTAACCCATTATGCAGGGATCATCCTAGCCTCCTCCTATTGTTTTGCTGTAAAAGCCTACTCCAAATTTGAACCATCATCTGCCATTCACTAGCTTAATCGTTCAATTCCTATATACATGTATAGCAGCTTCGGAATTGTTAACTGCACCCCTGGGTGGTGTGGTGGGGGTATATTTGCAGTTAATTTTGTCTTTAGTCTTGCAGACTGCACTTACTTTCAAAGTTACTTAGGTCAGTACCTTTCCTGCATCACCAATTTCTTCTGTGAGATTAATTTAGACATTTGTAATATAGCTGGATTTTCCCAGTCTGCCTTCCTTCTTCAGATCTCTCCATAGCCTAAATGATATTTTTAAATTCGCATACCTTACGATTCACTGTGTTGTAAAATTCTACAGATTTTGACAAATGCATAATCTCTGCATTCACCTTTACAGTATCTTACACAATAGTTTCAGCATTCTATAAAATTACCCAATTAAAAAAAAAACTTTTAGGTTCAGGGGTACGTGAGTACTAAATGTTTTAAGTACTCAACCCTTAACATACAACACTCCTCCAATCCTTGGCAATCAGTGATCCTTTTACTGTCTCTATAGTTTTGCCCCTTCCAGAATGTCATATAATTGGAATTGCACATTATGGGACCTTTCCAGACTGGCATCATTTATTATCAATATGCATTTATGGTTTCATCGTGTCTTCTCATAATATGATAGTGCATTTCTTTTTGTTGCTGAAAATGTTTCTTTGTATATAGTCTGTTTATCCATTCACTATGCAGGATATCTTGGTCTGTTCCAGTTTGGGGCAATTATAATTAAAGTTATTGTAAATACTTACATAAAATTATTTGTGTGATCATAAGTTTTCAAGTCAATTGGGTAAGTACCCAGGAGCACCATCTATGAAATATCTGATAAGGCTATGTTTAATTTTGTAAGAAACTTCCACACTGTCTTAAAAAGTGGCTGTATTAGTCTTCATTCCAACCAACAATGGATGTGGTTTCTTTTTTTTCTTGTTTTTTTTTTTTTTTTTTTTTTTTTTGAGACGGAGTCTGACTCTGTCCCCCAGGCTGGAGTGCAGTGTCCCGATCTCGTCTCGCTGCAAGCTCCGCCTCCTGGGTTCACGCCATTCTCCTGCCTCAGCCTCCCGAGTAGCTGGACCACAGGCGCCCGCCACCACGCCTGGCTAATTTTTTATATTTTTTTAGTAGAGATGGGTTTTCACTGTGTTAGCCAGGATGGTCTCGATCTCCTGACCTCGTGATCTGCCCACCTTGGCCTCCCAAAATGCTGGGATGACAGATGTGAGCCACCTTGCCCGGCCCAATGGACATTGTTTCTATTGCTCCACATCCTCACCAGCATTTGGTATTGTGAGTTTTGTTTTTTTTTATTGTTGTTGTTGTTTTATTTTATCCTTTATATTAGGTGTGTAGAGCTATCTCACTGTTCTAATTTGCAATTTCTTATTGACAAATAATGTTGAGCATCTTGTCTTGGGTTTGACATCTGTGTATCTTATTTGGTGAGGTGTCTTTTCGTATCTTTTGCCCATTTTAATTTTTTTCATACTGCTGAATACTAGTTTTTGTAAGTTTTGGATGCAAGCCCCTTATCAGATATGTGCTCTGCAAATAGTTTCTTCAAGTTTGTGGCACGTCTTTTATTTCTCTTAACATTGCCACAGAGAAGAAATTTGAAATTTTAATAACTTCCAGTTCGTCCTTTTTTTCTATCATCAATTGTACTTTCGGGTCTGAAACCACATCACCAAATGCAAGATCCCATAGGTTTCCTCCCCTATTATATGTTAGAAGATACTTAATTTTGGACTATACTTGCTCCCAGACAATAGTTGAGCATAAAAGTGTTACTAAATCTTGGTCACTCCTACTCAACAGTGAATTATGCTAATAGACTGTCTTTTCTCTAGACTTTCCATTTTCAGAGCTGCACTACCATTGAAATCTTTTTCTATGAATCTCCATTTTTACCTCCCTCCTTTCACATGTTGTCCCTGTTAAGACTTTCTCTCCTGTCTAAAGGCTCTCCCTAACTCCCAGCTACCTCTTTCCTTTCTCCTTCCTCGATGTTTCCCCCTCTTGCAATTCCAATCCATCATGGTGCCAGCTAAGGACTCAAACCACTTCAACAAGAGAATGGAAAAAAACAGCTTAGTTGCTATTCTATGGTTTGTATTTGAGTTACTCTGATAAAGTTTATCATGGAAGAAGATACGTACTACCATATTAGTTCTATTTTCTTAGATTTTCCTCAAGATTCTAAGGGACCATAAGCTATACCTTTTTTTTTTTTTTTTTTTTTTTTTCCAGAAAGACTCTTACTCTGTCACCCAGCCTGGAGTGCTGGAGTGCTGGAGTGCAGTGGCAGGATCTCGGCTCACTGCAACTTCCGCCTCCCAGGCTCAAGTGATTCTCCTGCCTCAGCCTTCCAAGTAGCTGAGACCACAGGTGCGTGCTACCACACCCAGCTTTTTTTTTTTTTTTTAATTTTTAGTAGAGACAGTGTTTCGCCATGTTGACCAGGCTGGTCTTGAACTCCTGGCCTCAAGTCATCCATCTGCCTCAGCTTCCCAAGTGCTGGGATTATAGGCATAAGTTACCTTGCCCGGCCTCATAAACTATACTTTTTAAACAAACTAAGAAGAAGAAAAAAGACAAATTTACAAATTTTTTCGCTAGAATTTTCAGAATGCATTTTCTAGATGTGTAATGTTTAAATCATGTTTAAATGACAAGAATTGTGCCACAATTGTCATTTTTCTTCCTTAGTCATTGTGAAATCCCAGAGAAAAATGTTATGCCTTTAGATTTCCTTATCCCCTGGTACGTATTAGGGAATAAATATCATTTGTTTGAATAAATAAAGTATATAGATTATCCTGGGATAATGCTGTATTGAGTTAGATGGACAGATACTTTTTGCCTTGAGGGCATTTTCCCCCAGGTTTCTCTTCTTTGATTTTAAGATAAATGGTATATAAGAAAAGACTATGATGTAACAATGCTGATTCAATTAAAAACAATCTATATCCTGTATTAACAGAATAAAGGACAAAATTATCTGATAACCTCAGTAGATAAAGGAAAAGAGTTTGACTAAAGCAAGCACCCTTTGGAATAAGGGTTTACTATCCAGAATATAAAGAACTCATTACTCAACAATTAAAAGATGGAAAAATAGAATTAAAAAACAGTTAAAAGAATTTGAATAAATATTACCAGAAAGAAGATATCCACATGGACAAGTATTTACTTAAAAAGATGTCAATTGCATTCATTTTCAGGAAAATGCAAACCCAAACCATTAGATTACTGCTTTATACCCACGAAAGTAGCTAAAATATATTTTAGGAAAACACAATAATAAGTGTTGAAAATGTGGAGATACTGGAACTTCACACATCATTTGGTGGAATTTTACAATGTTACACTCACTTTGAAAAATAGTTTGGAAGTTTCCCTAAAGGGTAAACCATATGACTCAGCAATTCTGCTCCTTGGAATATACCTAAGAGAAATAAAAATATGTCCACACATAAACTTGTACATGATACTCATAACAGCCAAAAAATTGAAACAATCCAAATGTCCATTAGCTGATGAATAGATAAACAAAATGTGGTATATGTATCAAATTGGATATTATTCCTCAATGAAAAATGTTACCTGCTAGAACATAGATTAATCTTGAAAACATTAACCTAAGTGAAGTAAATTTTTACAAAAGGCCACATATTGTGAGATTCTATTCATGTGGAATGGCCATAATAGATAAATTCATAGGGACTGGAAGTAGATTGGTGCTCGTCAGGAACTGGAGGGAGGAGAGGATGGGAGGAGGAAACTGCTAATGGATTTCTTTCTGGAGTGGTGAAAATAATCTAAAATTAGATTGTGATGATGGCTACACAACTGTGAGTATACTATAACACCCTTGAATTGCATACTTTAAAATGGTAAATTTTATAATATGTAAAATGATTTAAATAGACACTTCTTCCAAGAAGATTATACAAGTAGCCAATAAGCACATGAAAAGATGCTCACAACTATTAATATTTAGTATGTCCCAGGTAGGAAACTGGATAAGGGGCCCCCTCACCAGTTCCCCTTCCTAGAAACGCTTCTCCAAATTCAATCCCACTTTTAACCTCGTCTTGTAAGGCCTTAGAAAAAGAATGACAATAACCACAAATCATACTAATTTATAGTACTATCTTATAGCTTATTGCAAGTTGATTTCTGCTAATAGAAGGTCATTCACAGTTGTTTGTATTAGCAAAATCTTAACAGTTATACTTGAGACAGATGTGTGGGAAAGAGGATGTTATAATCTAAAGTACTCTATTTAGCTAAATTTAAAATACCATTTACTTTAGATGTCATTGAATGTCTACATTTAAGAGAGTCTATTTTGAAATGTTTTTCTAGGAAGGAGATTTCAAATTTTTACAGTATAAGATGGTCTCAAGCTATAAAATAATTTAAAATTCTTTAGGCAAGGTTAGCTGGTACATACAGATGCCATTTAAAAAAAATCAGGTAATTGGCTCTTTAAAAATTAGTTCACACAATTAAAATAATACCGTCTTTGCAATTTTGAAAAGAATTTGAAGGCGATGACATATGGTTAACATTACATATGTCTGTAGGCTGTCAAACTATTCAGATGAAGAGTAAAAATTTCAATCCATTTTCTAGCCATTCTATCTACTGTGACAGCCCAACATCTCTAGACAAGCTTATTGAAAGAAAGCCTCATGTTCCCAATACACATTATTTACACTCCTGAAAGAGTTCCAGGAAAATGCTGTGATTGTAACAGGGCCCTCCTTAGAAGTTGCAGGGTGGGGCCAAATAATGCTATCCTCTTGAACACTGGACTTCACCCCCACCGTCCTGCATACTCATGGACCCATGTAGATGTTGTCCCTGGATTTGGGCAGGTCCTGGGCTGCTTCATCTTCAGATGTTGTTCCCAGTGACCTCCCATTTGCTCTGAGTAACTGTACATGAACTTCAGAGTGAGGAGGACCAGCCATAGATTAAGCCAAAGTATGGTCTTAAATCCTTGCTTCTCAAGCGCCCAGCATTTTCACCTGCACCTTCCTCCCATGTGCACTTGGAAGAAGTTGAAAACACTCTGAGGGTCTTTTCTGTCTGACCACTTGGGGGTCTTTCTTTTCTGATATGTAGCACCAGGGGAACACCCAGGGAGAAAATATAAATAAGAGCTCTCCTCATTGGCTTCCCTCCCTAAAATCTGTCCCCCAAGGACGAGATCATTTCTGACCTCTTGCCTATGGAGTGTGATGGGCTAGTCTCCTTCACACCCAAGAGCTGCTGCAGGCAACACCCTCCATGTGGGTCACCTGTACTCTCTAGCCAGGCAGCTGACCACGTGGGCTCTACCTGAGCTCTCTGCCCTGATGCTGCCACTCCTGTCACCCCTGCTGCTGGCCAGCATGCAGCTGTGCTGTCCCCTCAGACCTACACATGCTCCCTCTGTGGGAACTAGCATGAGCCCCAACAATGTGTTGGCCACTCAGACTGGCTGAGGAGGGAAGCTGGTCCAGCAGTTCTCAGCAGCATCTGCAATTCATAGAAACTCTTTTTCAGGCTTCTCACACTCACACCACCCTCAGCACTCCCCTTCTAGGTGGTGATAGAGACACATTTCTGTTATTAATTTTAATTCTTCTTATAGTATGGAGAGATCCAAACCCCTCTCTCCCTTGGAGCCTCCATGTCACCATAAATTCTGGTGGGGAGGGCGCACTAAAATCCTCATATAATGGCATCTCAGCACTTCCACAGAATAAAGACATCTCGTATTTTCCAAAATACCCCATCTCACTCTTCTACCTCCATTTCTTTAAGGAAGATAGATGTTGCTAATACTCTATTCCTAGTTGGGCTTTACTAACTGTATTTTCTCACATCCTTCCTCTCGACTCTAGGAATCTTGTGTGCTCGTGTCTGGGTGTGTGTGCATGTGTGTGCAAATCCTACCAAGTATATATATTAAACATTCTGTGTAACTCGAGGTCTGTAGTACTTATCCTTTCTTCTCTCCCCCAACCTTTCTTCTTCCTTTTCTTTCTCTTTTCTCTTTTCTGCTCTTGACTTGTCCCCTTTCTTTCTCTCTGACTGTCTCCTTCTCTCTCTCTCCATATAGTGTATATATATATATATATATATATATATATATACTCTCCACATGTGGTATTTTATATATGTGTGTGTATATATATATATATATACACACACCCTCCACATATATGTTGTGTGTGTATATATATACACACACCATATGTAATATGGTGATATGTAATGTGATATATATGTAAACATCCAGAGTAGTATATTTCTTTTCCATTAACAATACAAAAATATATTGATATAAATTGATATTGATGAAGAATAAAAACATAAGTTTAGAACAAAACCTCTCAGAATAAACAATGGAAATAGTGTAGACATTTACTATATACGAAGACAGACACTTTCACTTACCTACTACCATGGAATACATTTTAACAACGATGAAGGCAGAGCCACGTTTTATAGAAAAAGGGGGAAGAATATTTATTTTAAGAAAGGCAGTTTTAATGAATATATGGTTGATTGGGAACCCATATAAACATATGGGTCTAAAACCAGTGGGTTTAGTACTTTGCATTTCCTTTTTATTCTTCAGCCAAGGTGGGGGATTTCAGTTTTCAGATCAGAACAGTCAGGTATAATAATAAATATATAACTTGTCATTTTTTAAGCTTCAGAAAACAGTAAAACAATACACTTTTTTTTTGTTTTTGTTTTTGTTTTTTGTTTGTTTGTTTGTTTGTTTGAGGCAGAATCTCGCTCTGTCACCCAGGCTGGAGTGCAGTAGCGCAATCTCTGCTCACTGCAAGCTCCGCCTCCTGGGTTCACAGCATTCTCCTGCTTCAGCCTCCCGAGTAGCTGGGACTACAGGACCCGCCACCACGCTCGGGTAATTTTTTGTATTTTTAGTAGAGACGGGGTTTCACCGTGTTAGCCAGGATGGTCTCGATCTCCTGACCTCCTGATCTGCCTGCCTCGGCCTCCCAAAGTGCTGGGATTATAGGCGTGAGCCACCACGCCCGGCCAAAACAATATACTTTTCTCAGAAAGACAGACAGAAGACAGAAAACCGTCAAAGTTAAAATCATGAACTTCTGGCAGCGTTGCTGTGGTATCAGGTCTCACTCTTCTTGTGAACAGATTGTTCCACCAGACAGCTTTGCCAATTTGGTAGCAAATTGGAGCTTTGCTCCTTTGGAGAAGCAAAATCTATAACAACTAGTGTGATAAATAAGTGAAGGTGAGTAATTACAATAGATTTATTACACATAGAAATTGAAAAGAGGGAAATAAAAATATTGATTAAACATGATTTATAAAAAGCAAAGTCTGTTACTCTAATGACTTTCTTGAGTATTTTATAATGCAATTATTCATATGTATTAGATGTTCATGTTTTAAAAGTTCTGTTAGCCATGTAAAATTAGTAGGATTTTCTAGAAAAAAAGAAAAAAAAAACACTGAATTTTTACATAAATAGAAACAAGCACTTATATTAGCTATATATAGAGTCATGTCATTTTTTTCAGTTTATTTATCTTTATCTTTTATGTGTTATTAGACTTCATTATTGAAAAATGACCTGCCCACTGTTCACAGCAGCTGCAATCCATTAGCCTAATGGATTGGAATTATATGTTGCCTTAGAAATTGTCTATTGTGTGGCAAAATCAAATGTAAACCCTACAGAGAAAAGTCTTGACATTATTAAATGTAAGAAATGCAGTGCATTCAGGAAGTTGTAAAAAAAAAATTAAAAAAAAAAAGGATTTAGGACGTATGACACCAGAAAGTAATATGATGTTTAGGTGAAAATATAAATTACTTGTGTTTTCTCATTATCATTTAGTAGAAAAATTGCAAACTGTCAGTCACCAATGAACTGTGCTAAATGCAAAATTAGTACTAAATAGATTGATTATCCTCTTTTTCTTTCAAATATTATACATTTGCTGTATGCATATTCATTTTCTTCTTTCCAAAACAGTACCTTGTGCAATTGCTTTCATTGATCCATTCAAGAACAACTATACCACTACCAGCAAAATATTGAGGGTTCACTCTGTACTCAGCACTGAAAAGGTACATTTCTCATAGATAATACCAAACCCCACAAATAACTTTCAAAGATATAATGATGTTCACTTTTGCATAACTAACTCGGGAATACACTCACCTCTTGTTTACGTTCTCTTATCCTCTCAGTTGCCTTCCTTTCACTCTCAATTACATCATGTTATCATCACCGGTTTTTGGAGCTCCCTGGTCAGGGTCAAGTCCACACAGCAGATCCAGCAGTGTAGGCTTTCACATTCCGGAACTCAGTTATGGCATAAAGAGGAAAGTGAGGTGGGGAAGATTCAGTTTTCCTTCAGAGGACACCCAATACTGATGTAGGGAGTGTCTGTTAAGTGAGGAGTGCCACATTGTTGACAAGCAAAGTCAGTACAGCAAGAGCACTTTCAGAGGAGGGCTTTCGTGGCCATGCTTCCAGCGGAAAGAAACAGCCATCATTTCCTATGCTGCAGAGGAGATCGCTGAGGCACCGCCGCTCACCTCTTCAAACCTAGAGAGATGCTATTGCTCCAGATGCTCATTTGTAGCTGAGCTAATAGTGATATTAACAATCAGACCCATGCTTACCCTTTGAACATTCAATTTGCCTTTATGCATTTTAGTTATTCTTCTATAGCTTCCTTCTCCATAAATAAATCCAAATCATTGTTATAGGCTAAATGTTTGTTTCTCTGGTCAACATGTGTATGTTGAAGTCCTAACCCTTGATGTGTTGGTATTTGCAGGAGGGGTTTTTGGAGGTTATTAGGCATAGATAAAGCCATGAGGATAAAGCTGCTGTGATGAAATTAGAGTCCTTCTGAAAACAGGAAGAGACCAGAGCTCTCAGCTTTCTATGCCATGTGAGAATACAGTGAGAAGACAGTTGTCTACAAATCAGGAAGTGAGCCTTCACCAGAAATCAAACGTTTTGGCATCTTGATCTTGAACTTCCTGGCTTCCAGAACTGAGAAATAAATTTGTGTTGTTTAAGCCACACAGTCTATAGTATTTCGTTATAGCATCCCAAGCTAAGACAGTAATTTATATTTAGAAAGTAAAGCAAATATTAAAAACTTCTTAGGTACTTAAAGGTTAATTTTAAGGCTTAATATTAGCAATGTCAAACTTCAGAGATAGAAAATGATCAAATTTTGAAATATAAATCCTGAAAAGGGTCAGGAAAACAAGGAAGGAATTCTAATAAATTAGACATAAAGGTGACCAGAAAATTGTGGCCAATGTTGGAACAAGAGTTAACATTTAAAATGGTAATAATCAAAGGTTAAAAATAAAACAGCTGCATATGAAAACTTTCCTATCTAAATGTCTTAGAAAAGGAGCAAACTGTTGAATCAAACTCTTCTAGGGTTTAATGTTTTTTCTAGGAGAAAGCTGGTCATTTAGAAATTTAAAGCATCTCGCCAGGTTTTAAGGACACTGTCACTTTACCTCTTTTCTCTCTCTTTCTCTCTCTTTCCTTCTCTTTTTCACTCTCTCTCTCTCTCACACACACACACACACAAACACTGTTCATTTATTTACTTTGATTTAGTCCAACAACATTTAGTGTTTTCTGACCATTGACTTCTAGTTTAGTTTGGAAGATGAAATATCTACCAATTCATTCAGTGAACAGACATTTATCCAATGTCATTATTGTGCCAATTGTATATTCAAATACTAGTTAAATAACAAAAATATTGAAAACACTAGAAAAATGGAGGAATTGTAGATATAGTGACCAGATCAGTATTACTAACATTTAAATTTAAAGTATCAGAATGTCATCTAAAGGATTAACAGATTGGAAGAAACAAACAAAAAGGCAGAGTCCAGGTATAAGCCATGGAAACAAAGACTAATATAAAGATATTGCAAAATTGAGGCAGTTTGGAATCATAAATCTGAATTTTGTCGTGCAAGGGAACTATTAGAAGCATAGGCATTGTATGGAAAAGGCGTATCAGTTTGGCCTGCAGAAGACAGGAAAAAAATCTCATAATACCAGTATTTTATTTCTTTTCTTTTTCTTTTTTTTTTTCCTTCTTTATTTTTTTCTTTTGAGACAGAGTCTTGCTCTGTCACCCAGGCTGTGGTGCAGCTATGCAATCATGGTTCATTACAGTCTTGACCTCCGAGGCTCAAGTGACCTCCTGCCTCAACCTCCCAAATAGCTGGAACAGCAAGTGTGCACCATCATGCCCAGCTAATTTTTAAATTATTTTTTGTAGAGGCCAGGCATGGTGGCTCACACCTGTAATCCCAGCACTTTGGGAGGCCAAGGCAGGCAGATCACTTGAGGTCAGGAGTTTGAGACCAGCCTGGCCAACATGGTGAAACCCTGTCTCTACCAAAAATACAAAAATTAGCGGGGCATGATGGCTCATGTCTGTAATCCTAGCTACTCCAGAGGCTGAGGCAGGAGAATCACTTGAATCTGGGAGGCGGAAGTTGCAGTGAGCCGAGATCATGCCACTGCACTCCAGCCTAGGTGACAGAGCTAGACTCCGTCTCAAAAACAAAACAACAACAACAAAATATGAGAGAGAGAGATTCGTCATTGCCCAGGATGGTATCGAACTTCTGATACCAGTGTTTCTTAAAAAGGTCTTGGAAGAATCAGTTATAGATAGAGGTAGAAAAGAGGAAATCCATTTCAACTAATGTGTTAGGGTGAAAAATTGGGTACAAGCTTAAAAGGAATATTGACATGAAGGGACAGGGAAGAGAGTAGGAAAAACATGGGTGCAATGGAAGCAGTTTATTAATTATATGTTAACTCACTGAATTTACTCAGAAGAAAGATATTTTCCATGGATTTACACTGAAGAAAAAATGCACATCATTACATACCATTTCGGATACTTAATATAACCTATAGTTTCATGAAATCAATTTAAGAAAAGCTCAGTTAGGAAATCTCTTACTTGGGTGTTTTGAATGAGAAAATTCTGGATTAAAGGACTGAGGAGTGAGCAGCACCTTGAGAAGGACTCTCCTCTTCTGTGTTGTCTTCTTGTCTTATCTTACAGAGGCACTGGGGAATAGAGATAAAGATTGTATTTTGAATGCAATGTCCTGAGGATGCAAAGTAAGAGTGAAGCATATTGGAATTTGTCCAAGGTCTGTGGTTATTTGCTGACTTTTTTTTCCCCTACATGGAGATGTCTCATTTGGATTTGTATTATAACTACTGTGAAACTCCGTTGAACACCTTCGCCAGTTTGTGAGCTAACTTGGAAGGATATCATCCAGCCCAAGTTGAGCCATCCCAGCTGAAATTATGTGAGAAAAAACAAACCTGCCCTCACTTAGGTAACCATAAGATATATATACACAGATAAATTAAACGACTGTGGTTTTTGTAATCTGCTTTTACAGTGTTATTTCATATAAAACTAGATGCTTGAAAAATAATTTAGTACTAGAAATTCAGTGCTGCTGTGACAAAACATTAAACTTATGTTATAGCCTTGGGAATCGGCAGTTACGGCAAAAACTTGGAGAAAGTGAGAAAAATGTTATTGTAGGCTGAGAAAAAGGATAACTAATGATATGTAGAGACAGAAATCTTAACAAAACTATGGCCTGAACTGTAGTATAAAAAATATTACTGGATCTGACTATGGGTATATCTATGCAAATGAGTTTGAAATTATTTCTATGAATAAACTACATATAATAAATTTTGAAAAGTTTATTTCTGTGAATAAACTATATACAATAAATTATGAGAAGAACGTTCTAAGGACAGAACTGGTCTATTTTTCAGAAGAACTGAGAGAAAAGGTAAATGTACAAATACTAGTTGAGTTCAAATATAAAATCAATGCTCGGCCAGGCGTGGTGGCTCACGCCTGTAAACCCAGCACTTTGGGAGGCCAAGATGGGCAGATCACGAGGTCAGGAGATTGAGACCATCCTGGCTAACAAGGCGAAACCCCGTCTCTACTAAAAATACAAAAATTAGCCAGGCGTCCTGGCTGGCGCCTGTAGTCCCAGCTACTCGGGGGGCCTGAGGCAGGAGAATGGCATGAACCCGGGAGGCGGAGCTTGCAGTGAGCCGAGATGGCGCCACTGCACTCCAGCCTGGGCGATAGAGTGAGACTCCGTCTCAAAAAAAAAAAAAAAAAAAAAAAAAAGGAAGGTGATGCAATCACAGATGATTTCTCATACAAATGCGAGAATGACTCAGGCAGAGGGACCTACCTCGCAGCGAATCATTCCTAAGGAACATACTTGGGTCCCAATCAAGGAACTGTCAACGTGACTGGCTGGATTTCAAAGTTGCTATGAACCTGTGAATTCTATGTGCCTTCCATCCCTCTCGGCTCTCCTATTTGAATGGAAGTTTTGTTTTTATCATGGTTACTCTATACCTGTCATGTTATTGAAAGTTGGGAGTATGACATGACAGATACCTTTTCTTTGTAGTTCGTAGTGCTCCAGACTGTAAGACACAGAATTTGGAGGAGGGTGTCTGCATTGCCAGAACCATAATCAAAGAGCCTCATTCTCACTTGAATTTAGTTAGATGATGATGTGTCCGGAATTGGTGGGTTATTGGTCTCACTGACTTCAAGAATGAAGCCGCGGACCCTCGCGGTGAGTGCTACAGCTCTTAAGGTGGCGCGTCTGGAGTTTGTTCCTTCTGATGTTCGGATGTGTTCGGAATTTCTTCCTTCTGGTGGGTTCGTGGTCTCGCTGGCTCAGGAGTGAAGCTGCAGACCTTCGCGGTGAGTGTTACGGCTCTTAAGGTGGCGCTTCTGGAGTCGTTCGTTCCTCCCGGTGGGCTGGTGGTCTCTCGTTGGGCTCAGGAGTGAAGCTGCAGATCTTCGCGGTCAGTGTTACAGCTCATAAAAGCAGTGTGGACCCAAAGAGTGAACAGTAGCAAGATTTATTGCAAAGAGCGAAAGAACAAAGCTTCCACAGTGTGGAAGGGGACCCCAGCCGGTTGCCACTGCTGGCTCGGGCAGCCTGCTTTTATTCTCTTATCTGGCCCCACCCACGTCCTGCTGATTGGAAGAGCTGAGTGGTCTGTTTTGACAGGGTGCTGATTGGTGCGCTTATAATCCCTGAGCTAGACACAAAGATTCTCCATATCCCCCCCAGATTAGTTAGATACAGAGTATGGACACAAAGGTTCTCCAAGTCCCCACCAGATTAGCTAGATACAGAGTGTGGACACAAAGGTTCTCCAAGGCCCCACCAGAGTAGCTAGATACAGAGTGTGGATTGGTGCATTCACAAACCCTGAGCTAGACACAGGGTGCTGATTGGTGTGTTTACAAACTTTGAGCTAGATACGGAGTGCCAACTGGTGTATTTACAATCCCTGAGGTAGACATAAAGGTTCTCCACGTCCCCACCAGACTCAGGAGCCCAGCTGGCTTCACCCAGTGGATCCCACACTGGGGCTGCAGGTGGAGCTGCCTGCCAGTCCCGCGCCTTGCACCCGCACTCCTCAGCCCTTGGGTGGTCGATGGGACTGGGCGCTGTGGAGTAGGGTGTGGCGCTCGTCGAGGAGGTTTGGGCCGCACAGGAGCCCACGGAGGCGGGGGAAGGCTCAGGCATGGCGGGCTGCAGGTCCCAAGCCCTGACCCGCGGGAAGGCAGCTAAGGCCCGGTGAGAAATCGAGCGCAGCGCCGGTGGGCTGGCACTGCTGGGGACCCAGTACACCCTCCGCAGCTGCTGGCCCGGGTGCTAAGTCCCTCATTCCCCGGGCCGGCAGGGCCGGCCGGCTGCTCCACGTGCGGGGCCCGCCAAGCCCACGCCCACCCGGAACTCCAGCTGGCCCGCAAGCGCCCCGCGCAGCCCGGGTTCCCGCTCACGCCTCTCCCTCCACACCTCCCTGCAAGCTGAGGGGGCCGGCTCTGGCCTTGGCCAGGCCAGAAAGGGGCTCCCACAGTGCAGCGGTGGGCCGAAGGCCTCCTCAAGTGCCGCCAAAGTGGGAGCCCAGGCAGAGGAGGCACCAAGAGCGAGCGAGGGCTGGGAGGACTGCCAGCACGCTGCCACCTCTCAATGAGATCCTGGGCATCAAGCAAGTGCACACTGAGCAGAGGCTTTATACATGCCTTGGAAAGGTAGAATGAATCAATCTTTCTTTTCTTTTTCTTTCTTTCTTTCTTTTCCTTCTTTCTTTCTTTCTCTTTCTTTCTTCCTTCCTTACCCACCCTCCCTCCCTCCCTTCCTTCTTTCTTTTCCTTCCTTCCTTCCTTTTTTCTTTTTTCCTCCCTCTCTCCCTCCCTCCTTCCTTCGTTTTCTTCCTTCCTTCCTTCCTTCCTTTCTCTCTTTTTCTTTCTTTCTTTCTTTCTTTCTTTCTTTCTTTCTTTCTTTCTTTCTTTCTTCTTTCTTTCTTTCTTTTTTTCTTTCTTTCTTTCATCTTTCTCTCTCTCCCTCTCTCTCTTTCTTTCTCTCCTTCCTTCCTTCCTCCTCTCTCTTTGTCTTTCTTTCTTTTATGGTAGAGATGGGATCTGGTTACACTGCCCAGGCTGGTCTGAAACTCCTGGTCTCAAGTGATCCTCTCGCCTCTTCCTCCCAAAGTGCTGGGATTATAGACATAAGCCACCACATCTGATACAATAATCCATTTTTTTTCTTATGGGAATACTGTAAATAATTTGTTACTAGAGAGTGTAATTTGTTTTAAGCTCCATCTCATACTCTCTGGTGGTTTGCTATGCAGCTATAGTTGATCAGAAGAGGGTGTCAATTGAGATTAAGAGGGTGATTTTAGAGGTTTGCAGGTAGAGCAAGAAGTACCAGATTGTCACCTAGAAGACATGGACTATGAGATATAGTGGAATTGCCAGTCAGCACTAAAGGCCAGACTGTGAGTAATAATTTTGCATCATGATTGGTTATTACATTGTGATTCATAATTTAGCAATTGTCCCATTATTTTTCATTGAATTTCTTTTTTTCCCCATAACTTTCACTCTTAGAAATACAGCTGAAGAGCAGGATTTCATTATAAGTTTTCAGAGCTTCAGGTTACCACATAGATCACAGCCTGGCTTATGACTTAGTCTCAGCTTCCTGAACCAAATGGAGAAGACAAGAAGTACAGAGCTGATGAGTGGTATAAAACCTGAAAGGCACAAAGAGAGAAGGCTTTCATTAGGACCCACAGGAAAATAAAAAATGTGAACAGTAGAAATCACAGGAAGCAGAAGTGAATGGGAGAGGGGATTTGTACACACACACACACACACACACACATACACACACACATACAAAATCAGCAATGGAGTGAGAAAGTAAAAAAATTAGAAAAAAATAAAGAAGTTGATTGAAAGAAACATATCACTTATGAAATTCTTCACTCATTCTTGCATTTACACATTCATTCACAAAAATACATTGAGTGCTTAAAATGAGTGCTTAAAATGAGCAAGCACTGTTCGAGGTATTTGAGATGAAGTAACCAGAAACAAACTTGATTCCAATAAACTAAGTGAGGGACATAGATCATAAATTTAAAATTAATACACATATGCATGTAATATTGTTTGAAAAGTTAAATGTATAAAATACATGTGTACATGTAATCATGCCAAAATATTTACAAAATAGACATGCTATAAAAACTGAAAGCAAAGTGACAGAACAGAAAATAGTTTACCTTGGTATTCTCCATTAGGTCATCGGGACTTCTCCATTGAAGAGACGACATTTAAGCTGAGACGTGAATGAAGGGAAGGAGATAACCTGGAGGAACATTCTTGGCAGAAGGAACAGTAAATGCCTGGGCCTAAAGGTAGGGGTGGGACTTGGTTGTTCTTAAACAGAATGAGTGACAGGAACAGAAGGGTAAGATAGGTTACAGATGAGGGTGCAGACGGAATCCAGTTAAGACATTATGTTTCATCTTGAGAGAGATGGAAAGCCTTCAGTAGGCTTAGATCAGGAGAGTGACATGACTTAATATATATAATCGTATTTTTCTGACTTCCCTGTATAACAGAAGAGCAGAGTGAAAGTGGAAGGAAAGCAGATTGGAGACTGTTGCAACTTTCCAGAATAAATGTATAATTTTGGAAAATATGTATCCACTGCTCTGAGCTCAACATGTATCCACTACTCTGAGCTCAACAGTACCTCAATACTTGGATACATTTTTGATGAGATATTACAAATGTGAATTTTTTATATTGTAAAATGAAATATGTCAAAATTTGGAAATTTGAAAAATTCTGCAAAATAATTTTTTGAATGATCAATGCATGATATTACAAAACCATTCAACTATTTTTAAGAAACTACCACTAGTAGAATTTTGACATAGACATTGACATAGTATCAAGGAAGGATATAAATAATTATACATAAAATCTATTAAAATACTCTTCCCATTTTTAACAACGTATTTGTGTTGAGACAAGATTTTCTTCACCACACACTTTAACCAGAGCAATATGTCAAAAACAGTTTGAAAGCAAAGCAGCTATTTTCTATTAAAACAGACATAAAAGAGATATGCAAATACATAAAACTCCACTTAGCAATTTTTTGTAAAATATATTTTAAACATAAGCTATTGATATTAACATATCATGAGTTTCTTATTTTTATATAATGAATAGGTATTAAAATAATCTCACTGTTTTAATAATACAGTAAATGTCAATGCACGTGAGCCACAAAACAAAAGAATTTTGGACTCCTTAATACATTGTTAGAGTGTAAGTTTGTCCTGAAACCAAAAGTTTTAGAATTGTGCCTGTATAATATCACATTGTATAAATATATTACACGTTGGCTGGGTGCGGCAGCTCACTCCTGTAATCCCAGCACTTTGGGAGGCCAAGGCAGGTAGTTCAGGAGGTCAGGAGATCGAGACCATCCTGGCTAACACGGTGAAACCCCGTCTCTACTAAAAAATACAAAAAATTAGCCAGGCGTGGTGGCAGGCACCTGTAGTCCCAGCTACTCTGGAGGCTGAGGCAGGAGAATGGCGTGAACCCAGGAGGCGGAGCTGGCAGTGAGCCGAGATCGTGCCACTGCACTCCAGCCTGGGCGACAAAGGGAGACTCCATCTCAAAAAAAAAAAAAATACATATATATATATATATATATACACACACATATATAAAATACATTTTATATTTCATTCTGCTTTAGGTACAATTTGGGGTGTTTCCACATTTCTTTTCTTTCTTTCTTTCTTTTTTTTTTTTGAGGTGGAGTTTCGCTCTTTTGCCCATGCTGGAGTGAGTGCAGTGGCGCGATCTTGGCTCACTGCAACCTCTGCCTTCTGGTTTCAAGCAATTCTCCTGTCTCCGCCTCACAAGTAGCTGGGATTACAGGCGCCTGCCACCATACCCGGCTAATTTTTATATTTTCGGTAGAGACAGGGTTTTACCGTGTTGGCCAGGCTGGTCTGGAACTCTTGACCTTGTCATCCACCTGCCTTGGCCTCCCAAAGTACTGGGATTACAGGGGTGAGCCACCACGCCCGACCCACATTTTTGTTATTATGAACAAGTTGCTATGATCCAAATCTGCTATTTTACATGTCTCCTTCACTTAGGCAGCAATTTTTCTATAGTACATAAAAGTGTGGAATTGCTTGGCCACAGGATATGTTTATGCTGAGTTTTATAAAATAATTGCAATTCGCTTTACAAACTGGTTATATTAATTTAGATTTCCATCATTAAGACATGAAAGGTTTTCTCTAAATTATGACCAAAAATGAGTGCCGTTAAATTTTCTTTAAGTTTGACAATCTAATAGGTGTAATATTAAATGTTATTGAACTGAGTGTGTCCTTCCTGGTGACTAAATAATTTGATTATACTTTGACTTGTTAATAATCTTTTCAGATCTCTTTTTTGGTAACATGTCTAATGGTCTCTTCTGGTCATTTCTGTGTGGGGTTATTGTACTTATTCCACTTAATTAGTAGACTTCTTCCTATATTTTAACTATGATTCCTTTGTCAGTTTTAAATATTGAAAATGACTTCTCCATGTTAAGAAAATTTTAGATTTAAAAAACTTTGTATTTTAATGTCATCTATTAATTTATTTGTTGATTTTTAGTTGTGTTTGTTTGCTTGCTTTTGTTTTTAAAAAAGTCTTTATCACCTTTAGGTTACATGCATATCTTCTTGTGTTTTTTTCCTAAAAATGTTAAAAGGTTTGTGTGGCAGTCATAATTCTAAAGATGCTTATTTCCCAGCATTGCTGCCCCTTCCCCACTTTTTTTTTTCAGTCAAACCTTAAACTAGGTATTGCCATGAGGGAATTTTGACTATATCATTTAAGACCCAACTTAATTGACCTTTATATTTGGAAATTCTGCTGGGTGGCCTTTACTCAATCAAGCAAGTCTTTAAAAGCTGAGTTTTCTCCAGGTAGTGGCAGCAGCAAGAGCAGCAGCAGAATAAGAAGCCAGAGAGTTTCAAAGGACTAGAAAGGTGTGATGGATTTTGGTTGCTTGACCATGGGGGGTCCATATGAAGAGAAATGTAGGTGGTATTGAGAAGTTGAGACTGGTGCCTGACTGACAGCCTGTGAGGATTTAGGAACCTTAGTTCTACAACCACAAGGAACTGAATTCAGCCGACAAACTAAATGAGGCTGGAAGCAGGTTATTCTCCTGAGCCTCCAGACTGGAGACCAACCTGGCCAGCACCTTGATCTGGACTTTGTGAGAATCTAAGCAGAGAAACCATCTGAGATCACCTGGGGTTCTGATCTACAGAACTGTAAGATCATAAATCAATGTGATTTTAAGCAACAAAGACTGTAGAATTTGTTATATAGCAACAAAATATTAATATTTTTGCTTTTAAATTTCCATTTTTAATGTAAGAACTTACTGAGGATCTAATTTTATTTTTTCCCTATAGATAAACAATAGTATATTATAGAAACTAGGGATCCATTTTCATTTTTTTCACATAGATGACCAGTTGTTATCCACTGTTTACTATCCATACTTAACCTAGAAGACTCTAAAGTTAATCTATACTATCTTTTTTTAAAACAGAGAACTTTATAACTCTTTATTTTTGAATTTTTATTGGTCATCCTCTCCCTGATATGTGGTTATTTTCCAATATTTTGACCTGTTTTCACTTCAAAAGTCAACCATTGATATTATTGTGAAGATATTATTGTTATTACTATTATTAGGGTATTCTTATTACCTTATAATATGGTTTGGCTGTGACTCCACCCAAATATCATCTTGAATCGTAGTTTCCATAATCCCCACGAGTCATGGCAAGAACCCAGTGAAAGGTAATTGAATCATGGGGGCAGTTACCTCCATGCTGTTCTCCTGATAGTGAGTGAATTCTCCTGAGATCTGATGGTTTTATAAGGGACTTCCCCCGCCTTGCTCGGCACTTCTCCTTCCTGCCACTGTGTGAAGAGAGAAGTGTTTACTTCACCTTCCACCACGACTATACATTTCCTGAGCCTTCCCCAGCCCTGGGGAACTGTGAATCAATTATACCTCTTTCCTTTATAAATTACCCAGTCTTGGATATTTTTTCATAGCAGCGTGAGAATGGACTAATACCTTCTATCAATCCTTTATATTTTCCTACAACATCGGTCCTCAGCCTTTTTGGCATAGGAATCGGTTTCATGGAAGACAATTTTTCCATGAAAAATGGGGGGCATGGTTTCAGGATGAAACTGTTTCACCTCAGATCATCAGGCATTAGTTATATTCTAATAAGGAGCACACAACTTGGATTCCTCATATGCACAGGTCACAATACGGTTTGTGCTCCTGTGAGAATCTAGTTCCGCCATTGATCTAAGAGGAAGAGGAGCTCAGGCTGCAATGCTAGTCACCTCCTGCTGTGTGCCTCGGTTTCTAACAGGCCAAGGACTGGTACAGGTCTGTGGCGGGGGGTTGGGGACCCCTGCCCTACAAGTTTAGTTCTTCTTCCACATCATTCCTTATTAATTTCATTCCTCACATCTCAAACCTTCCAAGATTCTTTTCATTATTTCCGAATTTTCTGTAGTAAAATTGCATTGGTTATAAACATGAGATTTTTGCAGTGTTTAATATTATAGTAGCAGTTATCAAGGGAAGTGCTGAAGGTACCTTGTTAATCATTAATTTCACCATTTCATTTTACAGATGAGAAAAGTGAGCCCCAGAATGGCAAAAATGAAACAATGTAAAATTTTTAGATAGAAAAAATAGTCCATTATTTTTGTTTACAACTTATGATTTATCTGTTTTTTTCTAAGGCCTCACAGAAACTCAGCAGGAAAACCGGGATAAAATTTCCAGACTTCTGGTTTTCTTGGTCTAATATTCTCTCCGCTATTCATTACACTACATTCCCTCTCATTATGAAACAATTCCCATTTATTTTCACCTCGTCTTCCTGCTATGACATCTTGTCTGGTTTTCAGACATGTGAGGAAAGTTCAATGAGGGGATACAGCACTGAAAATGCTCTTTTTGAGTGTCTTTGTTTGAAAACAACAGTAGGTGTTTCTAACAGCATCTACATAGCCAGTTTCCAAAATTTATCCCAGTATTGCAGTGCTTGAATGACAAAATAATGATCCTGCTTTGTTACCCTGCTGCTAGTACCTATCAAATAAAATTGTCTGTCGCTGCTCATTTATAGAGGAAATCCTGAGAGTATTGATTTTTAATTATTTCCCTTGAGCATCAGTTGTATTATATTTCATTTAATGGATACAAATGGGGGAGGTGAAATCATCACATGAATATTTCATAGCATGCTTAAAGCTGTATTTGAATGTAATATATTTAGAGTATATCATTTAAGAAACAATATAAATGACATTTTCCATGTATCCACGAGGCAAAAATGAAATAATGCAAATTTTTAAGATAAAAAAGTCTATTATTTTTGTTTACAACTTATGATTCATTAGTTTTTCAATTGCCTTTAGAAATAGAATATGGCCCAATACTTTATTGTTTGCTATTAATTGCATGTTCATTATTTGTGCAACAAACTCACTCAGTGAGTTTAATTTGAAAAATTCCTAATTTTTGTACTGTTATTTATTCTGCATTTGTATCATCAAAGAATCTTATAAACTGCTAGTAAATCAAATAAACCTAAATGATTAAATGTTCACTCGAATTTATGAGTCTGATTAGGCAAGGAGCTTTTTTCATACAAATTATTTTGTGCTACTTGGATTCATTTAAAGCATCTCAATGAATTTTATAAATGAATATTGACGTTTCAATATTGCAGCATTTTGCTAACGCATTATCTGATAGCAACAAAAATAAGCAAAGGAGTTTAAAAAGAGGAGGAAATTTAATTTCACACATAAAACAGATCAGTCTCTGTCCACTATGTGCTATCGAAAGTATTAATCTTTGGTTAATGGCTCATGGTGAGCATTATAATAGAAATGGAAAGGCCGTGGAGAAAATCAGCATTGTTTATAGCTTTCTACAGGCATGTTTCTTATTCCTCTACTGAGCTGGCATCTACTGTGGTTAAATCATGAGATAAAATTTCTCATGAGGAAATCATAAAACACAGTTCAACACCAAATATACAATCAGTGGGCAAGAAAGAAACAGCTGTCTTGTCTTCAAAGTGATATTTTCCTTATACAAGTATTTCATCCTAATGGGCTAGTTTGCCTCAGGTATACTACAGAGTTGTCAATATTGTGACTGCTTCTGCCATGTCCCTCTTCCTTTTGCTCTCAGATCTGCTTGGACATTCTTTGCATTTTTATCTACCTCTTTGTGTGACTCTGGGACTCAAGTCCACATGACATGATGTTTCTCCCATGGGCATTAGTTTCAGGGTAAGAGTGATGCGAAGAAATTCAAACTGTTGGTTAACAACCTGCTTGGTTAATTCCACAGAATTCTATTAACATAAATCTTGCAAATGTAAATACTGAAAGCTTAGGGTTAACTAGAGGGAATTTTGAAATAGCTACGATTTGAAAGCCTGTGTTAAACTGTAGTAGTGCAAGGAAAAAACACACATACACAAATCATAAACTGCTACTCAGAGGGTCTCTAGCGTCACTCTCTTGATTTGTAGTTTTCCCTTCTCTCCCTAATTTCAGAGTTTTGTTCATCAATCATCCCTAATCATATTTCCAAACTTCTTTTGAAACCTTGTTCACTACCACAGAAATTGTTCTCAGTTTATGATTCTTTCCTACCTACCACCAAGGCCATCCACACCTAAAAATATTTCACATTAGTAAATTTTAGAGGTAAACTTCAGGCAACAATGAAACCATGTCATACTTCAGCAGGCTGTATGATCTGGGCTCTGGATGTCCAAATTCGTTTGGTCTTTGTGTCCTTGTGTTAATTTTCAGTCTCAATGCATGTACTTGTGCATGCACGCACACAGGTCAAAAAGAAAAAACTACAACTATGAGTCAGCATAGTAGAAGTTGCCTAATTTCATTTTAAGGAAAAATTTTCTTTTATTAAATCTTATATCAAAATCCTAAATTTCCTGAACCTAGAGATAATATTCGTTTCACTTCTTTTTCTTGTGTATCTCAACAATGCCAAAAGTCACTTAACAGATACAAGACATGCAGACCTTCGGCAGGGTGCAGTGGCTCAGGCTGTAATCCCAGCACTTTGGGAGGTCAAAGAGAGCAGATCACGAGGTCAGGAAATCGAGACCATCTGGGCCAACATGGTGAAACCCCGTCTCTACTAAAAATACAAAAAAAAAAAAAAAATAGCTGGGCGTGGTGGCGTGAGTCAGTAGTCCCAGCTACTCAGGAGGCTGAGGCAGGAGAATCGTTTGAACCCAGGAGGTGGAGGTTGCAGTGAGCTGAGATCGCGCCATTGCACTGCAGCCTGGTGACAGAGTGAAACTCCATCTCAAAAAAAAAAAAAAAAGGAAAAAAGGAAAAAAAAGAAAAGAAATGCAGATCTTTTATTTATTTATTTATTTATTTATTTATTTATTTATTTATTTATTTTTGAGATAAAGTTTTGCTCTTGTCGCCCAGGCTGGTGTGCAATGACGCAATCCTGGCTCACTGAAACCTCTGCCTCCCAGGTTCAAGCCATCCTCTTTCCTCAGCCTCCCAAGTAGCTGGGATTACAGGCGTGCCCCTGCCTGGCTAATTTTTGTATTATTAGTAGAGACAGGTTTTCACCGTGTTGGCCAGGCTGGTCTCCAACTCCTGACCTCAGGTGATCTGCCCACCTTGGCCTCCCAAAGTGCCAGGATTACAGATGTGAGCCACTGCGCTCATCCTCTGCAGGCCTTTTAAAATGTCTCAGCAGGTCTCAGAATTTCGGATATCGACACTTGGTTTTACAAAGCCTTGCAGAAATTCTGAAATTAATGTATATTTCTTTTTTCTTGGACTCGTCAAGTTTTCAGAAAGAACATCATGTCTCCCCACTGATCTCTGGGAGTGAAAGAGGCACACTATGAGTTTATTAACAGTTTCTTTCCCTCCAGAGAATTAATTTCCTCACCCACTCCTCACGTCTGGGTAGGAATTTAATGTTTTAGTTACAAAAAAACTAATGATAATACCTTTCACAGTTGCCATATTGCAGTGGAAAGAGAACCAACAAAAGTGATTTCTCTGAATGAAAATACTATTGAGTTGGTGGGATACGCCAGGAAGAACCAGTGTGTTAAGGAATCATTTCTCATTTCTTCACAGGCTGACCATGCTGGTCGCCATGTTACTAGATAGCCCTACTGAATGAGAACAAAAGTTTTTTATGGTAAGATTTTGGGTTTAGTACTCTCCAAGCACACAAGCTTTAGCTTTAAAACCCAGCCAGATAGGGGCTGGGTGCGGTGGCTCACGCCTGTAATCCCAGCACTTTGGGAGGCCGAGATGGGCGGATCATGAGGTCAGGAGATCGAGACCATCCTGGATAACACGGTGAAACCCTGTCTCTACTGAAAATACAGAAAAAAACTAGCCGGGCATGGTAGTGGACTCCTGTAGTCCCAGCTACTTGGGAGGCTGAGGCAGGAGAATGGCATGAACCCTGGAGGTGGAGCTTGCAGTGAGCAGAGTTCACGCCACTGCACTCCAGCCTGGGTGACAGAACGAGACTCTGTCTCAAAAAATAAATAAATAAATAAATAAATAAATAAATAAATAAATAAATAAATAAACCAGCCAGATATTCTCACATTTGTGTTGCTAATTAGGGCATTTAGTTCAGAATTAATGTGTTATTGCATCAGCAAAAAAAAAGTAAACTTTTTTTTCAAATGTCAGTGTAAGGGGAAGCACTGTTCACCCTAAAGGATTACAACAACGAATACTCAACTAGAAAGAAAATATTTTGTGTCTCATGCATTACAATATACATTTCCTTTCCCTATGGGCTAGTTAGGCCTGTCATCCAAAGCTCAACTTTATGTTTGAATGGTTTGTTGATATAAAGCAGGACACATTTTGTTTTTTGAACAAAGAAAAGGCCATATTTTAAAAATAGAATTTTGGGCACTGGTGTAGCTGTGACCATGGTTATGTAATTAAATGTTCTCCTAGCCATAAAAACATTCACTCTTGGTCAATGCAATGTAAAATACAGTGGAACAGTGGAAATAACCAAATTAACTAAAGTGATTTGCTAACCTGGAGGATGTAATCATTCATTTGAAAAAATATTCTGGATAATTACTTGTTAATTGTTGATTTTGACAATGCAGTAAACACATTGCTCATCTAATTGGATAAAATTAATACAATAAGCAAAATATAAAAATTTTGCACACCATCAAGACTGTTTTGTTGCCCAATTTGGTCAAATTACATGGTCAGTGTCAATCTCCTTTGGATTATTCTAGTTACCAGACAGCTCCAGATGGAAGCCAGTGACTATTGCTAGATCAGCATTTAGAAAATGTAATTTCTTACAATCTCTTCACACACTGCTATGTTTCTCTTCCCACTGAAACAAATTGGCATTAAGGACATTTTTAACAAAGCTTAAACTTGAAATGTTTGTCAGCTGCATGTTTATTTCAGTATATCTATTATATTACATTATTATTAAGGAAAATCAAATTGATTATAATTGGTATACTATTTTCAAAAATATATGTAATCTACATTATACATATATTCTCTTAGCTGTTCATTGAACTTATAAACAAATTTATGGTTTATTATGGTTTACAGTTTTTCTATGTTGTTTATCAAAACAATAAAACATTGCCTCATCTAATCAATAATTTTTAAAAAGCATTCACATGGTTGGACAAACTGCAAGGTTGTTACTTGTAATCTTGGTCATACTAACAAATGAGAAATTAGGTTGTTGAGTTGAATTTATCATAAAGACTGTTTAAATAATGACATTTGCCAATATATTTGGCATTTCCTTATAGAAATCAGAAATGTATCACACAAGATAGAGATAATGCATACAGTCTAAGTGGATAATAATGGAAAGCAAAAGAAAAGTATAAAATGGAAAAAACTCTTAGGCATAAACATTGGATTCTAGATTTCATACTGTTTAGTATAGTTTTAACATGAAAGTTGTAAGATGAAAATTACAACTCTCCAACTTGGTACTGATATGAAGACATATATAATGAATCTCATAAGTTTATTTTTCAAGTTTAAATTCTTGTTGTGCAAAATAATTGGAAAAATCTTTATGAGATCTTTATGAAACACTATGCTCAGCCCCACAATAGAGACGTGGACAATATAATAAACACTTTCTAAAACATAATAACAATGAGAACACTTGGACGCAGGGTGGGGAACATCACACACCGGGGCTTGTTGGGGGGTGGGGGTGGGGGAGGGATAGCATTAGGAGAAATACCTAATGTAAATGACCAGTTAATGGGTGCAGCACACCAACATGGCACATGTAGACATTTGTAACAAACCTGTACATTGTGCACATGTACCCTAGAAATTAAAGTATAATAAAAAGAGAAAAAAAATTAAGATAAATTAAAAAATATAAAATGTTTTGAATATGCAACAGGGTGACTATAGTCATAATAACTTAATTACGTATTTTAAAGTAACTAAAATAATACAATTGGATTGTTTGTAACATGATGGATAAATGCTTGAGGGGATGGACACCCAGTTTTCCATGATGTGCTTATTTCACATTGCATGCTTGTATCAAAATATCTAATATATTCCATATGTATAAACTTACTATATACCCAGAAAAATAGAAAATTAAAAAATTAAAATGAATATATAATTTACAATGAAGCATTGTGAATTGTAAATAAAAAATATTTTTCTCCACTTTATGTTAAAGTTAACTTGACAATATATCCTGGAAGTTAACTTGTTAACTTGACAATATATCCTGGAAGTTTTCCTTAAATACTATATAGAAATAGTTTTTTATAATTTTTTTAGCTGTGCAGTACTCTCTTTTGGGTATTTACCATAATTTAACAACCAGTTACATATTTATCAACATTTGAGTTATTTCCAGTCTTTTGCTATGTCAATCAGTGTTTCATTGACTACATAGCATTGTATTTGTTCTTTTGTATTTTGGGAATAGTTTCCTAGAAGTAAGATTGCTGGATCAAACAGAAAAACATATGCAATTTTGCTAGATATCAACAAATTTCCATAATAGATGTTGAACCATTTTGTATCCTCACCAGCTAATGTATGACAAAGTACTTCCCCTACAGCCTAACCAACAATGCATGTTTTCAAACTTTTGGAGTTTTCCCAATGCAAATAGGTGAGGAACAATAAATATTTTTAAATGCCAACACTCTCAGTTTTTTTTTCTTGTTGATTATTTTCTCTATATCTCCATCCTGTAAATCAATATGCTTTTCCAAAAATCACACATGTACTGTATTTGTCAGTTCTCACGATACTAATAAAGACATACCCAAGACTGGGTAATTTATAAAAGAAAGCGTTTTAATTGACTCACAGTTCCGTATTGCTGAGGAGGCCTCACAATCATTGCAGAAGGCAAAGGAGAAGCAAAGTCACATCTTACATGGCGGCAGGCAAGAGAGTGTATGCAGGGGAACTCCCCTTTATAAAACCATCAGATCTCATGAGACTTATTTACTATCATGAGAACAGCACTGGAAAAACCTTCCCCCATGATTCAATTACCACCCACCAGGTCCCTCTCACAACATGTGGGAAACATGGAAGCTGCAATTCAAGATGAGATTTGGGTGAGGACAGAGCCAAATCATGTCACACACCTTTAGAAATTTGTCCATTTATTTCTTGCCCTACATTTTTTATCTTTCTTCATTGAAGATTGGAATAAAACAAGAAAATGTACTTTTTTTCAAATCAGAATCTAAGAAAATTAATTCAGGCAGACATGTGTACTTTCCACAGAAACAGACCATCTTTGCTTATTTTAAATTATGAAGGAGTTACAAATGCAAATGGTGGTCTTCAAGGACCAGTATTTTGCTATAAGGGCCATATGGTTCTTTCTTTTCTACAAGAAATATGGAATAATTAAATGCAAGCAGCCTAAACATTACTCTCCTATATCCCAACCCAAATCCTTCTGAGGATATGTAATGCAACTTGTGGGTGTGAACAGAACTTAGAAAATACTTTGTCATTCTAAAAGTTTATACAAGTCATAGATAATATAAGTAATTGTAAAGCTTTCATTCTGAATGAAGCCTTTAGAAACACTTTTTACACTTGTTACATAATTTAGAACAGTGTTTTTCTCCCTGGTGTGTGATTGATTTGTGGGGAAATTGCTATTTTATTTGAGTTGATAATTCAGACTCTTATTGCCAATAAATCCATTTCTCTTAAAGCCAGAGATCCTGATTGTTTTCTAGAAGCTAAAATATATGGAATAAATGGTAGTATTATATTATATGTACATTGTATATAGGACAAATAGAGACTTACCCAGAGTGGTTGTAAAGTGTTGCTTTCCTTTGGGTCTACTATAATTCAAAATGCATTGAGAACATGAAGGCATATTTTCTAGTTGGGGCTCTTTGTTCTCTTTTTCATTGTAAGAGAGCCTATAACTTTCCAAGTATGTTATAGGCTTTCCTTGTGGGAGAGGCCACAGTAGATATTCTATTCTGTTATCAAAAAGCTAATGCCGGAACTAAAATCCCCATTTCCAGTGTGGCATTATTAACACTTTAAAAAGAGAACAAAACCAAATTTTCCTGGTTACTTTTTATTCAGCAAATATTCTTCATTGTTTGCCTACTAAGTGCCAGCTGTTTCATACATATTATTTTTGTTTTACACAATATTTTTAGATGGTTATCATTACCATTTTACAGACCAAAAAAACGAGACTGTTAAAAGTAAAGGAACTCACTTATTGTCACTGTTATTAACTTGCTGAGGAAGAACAAAAACCCAGGTCTATCAGACTTCAAATAGTTTCCAAAGTTCTTTTATATACAATGAGTCACTTCCCCCAGTGCAGTTATTATCTTATTCTTAACCATTTTTACATTTATTTTCTTTTTACTGATACCTGAGAGGTAGAATTGGAATGTGTGTGTGTGTGTGTGTGTGTGTGTGTGTCTGATTTTACTATCAATTGCACTCAAAGACTGCATTTACATAAAAGGAAGTGTTAACATGAAATGAAGAGTTTCTATATTTGCAGGAAACAAAATGTTATGTTGCTCTTTTAAGATATGCTTGCAGTGTTACATTTCATAGACTCTGGAGTGAGACTCGTGTTCAAATTCTGCCAAGTCAGGTATTAGCTGCATAGTCTTGGGTAAGTCCTTTAATTTTTCTGTGTTTTATTTTCTACAAATATTGAATGGTAAAATAATATTTTCTAACTCATTGGCTTGTCATAAAGGTGAAATGAATATATATGTGCACATATATACACATGTGTGCACACATACATGTACACATTATATAAATATATGTATACATACCTTAGAACAGTAACTAGCTTATGTGAATTGCTCTGCTTAATAAATTTCAGCTATTATTATAATTCTTCCTCAAAACTCTTTGTTAAATATTTTTTCTATAGTAATTTTCCAGTCAATTTTCTCATAATTTGTTGCATCTGTTTATATTTATTTAAAAAATTATTTTTGACTACAGCTAGTTCAAGATTTTATTCTACTCTCTGGCCAGCCCTTGGCAAAATTGTGAGCAGGCAAAGATTGACTGTGACTCATTGACATCCCCAGCTTTTAACACTTGTATCTTATTTCAGCATATTTTTACTCCCATCTTTCAGGGATCAATGTTTTTTATTCTGATCTGCTTTTCCTATGTGTTCCTAAATGTATCCACAGTAAAGAGATGTGACATTTACATGATATTCTTCTAGGTGTATTTAAATTAGAACAGTAGACTGTAGATAAAGCAGTTCTGAATACAAAGATATAGATACCTAACTGAGGAATTTTAGGAATTGAGGACTAAAGATTTTAAGAGAACGTGTCCTTCACAGTGTCCCTAACATCACAATGGGTAAACACAATCCCATTCGGAGTAGGCTCATCTTGCTTACCATATGTGTGCTAATTTGGTCCCAAGTTTATCAACTTAAGTGAAGAGACTGGACTTTGTGACACTGAATGACTGAACAGTTATATTTGGCAATTCAATTCTCCTAAATCTCTGCTGTATTTACTCCTTAAATCAACCCAGCCTCAGTACTGAATGTCAAGAAAGCTCTTCTGGGTCTGAAGGAGGCCTTGGACTTAGCTCAGGAGAATTCAGCAAACCCATGGTCTTTCAAAATGTCTCTCTGTTTTTGAAGCTCTCCTGTTATTTCCTGTAATAGCTAGAGATGTTTGTATAAAACACAAGTGTTATGTCATTCTTTGTCCAAACATGTCATTCTTTGTGTTATGTCATTCTTTGTCCAAACATGTCATTCTTTGTCCAAACCTTTTCAATGACTTTCCATATTGTGTGAAATATAGGTCAAAATCCTTATGGTTACCAGAGTGAAAAAACAAGACAAATTTTATTTAAAGTATTGTAGTAGAAAAGTGTCTTAATCATTTCAGGCTGCTGTTAAAAAATCACCATGACCTAGGTAGCTTATAAGCAACATAAATGTACTTCTCACCGTCCAGGAGGCTGGGAAGCTCAAGATCAAGATGTTGGCAAATTAAGTGCCTGGCTAGGGTCTGGTTCCCATGTTGTAAATACCACTTTCTCACTGAACTCATATGGCGGAACAGGAGAGAGAGATTCCTTGGGCATCTTTTACAAGGGCACTGATCCTATTCATGAGGGCAGAAGTCTCATGACCTAATCACCTTCCAAAGTCCCCATCACCTTTGGGGTTAGGATTTTAGCCTATGAATTTTGAGGGACAAAACATTCAGCCTACAACAGGAAGACAGAGTCCAATATGGAATGAACTCAATGCCAACTAAAATAAAGGTGACTAAGGTTTTTAAAGGAAGAACTGAGAGAGAACATAAAGGGACACAGGGATGTGAAAAAAAAAGAAAGGGATGGGGAAAAGAGGGTGCCTGAGGAACCAAAAAGGGGGCTACCAGGAAATGAAAAATTACAGAAGAAGAGTGAGTAAAACATTACTGAACATGGTTTGACAATGTGGGTTGGTATGAATTATATTTTGTGGTTTGGCAGAATAACATTGCTCAGGGCTTATGGCCACTGTGAGGACAAGGCCTAGTGCAGGTAGAAGCTGGGCTAAAGTTTGGCCAAAGCCTCTAGCACATGGGCAAGTTTTTTGTGGCATGTAGTAGTTCACGATTCACACCATAACTTAAAAATCCTCATGAACTACTTTCCCACCTGCAAGATCTCATCTCCTTTCACTTATCTTTCCTCATTCACCTCTAGCCTTACTGACCTTCCTGCTATTCATCAAACATGTCATGCACACAGCTTCCTCAAAACTTCTGGACTTGTTGTTTCCCTTGTTGGCAACAGGTTTCTGTCAGCTCTCCACATGACCTGTCCCCTAACTGCCATCATGTTTCTGTTCAATTAGAATCTGACCACCCTCAAGAAAAGAGCTCCCAACAACTACACTATCCTTTTTTGTCCCCTGCTGTTCTCCATTATTCTTATAGCATTTACTTACTACCATATAATTGTATGTAAATTGCATTTTACGCGCCTTTGCATATTTCTTCAATTCCAGACCTCCATCTTTGGAGAATTAATGGGAGTAATAATTAAATGTACATCAACATAATAAAGGTCATATATGTAGGCTCACAGGGAGCATTATACTTCATGGTGAAAAAGTGAAAGCTTTTTCTGTAAGATCAGGAAAAAGAGAAGAATGTCCACTCTCACCACTTCTATTCAACATAGCACTGGAAAACCTAGCCAGAGGAATTGGTAAAGTTGCAGGATACAATATCAACATAAAAAAGTCAGTTGTGTTTCCATGTACTAACAAAACACATCTAAAATGGAAATTAAAGGTTTTAGTTATAATAACATCAAAAAAGAATAGACGATATAGAAATAGACTTAACCAAGGAAGTAAAATAATTGTACACTGAAAACTACAAACACAATGAAAGATATCAAATAGACACAATATATGAAAGAAATATCTCATGTTCATGGATTAAAATACTTAATACTGTGAAAATATCTATAATACCGAAAGCTATTTCCATATTAGATTTAATGCTCTCTCTGTCAAAATCCCACTGGCACATTTTACAAAGATAGAAAACAACATTCAAATTCATATAGATTCACAAAAAGAAACCAGAATAGCTGAAGCAATCTTGAGAAAGACCAAAGCTGGAGGCAGCACATTTCCTTATTTCAAAATTCAAAATTCAAAGCTATAATAATTAAAACAGTGTGGTACTGACATAAAGATAGATATAAAGACAGATGGGGCAGCATACAGAGCCCTGAAATACACCTATGCATATATTAATACTTATGGTTACCTGAGGTTTGACAAGGATGCCAATAACATACAATGAGAAGAGTACAGTGGTGTTGAGTACAGTTCAACAAATGGTTTTGGAAACACTATATATATTCATATGCAAATATGATAAAATTTTACCCTTATCTTAATTACAGACAAAAATCAACTAACAATGGATAAAGATTTAAACACAAGAACTGACACTGTACAACTCCTAGGGGGGAAAAACACACATACACAGGGAAAAACTTGTTGAAATTGATTTTGGTAATTATTTCTTAGCTATGACATCAAAAGCATAGTCTGCTAAAGCAAAAATAGAAAAATAGGACGACATCAAAGTAAAATTTTCTGCACAGCAAAGAAAACAATCAACAGAATGAAAAGGCAAGCTACAGAATGGGAGAAAACATTTCCAAACCTTATTAACAAAATTAAGTGGTTAATTTTCAAAATACATAAGAAACTTTTACAACTCTGAAATATTTTTCTCACACATGTATATTCTATACTTTGGAAGACAGGGCTAAAACCTAGATCTGAATAGAGATGTCCTGGGAAAAAACCCTCTCCTCCCACCCCAAATCAAGAATCTAGGAATGAGAAACAGTCCTTATTAGGAAAACATTATCTTGCCATATAAAAATTGAAAAATCCAAAATAATAACAACACCAGCAAGAAACCTAATTTACCATAAGTTTACCATGATCCTAGTCTAAGGGCTGGAAAAAATTGTTTAACTCAGAAAATAATGATACATTGTGATAGTGTTGCAATTGAATTTTTAATGTCTCAAGCGAATTAGGAACCAAATGCATCATGGAAGACACTAGGATGAATGGTAGAGCTGTGCATTTTCCACAAAAATAGAAAAAAAATTCAAATTCATACAGAGTCAAAAAAAAACCAAAAACCAGAATAGCCAAGGAAATCTTGAGAAAGACCAAAGCTGGAGGCATCACACTTTCTTATTTCAAAATGTACTATACAGATTTGGATTTGGATTCTGGACTAAATTTGGATTTAGCCTAAAATTGTGGGCTATTTCATCTATATTAGATATAATTTCTTCATCTGTAACATGGATAGAACGTTCTACTTTACTGCAATGTTTTGGGATATGATGGGAAACACGATGAAAACTATCTGGTGTAATCTTAGCCCTCTAATGAATATCAACTCCTATCTACCGCTGAACCTGCTGAGTTATCCAACTGAAACAGACAGTCCAGTCTATACGGACATCCAGGCAAAGGATACTGATAATTTACAATTAAAATTTGAGACAAACTGACTACTTATTACAATTTATATATTTTTAATATTATAGTTTATATATTTAGTTTTCAAATAAACCTTGACACACCACAATTAAAAATATAAACTCTACATTTTTGCGTGGAAATAAGTATCGTATTATTTAATATACTACTTCATACAGAATCTAAACATGATAAAATGATTTTAAAGCCTTAAAGAAATAAAAGTAAAGCATTATGCCAATACAATATGGTTTTAAGGTAATAATTTCATAACTATAAATTATTTCCAAAATGGTTAGAGCACCTTTTAGATGTCAATCTTTCCCAACAACTAACTTGACAATATCGTGTCCAACATTCACATTGAAAAGGACTACTTTTTATTAATATGCCCATTTTTTTGTTTTGCTTTGTTTGTTTTGTTTTCTTTTGTTTTCTTTTGAGACAGAGTTTCGCTTTCGTTGCCCAGGCTGGAGTGCAATGGCACGATCTTCAGCTCGTTGCAACCTCCTCCTCCCGGGTTCAAGCAATTCTCCTGCCTCAGCCTCCTGAGTAGCTGGGATTACAGGCATGCGCCACCACGCCCGGCTAATTTTGTTTGTATTTTTAGTAGAGATGGGTTTTCTCCATGTTGGCCAAGCTGGTCTCGAACTCCCAACCTCAGGCGATACACCCGCCTCGGCCTCCCAAAGAGCTCGGATTACAGGTGCGAGCCACCATGCCCGGCCATTATATTCCCTTTTTATATTGCATTTTTCTCTAGAAAGGACATACTTACTTTTATCTAGTATACATATTGAAATATATATTGTATCTAGTATATATATTTTATCTAGTATATATATTGAAATAGCCTGACACCAGTGCTGGTGAAATGGAAATTGCATCTATTTCATGCCATGACTGTGGACCAAGGTTAAAGGATGAGCACACCTAATAAATGATCTTTCTCTACAACCAAATGTGCATCTTAATTCTGAATACAGACCTTAGACAATTATTAATCTTTAGTGGCAAAAAAATCCAAGTCCATCTCTTTTATATTACCTCATTATTCCTGTTCACAAATGAAAATTTAATTTCTGTTATGGCGTTTTGTGCAGTCTACTATTAGGTTATTGCTTACAGAACTGTTTCTAATTCCTAGGAATGATATTTTAATAATATTTAATCTCTTTTCCAAATTCTAGTGTCTTTTATAATCTTGTCTCTGTGTTTTTCTTCTTGCTTTTATTTTATTTGCAAACAAACCCAGCAGTGCAAGTTGTAATTCCAAGTTGGCTGATGTTTCTGAATCAAGCACATTGCTTATAATCAAGGCTCTGTAAATTTTCAGAAAGAAAATTTGGAGAGAAACTCAACCATACTCACTACCAGGTGCAATATTAGCCATTTATTGATGTTTAATCCTTTCACAATCACTGAGTGGTACTTTAAGCATTTGGTCATTGATCTCGAAGGGTTTCCAGGTGGTAACTGCTTTGACTATAACAAGATAACATGACTGACGTATGTCCTGAGAGACTTTTTCAGAGGAGGGGCCTTCTCTACATGACAAAAAAGACTTGAAAATTGAGGTGTCTCATTCCTAAGCATTTGATGATTTGTTTTTGTTAAGAGGCATGCCTATTAGAATTATTAGAACTGGGCCTATTTAATGTTTTTCTTTCTTAACTCCAAGGGACCTGGGGTTGAATTTCTCTTGGCTAGTGTCTCTTCTCCATTTATATTCCATAAATTCCCATTCTTATATCTTTATTTTCCTATGTTTTCTGGGTAGCAAATAGGGCCAGGTGAGACAGTTTCTCCCTTCTTATCTCCCTCTCCTTGACTAAGAACATTTACATTTTATCCTAATGTAATTTATTAGATACATAAATAGGTTTATTTATTTATTGAGGGAGGACATAGGAGACAGCCTAAACTTTAGCCTTAGTTCCAACGTATTGGGAGGACTAAATTCTTTGGGAATTTGTCATAGTTCTCATGAAGCACCTCATCTCACACTCATATTAGGAATAGATAAGTCTTATTAGCAATCACCTACACAGGGCTGGATTTCTTTGAGAGACACCGGGAGTGAACAGCAAGATCTCTTCTACTTGTTCCAAAATATTTATTGATTAGTCACTGGCAATGTCATCAAACATACAAAGGTTGATGACCTCAAAAAGTTTCCAATCATATCAGTGAAAAGGGAAATAAAATTATTTATTAAGAAGCATTATGATATGAACTGTTATTAAATAGGGGATGAGGAGGGGTTGATCTACAGAAAGTGGTCTTCACCTAAGGAATCCATGGAGAGAAGTAAGGAGTCTGTGATCTTGAGAGAAAATAATACGTCATTATTTTGACTAACCTCTTAAAATACCATTTCCTTCCTTCCTTCCTTCCTTTCTTCCTTCCTTCCTTCCTCCCTCCCTCCCTCCCTTCATTCCTTTCCTTCTCTTTCCTTCTTTTTTTCTTTCCTTTCTTCCCTTTTTCTTTCTTTCCTTCCTTCCTTTCCCTCCCTCCCTCCCTCCTTCCTTTCCTTTCCTTTCTTTTTTCCTTCCTTCCTCCCTCCCTCCCTCCCTCTCTCCTTCTCTCTCTTTCTTTCTTTTTTCTTTCTTTCCTTTCTTTCCTTTCTTCCCTTTTTCTTTCTTTCCTTCCTTCCTTTCCCTCCCTCCCTCCCTCCTTCCCTTCCTTTCCTTTCCTTTTCTTTCTTTCTTTCTTTCTTTCTTTCTTTCTTTCTTTCTTTCTTTCTTTCTTTCTTTCCTTCCTTCCTTCCTTCCTCCCTCCCTCCTTCTCTCCCTTTCTTTCTTTCTTCCTTTCTCTTTCTTTCTTTCTTTCTTTCTTTCTTTCTTTCTTTCTTTCTTTCTTTCTTTCTTTCTTTCTTTCCTTCTCTCTCTCTCTCTCTTCTTCCCTTCCCTTCCCCTCCTTTCCTTTTTTGACAGAGTTTCACTCTTGTCATCCAGGCTAGAGTGCAATGTAACAATCTTAGCTCACTGCAACTTCCACCTCCTGAGTTCAAGTGATTCTTCTGCCTCAGCCTCCCGACTAGGTGGCATTACAGGCGCCCACAACCATGCCTGGCTAATTTTCGTATTTTCAGTAGAGACAGGGTTTTACCCTGTTGGCCAGGCTGGTCTCAAACTCCTGACATCAGGTGATTAACCCGCCTCAGCCTCCCAAAGTGCTGGGATTACAGGTATGAGCCATCATGTCCTAGAGAACAGAGCACAGTATCACCAACATAAACTTCACATACTCTCATGTAACATTATAGTTGCTGCAGACATTTTGAAAGATTATTGGTGCTTATCCTTATTTTGAAATTATGATACCTATGAAACGTGTCTTTAGATCTTTTGACTTATGTTAATAAAGTATTTTAAATTACAGTTGACCCTTGAACAATATGGGGGTGGGGGACGCTGGCTTCCCTCAAAGTAGAAAATCTCTGGATAAATTTTGACTTCCCCAACACTTAACTACCAACAGCCTATAGTTGACTGGATGCCTTACCAATAATATAAATAGTTGATTAACACATATTTTGTATATTAAATGTTTTATATAAGGTATTGTTACAATAAAGTTAGAGAAAATAAAATGTGATTAAAAATCAAAAGGAAGAGAAAATATATTTACTATTCATTAAGTGAAAGTAGATTATCATAAAGATCTTCATTCACTTCATCTTCACATTGAGTAGGATGAAGAGGATGATAAGGAGGAAGAGTTGGTCTTGAGATCTCAGGGATGGCAGATGGAGAAAAAAAATCTGTGTAGAAGGGGATCTATGCAGCCCAAACCCATGTTGCTCGAGGGTCAACTATCCAGTAGTCCTCTCGCATTATTCACATTTCACTGCCTATGGTTTCCATTAACTGCAGCCAACCTTGGTCTAAAAATATCAAATGAAAAATATTTCAGGCCAGGTGCGGTGGTTCACACCTGTAACCCCAGCTCTTTGGGAGGCCGAGGGCGTCAGAATTTAAGGGGGCGAGGGTGAGTGGAAAAACCATTTTGCCATAGGAGTTATGTATAAATATGAATATACATATATAATTACACATATTTACATGTGTGTATATATATATATATATTTATCATTCATTTATTCACAAACATAGCTCAGATAATTTAGTTAACTTACCTTGGCAAAATGCCACGTTTTAATTATCTATCAATATTGTCCAACTGGCCAGTCACAGTGGCTCACAGACCTGTAATCCCAGCGCTTTGGGAGGCTGAAGTGGGTGGATCACCTGAGGTCAAGAGTTCGAGACCCACCTAGCCAAAATGAAGAAACCCCATCTGTATTAAAAATAGAAAAATTAGCTGGGCGCAGTGGTGTGCACCTGTTGTCCGAGCTACTTGGGAGGCTGAGGCAGGAGAATTGCTTGAACCCAGAAGGTGGAGGTTGCAGTGAGCCGAGATCACACCACTGCACTCCAGCCTGGGCAACAGAGCGAGAGTCTGCCTCAAAACAAAACAAAAATTTCAGAGGCCGGGCGCGGTGGCTCACGCCTGTAATCCCAGCACTTTGGGAGGCCGAGACAGGCGGATCACGCGGTCAGGAGATCAAGACCATCCTGGCTAACATGGTGAAACCTCGTCTCTACTAAAAATACAAAAAATTAGCCAGCCTGGTGGCGGGCGCCTGTAGTCCCACCTACTCGGGAGGCTGAGGCAGGAGAATGACGTGAACCCAGGAGGCGGAGCTTGCAGTGAGCTGAGATTGCGCCACTGCACTCCAGCCTGGGCAACAGAGCGAGACTCCATCTCAAAAAAAAAAAAAAAAAATCAGAACAATTAATGTTTTCATGGCACACCATTCTGAGTAACATGATGAAATTTCACTCTGTTCCACTCCCTACTGCCCTGGGCATTGTGAATCATTCCTTCGTCCAGTGTTTGTGTTCAAATAACCCTTCTTTTACTTCATCATGGCCCCAAAGAACAAGAGTAGCGATGCTGGCAACTCGCATATGCCAAAAAGACGTCTTAAAGTACTTTCTTTAAAACGAAAAAGTGAATATTGTCAAAGCAAAGAAGAAAGGAAAAAATTGTATGCTGAAGTTACTATAACATATGGTAAGATCAAATCTTCCATCCTTAATCTGGCGAAGAGAAAAGAGTTTTGTGCCAGTTTGTCTGTTGCACCTCAAACTGCAAAAATTATTGTCCCAGTGCATAATAAGTGCTTAGTTAGGAGATAGAAGAGGCAATAAATATGTGGGTGGAAGACATGAACAGAACTGTGCTCTGATTGATGGCAGCTGGGTTCAATACTATCCAAATTACAGGCATACACTGGGGTCTTGGATTGTATCCTTTGCAGATAAGAGGGGACTACCCTAGTTTCACACCTGTATTTCAGCGATTTCCTTTATCATTCTTTGTATTTGCTTTCACGCATTGAAAACATCGTTCTCAGAAAAAGGCTTACAGGCTATGCCAGACTGCTAAATAGTCACACAACGTAAGAAATGGTCACACATTTCTAGTCTAAAGGTAGATTTTAGTTGGTGAAGAGAAGAAAACAAGTAAGAAATTTTCATAAGCACAAAAATGTATGGAGGAGACAAGAAAACAAGAACAAAAAATCATCTTAGAGGTAGAGCAGAAATGACAGAAGAGAGACAACAAACCAGATAAAAATAGAAAGGAACTGATCAACAAGGCAAATTGTGGAAAGGCGACTTTGTAAGAGAGAATGATCTTACCTGAGTTGTCCAGTGTTAGGCAGCATTAGTTGTCAAAGCCATAATTCTATTTAACCTTTCAGGATCATTCTCTTTTCCTTAGTCCACGTTGCCTCTAAGGGAATAAAACCAGAAAAATCAGTTGGGCCAGATTTAGTTGGGTGGATATATGCTTAAGTGAATTCTATTTTCATTCGTTCTTTCATTTGTTTTTTATTTATTTATCTATTTATTTATTTTGAGACAGGGTCTCACTCTGTCACTCAGGTTGGAGTGCAGTGACATGATCTTGGCTTACTGCAGCCTTCCGCTTCCCAGGTTCAAGCGATCCTCCTACCTCAGCCTCCCTAGTAGCTGAGACTACAAGCACAAGCCACCAGGCCTGGCTAATTTTTGCATTTTTTGTAGAAACGGGGTTTTGCCATGTTGCCCAGGCTAATTCTATTTTCTTATTAAGACATAATTTCCCACATCCATTAATCATTTAATTTAACACAAACAAATCCTCACTTAACAGTGATAACATTGACTTTGATGACAGGGCAGTTTCTTATCACATATTGAAGGTCAGATATCGTCTAAAATTCTCCAAGGAAAAGATGCCCCAGGATCTCATACTTCCATTATGGAACCTCCCTAGGATGAATACATTCTATAAGAAATCTTTTGATAAAATACAAATACTTTTGTATGTCAAATTCATTGTTATTAATGTGTTAGTTTGAGTTAGTTTACTAGATTTGTTTCTCTGTCATGGAAGTAGATATTACTATACAAATGACACTGCATACTTTGATATAAAAATCTAAGGCAGAGAATCTTAAGGCAAGAGAAAATAGAGAAAAAAATTTACCTTTCCTACACATCTGAAGCGTGCATTTAAAATTAAGAGGAAGCCTGGTGCAGTGGCTCACACCCGCAATCCCAACACTTTGGAAGGCCAAGGCAGGCGGATCGCTTGAGTCCAGGAGTTCGAGACCAGCCTGAGTAACATGGAAAGACCCCATCTCTACAAAAAATACAAAAAATTAGCCAGGCTTGGTGGTGCATGCCTGTAGTCCCAGAAATTCTGGAGGTTGAGGTGGGAGGATTGCTTGAGCCCGGGAGGAAGAGGTTTCACTGAACCCAGATCATGCCACTGCACTATAGCCTGGGTGACAGAGTGAGACCCTGTGTCAAATAAATAAATAAATATATAAATAAATAAAGAGCAAATATGTCCAGTGCCATTGAAAATATATTAGATATGAATAATTTTTGTACTTGTGTTTAATTTTGTGAACATGTACTGTTAAGCAACAGACTCAGGCATGTTCTAAAGGTAGTTTTGTGTTATGCATAAATTGTAAGTTGAAAATATAATTGGTAGTGTTTAATATGATAAATTTAACTGGGTTGTTTGAATAACTTAACCTAATGATATTAGCTAAAACCACATTTCAGCGAGTAGTAAAAGTGACCAGTGTCCTCAAATATCAAAGAAGTCCATTGTCTCCATGGTAACATAGGCCTTAGCAGAGAGAGATACATATGGTAATTGCATGTATGTGTGGAACCACAAGTGATGAATGAATAAGTTATGATGCTTTTGAAAAATGTGATCAGAAATCTTCAGGGCTTCAGACTTCCCATTCTGTGAAATCTCAAGCATAAAAAAAATATCTATGCCCTACCATGGAGAATAGATAAAACTGCTGATTAGGAAAGACAACGGCAATGCTGATACAGTATAAAATATCCGCAGGGACCCTCTGTCAGATTTCACCTCAAAGCATCTTTTGGATTAAAATCAGCAAGGCAATCTCATTCTTCATCATTTCCAAAATTATTTCTCTTCTTGAGAAGAATGACTGTCGACTGTGAAGGAAAATTGTACTCTCAGATTCGTTGAAAGGGGGAGGATGTTATGATACTAAAATGTATAGAAATAAATAAATCTAAGTAATGAAAAAATACTAAAAATAAATTTAAAATTTAATGAGTACGTGGGCCATTATAACATAGCTTTTGATCAGCTTGATATTAAAATCTTTGTTATAAATGACACATTTTTGTATTTTTTTCTCACTAAATAGAGAAAGGGCATGGCCCTTGGGGGGGTTTGAACAAATCAATACTTTCAGGCTTGCCACTGAATTACTCTTGTTGGAGCTCAGAGGTACTATTTGTGTGAGATACAAATATGTCTTTTGAATTTATGTGATTTTGTGATGTGCTTTCTCATCTTTTTTTTCTGTTGCTCCCTGATTACAAAATGAACAGTGCTGAAAAATGTCAATATTTGAATTAGCTTAAGGAGTTAACGAAATCTCAAATGCTGAAGGTAAAATTGATGAGAGAATGCTTGCTGTTAAGCAAACCTGCTCCACAGAGTTCAGAACAAATCTCTGCATCTGGAAGCTTGTGTTGATTGTGTGTTCTTTGGTACGCATAGGGAGTGAATAAAATCCACAGACAGAAGAAAAAAAATAGGTAACTTTTTCAACTCTTCACCTAATATAATTGGTGAATGCAATATTTCTATTTTTAGGATCAACTCATAACTAACACTGAAGTGAATTAATAGACAACTAAATCTTGGAACTAGAAGGAACAATCTGTGGGCTCTTTAACTTTAAACGGGCCTTTGAATTATATCATATAACTGATGCAGAAATTCTTTTTTTTTTTTTGAGACGGAGTCTCGCTCTGTCATCCAGGCTGGAGTGCAGTGGCACCATCTCAGCTCACTGTAACCTCCGCCTCCCGGCTTCAAGCAATTCTCCTGCCTCAGCCTCCCGAGTAGCTGGGACTACAGGCATGTGCCACCACGCCTGTCTAATTCTTTGCATTTTTAGTAGAGACGGGGTTTCACCGTGTTAGTAGGATGGTTCCGATCTCCTGACCTTGTGATCCACCCACCTCAGCCTCCCAAAGTGCTGGGATTACAGGCGTGAGCCACCGCACCCAGCCCAGATGCAGACATTCTTTAAGCTGATATCTTTGTTCCAATATAAACATTAATGCCAGGTGAGTAATTTTATCTGTTTGACCTATTGGCCTTAAATAATAGAACGGAGATGGATCAACTTGGCTCAAACTTTCTCAAATTCAATTAATTGCCAGATAATTTGTTTTAATAAATTCATACATGTAAAGGGCTTAGAACAGTGCCTCCTACATATTAAGAGCTTAATAAATGCAAACAAACATTATTATTATTGCCATTGTTAAGTGACTTTTTGTTTTGTTTATGTATGTAAATAAATCATTAATATCAATGGATTTAATAATCCATGGAATGTTTGTTTTGACATAGTTCATTTATAGGTGACTGTAACAGTCTGTTTTCATACTGCTGATAAAGACACACCCAAGACTGGGCAATTTACGAAGGAAAGAGGTCTAATTGGACTTACAGTTCCACGTGGCTGGGGAAGCCTCACAATCATGGTGGAAGGCAAGGAAGAGCAAGTCACGTCTTACATGAATGGCAGTAAGCAAAGAGAACTTGTGTAGGGAAACTCCCAGTTTCAAAACCATCACTACCACCAGAACAGTACAGGAAAGACCTGCCTCCAAGATTTCAGTTACCTCCCACCAGATTCCTCCCACAACAAATGGGAATTTAAGATGAGATTTGGGTAGAGACACAGCCAAAGCATATCAGTGACAGAACAGTACAGGAAAGACCTGTCCCCATGATTCAATTACCTCCCACCAGGTTACTCCCATAACACGTAGGAATTCAAGATGAGATTTGGGTGAGGATACAGCCAAACCATATCAGTGACCATATTCTCCTTAAGCCAGTAATTTTCCCAAAATTAAATTTCATGATGCTCTATGATTTTTCCAGATAGAATAAAAATATGAAGAGCAGCAAATGGGAAAAAATGTAGAAAAGTTTAAAGAACATAAATTTTTAAAAGAAGTTTTTTGTAGGATAAATAGATACCAAATTTCTGTCAAAATGTATTTTATATGATTTAAGGTAACACTCTTAAAAGGGGGTGATAATATTCAATAAACTATCCTATAAATGCCTGTATCTAATTCCTGTTATTCTAGGCAAGGTAACTGTATGTTAAATAGCAGTAGCTATTCTTTAGGTGTGGCTGCTCTTAATGATTCTGTCTCAGATGGGGAGATTTAATTTAATGACAAGAAAAATACTGTAAATCAACTCTGTCATATGAGATAAGTAAATAGATAAATAAGTACAAAAAAGTATACATTTATAAAATGGGCCACACAAATGAAATATAATATCTAAAATTTAGTTGCCATTCATATATACGCTACATTAGTTAGATTTATAGATTGATAAGTAATGTCATTAATACCCAGCATGGTGGCAAAATCAACCAGTGATATGTCATAATCTATAAAGGGTTACTAATGCATTAATTAAATACCATCATTATTTCTTGTATGTTTTCAATAGTATTAATATTTTTAATTGAACCAAAGTCTTCTTAGTTTATAACTGCTTTGGTTCCTTTCCTAATAAAATTATGATTGAGTGTCACATGAATATGTGACGTGTGTCATTATCTCTTATAGTTAAAACTCAGATGAACTCAATATTTTCACATAACTTAAAATAAATGCATAAATCTTTAGTTGACCTAATGTATTTTCTCTTCACTGAAGTCAACAAAACAGAAAATTTTTAGATTATTTTGCTAATTATTCTTTTACATGTATTTTTCTTTCATGTATAATATATAAGCATTATTTGTACAGAAATAATTATCTCTATCACCTCCAATATAAAATATTGAGATGAGAACAATTAAATACGGGATTAAATGTCATAGGTAAAACCATGTCGTTAAGATAGAATAATATATATTTTAAGAAATATAGTCAAAATTTGGGTTCATGTACTGTAACCCATATATTTTTTAAAAATACACTTGAGTTTTTTTTTTTTGAAAAATAACACAGCAGAAAAATAATTCAATTAATAATCCCAAACATTTTGCCATCACCTCAGGGAGCTTTTCTGAAATAAATGCAGGGATACATGCAGAAGAAATAAGATTATTATTAACTTTAAAAAGAGAAATCTAAAGGGAGTGATAATGACTATCATAGCTAGATATTTGTAGAAGCATCATATTCATTAAAGACAATTTTTTTTTGTTTAAGAGTAGTAAACAGGAGGGATCTTTTACTTCAGCACAGAAATAGCCTCTCTCTATATTTCTTTCATTCTTTTTCTCTTTGTCTAATTTTATTTTTTCCTCAGTTAATTTTTAGAAAAACATTTTAGAAAATTTGAAAAATATTTAAAATATACAGAAAAAATTAAGAAACTCTTGTAATCTCAACACCCATAGATAATAATAGTACATACTTTTACATTTCTTAATCTTCTTCTAAGTACAGAAATAGATATATTTTTTTTCTGGAGGAAAATATTAATATTAATTAGCAATAGAATTAATAACTGGCAATACCAAATTGATTCCATTTCACAGTACATTTTTCCACTGACATTTAAATAATAACACTTCAGAATTGTTAGAAAGGTGGTTCTTGCACTCATAGAAGATCGGCCACGGTAATCTCTTCAGCCGTTTTAACTGCTGAGATCCCATGTACTAAGAATTCCACTGGTGTCATAATAAAGTTGTGTTAGTCTTCTTGTGCTGCCATAACAAAACACCAGATTTAGGAGGCTGAGGCAGGAGAATGGCGTGAACTCGGGAGGTGGAGCTTGCAGTGAGCGGAGATTGCGCCACTGCACTCCAGCCTGGGCAACACAGCAAGATTCCGTCTCAAAAAAAAAAAAAAAAAAAAAAAAAAAAAAAGCAAACAAAAAAAACCCACCAGATTTAGTGGCTTAAACAACAGAAATTTATTTCTCACAGTTCTGGAGGCTGGGGAGTCCCAGCAAGGCAGGTGTTATTCTCAGGACATGTTTCCTGGCTTGTAGGCAGTCAGCATCTCTCTGTGCGCTCACATGCCATCTTTCTGTGTTTAGCATGTACACAAAAGAAAGAGAGAAAGTGAGAAATTTCTCTGGCCTCTTGTTATAAGGAGACTAATTCTATTACGAGAGCCCCACCCCAATTACCTCCCAAAAGGCTTTTCCTCAAATACGATCACCTTGGGCATTAGAGCTTGAAACTATGAATTTTGAGTGGATGCAAATTAGCCTATTAGGAAAGTCTGCCTAAGTTAATCAAAAATTGAATGAACCATTAAATAAAACAGGATCTCTGTTATGCCTTTGTATCATATAAGTTATTTTTTATTTTTTTTGAGACAGAGATTTGCTCTGTGGCCAGGCTGGAGTGCAGTGGCACGATCTCGGCTCACTGCAACCTCCACCTCCTGGGTTCAAGCAATTCTTCTGCCTCAGCCACCTGAGTAGCTGGGACTACAGGCATGCACCACCACACCCAGCTAATTTTTGTATTTTTAGTAGAGATGGAGTTTCACCATACTGGCCAGGCTGGTCTTAAACTCCTGACCTTGTGATCCACCCGCCTTGGCCTCCCAAAGTGCTGGGATTACAGGCTTGAGCCACTGCGCCCAGATGAAGTCATTTTTTTATAAGTAAATGGTTTCTAATATGTGAGAACACACTGTCTCAAAATTTTGTTTTTGATTGTTGATTTTATAAATATTAAACTATGAATTTACCAGTTTCCTAAAAGTCTTACCCAATGCAACATATCTGAGTATAATCACATCAACCATCTTCTAAAAAAATTCTCCCAATCAACATGCTTCATTGATTTATTTATTCCATTGTTCATCATTTCAAAAAAAAAAATCTGAGAATCTACAATATGTCAAGACCTGCTGTGCCTGCTTATATTAGAACTAAGACTGTGTCTCAGAATCAGACTACAAGGGATTCACAGACCAGCAGGGAAATTAGGCAAAAATGTAAATGATTTTGAGACAGTTTGAAAAAAAGCATGTAAGAATGTTGAGGGATAATAAGAATGTCATATTGATAGACTCCTACATTTATACAGAAGTGATTAAAAGCAGCTTTAATAAGAGAAAATGATTTCTTTTCATTTTGAAATGAAGGAGGAAAGGAAATTTTAAACAGAGGGGCTATCATAGGAGAAGAAATAAATGCCTTCTTAAGTAGATCTGAATTGGGAACCAAAGCAAATAAGATGGATGAGGTTAGAAGATATACAAGGATCATATCATGCATGGATTTATAACCCATGCTCAGGACTGTGAACTTTATTCAAGGACATTGCAAATTACTTAATGCTCTTAAATAGGAAAATGACATAATGATATTCTGATCTATAAGTGATGAAATATTACAGGATAGTCAAGGGGCTATTTCAGTAATTAACTTAAGAAATGATGAAGTTTAGACTGAGACAGCAGTAGCGGTGGGGAGACATGTCACCTTTGGATTAGCAAGATTTGATAATTGACTGGGGTCATGGGGAGTAACAGATAGGGAGGAATCCATGATATCTTTATAAGTCATGACGGAAAGTTGAATAAATGGTGACACCAATGACAAAAGATACCCTTTTTAGGAAGTAAGGTGGATGAAGAGAGGTGTTCAGTTTTGTACGAGGTGAATCTTCAATGCCAATGGGCTACCAGTGGTGGTGGGGGAGAGATGTTATCATGCCTTTGATAACCAGAGTTTTGAGCTAGTTTAGGAGAAAGACTAAGCATAGTGAGATAGTTGGCGTTTAAAATTGTAGATTTGAAGGAACTCTTTTAGGGAAAAAATACAGATAAGGGAAGGAAAAGTTTCAAGGAGAGAACACTAGGAACAGTTTTATGTCTACAAGTGATGAGATGAAGGGCCGAGCACGTGATGGAAAAGCCCCAGATGAGTGTGAGGAAAATGCATAGCTGCTGTGATAGCAACACCTGGCAGGTGCTCCACCACAATTTTGTTGAAGGAATAAGAATGCTGTATGTCTTCAATGCATTAGGCATGATCTATGTCATGAAGAAGTGGTTAGGGAGACAATTTGCCAGGTTTCAGAAAAAGAATTTTGAAACCCTGATACAACATTTTACCCTTAATGTGGTAACAGCCAAAAAAAGAAGGAGACCTTACAAAGAGGCAGGGAATAAGTGATCTCAATATTGGGAATATAAGAGATCAGAGGAATCCCATATACTTCATATGCTTTCCAAGAGGATATTAATAGTATCATGAATACTATAAATAATTAAAACAGTAGTATTAGTGACAAAGCATTCACTTACATAGTACTTATTATGTGCAAGGTATCATGCTAAGCACTTTACATATTTCACTTCATACAATTTCATGGTAAATTCAGGACAGAGGGTATGATAGTTAATCTCATGTGTCAACTTGACTGGGCCTTGGTGTGCCCAGACCAATCATTATTTCGGCTGTTTCTGAGAGGGTGTTTGTGGAAGGGATTAGCATTGGAATTGGATAATTCAGTACAGTAGATTGCCTTCTCAGTGTGGTGGGTATCATTGTCCAATCTCTTAAGGCCCTCAATAGAACAAAAGGTAGAGGAAAGAGTAATCTGCCCCTCATCTCTCATTTTCTTTTCTGCCCCACTGCTTGACTGGACATCTCATCTTCTCTCATTCTGGAACTGGCATTTACATCATTGGTTCCTCTGGTTCTCAGGCCTTCACACTTAGACTGAATTGCACCACCAGCTTTCCTGGGTCTACAGCTGGGAGAAAGGAGATTATGAGGCTTCGCAGCCTCCATAATTATGTGAGTCAATTCCTCATATTTAATAATAAATACACACACATACATGTATATATATGCATTTTATTGGTCCTGTTTCTCTGGAAAACCCTGACAAATATAAAGGAACTATTATTTTCTCAATTTATTTGCTGGGGAAACTGAAGTAGGAAAGAATACGTATTTTTACCAAGTTTAGACCATAAGTTAGAAGGTAACTGTGAGATTTAAACCAAGGCAATTTTCGTTCAAAGGCCATGCTTTTAAACACTGTGCGTATAATGCCACATATTAATCAATTAACAAAGCAATCATTTCTCTTTTTGCAATTTCCATCCCTTTATTAATTACAAAATTACAAAAGTTATTATACAGATTCACACAAAATGATGTAATAATGATAATATCAATGTTGACAGCAACTACTACAGTTTATATATTGTCATTTAATGAGCACCATACATTTAATTCTATGCTAAGCCTCTGCTTACATTGTAACACTTGCTAAGATAAGTAGTATTCTTTTTCCAACTTTTCTCAGGAAGGGAAAAAAAAAACACTTTTAAGCATGATAAGTGAAATATCCTTTCCAGCCTGGTAGGTAGCAAAGTCATGGTTTTGAGCCCCTACTTTAAGCCTGAGTTCATGAACACTGCACTCTTCTGCACTGTAGTAAAGGGGAAAGTGCTGCACACTACGGCTTGATCTAGTTCTGGTGTGTAAATGAGTTATATAAATAGAGAATTTGATGGGATTGAAGAGTGGACACCTAAAAGGAGGTATTCAGCAGTAATTTGGAACAAACCATGATTTGTGTACTGGTGACACTCTACACACATTTCATCAAATTGTACCATAATTAGCTGCTGGGAAGGATCTGTGTACTCAAAGCAATTTGAGTCACTGACATAGGGAAGTAACTTAGTGTCTAACTCTCTTTGTACTTACCTCATTATGATATCATATCTGTTTAGATGTCTAACCATTGACCCAGACTGCAAGCTCTAAACATCTGAGCTCTATCTAATTTTTTTTTCCCCAAAGCGTAGAGGTGGGCCCAGTACATAGTAGGTCTTTTTTTTTTTTGAGATGGAGTCTTGCTCTGTCACCAGGCTGGAGTGCAGTGGCACAATCTCGGCTCAATGCAACCTCCACCTCCTTGGTTCAAGCAGTTCTCCTTCCTCAGCCTCCCGAGTAGCTGGGACTTCAGGGGTGTGCCACCACACCCAGCTAATTTTTGTATTTTTAGTAGAGATGGGGTTTCACCGGGTTGGCCAGGAGGGTGTCCATCTCTTGACCTCGTGATCCACCTGCCTCGGCCTCCCAAAGTGCTGGGATTACAGGTGTGAGCCACTGTGCCTGGCTGTTCAGAAGGTGCTAAAAAAACCCCACATACATTAGAAATATTCTTTTATTTTCAGTAAACTTTATGCAAAAAATTACTAAATCACTGTAAAACTACATTTCTCATTAAAAAGTCAGTAAAGATGTTAGGTACGATATCTTAAGATCTTTTATTTGTTAGGGGTATAAAAATATTTTAAATAAGAAATTAATTTCATCAAAGTCATGTCACTATTATGCTTTCCTTTTATTTGCTGTGTTTTGCCCATCTTTTATATCCTTCATGTTTTGCAGTTATGGTGTTTCAAACACAAACAATTATGCTGAAGTGAAAAAATATGATTTAGTAGCTGTATTCAGTTCAGTAAGTTTTATCATATATTTTTTCACTGACCACCATGGCTGACAAAAGCCATTAGATAAAATAGTATTAAGAAGACAAAAAGAGGCCAGGTGCCATGGCTCACACCTGTAATCCCAGCATTTTGGGAGGCCGAGGCGGGTAGGTCAAGAGGTCAGGAGATCGAGACCATCCTTGCTAACACAGTGAAACCCCTTCTCTACTAAAAATACAAAAAATTAGCAGGGGATAGTGGCACATGCCTGTAGTTCCAAATACTAGGGAGGCTGAGGCAGGAGAATCACTTGAACTTGGCAGGTGGAGGTTGCAGTGAGCCAAGATCGCCATTGCATCCCAGCCTGGGCGACAAAGTGAGACTCCATCTCAAAAAGAAAAAAAAAAAAGAAGAAGACAAAAAGAAATACAACAATATCGCGTCATTATTTGTATTACTCAAAAGTAGGGTCTGGATTTTGTTAGCACTTATAACACTTATATATATAGTGCATCCCATAGTGCTTGTCATACAGTGCACATATGATATATTTGTGGAATTAATAAATGTAGCTTAATATTTAAATTTACCTTTGAATATATTCATGTATTTTAGGTAGAAGATCATATGGAAGAAATTAGTTATGTGATCATCAGCTCTGTTTATACTTCCTATGCACAAAAGGGAATGCCACTCTAAGTTTCTCCCCATTAGGTTGGGGCTATGTGAAGCAGAATTTATAAGAATGATAACAAAAGTGATCTGTAGAGTATCTTTGCCTTTCCCTTAAAACATCACTTTTTATGCTCCATCATCTCATTGTCTCATGCTTGGAAGCTATGGATGAAAGATGCTGGATTCCCCAATGGAAAGAGACAGGTGACCTTGAGTCACTATTTGCAGAAGGGCGAGTCTGCCTGTTCATGCTGGGGATTCTATATTATGATAGTGAGGGCTGAAGAAGGTCATTGTGTGGAGACCAGAAGGTGAATTGGGGGCATAAACCAGAAGGTGAATTGGGGGCATAAATTAGAAGCAGAAATTGAAAATGGGAAAGGATGGAGAGGAGATGAAAATTATACCTCTGTACTTAATAAGAATCAGACTCTGTATTGTTAATAAATCACCGAGTCTCTGGCAGAGTTCCCCTTCTAAAGTTGTCTCTCTATAATAAAAATTTATCTAGTGAAAATATAGAAAAGAAGTCCATAGATGAAAGATGAGAGAATAAATGTGAAATGAATAGAAAACAGACTATATGATGAAATATTGTTGAATGGTAGCCATTTCAGCACTTTTATGAAGTGTTACTTGGCTCCAGGTTTCTGAACAGGATGCATGTAAAGGTGTTTCATCACCAGATACATAAAGCTACAATGCAGGAAGTAGATATCAATACGCTAGCTACTCTTCAAATATTGCATAGGTTACAAACTACTTTTAATCTTTTGAAGCATATTTGTACATTTTTAAATATATCATAGCATATAATTCTCCTGATCTTCTCCATAAAATTTGGAATACAGACTTTAGCTGGTCCCACAGCCACCAGGCTTGCATACTGCAGACACCATCCACTGCACCTTTAGGATTCCTCAAAAATATATAGTTAAAAATGTAAAATGCCTATCATGACATTACGTAGGTACACACTGCAAATGACATAAATCTGAAATGGAAATTCACTCCTTTCTTATGAGTTTAACAAATTAGTTTAATCAAACATTAAACGTTTTAAGATACAGAACACGAATCTAGATGTTAAAATGTTCAAGTCATATTTGAGATTATGAAAAGATCCAGTAACAATGTAAATGCCTATCAAGCTACTTTTCATGAATACAACAATAAAAAAGTATACTCATCTATACTAATAAACAATTAGTAAATATGATTTTATATAATATATTATTTAAATTATATAAACTATATACATAAATAATATGTAATTATGTAAAATAATATTTTTATATAACATTATATATATAATATTTTTATATAACATTATATATTTTTTAAATTTTTGTATTATCTATTTAAAATATTTTATAAATAATCTCTCATATATGCCTTCAAAGGAAAAGCTATTAAATTATATTATTAATTTAACAATTTACTATTATATAATTTAATTTAATATATTAATTTACATATATTTGCATACGTGTGTGGTGTATCCATATATAGTATATGAGGTTGAAAAACTGTACAAATTGTGCAGTTTCAAAAATTTTCAAAATCCTTTATGAAACTTTACACCTAATCAAGCTCTATTCTCTATGCTGAGCTCCAATCCCAAGGAGCAGACCCCTATTCAGGCAATGTGCTTCTCTTGACAGAAGAGAAATAGGAGAGCATTGGAAACATGGAATGGCTCTTAAACCTCCAGTGACAACTCGTGTACATCACTTTCTTACCACTTTTTTTTTTTTTTTTGAGGCAGAGTCTCACTGTGTTGCCCAGGCTGGAGTGCAGTGGCGCGATCTCTCGGCTCACTGCAACCTCCGCCTCCCGGGTTCACGCCATTCTCCTGCCTCAGCCTCCAGAGTATTTGGCACTACAGGCGCCCGCCACCATGCCTGGCTATTTTTTTGTATTTTTAGTAGAGACGGGGTTTCACCGTGTTAGCCAGGATGGTCTCGATCTCCTGACCTCGTGATCCACCCGCCTCGGCCTCCCAAAGTACTGGGATTACAGGCGTGAACCACTGCGCCCAGCCTCGTGTACATCACTTTCACACACATTCTGTTGACAAAGCAAATCACATGATCAACCTGACAAGGAGGTGGAGAATAACATCCTCCCTATATTACGGTAGTGCAAGTCACATGACAAAGGACAATGATAAATATAAAACCTTCTACTGGAAAAGGGGAATCATGATTAGGAGCAATAACACAGGTTTCCATTTTTGAGCTTAATATTAAAATACATTTATAAATTTTATACATATTTATACATAGAAAAATGTATAAATTATATATATATATATTTATGCATAGAAAAATATTTCTATAATTTTGGCCAAATAATTATTACTACTTTTATAGATTGATTTTTTTTCTAGAATACTGTTCTTTCTTCAGAATAGAAAAAAACTGAATAAATAATCAAGTGAGATTTTTAAGTTTCTTGGTAGATTTTACTAGAGTATCTGTTTTTTTTTAAAGATTCAGCCAATATTTTCTCTAATGGAGAATATCATTCCTATTCTCTGCTTATAACAGCTTAGTTTTATTTTTGATTAACCCTTACAATTGGGTGGATAAAAATTATATAACATTGTTACTATAATCTGCTATATATAATTTACCTTTCATTAATTATTATTAGAAAAACTTCTGGTTTATACAATTAAAACAATTATTATTCGTTTATGTGTGAACTTTTTTGTACTTGCCCATTTTCCACAGTCAATTTAGTGGTTCTGTAAAAGATTAGAAGGAAAAAAATTTTAAAAAGAACTTTAAAAATACTTTTTAAAAACTTTAAATTTTTTTTAAATTGCAGAAAACAATTTTTCTCTGCATTTTCTTTTCTTTTCTTTTCTTTTTTTTTTTTTTTTTTTTGAGACAGAGTCTCACTCTGTTGCCTAGGCTGGAGTGCAGTGGTGCGATCTCAGCTCACTGCAACCTTCGCCTCCTGGGTTCAAGCAATTCTCCTGCTTCAGCCTCCCGAATAGCTGGGAATACTGACCTGCGCCAGCACGCCCGGCTAATTTTTGTATTTTTAGTAGAGACAGGGTTTCACCATGTTGGTCAGGCTGATCTTGAACTCCTGACCACAGATGATCCATCCACCTCAGCCTCCCAACATTCTGGGATTACAGGTGTGAGTCACCATGCCAGGCCTGCATTTTTCTTTTCCTTTCTTCTTTCCTTTTCCTTTTTTTTTTTTTTTTTTTTAGACAGGGCATCACTTTGTCACCCAGACTGGAATGCAGTGACATGATCATAACTCACTGCAGCTTCAAACTCTTGGGCTAAAGTGGTCCTCCCACCTCAGCCTCTTAAGTAGCTAGGACCACAGGTGCACACCACCAAGCCGGGCTAATTATTTCTTAAAATATTTTTGTAGAGAGATGGTTTTGCTATGTTGCCAAGGTTTGTCTTGAATTCCTGGCCTCAAGAGATCCTCCCACTTCAGCCTCCCAAAGTATTGAGATTATAGGCGTGAGCCACTCCAGCAGGGTGCATTTTTTTCTTAATGTCTGATGATTTACTATGGTTAGAAAAGAATTCCCAAATTTCTTTTTGAAATAACATGATGGATGGTGGTGACAATCATGTAATAGGAAATTATTGAAGAGCCAGGCTGTGAAAAAAATTAGTGAGCTTTGCCCTTTTAAATATTCCAAAGCAAATTTCAAATTTTAAGAACCTGGCAAATAATTCATGTTTCTAGTTGACACCATTTTAAGAAAATTGTGTAAGAAATTTTAATTTTAAGGAAATTGTGTAAGAAAATTACAATGGTCACTACGAAGTCAGATTACATTTGTATGAGTGGTGTGTGTGTGTGTGTGTGTGTGTGTGTGTGTAAATGCAAAAATGCATGTGATTATAGAAATGGCTTGAGAATCAAGCTGTTTTGTTTTGTACTTATCATCTTCCTGAACAACTATTCTAAATTTACTTAGTCAGTCCTATCATAAGACATTTTGATAAGTGTATTAGTCTGTTCTCAGATTGCTATAAAGACGTACCTGAAACTGGGTAATTTCTAAAGAAAAGAGGCTTAAATGACTCACAGTTCCACAGACCCTACAGGAAGCATGGCTGAGGAGGCCTCAGGAAACTTGCAATCATGGTGGAAGGTGAAGGGGAAGCAAGCATGTCTTCACTGTCTTCACATGGCCATCAGGAGAGAGAGAGAGACAGGAGTGCTACACACTTTCAAGCGACCAGATCTCCTGAGAACTCTATCATGAGACAGCACTAAGGGAATGATGCCAAACCTTTAGTAACCACCCCCATGATCCAATCACTTCCCACCAGGCCCCATCTCCAAAATTGAGAATGACAATTCCACATGAGATTTGGGTGGGGACACAGAACTAGACCAAATCAGCGAGTAAAAAGACTAAAATATTGAGAAAAGTTAGTAACCTAGTAAAATAGAAAGACATGAATGGCTACACTAGCTTGCACACTTGATCTTGTGGGTGTCTCATATGTACATTCAAGAAACTGACATAGAAGACCTCCTACAGTCCCACAAAGCATTGGATCTAATTTAGATTCATATGGCCAACTACTACTACTGTTTTTGTTTCTATGTACTATAATGGTTAGATAAAGCATCAAGCAGAGCTTGATAACACTCTGAGGTCGGGGGTAGGGGATGGATGTTTTCTTTGTAATTGCTTTTTTTTTTTTTTCTTATTAAAAATAAACCCATTAAATCCCAAGAAGCATCAATATTTCTTATTAGCCGAGAATATTAAAAGGAGGAAAAAAACAAATGTGAGAATGTCAATTTTAATTATTTTTATTAGACTTGGAAGTAGGCAAAATAAATTTCTAGGTATCCTTTTGGTGGAGTGCTGGCATGGTGTAAAGGACCCTCTAGTTTGATGGATTCCATAGCATTGCACGACTTTGACTGGTTTTTAATCACTTATAATAATTTATAATTCTCTCTGCTCAAAACACAAAGTATAATAATCCTATTGTGATGGAAACCATCATTGTCAAAACACTGTAATCAATTTTTGTGCTGTAGAGATTAACTGTTTCCCATCCTATTGAAAATATTGTCCAAAAATATATATGTATATATACCAATGATAGAATATAATATCCTAATTGGATTTTATCATTATATATATACTATATCTAATAATCTGATTTTAATTTAGGTTTTGCTCGGCTATGAATGTTTGGTGCTCACAAAATAGGAAGGACTAGAAGAAAACAATGCTGATCAAACAGTGCTGGTCAATGTTACTTTAGCTTATTACTCTACGAAATGATAACTTATGTATGTTGTTACTTAGAAATAATATAAAATATTTCTCCACATGTTTTCAAGTGAACAATGTGATGGGTTGACAACTCTTTAATTAACTTGGGATTTGCCTGTTTCATCCATCCAATGCTTACCAAAGCTTCTACAATAACGCAGTCCCTTATATGCAATGCTTATTAACTTTGCATTTTCCAGATATCTTGACAGGAGGAAATTAAAAATGGAACTTTGTAAAGGTTAGTTAATTACAAATAATAAATTGTGTTATGCAAATATGGGCTCCCCAAAATGATTTAATTCTCCAACAACCCATACGGAGCTGGTAAATTAAAACTTACCTTTTATTTACAGTGTTAAATTCTCAATCAAACTGAAGGTTACTCAATTACAAGGACATGTAAGTTTGTACATGTATTTGATCTTTTCCCTTGGAAGGAAACTAGGGTTCTAATTTTAGTCTTCTGAGGTATCCCTTTAGATATTTAATTCAAAGATAAATTTTTAACTCTGGATGAAATCATTCCAATGCTTAACCTAAGGCTCAGAAGCAGATTTGGTGCTCAGGGATTTTTTATTAACTCACTCACTCCACAATCTTTCTCACTGTTATTTACATAATCTGGTATGTTTTGCTTCATTCTAATTCTCATTCTATTTCATCTAGCACATGAATGATATGAAAAATACCTAATAGGATGTCAGCATATATATATGCCACATTTTAAGTTCACGTGTACCAGGAATGTTTAATAAAAATATCTTTCTGTTACTATTTGTATCAAAAATGATCCAAAGTCAATAATTTTATTTCCTCTACCTCTCTCTTCTTCTCTCTCTTCCAGATTTATCCTCATTTCCTCTAGTCTGGCACAATTCTAAAGGGGAGTGGAGATAATGTATGATAAAGCCAAACAATTAAAATGACAACTATCAAAACAAACAAACCCTGTAGAAATAGAGTAATAAAAATACCAAACACCTAGAAACCTATGATCATAAAATTATTGTGGTCTAATATTTAATTTAAATCTGAGCTCTCCAGCAGACACAGTGACACTTTCACCCCCTCAATCTCCAAGATAAGAAAACATGGGGATAGAATCCCTACTGTTAAACATTGACTCTATCAGCTCCTCAAGGAACAGTGCTTCCCCTAAACAAACTTTATACACAATAAAGGATGATGCCTTCACCAGATTGATCAACTCTTAGTCTTTCTGTTTTCAAGAATTCATTACATTCTAAAGTAAATATATGGCCTTTAATTTTTTTTATTATACTCTAAGTTCTAGGGTACATGTGCACAACGTGCAGGTTTGTTACATATGTATACATGTGCCATGTTGGTGTGCTGCACCCATTAACTCACCATTTACATTAGGTATATCTCCTAATGCTATCCCTCCCCATTCCCCCCACCCCACGACAGGCCCCAGTGTGTGATAGTCCTCACCATGTGTCCAAGTGTCCTCATTGTTCAATTCCCACCTATGAGTGAGAACATGCGGTGTTTGGTTTTCTGTCCTTGCGATAGTTTGCTCAAAATGATGGGTTTCCAGCTTCATCCATGTCCCTACGGCCTTTAATTTTTTAAAAAAATTACTACAGGATCAAAATTATGGAAAGTCAAGCACTTACACAAACTACTTATACACAGCTTAGATATCCTTATGAATTGTACAACTCTTCTCGGGACTGTGTTTTTAGAAGTCACGCCCTTTCTGTATTATGTTTTTTTTTTAAAAATTTACATTATGAACTTGCAAGTATAATAATCCTTACTTGTAATTCAGTCACATAACTCTTTAATAACTTCCTTTATGAATGCATTTATGCCATTAATTTTCGTCACCACAAGGCAGAATTTAGTATCTAAGAAAGCACAAAGCCAGAGAAAAGTTACAATGTCATATTCCTAGGGATATCTTTATAAAGCTAAACAGCTAACTTTAACAAATGAAAGAAGAAAAAGCTTCCACTGTTTTCTTCACTCTGCCTGTCCCAGTATGCAGGTGACCCTGACACAGCCGTTTCCTTCTGTCCAGGATATTAATTATGTCGCACCTCCATTGTATAGGTTCTCTCTCCATTGTCTTCTTTTTATCTAGTATGTGTTTTCTGAAAATATTTTACTCTTCCATTTTTTGCTATAGTTTTTCATTTTTTGCTTTCTCCCCCACCCAGTTTACTTAATTTGTACGTTACATGATTTTACATGTCTTTTGGATTGATAATTCCATCACTGAAATGTAACTAAATTCAAACCTTCCACTGTCCATCATAGCCATTTTTTTTTCCTAATTTATCCAGAAGCATTCGAAGTAAACCTGTGATATATATTAAACAAATACTGTCATATATATTAAACAACAGATGTTATAGTATTTATTCCTAAAGTCCTCTAAATTTACCTCATAAGCTCTTTTTATAGGAGGGAAAACTTTCCTTCAAAGAGTGTAAGTTTTATTTTTATTTTTATTTTTTTAGTTTTACAAGCTTTTTATTAGTTGAAAAACATGTAGAAACACAGACCCAGATTTTTGTACAACTAAGAAATACAAAACCATTTGCAATTGACTTTTTTGTAATGGATACCAACAAGGATGACAACTTGTCTTACCACAGATGCACTAAGTAGTTAAGTTCCTTTCCCTCCTCTTCTCAAAAATTAAAACTGTACATAGGTTTATCTAAAATGTGTTAATTTTGCCTCTGTTTTTAAAAACTTATCTAAAGATTGAAGAGTGATCTAAGCTCAGATCATCGTATGAAATTAGAACCAGGAGATGACTGACTACCTTGGACTGTATTTAAATACATAAAAGCTGCTATTCTTTCTTTTTACATTTATAGTCAAAGCTCAAAAGGACACATTCAAGAGTGAGAGAGAGAGAGAAAGAGGGAAAAAGGCTTTCAGAACTTTAAATATCTGTGAATAGTCAGCGCTTAGAGATAAAGACAGACTCAAAAATAATGACCTTTAGTACCTAATGTTAAATGACGAGTTAATGGGTGCAGCACACCAGCATGGCACATGTATACACATGTAACTAACCTGCATGTTGTGCACATGTACCCTAAAACTTAAAGTATAATAAAAACAAACAAACAAACAAACAAAAAGAGTGTAAGTTTTAAAAGTTAAGTTGGGATCTTTATCTCAGTTGCATTTCATTCTAGTCTCCAGATCATTTTATTAAACAAGCTTCATATCGTTACCCTGAATTACATAACTGAAAGTCACAGATTTTTGTCTTCTTATCAGGTCTCATGTGTCCTATGTGTACAGGTGTCCCTTTTATATTCTAGCAGAGTGACTTATGCAGATGAATTAAGTGTTTTTGCAAAATTCTCCTGTTACTTCAGTTTCAACTCTTTCACTTAGATGTGAGATGTCTGCTCAAAATTCTCCAACATATATACAGAATTTTTGCACCTATTAAGAGTCAATAGACCTTTTCTCTACCTCAAAGTAAAGCAGAGCATGACAGATTCAGTTGCAACTTTGGCGTCTCTACTCCTAAAGTGAGCATAGTAAAGAGTTATTAAAGAAATATCCGGGGGAACAAAACTAGGTGATCTTGCAATCTTGTAATGGCTCAATTCCCTAAACCCAGATGATGGGCTTTGAGATTCTTTATACAAATAGCTTTACAGAAATTCATGCACTGCTATATGGATCAGCTAGGCCCCTGAGCTAGTAATAAAACTACCACCAGAGGAGTAATAAGAATAGGAGGCCACAGACACAGGAGATCTTAAAAGTAAATACTTAATATGTCTGGCATTTAGTATTTAACAGCAACTACTAAAAGTTATCAGGATGCACTGGGCTTTATGCTTAAATAATATTACAATTGTATTACAATCATGTGTTTGTGTTACTATCTCACTATGCAGTAGGCTCCTCTGTAATTACTGACTTTTGTATCTTCAATGTCTAATACAACAACTAGTAAATCATAGTTGACAAATAAATGTTTGGATGAAATTCACAACTAACTAAATTTTGAGTAGCCCCTCTTTTGGGTTAGCTCATCTAGTTATCCTGTTCTAGTCTTCAGCTAAAATTATTCTTGCTTATTTTTTATGGTGCAAACTGTTTTTTCTTCCTCTCTGGAGAATCTCTTGAAAAAAAAAACTAACAAATTTTCTTTTCATTTATTCATATTCTCTTCTGAAGCAAGTACAATCATGTAGCGTAAGTCTCCAATTTTGTCTATAACATTCGCTGTAATGTTTTGATATACTAGGAGATTCATTTTCTTCATGTACTTTGACAATGCTAGCAAATAGCATATGTTCACTGAATCGTTGATGAGGTAACAAAAGTTTGATGATAAAGCGAGCCACAGTTATCATCAAGCTTTTCACTTTATACTCTTTTAAATCTTTTGCCTGTTGTAGCATCAGGCCTTATTACCTATTAACAATAGGTTAAAAAATTCTTATAATTTGCAAATAACATTTTACCATCAATTAACCATAATCCCATATATAAGTAAATCTGTGAAAATGGAAATGTTGATATCAGATATATCAATATTTTCTTTATGTCATTTTGCCTATAAAATGTCATTATTCCACTATATTACCATTTAAAGGATTTATTTAGTTTTTTAATAGCTTATTTTTGAGAAGCTTTAGCGTCACAGCAATTGAGCAAAAATGCAGAGATTCTCATTTACTGTGTCCCCACAAATATGCAGCCTCTTCCATTATCAACATCCCACAGCACCCGAGTGGGACATTTGTTACAATCAATGAACCCAACCTGACACTTCATTATCCCCAGAGTTCATAACTGATGTTAGGGTTTACTCTTGGTATTGTACCATGTATGAGTCTAGACCATTGTACTCTGTATGTGTCCACCATAGTAGTATCATACAGAATAATTTCACTGTCCTAATAATCTTCTGTGCTCCAGCTATTCATCCCCTGCCTTCCCCATGGTTTCCCTCTGGAAACTGTGATCTTTTGAATATCTCCTTAGTCTTGCCTTTTCCAGAATGTCAAATAGTTAAAAGTATACAGGAGATAGACTGTTCAGATTGGCTTCTATCACTTAGTAATATGCATTTAAGTTTCCTCCATGTCTGTTCATGGCTTGACAGCTCATTTATTATGAATCTTGAATACATAACTAAATCCTTCATTTTTGGCTATACCATGAGTTATGTATCCATTCACCTATTGAAGGGCATGCTGGTTGCTTCCAAGTTTTAGCAGTTATGATAAGGCATTTATAAATATCTGTGTGCAGGTTTTTGTGTAGACATAATTTTTAAATTAATTTGCACACTGCTGGTAGGAGGGAAATTGATACAACCACTTTGGAATATTGTTTGCCTGTAACTTATGAAGTTGAACATATGATAATCTATAAGCCAGCAATTCCACTTCTGCATACATATGCAACAGAGACACATACAAATAAACACTAAAAACAAGTATTAGAATGTTCCTAGGAACATTAATAGTAATATCTCCAAAGTAGAAAGAACTCACATAATAACAGTAGAATGAATAAATAAATACTAAACAGCTGTACTGTCCAATACAGTAGCCACTAGCCACATGTGACTACTGAATATTTGATCTGTTTGCCTCTTATTTTGCCAATACCACACTGTCTTCATTTGCTGCAGCTCTTCTGTTTGCCTTGGTATGCCTTCCAGGTCTCTGAAATAAAGTTTATAACTTACATTTACTTGTGACACTTTGCCTGTATTGAATCTTTTAAAGCTAACAAAACACACTTTGTAGATAAAGAGACTGAGACTTAGGAAGGTTACGGGTGTCTCAGGGTGTCAGAACTGGTTTGTGTTGGAGTTAGCTCCTGGATAAGGATCTAGCTTCCTCTGTCTCCCTGGCTTATGATCTTTCTCTGCCCTTCCTCCTGAAAGAAACTTTCCTGACAGTTGTTCATTCTCTGGGAGCCAGGGTAGCTCTGATATCAAAATGTAGTGTAAAATTAATGGTGTATTATTTTACACTTTCCTGTATAACATTCACATTAAGTACTTTGGCCCAGAAAAAGGTGTACAATGTTTCACATGGGGTCGGTGAAAGAGAAAGCTTTTTAGCAGATAGCTTTGCTATGTGAGATGATCTTCTTAATATAGGAGGCATAAAAGCAAAACAAAAAAACTGATGGTTCTGCTGACAAAAAGATAATTTTACATTTTATAAGGAATTTTTTTTATTATATTTTAAATTTTCGGGTACATGTGAACAATGTGCAGGTTAGTTACATATGTATACATGTGCCATGTTGGTGTGCAATAGGAACACTTTTACACTGTTGGTGGGACTGTAAACTAGTTCAACCATCGTGGAAGTCAGTGTGGCAATTCCTCAGGGATCTTGAACTAGAAATACCATTTGACCCAGCCATCCCATCACTGGGTATATACCCAAAGGATTATAAATCATGCTGCTATAAACACACATGCACATGTATGTTTATTGCAGCACTATTCACAATAGCAAAGACTTGGAACCAAGCCAAATGTCCAACAATGATAGACTGGATTAAGAAAATGTGGCATATATACACCATGGAATACTATGCAGCCATAAAAAATGATGAGTTCATGTCCTTTGTAGGGACATGGATGAAGCTGGAAACCATCATTCTCAGCAAACTATCTCAAGGACAAAAAACCAAACACCGCATGCTCTCACTCATAGGTGGGAATTGAACAATGAGAACACATGGACACAGGAAGGGGAACATCACACACCGGGGCCTGTTGTGGGGTGGGGGGAGGGGGGAGGGATAGCATTAGGAGATATACGTAATGTTAAATGACGAGTTGATGGGTGCAGGAAATTGTTTTTATGCAAGCACATTTGCATAAAGTATAGTTTTGTAACAGTGTCCTTTAGAACTTACCATATCTAATTTGTCTGATGTCATGCCCTCAATTTGCACAAATACAAACAGGTTTCTTCAGTAGAAATTTTGCTCTATTTTGGCAGTAACTGGAATGCATTGTGTTTAGCTCTAATATTATTTGATTTTTTAAATATTCAATATGGAAAAGTCTGCAAAATTTTATAATCTTTGAAGACCAAATATGTGTGCCTTCTGACTTGCCCCCTTGTATATTTTAGATTAATTGCTTTATCTAAGTCTTCTTAGTACTAATGTTAGACTGTATAATTATGTTTTTTTAAAATGTATTGGCTTTTATTTTGTTTTAATATTATATATATACACACACAATCATATACATAAAATACTGTATATTATATATGTATGCATAGACACATACATGCATAGACATAGATACATGCCTTATACAAAATCTTAAAGGATAAATATAACTTGAGTAAATATCTGCTATTCAGTTATAGCTCCTTTCTCTCTGGGATTCCCTGGTGTGCCCCACTCCAAAGATAATAATCGTCATTCTCCTCGGGGAACCCATCATTGTGGTTTTAGTGCTAATCATTCTCTTGTTTTTCTTTTCTTTTCTTTTCTTTTTTTTTTTTTTTTGAGACAGAGTCTCGCTCTGTTGCTCAGGCTGGAGTGCAGTGGCGTGATCTCGGCTCGCTGCAACCTCCGCCTCCCAGCTTCAAGCAATTCTCCTGCCTCAGCCTCCCAAGTAGCTGGGACTACAGGCGCCCACCACCATGCCCAGTTAATTTTTTTTTTTTTTTTTTTTGTATTTTTAGTAGAGACGGGGTTTCACCATGTTAGCCAGGATGGTCTTGATCTCCTGACCTCGTGATCCGCCCGCCTCGGCCTCCCAAAGTGCTGGGATTGCAGGCATGAGCCACCGCGCCCGGCCTCTTGTTTTTATTTTCAATATCATTGTTTATTCCTAAACGATGTTGTCCAATGGTTACATCTAGTGACTGAGAAATAAATTGTTTTGTTTATCATATATTTCCAGTATGTCGTTTTCAACATAATAGGAGGAAGAGTGAATTGATTTGTCAGTTGAATAATCATTTTGGACAAATCGTATAATAGAGCACTGTATTCTCTTTGACATTTTGTTGAGTGACATTGTACAGTGAGGTACCTCCCATTCATATGCGCTTAGGTATATGAAACAAAATTTCTCAATGTTACATTAGTAAAAACTGAAATTATGGAGATACTTAGTTCTGAAGCCTGTGTCACGCTAACAGGAATTGATAGCCATATAGGACCAAATGAACTATTGACAATTAGGATTCATTTACCTTTTTTTTGTTGTTGTTTGTTTTTTAGTTTCACTCTTGTTGTCCAGGCTGGAGTGCAGTAGTGCAATCGCAGCTCACTGCAACCTCTGCCTCCCGGGTTCAAGCAATTCCCGTTCCTCAGCCTCCTGAGTAGCTGGGATTAAAGGCATGTGCCATCATGCTAGCTAATTTTGTATTTTTATTAGAGACGGGGTTTCTCCATGTTGGTCAGCCTGGTCTCGAACTCCCAACCTCAGGTAATCCGCCCGCCTCGGCCTCCCAAAGTGCTGGGATTACAGGCGTGAACCACCACGCCAGGCTCATTTACCTTTGTAAGTGGTGTGCAGTTCTAAAATGTTTAGGCATTGATAATCTATAATCATATATAAAGTTACGTAATATATTTATGTTATGATCAGCAGTCTACATTAATAACTAAAATGACACCTCAAACCAAAATAATGTTTGGTTTCATAATACTAAATGTCTTATGGGGCAAGAATTTAAAAAAAATTTTTTTCACTTCACATTCATATTTTACGTATCTGGTAGCAAAAAATATTTAAAATTGTCATCGAAAATAATTACAATTATCTAATATTTTACTGTGGTATAGAATTCTCTGAAAGAAGTAGAATGAAATTGTGAGCTCAAGAAGAAAAAGGGTCATTATAAAATTTCTAACTGTTAAAGAACCGCATGTTCTCACTCATAGGTGGGAATTGAACAATGAGAACACATGGACACAGGAAGGGGAACATCACACTCTGGGGACTGTTGTGGGGTGGGGGGAGGGGGAGGGATAGCATTAGGAGATATACCTAATGCTAAATGACGAGTTAATGGGTGCAGCACACCAGCATGGCACATGTATACATATGTAACTAACCTGCACATTGTGCACATGTACCCTAAAACTTAAAGTATAATAATAATAAAACAAAATAATAAAATAAAATAAAATTTCCAACTAAAAAAAAGAAAAATACTTTTTAAATTAAAATTAATTTTTGTGGTGTTTTGATATACAATAGCAAATTTTTAATATTAATGATTACATGAATATATTATTTTATAATATTTACAATTATGTGAAAATTGTACAATATTTAATTTCTTAAGCTTAGAACAGTTCATTTTAGAGAGAAACCATAAAAATGTGAAGGAAGGCACACAGCTTTAAAATATTTTATGTGGATATGTGATTATGAAATCTTGGCCGGGTACGGTGGCTCATGCCTGTAATCCCAGCACTTTGGGAGGCTGAGGCAGACAGATCACTTGAGCTCAGGAGTTCAAGACCAGCCTGGCCAATATGGTAAAATCCTGTCTCTACTAAAAATTAAAAAAAAAAAAATAGCCAGGCATTGTGTCAGGCGCCTGTAATCCCAGCTACTCAGGAGGCTGAGGCAAGAGAATCACTTGGACCCGGGAGGTGGAGGTTGCAGTGAGCCGAGACTGCGCATTGCATTCCATACTGGGCAAGAAGAGTGAAACTGCGTCCAAAAAAAAAAAAAAAAAAAAAAAAAAAAAAAAAAAAAAAAATACTTAAGGCCACTAATCTAATCATATGATTCAAATTTCACAAAAGTAAGTATCCTGTTTTCAATTAGTCTACTGTAGTTTTAAATTTTAAAATCATTGTTTAAAAATGTGAGAAAGTCTTTTTCATACCCCAATCTTAACTCTATAAGCAATCTAACCAAGACTGGCATTATTTAAAGTCTGTTTCATTTGTCGTTTCTTCTAATGATGGAAGTGACCTGTTCCAAGCATTTAGCTTAATCTTCTTCTTTCAGTTTTCTGAGTCTCCTCAAATGAGTGGTAAATTTCTTTTTCGGCTCATAATTGTACATCCCAGTGGTTTTCAAGTAATGTGGGACTGCCAAAGAATGGAAAATCTAGTAAAGGTGACAAAATACTAGTTTCAGCTAGTGGGGTCTACTTGAGTAAAAGGAAGCAAAACCTTGATTTCTGTGTTGAAATGTTAACCCAAAACACCGAAATTCCATGCTCTAGCCTCTCCTCCCCTCGTTCTCAGTTACCTGCTCATGCTCCTATCCTCGACTACCCAAGGGTTCAGTTCTCACTCAGTCGCACAGCCGTGGAAGCACATTATCCTTCAAGTCCAGTTTGATTTTATGTTCACTACGGTGAACGGAATTCAGCAGTCATAGATCTCAGGTGTTACAGCTCCTCATTAAGCAAACTCTCAGGCCTCTGTCTGCTGAATTCCTGAAAAATAGTAAAATGTTAGGCTTTGCTCCAGGACTTAAATGGAAGCAAATCTACACTGTCATGTAGGCTTGACGTGCTACCAAAAAAAAAAAAAAAAAAAAAAACACTGTTATAGAGGCAGCCCTCTGCATCTGTGGTTTCCACATCTGTGGATTCAACCAACTGCAGATTGAAAATATTTAGAAAAATAATGAATGATTGCATCTGTACTGAACATGTACAGACCTTTGTTCTTGTCGTTATTCCCTAAACAATGCAATATAACAACCATTTACATAACACTTACATTATACAAGGTATTATAAGTAATCTATAGATGATTTAAAATATAAAGAGGATGCGCATAGGTTATATGCAAATGCTACACCATTTTACAGCAAGAACTAAATATCAGTGGATTTTGGTATCCTAAGGAGATACTGTGGGAAATAATCCCCTGAGTATACCCAGGGGTGAGTATACCTGAAATCTAGATCAATATCCCTGGGGCACCTATAGTTATTGATGTTCCAAAATTGCAAATTATTTGTATTATTTTACATACTAAGTGAGTGATAAGAAAACATAATGGATATATGCTAAAGTTCTTATCTAACTTATGTTATTTTAAACATACTTAAACCTAAAGAAAAATAGAAAGTGTTTCTCAATTCCTTTTATGAGTATGATGCAAATTCATTGCCAAATTTTAAAAGCTGGTGTAGAAGTTAAAACTATAAACCAATTTAACAATGAATTGAGATGAAAAAGTTTTCATTCAAAGATTACAAAAATCATTTGTAGTTAAGTGCATAAAAAAACAGAAAACTAATCTAACACAGAGATCTGATTGTCTAATAGGAAACACACAAATCAGAGACTTTCACAGTAGTGAGCTTTACTGACAATTACACGGATGCAAACAAACAAAATTCAGAGAGAGGCTTTGCACATCCTCCTGACTCCACAAGCTGTTCCTTCTCACATTGGACACATGCTGTGTTCCCATTGGAACACATGCTATCAGACTCAAATAAAAGAGATCTTTAAATGAGGATTATAGGTCACCCAACAGGACAGGCTTCTTAAGTTATTTCATATTTTCCTTTTTTTTTTTCCCCAGATAGTTGTTTACTTATGTAACATTCCTTAAGGAACCATGTCCCATAAATTCACATAGTATAAGTTTGTTTATCGCAGACAATTCTAAAATAGGAAAATCAGTGCTCAAAGCATTCAACAGATGAGGAATTTTCTCCTAACCAACTTTGTTAGACTGCTTGTCTAGAGGTTCAGCTATCATTTTTGCAAGACTAGAAGACTAGAACTTGCCTTCTTTGCCCAGAGCATCCAATCCATAGTAACTGGGGGAGAAATGAATTATAGCCCAGTTGTTTTAATTCCTTCCTTTTCAGTTCACTCTCTCAGATTTGTCAGTAACTTGTTGCCCATATTTTCTTTCAACATTTGACTTAGGTCATTTTCTGCAATAATTCACACTGAAGAATTAGCCACCGAATACCCCAACAACCACCGTCTTCGAAACATCCATTGGAGGAAGAGATATTCCCTCTACAAAGCATTTGGCCATGACTGTATCTTTTCCCTTATCTAAATTCTTTTAGTGGCTCAGCCGGGTGTGTTGGCTCATGCCTGTAATCCCAGCACTTTGGGCGGCTGAGGCTGGTGGTTAGCTTGAGGCCAGGAGTTCAAGACAAGCCTGGCCAACAGGGCGAAACCGCAACTCTACTAAATATACAAAAATTATCTGGGTGTGGTGGCACACACCTGTAATCCCAGCTACTGAGGTAGCTGAGACATGAGAATCACTTGAAGCTGGGAGACAGAGGTTGCAGTGAGCTGGGATTGTGCCACTGTACTTCAGCCTGGGCCACAGAGTGAGACTCTGTCTCAAAAAAAATTATACACATATATATATTTTTGCTGGCTCAATTGCTCCTTTTTCTTTACCATCCACAATTATTTGAACTATTTTATTAGTCTTGATAAAGACATTTCATTAGATACATAATTTTTTTCTAAGGCTAAATTCAATTTTTTCCCTGGCCAATTAGTTTTGGAGACTTCAACTCAGTATCTCCAAATTGTTCTCATACTGGAAAATTATTGCTTACAGTAAAGGAGCTGACATATGCTTTGTTGTACATAGAGCTCTTTTAAAAATATTAAAATAATGTGTGTATAACATACATCAATTTAAATTACACTAAAATCCTGAAAGGAATTACATTTCCTCATGTTCTACATAGAACTCGATGATTAGGATGGTAATTATAGGCTGCTGTCCAGTAAACCGGGTTCCATCTGCTTTGTGAATGTAATAAAGAATTTGACCCTGTTTTTGATGTTTGACAGCTGTGTAGCCCCATCTTTCCCCTTGTCTATTTTTTTCCTGAACCTGAGAAAACTGATGGGAAAACATCAGCGCTCCTTCTGCAACACTCTGTCATCAAAACGCACCAAACTCTAGGCTATAGTGTAAGCGTTAATTCAAAGACCTTAACACAACATGGTGCTCCAAGTGGAAGAATGCGTGGGTCCAAGAACAAAGAGAAGAAACAGGAGTTGCCCCTTGCACCATCATTCCTAGAGGCCCACTGGAGTATTTCTCTTACTGTTTCTCACTAATGTATTCTTCAGGATGAGACTTCCTAGTACTCAAAGGGGTGTATTCTCATCCATGAAAACAGGAAATTGTGATTGAACTACAAGTTACTGCCTGACACTTTGGGCTCCTTTTTCTAGGAATCAGTAAGCAAAAAAAATACTGTTCAATCTTCTCATGGGCAACTGACCCTGATTGGGGGAAGAAACTAGGGCTGCTATTATATAATGGGGGCAGTAGGACTACATATGGAAGTAAGGTGATCTTCTTGAGTGTCTCTTGGTGACTGTGAAGTATAAGTTCAACAAAACTAGCCTGAAAAGATCTTAGTTATTGGATGACCTGTCAGCTCAGGAGTGAGATTTTAAGTCACTCATTCCCCCACTCACCATGGAGTAAGCCACCCAGAGCAATGGAGGTTGTAGCTGAGGAGAAGTGGGTTTGTATTGAATAGTGCATAAGGAAGAAGATGAATCCCACTGCAGCCTCGAGACTAACCGCAGTAAGGTGGGCTATATTTCATCTCATCTTTCTCTTCAATGTTCCTTCGCAGGAAGAGAAGCTCTCTAGAACCCTGGCAAAGTTGCTCCCACATGTGTAAGGAAAAGTGGCTACATTCAGTAAAAGGAGTAAATTGTGGTAGATATGACAATAGGTCACTGAGATCTTCCTTTAAGTAACTATTTACTTTCTCTCTGACAGTCTCCTGCTTTTGTTCCTTCATCACCCCTGTCAGATTTTGAGCCAAGGTCGTGTTTTTCTCAAGGCAATTCCTGTCACACACTGACAGAGCATGACCATTGCCACTCAACATGGGACTATGACAAGGTGTGTCACTTCAGAGAACCATTGGAATGGCAGGAACATTGTCAGATCTCCACTGTGATCTGATGGTTCCCCAGCCAGTCCTGCTTTCCTCCTCTTCTACTTTCATTATTTGATATTATTCCCCAATAAACCTTTTGAACATCCAATTGTATCTCAGGATCTGACTCACAGAGACTCCAACCTGCTATACCCACTAAGCAGGGAACTGTGTTTTATTTTTTTTGGTGTGGATCCACATAGCCCACTTTAATTCTTCCTTTAATTCCCACAGAGATTTTCATAACTGATTACTTTATACAGGGATGATCTTTATTGTCTATACATCTAGAGCTTAATTTTTTCTTTTTATTTTTTATCTTATTTTCTTTCAGATGGAGTCTCACTCTGTCACCCAGGCTGGAGTGCAGAAGTACATTCATAACTCAAGGCAGACTTAAACTCCTGGACTCAAGAGATCTTCTCACCTAAGCCTCCAAAGTAGCTGAGACTACAGTTGTATGCCACCATACTTGGCTAATTTATTATTATTATTTTATAGAGACAGGGTCTTGCTATGTTGGCCAGGCTGTCCTTGAACTCCTAGGCTCAAGAAATCATCCCACTTTGGCCTCCCAAAGAGGTGGGATAACGGACATGAGCAACCGTGCCTGGAAGGTTTATTTTCTTGACCATAGAGCAAAGACCCTGGCGATAGCCCCAAAATCTGTAAATTTCCAAATGTCACCTCATGAAGTCTGGAACTCATGTCTTCTTCTGCCCAGTTTATAGTTTTTAACTGCCTATAGGTAAATTTGTCCTTACCTTCTTCCTTTAAGGTTTTACTGTCTGCAAGGTGAATTGCAGTTGATTTCCAAATAGCAACATGGCCTACATTCCTATCAGTAATCCAGTCAACCTGCTTAACCTTTCCTGAGAGGGAATTCTAGTGCTTACATAACACCAATGGAAGCCATGTTGTTATCTCATGGGATAACCTTTCCAAATTTATGAGTAATCTACCGTGTTTCTGTTGTCCCCTTCTTTTTTTTTTTTTTTTTTTGAGATGGAGTCTCGTTCTTGTCACCCAGGCTGGAGTGCAGTGGCACGATCTCGGCTCACTGCAACCTCTGCCCCCCAGGTTCAAGCAATTCTCTGTCTCAGCCTCCTGAGTAGCTGGGATTACAGGCACCTTCCACCACGCCCAGCTAATTTTTGTATTTTTAGTGGAGACGAGGTTTCACCATCTTGGCCAGACTGGTCTTGAACTCCTGACCTCGTGATCCACCCGCCTCAGCCTCCCAAAGTGATGGGATTACAGGTGTGAGCCACTGCGTCTGGCCATCCCCTTCTTTTGAATGTCTTTTTTTGGGCATACACAGAAGATGTGATTAATATTAGTGGCTTCAGAATCTTCTGTTATCTTATGGTAGTTGGGAGTTGGGACAATTTTGAAAAAAGAACTGCCAGTAACAAGGTAGCAAGTTGCCTTTTTTTTTTTTTTTTTTTTTTTTGAGGTGGAGTCTTGCTCTGTCACCCAGGCTGGAGTGCAATGGCGAGATCTCGGCCCACTGCAACCTCTGCCTCCTGGGTTCAAGCAATTCTCCTGCCTCAGTCTCCCAAGTAGCTGGGACTACAGGTGTGTGCCACCACACCTGGTTAATTTTTGCATTTTTTTAGTAGAGATGGGATTTCACTGTGTTAGCCAGAGCAAGTTGTCTTTCAAATAGGTTTTAATGGACAGCTGCCTCAAGAGTTTTTAGGTTCAAAACCCAAGAGGCCCTCCTGAGTCATGAAATTTGCTTTCTGCCAAAAAATCAGGTTCCTATCTCTTTTGTAGATATTTCTATTATCATCTGATCAGCTGAGTCGTGATGTCCCAGGGCTGACCTACACATCTATCAATCTTAATTCTGTTTAGGGCCCCACTCAAATTCAGATTTTGTTCTAACTTCTACAATTCAACACTTAAGGTTAATAGAATAACATAGTGCCTTTTACATATTAAAACATTAAAAATTAAGGTAAATTCTTCTTTGACCAACGCCCACAATTTCATTCTCTTCCTCAAGTAATCATCATGGTGGCATACAACTGTAGTCTCAGCTACTTTGGAGGCTTAGGTGAGAAGATCTCCTGAGTCCAGGAGTTTAAGGCTGCCTTGAGTTATGATTGTACTTCTGCACTCCAGCCTGGGTGACAGAGTGAGACTCCATATGAAAGAAAATAAGATAAAAAATAAAAATAAAAAATATAAGCTCTAGATGTATAGACAATAAAGATCATATATATATATGATCAAGTATATATATATACTCTGATAAGAAGTGCCAAAAGCTTTGATACAAATTAGTAGGGAGAATTCTAACTAATGGAATTTGGAAAAATAGCATGTGGATTAAAAAACTAATTTTACCTTAAAGCATAAACCATTCTGTCAATAATTCACATTTAAAGATTCTGTATTTAGTAAAATTTTAAAATCTAAGCATTCCTGACACACTTGGCAGCCTGGAAGACTATTCCCTTAGCCTTATAGTTTGGCTAATTCCATTTAATGGTCCACAAATTCAATTTTACCTGCCTACCTAGTACTATACTAAATAATTCACAGAAGTTGTATATGAAGGAAAATACTAATTCCTAAGGTGCCTGGTGGAAGTTGACGCCAGTATGCAAATTCTCTTAAATAGCTGCGTCATGCATACCAAATAAAATGTATTTTATAAGGCTGCAGGGTCCTCTTAAATAAATAGATCTGTTAAGCTAATAAAACATTGGCACAATAAAATAATCTATTTAACAGGTTTCTGGTGTGTTTTGCTAAATTGCCTTGAGAAATTTGCAATCACGGGGCTTGGAGTTTTCTAAAACTTAATGATTTGAATCATCATCAGGGATATTTAAATTTTAATGTTCTTGTTAAATACAGACTCTCCAAATGTGACTTTTTGTGAGAATGTGTTTTGCTTCAAGGTAAAGTTTGACTACAGAGTTCGACTGTTCAAATCGCATTTGGAGACTGAGTATTGGTCATTTATGTCATACTCATTAACTTGCCAGTTTTGATACTTGGGCAAGAATTTTACTTTTTCTTAAACAGAAAATTTTGATCAATTACTTCAACCGATTAGTTTCATTTGCTATGATCCAGTTGTAACATTAGAAATATTTATTTTCTACATTTATATTACAAGTTTTAAAAACATAATGTTAATTGTTAAGTAATGTGTTTTGGCTATCAAAGGCTTTTGTATGTCTTCTGCCCAGCATCCAAAATGAAAGAGAAAAGCAATTTTGTTCATTCTGCTTTAGTGATCTTTTTCCAAAACCACTGTTCCTTGAAATATGATTTTTAGCAAATGGAAACTTTAGAATTTTCTTAAAACTGTAACACGCAACTGGATATTTTAGAAAAATAATCAAGGATAATACTTAATTTGTGGCAATGTCCTTAATTAAGTCTTAATTATTATGGGTATTATTTTTCATTTATTTGTGAACAGAAAACTTGCCATTGTCCTATATCTTTTTAAGATGTCTGTAAAAGAAAAATAACATTAAGTACCAGAAATTCTGTGGTCCATTTGATTCACTTCATTGTGAGTGTTGGCACAGAGATATTGGATGGATTTACACACAATTCTTATTGGATTGTTGGCTTTCCACTTATGATTTGTTTAGTAGAGTTGAGCAGGTGTTAAATCATAAATATCCCTGGATTCCTTATTTTTCCTCTAAACTTGAGAGGTTATATCAGAATAGTCTTCCTTTTTTTTTTTTTTTTGAGATGGAGTCTCACTCTGTTGTCCAGACTAGAGTGCAATAGCGCGATCTCAGCTCACTGCAATCTCCACCTCCTGGGTTCAAGTGATTCTCCTGCCTCAGCCTCCCAAGTAGCAGGGACTACAGGCATATGCCACCATGCCCAGCTAATATTTTGTATTTTTAGTAGAGACAGCGTTTCACTGTGTTAGCCAGGATGGTCTCGATCTCCTGACCACGTAATCCTCCCACCTTGGCCTCCCAAAGTGCTGGGATTACAGGGAGAACAGCCTTCCTTTCTTTAATGTTATTTTTCTGCCTATGAAATTAATCAAAGGTTGTTGAATCTTAGGAATTTCTGAGTAAATTAAACACATGTACAAGTTCAATAAATATGTTCAAATAATAAGAAAGGGAAAAAAATAAAGCTATAAATTTAGATCAAACAGTCTAGGTGATAAGGTTTGGCTGTATTCCCACCCACATCTCACCTTGAATTGTAATAATTCCCACATGTCAAGGGTGGGGCCAGGTGGAGATAATTGAATCATGGTGAAATTTCCCCCATATGGTTCTTGTGGTAGTGAAGAAGTCTCATGAAATATGATGGTTTTATAGTTGAGAGGTCCCTGCACAAGCTCTCCTACGTGCTGCCATGTAAGACATGACTTTGTTCTTCATTCACCTTCAGCCATGATTGTGAGGCCTCCCCTGCCATGTGGAGCTGTGAGTCCATTAAATCTCTTTTCTTTATGAATTACCCAGTCTTGGGTATCTCTTTCTTACCAGCATGAAAACAGACTCATACAGTAAATTGGTACTGGCAGAGTGAGGTGCTGCTGTAAAGATACCCAAAAATGTGGAAGCAACTTTGGAACTGAGTAACAGGCAGAGGTTGGAACAGTTTGGAGGACTCAGAAGAAAACAAGATGATGTGGGAAGTTTAGAACTTTTTAGAGACTTGTTGAATGCCTTTGACCAAAATGCTGATAGTGATTTGGATAATAAATTCAGGCTGAGGTGGTGTCAGATGAAGATGAGGAACTTGTTGGGAACCAAAGCAAACATTACTCTTACTATGTTTTAGCAAAGATACTGGTGGCATATTGCCCCTGCCCTTGAGATTTGTGGAACCTTGAACTTGAGAGAGATGATATAGGGCATGTGTCAAAAGAAATCGCTAAGTGGCAAAGTGTTCAAGAGGTAGCAGAGCATCAACCTTTGGAAAATTTGCATCCTGACAATGCAATAGAAAATGAAAACCCATTTTTCTGGGGAGAAATTCAAGCTGGCTGCAGAAATTTGCCTAAGTAACAAGGAGCAGAATGTTAACCACCAAGGCAATGAGGAAAATGTCTCCAGGGCATGTCAGAAACTTTTTCAGCAACCCCTCCCTTCACAGGCCCAGAGGCCTAGGAGGAAAAAATGCTTTTCTATGCTGGGCCCAGGGCCCTGGTGCTGTGTGCAGCCTAGGGACTTGGTCCAGCCATGGCTTAAAGGGACCAAGGTACAGCTCAGGCCATGTCTTTGGTGGCTGCAAGCCCTAAGCCTTGGTGGCATCCACATTGTGTTGACCCTACAGGTGCACAGAAGTCAAGAATTGAGATTTGGGAACCTCTGTATAGATTTCATAGGTTGTATGCAACTGCTTGGATGTCCAGGCAGAGGTGTGCTGCAGGGGCAGATCCTTCATGGGGAACCCCTGCTAGGGCAATGTGGAACAGAGATGTGGAGTGAGAGTGCCCACACATAGTCCCCACAGAGACACTGCCTAGTGGAGCTATGAGAAGAGAGTCACAGTCCTTCAAAATGCAGAATGTTAGGTCCACTGACAGCTTGCACCATGTGCCTGAAAAAGCTGCAGACACTCAACGCCATGAAATGAAAGCATCCAGGAGTGGGGGCTGTACCCTGAAAGGCCACAGTGATGGAGCTACTCAAGGATGTAGAAACACACCACTTGCAACAGTGTGACTTGGATGTGAGACATGGAGTCAAAGGATATCATTTTGGAGCTTTAAGATTTAACTGCCCCACTGGATTTCAGACTTGTATGGGGCCTGTAGCCCCCACATTTTGGCAAATGTCTTCCATTTGGAATGGACGTAAAATGCCTATATCACCATTGTATCCAGGAAGTAACTAACTTGTCTTTTATTTTACAGGTTCATAGGTGGAAAGGACTTGGCTTGTCTCAGATAAGACTTTGGACTGTGGACTTTTGAGTTAATGATGAAATGAGTTAAGACGTTGGAGAACTGTTGGGAAGGCATGATTAGTTTTGACAGGTGATGACATGAGATTTGGGAGGGGCCAGGGGCAGAATAAAATGGTTTGACTGTGTTCCTACTCAAATCTCACCTTGAATTGTAATAATCACCATGTGTCAATGGCAGGGACAGGTGGAAATAATTGAATCATGGGGGTGGCTTCTCCCATACTGCTCTCATGGTAATGAATAAGTCTCATGAGATCTGATGGTTTTGTAAATGGGAGTTCTCCTGCACAGATTGTCTTGTCTGCCACCATGTAAGACATGACTTTGCTCCTCATTTGCCTTCAGTCATGATTGTGAGGTCTCCCCAGCCATGTGGAACTGTGTATCAATTAAACCTCTTTCCTTTATAAATTACTTGGTCTCAGGTATCTCTTAGCAGCTTGAGAACAGACTGATACACTAGGACAAGAGAGAAAAGGAGGCAAATATGTCAAAAACTTTGTTGTGATAAGAAAATGGATGGATGTCAATAAAAGCATTTTAGCCACTCCATATTATTTTTCTTACCTTAAAGAGGGCTGAGGAGGATTGGTTGCCTAAGTTAGAAACTCTAATTTGGCTGGGTGCTGTGGCTTATGCCTGTAATCCTAGCACTTTGGGAGGCCGAGGCAGGTGGATTGCCTGAGCTCAGGAGTTCGAGACCAGCCTGGGCAACATGGTGAAACCCCGTCTCTACTAAAATACAAGAAATTAGCCTGGCATGGCAGTGTGCACCTGTAGTCCCAGCTATTCGGGAGGCTGAGGCAGGAGAATTGCTAGAACCCAGTAGGCGGAGGTTGCAGTGAGCCAAGATCACCCCATAGAACTCCAGCCTGGGCGACAAAGCAAGACTCCATCTCTAACAAACAAAAGAAACTCTAATTTAAGGAATTTTAGGGGTAGCAAACCAAAATAAATGAGAGTTCTGCTGCAGTTGTTATGTTTGAAACAAAGCATCTGTATTTGGCTGACTTTTTTAACTGAGTAACCTGTAATTGATGAATAACTTATGAGTGTAGTTGCACCAGAAAATCATAACAATTCACACAAGCCTGAAGGGGATACATGGATACACCATGAAAATATGGAATACAAGCTGAAGAGACCCGAGAATTTATAGTTTTCCTAAATTGAGTTAGTCTATTCCAAGCACGCTCAACTCTTGTAACCACACAAAATCTTCTGTCAGTATCCATGGGGGATTGGACACAACCATAATTTTTTTAATTTAATTTTATTTTTTATTTATATTTTTGAGACAGAGTCTCGCTCTGTCACCAGGCTATAGTGCAGTGGCACGATCTCGGCTCACTGCAACCTCCTCCTTCCAGGTTCAAACGATTCTCCTGCTTCAGCCTCCCGAGTAGTTGGGACTACAAACCACGTCACCACCATGCCCAGTTAATTTTTGTATTTTTAGTAGAGACAGGATTTCACCATGTTGGCCAGGATTGTTTTGATCTCTTGATCTCGTAATCCACCCGCCTCGGCCTCCCAAAGCCTGGAATTACAGGCGTGAGCCACCCCACCCAGTCTGCTTTTTGTTTTTTTTCCAAATACTTTGATCTTCAGTTAGTTGAATCCACGAATGTGGAACCCATGGTATAGAGGGCTGACTGTACATCAAAGTTCAGAGTAATTTTGGAAATTAGCAGTTCCACCTAGGTGTCATGAAGTCTCCATTATGTTCTATCGCTTCTATTATATTTTCCTTAAAGCTGAACAAATGTCATACCAAATAAAGCTTATGTGTCCCTTGAATTTGACTATCAATTTGAACATAAGACCTAGGTTTATGCTAATTGGCTGCGAGTTGAGTCACATGAGTTATGTAACTAGTAACCAGCACAGGAGGGATTATGCAACACACAGACTGGCAGAAAAGGTGGGGCTCCAAGGGAAACAGGAGGAACAATTTAATTTGCTGCAAGAGAATGCACAGGCTCAAGACTGGGATAATACAATACACAGAAGTTGGATATGAGAGCACTGAATTGTGGAGCTTAAAGGAGAAAGATAGTAAAAGTCTATTCAAAGCAGTTAGACCTCCTCCATCCCATGCAGCAAAACCACTGTTCCTTCTTGTATGCTTTCCTCTACCTTCAGACCAAAGGCCACTGTTCAGCGGAAACTGAAGCAGTGATTCCAGTGGTGAGCTCAGATACCATAAAAACAGAAGATGTGACTGAGAACTGAAAAACTAAAACATTCAACTAAAAGCCTTTCCACTGGAGAGAAAGCCCTTAGCCTCCTAGCCTACCTCCACTTGCTCCTATAGGTCATCTCACCAGGGCATGTGTCTCCTATACCCACTTACATCACTTTTTTTTTTTTTTTTTTTTTGGCGGAGTCTTGCTCTGTCACCAGGCTGGAGTGCAGTGGCATGATCTCGGCTCACTGCCACCTCCGCCTCCCAGGTTCAAGCAATTCTCCTGCCTCAGCATCCTGAGTAGCTGGGACTACAGGCACCCACCACCATGCCCGGCTAATTTTCTGTATTTTTAGTAGAGATGGGGTTTCACCATGTTGGCCAAGATGGCCTCGATCTCTTCACCTCGTGATCCGCCCACCTTGGCCGACCAAAGTGCTGGGATTACAGGCATACGCCACCGTTCCCGGCCCCACTTACATCACTTCTAGAAGGAAATTAGAGGATTTTTTAGTACAAAAACTGGTCTTAGTAACAATATATACACGATACCAGCATTTGGGAGTTCATGAGTGAAACACATTTGATTCTGATTCCCATTCATCTAAATACACTACTGACATTTTCTATCAATGTCCAGAAAGTTTCCAATCAGTTCATTCTCCATGAATATACAGCCTGGGTTCTCCAGATATGAAATAACCAATTAACACATAAAATAGAAACACAAACAGCACACAAATACAGTGACAAAACTGGAGACAGTAGAGATAATGCAGGGAACAGAAAAAGATTCAAATCAATAAAAGAAATTAATATTCTCCACTAAAAGCAGATTGCTATTGCACACATGAAAAACAAAACAGCATAATCTAAAAAATATATAATAGAATATAATACTTTTAACACTAAAATATAATAAATTAATTGATATTATTGCTGAAATTGTTGTAGCTTTTTTTAGTCCAGTAGTTTGGCGAGCAGGAGGGAGTAGCACCCAGCGGCCTTTTCACTCCTTTAGACTGGCAAGCAGGAAGGAGTGTTATTACAGCTCTTTTACTCCAGCCGCCTGCAGCTTGGCGAGCAGGAGCATTACAGTTCTTTTGCTTCCTCAATTCAGCACGTTCCAGGTTCTTGTTCTGCAACCAAGAGGAATAAGGTACGTGTACACAGGAGAGTGAGTAAGACAGAGTAGAATTGTATTGAGTGGCAGAAAGGTCTCAGCAGCAAGAGAGGTCCTGAAAGCAGGTTGCCGTCTGCGAGGCTAAGTCCAGGATTTTTAAGGGCTTAGAATAACGGAATACATGCAAATCGGTCCATGGGTGGGCTTGGGAAAGGCACCATTCGATTGGTTAAATGGCATCATTCAGAAGGAACCAGTTGTCAGAGAGAGGGTAGGATGGCAATGGAAGTTCTCACTCTGGTCCTGGACTCTATCTGGAACTGGCAGCTCGGTTTTCAGGCTTCAGACTCTCCTTGGCCTGAAGGTTAAGTTTCACCAGGACCTGTCCCTGTCTGCTAGGAATTCATCTGTCTCCTGTCACTATAAAAATCTACCAGAAATAAGAACAAATATACTATAACATACACATATAAATATTATAATATGTAAATATTTATATTTAACATAATATATAAAATATGTATAAATATAATATATACCCGTATCATAATAGTTAATAATTTTATTTTAGTTAACAATAAAATATTTGTAATCCCAGCACTTTGGGAGGCCGAGGCAGGCGGATCACGAGGTCAGGAGATCGAGAACTTCCTGGCTAACACGGTAAAACCCTGTCTCTACTAAAAATACAAAAAATTAGCCAGGCGTGGTGGCAGGCGCCTGTAGTCCCAGCTACTCGGGAGGCTGAGGCAGGAGAATGGCGTGAACCCGGGAGGCGGAGCTTGCAGTGAGCCGAGATCGCACCACTGCGCTCCAGCCTGGGCAACAGAGCAAGACTCCGTCTCAAAAAATAAATAAATTAAATTAAATTAAATTAAATTAAAATATTTGTAAAATATATTTATAAAATGTGAAAAGGCAGGTTTAAAAAAGAAAAGGCTGGCCAGGAGCGCTAGCTCACGCCTGTAATTTCAGCACTTTGGGAAGCCAAGGCGGGAGGATTACTTGAAGTCAGGAGTTTGAGACCAGCCTGGACAACATGGCAAAACCCTATCTCTACTAAAAATACAAAAATTAGTCGAACGTGGTGGTGTGTGCCTAAAATCTCAGCTACTCGGGAGGCCGAGGCAGGAGAATAACTTGAACTCGGGAGGCGGAGTTTGCAGTGAGTCGAGATCGCGCCACTGCACACACCAGCCTAGGCGACAGAGGGAGACTCTGTCAAAAAAAAAAAAAAAAGAAAAAAGAAAAAGAAAACAAAAGGAAGAAAAGGCTAAAACAATGTAACTAATTCGCAAAATTACCATTAGAAAATAGCGAGTTCCAGAAGGAAATAAACCTGAAGTAGAGAAAATCATCAAGTTGAGCAAGAACATTGCCTTGAACAAAAAGGACACGGTCTCCAGATTGCAATGGTTGAGCAGGTAGTCAGGAAAAGCAGTTTACCCTCATCACCACTTTTTGCCAAACATTGATAAATACACAGACAACAACGTGTGCCTCTGTGAAATTATAAAACACCAGCGATAGGGAGGAAACCCCAAATTCTTACATAGAGGAAAAAAATTAAACACAATAACAATAATGACTAAAAGATCAAACAAAATAATCAAGAAAAAAATTTCTATGACTTCTAAAGATGAATGTTTACCGCTGAAATTAAATAATGTGTTCTGAATGCTGAGGGAAATTATGTCCAGCCTAGAAGTCTATATGAAGCCACATATTAATCAAAGATCATGGAGATTAAAAGTATTTTCAGATAGGGAAGTAGTAGAAAGCTAACCTCTCCTGCACGCTTGCTTAGGAAGCTACTAGAGAATCTGCTTCGTCAAAATGAGAGAGCAAAGAAGAAAGATAAAAGTCAAGCCCTAAAAGGAAACAGGAATCCAGGATGGGAGAAGAGAACAGGAAAGCTTGACAGTGACCGGGAGAGCCATTATTCCAGCTTGAAGAAAGAGGGCGCCGGTATATCTTTCCAGGAATAAGGGGTGGAAGTGATGTTATCTGATGCAATTGAATATGTACAAAACAGTATTGCAAAGTGTTTCAGAACTCCAGATGTGATCACTATAGAAACTTAAGCTTCTGGGGCAAAAAAGAAGCACTTATTAACTTTGGAAAAAAGTTATAAAAAATAAAAATGTATTCATAAGCAGTTTACTTATATGTACCTGTAAATGATTTCTAAGATCCATTTTGCAGAAAGGTCTAAATTTATAGTTTCTAGAATCTCCTTACCAGGCCTCATTACCAGGACACAATTGAAGATTACTAGCTTTCCAGTGAAATATGAGAGAATCCTCTGTCCTAGTACTGTAGACTGAGGCTGTCTGATGGGAGTTTTCCAGAGGTGTTTGAGAATTCCAGTGGCTTTAGGGAGAACCCTTGAAAAACCACTCACTTCTATGTTGCAGGGTAAGATATTTGGGGCCACTTCCCGAATTATTCCCTAAGCTAACGATTATGCAAGCCTCTAATTCCCTGTATTAATCTATTCATGTGGAACATGTGGGCTGTAGACGGATTTTGTTTTCCTGATCATGTGACAAATGCAAGATATATGAAATACAAAATGCAAACATAAATATAGATGAAACTGATAGGAGGAGAAAGACAAAATAAAGGATTGCTGTATTTTGTTTAATAACTATCGAATAATTACTTTGCTTCTTATGCTATGTGCACGTGTTATTATTTTTTTTTTTTTACCAGTATTGACCTTAAAGACTGGCTGAGCTCTGACTTTGGTAAGATTTTGGGGTTTGGGGGATGAAGTGGTTACAGTTGAGAAAATGGTAATGTCAGGAAGGCAAGCCTATGTTTTCAGCATTATATAATACTCTCATAGAGAAGTGAAATGTATACAATGTATACGGAAAGGCTTATGTGTCCTTCGAGTACAATAGATAATTATCATTATGCAAAAGTCTGCCTGTGTGAGCAAAGTTCAAATATTTATCTGAAAAAATATTGTTTATGTAGCTTTCATTACTTTTCATTGCATAATGTTCATATTATATGGTTTGTTTATAAAGAAGTACTTATTTTTTAAAAGCACACTAATAATAGTGCTCCTCAAGAGAGCAAGCATTTGTACATTTTTGGCTTTCACTGAAATTGAAGGGCAGTGTCTAGGAATTTTTTTTTTTTAAAAAGCCTTAATAACACATGACTGAAGCCTCAGCTCTACAAATACGGGATGACAAGCCCTTAGAGCTAGTGGGGTTATTTGCATGCAGCTTATGTTGTAATTTTTAGTAATACATTTGACTCTTTGCACTCTCTGATGGTAGTACATTTTATTCCTGTTGACAGCAAAAGTAATTGCTTTGAACATTGTAACAGGGATTATTGAAAAAGTTTAACAAGGTTTTCTTACTCTTCTTCTGCAGACTTTGCATTTCTTTTTACATAAATAAATGGGAAAAGGCAGAAACAACCCTGGTAGTTGAAAAATGGGAAATTGGTTAAGTGCAATACTGCTCTTTTATGGGGGAGTAAATTCCTTCATTATGTTCAATTATTTTGCATTATGGAAATTTTTAGCAGTTTTATATAAAGCATGTAGATCACCCTTCTTTCACTAATCCCTACCATTTTGAAAATCTGCTCTGGAGTATTAAAATTATGTAAAAATATTTAAAAAAGCAAAAAATCCACCAATGATGGTAGAAGTGACAACTTCAGTCTCTGCCTAGTCTCCAATATCTGCATCCTTCCTGTTCTTACAACTCTGCCATTTGCATTTCACATGTACCATCAGTCATATTTTATTGTCTACATTCAGTCATGATTTGATTTGAGGTGAATTGTGTTAATCCAGAGACATTACTCTGAGACTGAGTATTCAGCCACCTCATATCCATCTGTGACTGCAAATTCTGTTTTTGTGTTTGTTTGTTTAGTGACTTCCTTCGCTAGTTCTTTGTAGATACCATCTATGTTTCAATATTCAGATCTTGTCAGATCCTCTAGGAAATAGTCTTCAATTGTCTTTCAGAATGAGTTAGGTTTCCTTCTAAAATGTTTTATCTCCTATCCTCCTGAACATCCCTGTGGTATGGAATTTAAAGAATAATTATTTAGTTGCCTGAATAGCAGTCTGTGAAATATTTAAAGGCAAACGCCATTTAACTCTTCCTTGTTGAATCCATACCTTGGTAAGTATTAGCACATCAGAGAAACTTACAGATATTTGCTGAAATAATAAATACATAGTTGATGAAATTCCCTGCAGGTTTAGTAAAGGACTATGGGGAATAGACAACACCCTCCCGAATTTTAAGGTCCCTCTGAGCTTGTGTTTCTCTGGCCACATGACTCCTGAAGAAGGGCATGGAAAGATCTGAGGGAGGTTAATCAGGGATCACTATGCTATATTTCTTCTGCTTCAAAGATTTTTTATTTGACTTATCTTTTTAAATGCCTTCCTTCCATCAATAGACTCCATGGTCCATCAGCTGAAGAAAGTCTCCATTTTCAATCCATTCCTGTAGAGATTAAATGTGTCATACATGTGAAGTGCCTAGAACATGTTTAGTTGATAGTAGCAATCGATTCTAAAGCGCATAACTATACAAGAAATGATCAATTACTCATTCTGCATAAAAGATTTGGGGAGGCGTCACAAAGAAGGGAGAGGTTCACAGATAAATATGAGAAGAGAAAGCCTCTGGAAAGACACCAAGAGCATGTCTACAGCAGGTTTTCAATCCAGGATCCATAGCACACACTTTGAATTCCAATCAAAGGGACTTTATATTCAGTCCAATTAAACAATCAATTATTTATTGCTTACCACATTTGAGATACAGTGTTAGGAATGTAAATAAATCGATAAAGTTTATTATGTTATATTGCAATCATTTGAGATCATAAGGGTTTTTTTGACACCAAGATGTGATCTCTTCAAGGGCAGATTGATTTTTTTTTGTATCCACAGTAACTCACAAAGTTACTAGCATTTAACAATGCTGAATGCGTATTTGTTAAAATAATGTTACAATAATAATATCACAAATGTTCAAAAGAAGCTCCTATATTAGAGGAAAACAATATAGCATCTTTTAAATTGTGAAGTTTTGCTTTACTAAGTGGTACTGGGGAAATTTCACCCAGGATGTAAAAGTCTTTGAGTATATTTTCCTGACTTAATGGTGATTGATGGAAGTAGACTGAAACGGAGAAATTTGTCAGGTTTTTATACTTCTTGTAATTCACAAATTGTCTTCGTTAATAGATTTGCTTTGTTCCCCCACTGCACAGCATTAAAATCATAACCCACTAACTGATGGGAAACTGAGAGCAAATCTTAAAAGTATGTTTACTGATATTATGAATCGATTTTCCATTGTCAAATAACATGGTTCTATTAAAATAACTTTGTACATAAATGAAAGAAAAATATTACAGCTATAAACAGAATAATTTTTTAAAATAATATTATACTAGTTCAGTGTTTAAGCCCTTCAGCACTATAGTGATCTTTGGTTATTTAACTTCACCTGCAAACTTATTTCCAAATTGCCACTAACTCCCATCTTAACTCGGGTATTTCACAGGCATTTGAACTGTACTGAACTCTTCTTCCTCTACCTGTCCAGTATAGTTAACTTCCCCTGGATACATACTGATAAAGACTATTAACTCCGTCTCCTGAAGACCAAGAAACTGTTTATCCCAAATTAATGACACAATTACTTATACATAGAAAGCACCTATGAAACATTTATTAACAGAATAGATATTACAATTTCTGTAACTTTAGAGCCCAGAAGTGCATAACATCCAAATGTAACATAAGAAACAGAATGGATAAAAGGGCTTGGTTTCTTCCTTGCTGATATCACACTTATAGTCACAAGTTTACATGAAATGAATCTGACAGGAGTCACACTGTCGGCTTTCATTGCATATACTATTGAATACATCCTTAACATATTTTTGTTATTATTCTTATCCTTCATATGATCCTGCTAAGATTTATCTTGTGATATTTTGACTTGTATAGTTGTGTGTTTTAGAATCAAAGTTGAGGAATTATTTCTGGCTGTGAAATGGCTCCAGGTTGTTACAAGTCCTTGGATCTTGTGTCTGTCTTTTATTGTATTCACTATCCCTCCACCTTGTGCTTGTCATGAGTCGAGTATCACGCCCTTTGTATCTTCATTGTGATTATTGATGAACATGTTGAACTGGGCAGGTCCAAGGAGAGAACGCTGTGTCCTCACAGGCAAGACCTCCAGCTGGTTGACATCTTTCTCTGTGATAGAATAATAAATTAGACAGTTCAATCAATATGTCTGATTTGCTTTCATGTTGACACTGTTTAGATAAATGAGGAAAACTGGATAATCTTGAGAGCTGGCTCAAGAACTGATGCATTCTAGTGAGTTTCTAGATGGGGTTAATGAAGTGACTACACACGAGACAGAGCAGTCTACGTACTCACAGTTCTGAGACCAGTCTGATGGCGCCAGGTCTCCACGTCTACTCTCATGTCTCCTGCATGTCTCCTCTCAGAAATAACTTTCTAAAAGTATCTCCTGGCCACCTCCTACTCATAATATTTGATTAGGGCTGGGCGCAGTGGCTCATGCCTCTATTCCTAGCAGTTTGGGAGGCCAAGGAAGGCGGATCATGAGGTCAGGAGTTCGGTACCAGCCTGGCAAACATGGTGAAACCCTGTCTCTACTAAAAGTGCAAAAATTAGCTGGGCGTGATGATGGGCACCTATCACCCCAGCTACTCAGGAGGCTGAGGCAGGAGAATCACTTGAACCCAGGAGGAGTAGGCTGCAGTGAGCCAAGATTGTGCCACTGCACTCCAGCCTGGGGGCCAGAGTGAGAGGCCGTCTCAAAAAATAAAATAATAAAATTTGATTAGATGCCTCATATATGCTCACATAAGATACCCTGAAGTCTCAGGCTTATTTCCTTATTGTATTTGTTTTGTCTACATTTCCCACTTCAATCTGCGATCCACAAGAAATATCTTGCCCATTGATTGTATCTCCAGCTGCTCAAACTGTGTGTTCAATAAAAGCAAAGTGATATCACAGATTCATTTCTACCTTCAGATCAATAAAATAAAGTGCAGCTTCTTTATTCTTTATGACTAATTTGATCTTTCTTAAGAGTTGTCATTCCAGTGGTTAATAGCCAGATTTAAGCCTGCATTTTAAGAATTCCTCATTCATTTTTAAGTATAATTCCTCAGTCTGCTTAGTGCCCTACCAGGGCTGGCTTTAATACCATCTTCAAATAACTAATTGTCTTTATGCCATGCACATCACATTTTATCATCTCCTCCCCATAACGGTGGCTATGCGTGTAAAGAATTTGAGTCCTGATTGGCATTTGGGAAAAAGTGGTCTTCTAGTCCATAAAGGGACCTCTCATTCTCATTGGTCTCAGGGGGGTGGTTAATCTGATGCTTTTCCTATGTGGGCTGACCCAGGGTTTGTCCTAAATAGCCTTAGGAGCTGATATGCTTGCACCCATGGCAGGAGCCTGTGGTCTCAGCTATTTATTCTTGGTTGCAAACACCCTGCTGATGATGTTCTCTTTGTCACGACCCCAGTCTTTGAGAATCTACCAGACTTCCTGGAAACCTGCATCCCTTCAGTTAGATATTCAGATTCCGTTAGGTTTTCTGAAAATCCTAAGGAATCCAGGGTACTTCTGAGGTTCATCTATCTATCTGCCTCCAACAACTTCTGCTCTACCATTATATTGTGCCTTATTGGCATGTAAGCGTCTGGCAGCATTTTCTTTTAATCTCCATGAGGAATGACTCCGGCTATTCCATCTCTAATATCTTGTACCCAACCCTTCACACATACCTAACTGAATGTTTCAAATGACCCCCCTCTTTTTTTTTTCTTTCTTTTTGAGACGGAGTCTTGCTCTTTCGCCCAGGCTGGGGTGCAGTGGTGCGATCTCAGCTCACTGCAAGCTCTGCCTCCTGGGTTCACACCATTCTCCTGCCTCAGCCTCTGGAGTAGCTGGCACTACAGGCGCCCGCCACCACGCCCGGCTAATTTTTTGTATTTTTAGTAGAGAAGGGATTTCACCGTGTTAGCCAGGACGGCCTTAATCTCCTGACTTCCTGCTCCGCCCGCCTCGGCCTCCCAAAGTGCTGGGATTACAGGCGTGAGCCACGCGCCGGGCCATGACTCCCCTCTTGAAACTCGACTCCAGGTGTGCTGAGTGGAGGGGTCTCATGCTGTTTCACCTTCTTTCTATCATTGTTCTTCTTTCTCTTTCTAGTCTGGATATGTAGTGACGTCATTACTTAGATCTTGAGTTTGCATTATCACCTTAAGTAACACCCCTTCTTCCACTAGTCTTGATTTTTATTACTGCAATCTTGCTAACATGGTCAGTTGTATTCTTTGAAATTCAAAACTGAAGAATGACAGATAATTTTTAAGTCTGACTTTTGGCCTCTCACCTGAGGATAAATAAACCTCAACCTTCAGCTTTGAATATGGGGCATCCCCATAAATATAATTAAAGAAGACATAAAATTATATATAAAACATAATTATAAAATTATATATAAAATATAATTGTAAAATTATATATATAATTGTACAATTATATATAATATATAATTGTACAATTATATATAAAATATAATTGTACTATTATATATGAAATATAATTAAAGAGGAAACTGAAGCTATTTATTCAATACAAATGAATGAATAAATAAATAATGAGATTAGGAGCTTGTGGCACCTCCCCTGGGAAAGACTTCATGTCTTCTAAGTAGAAGGAGTACTTTCCTTTAGTATTTCACAGTACTCTTAATTCATTCTTCTATTTTATAGCATATTCCTTAGGTGTATTGGTTTATATATCTATCTTGTCCAATAAACTGCAACTTGCTGGATGACTGGAAAGTCATTTGATTCATCTTTGAATACCTAGTAGATAAGAAGCACAGTTTCTGATATAGAACAATGATTGATAAATATTTTATACTGCATGTATGAATTCAAGTATGTAAAGGAATAATTTTCCTAATTTGGATGTGATAATGAAACATTTATCTTTCAAAGATACTTGGCCAGTGAAATGAACTGATACAGTAGACATCTGTATATACAGAATTCAGACTGATATAATTAGACTGAAATGATAGCATTAAGTGAAATTTTCTTACTTGGAACACAATCAGGTTATGTATATGAATGAATGAATGAATATGGAAGAGGATTATTTCTTTACCTACCAAAGAATATAGCAATTTCAAAAATGAATAAATCTATCTAATGTTATTCTGCTTACACTTAGGCATAATAGTGAAATATTGCCAAAAGCCACAAAGCCAACTCTAAAGATCAAGTGCATTATCCGTACCAAATGCATGTACTCAGGCTGGTCACTTAAAGCTTAAGGGCAGTACTCACTCATAGCAGAAAGGCATACCTTTAAGGGAACTAAACCTAATCAGATAATTGAAAGTCATTTAAAGATAATTTATTGGCATCCAACTCAAGAAATGCAGTAATGTTACCAAGATCCAATTGCCCAGAATGATGGTGAATCTACATGTTGCTCAGCTCCAAATGACAGATGTACATTCTTGGAAGCTATGCTAAGAGACTTAGAATAACCTGGCTGCATGATGAAGAGAACATGCAGTGCTGTGGCAGGAGATTAATGGGAATATGGATTTAGCTGGTACTGTTTACAGATCAGAAGTATATATTTTTGTGCTACATCTACTTTGTGACATTCCAAATAGAACTTGTGGTATCGAGTGATTTCCCTATTCTCAAAATAGAGATATGAAAGAGAGGGATTACAGTCTCCTTTTTATTTCATTCTTCCTAATGTTATCTTTGGGGGATTAAGGATGACTGATGTTGATACATTGAAACAACCAGGTTAAAAGAAGTGATTTTTGAAACAGAAAAATGAGTGATTTATCCAGCTGTGCACCTGAGAACTGGGAAAATACTGATGATACTGTGCTCTGAGTTTAGAAATGTTCATTCTGATAGATCTGATATATACTGGAATCATGCAGAAAAGAGAAAAGCTATGTGAAGTCTGTAGTAAATGTCAAATTTGGAATGTCAAATTGGCATCTTTATGAATATACTACTTACTTGGAAATAAAATAAAAAAGGAAGACATATACACTACAGACTTTTTTTCTCCTAGACTGTGTCTACATATATTGAATATATTCACTACTTTTTGATAAATGAAATATATGTATAAATCTTCTACTTGGCTACTATACTATACAGTGAGTCTTTCAGCAAAAACTGATTTTGGCAGAAGATGACAGATTCACTGCAATGGGAGTGTCATCACATAGAGCAACCTAAGACCAGCTTTATAACGTTGATAAAAATGAACAGTGCATAAACTCTGTGTCCTGAGGTCCTAGCAAAGTGTCTGGTGAAACTACTTACTGCTTATAAATGTTTCCTGAATTAAATTATGAACAAAATGATGAAGTTTCAGTAAACTGAATGTTGCAATTTGTCTTAAAAATAATGAAAGAGCAAGTATTGTTGAGGGGAATTTAGATTGCACTCTTGAAAGTGGCTACTTCATGCGTTACGCATCTATTTCTTTTCCAAAACTGAATACACTCACTAATATTGTTTTATTAAATGATCACTTGCAATATGAGTTTACTTAAACCAATAATGGCAGTTCCTCTGTCCCTCAAGTGGCTAAGCTTTAATTAACTAACCCGATGTGATATGCCCTCAAGTTCACAGATTTATTTTCCATGACAGTTCCCCTCAAAAAACTGTCATGATGTGTATTCTAGGGACAGAAAATAGTTAAGTCGGTGGTTCTTAAAGTATGTACCATGGACACCAGTGGTCGACAAGATTCTTTCAGGGAGTTTGCAAAGTAAGAATTAATTCACAATAATACTAAATGGTTTTGTGCCCTTTTTAATGTGTTGGCATTTGACATGATCATGCAAAAACAATGGTGAATAAAGCAGCTCATGCTACAGTCAAATAGACAGTGGTATCAAGATGTACTCATTGATGTTTTATTCTTCACCACCAAAGTTAAAACAAGACAAGAGCTTAAGATCATCTGAATAAAACAGTAAAAAATAAAATTATCCATACCATTAAATCTCTACACTTGAGTGTATGTCTTTTTAATATTTTGTGACAAAACAGAAAGTCCTGCTACCTATCAAAATACATTTTTTTGTTGTTCTTCGAATCAAAGCACTTGTATGTTGGTTTGAGTGTGAGCTGAACTAGACATTTTTTTTTCAAGAAACAATTTTTGTTTAAAATAATCATCGGTACATAAATTTTGGCCCAAGAAAATATCATGCATTTCCTTGAAAATGAATAAGATGAGCTAAAAATATGCATTTTAAAGTTATAAGCAGGCCGGGTGTGGTGTCTCTCGCCTGTAATCCTAGCATTTTGGGAGGCTGAGGTGGGCAGATCAGCTGAGGTCAGGAGTTTGAGACCAGCCTGGCCAACATGGTGAAATGCCATCTCTTCAAAAAATACAAAAATTAGCTGGGTGTGGTGGCAGGTGCCTGTAGTCCCAGCTACTCGGGAGGCTGAGGCAGGAGAATGGCGTGAACCTGGGAGGAGGAGCTTGCAGTGAGCCGAGATCTTGCTACTGTACTCCAGCCTGGGCAATAAGAGCAAAACTCCGTGTCAATAAATAAATAAATAAATAAAGTTATAAGCATATAGATGATTTTTAAAACTGTAAGAGTAATGTCTTTTCAAGAGTGCGAATGGATACAGAAGAAAAGGAGTCAAAAACTAAATTCGAATAATTTTTTTTTTATTTTTTGAGACAGAGTCTCGCTCTGTTGTCCAGGCTGGGGTGCAGTGGCACGATCAATTCGGAGACTTTTAAAAATTGAATACTTACTGTCACTTCAAAGAAAACTAGCCAAATATGTTGACAATAATAAAACTCATATTTAAAAAAATAGAATTTTATGAAACTTGTATCTGCTACCAGGAGGTTTACAGCTTCCAAATACTTAAAGATAATTTTGACAAAATTGGTGAGGTCATTAATAAGATGATTTTAAAAGATGTTTATAATGAAATATTCCAACATTTGTCAGATCAGCATAGTTTAATAAAGCAATATTTTCCAAATAATTAATTCCTTATGGCACAAAATCATGAATGGATATAAACCTATTCAAAGTACAACACAAACCAGAGGATTTTAATGTGCCAGAGGGAAAAAAATTCACATTGTATATTGTAGAGTTTGGTGTAATGTTGAAGAAAAATATGCACAATTACCTGAAAAGACATTTAAAATACTTTTGCCTTTTCTAATACTTCTCTGTGTGATGCTCAATGTTCAGCATACACTTCTACCAAAACAATATATTACAACAGACTGAATGCAAAAGCAGTTATTAGTATTTAACTGTCTTCTGTTAAACCAAACTATTAAACCAGATTGTAAAGAAACCTGCAAAAAAAAAAAAAAAAAAAAGGCTGGGTGTGGTGTCTCACACCTGTAATCCCAGCACTTTGGGAGCAACCTGGGAGGCGGAGGTTGCAGTGAGCCGAGATCATGCCATTTCATTCCAGCCTGGCAACTGTGTGAGACTCCGTCTGAAAAAAAAAAATAAAAAATAAAAAATAAAAAAATAAAAGTAGCTAAAATGTAAAATAATTCTCTTCTGCTCACTATTTTATTTTGTTTTAGAAACTACACATATATATATATTATGTAAAACTTTAATAGATCTATCATGATTATGTTTTGAAGTATTAATTAAAATACTATTTTGTAAAACATTTAACTTTTAGCCTGGTATTAACAGATTCAGCCTACATAAATTTTTTGGGGGGATCCTCCTCAATAATTTAAAGATAATTTTTGGTCATGAGGTCAAAATTATTGAAAATGACAGATGCAAATAAAAGAAGAATAGAAAGTGCAAAAGGCATGTTAGTGAATAGCAATGGTTCCACTGGTTTGCAGGATCTACTATGTAAAGAGGAATAGCACAGGATAAGACTACAAATGTCTTTGAGCTAGATCATCATGGGGGCTGAATGCCAGGCTATAAGTGTTGGAAACATTTCAGAAATGTATTCACACGGGGGACCATAACACACTCTAATGCTTAGACCGTCTTAGTAAAAGTCAGTGGCATGTCATATATTCCTCAGATGCAAATAATGTAGTAAATTTCAGCATACTTAGTGAACCATATTCTTCTGCCTAATGAAAAATTAATTTGTAAAAATAATTTATATAATGAAATGTATGAGCAAAGTGAAGACTTATCTACATAAAATATGTTTCTGGGAAAACTGCCAACAAATTAGTAAGGGGATGTGAGTTTCTGTGCTTATTATTGGCACTTTTAATTTGGATGACAAAACAGGGGTATTTTCTGAGCTCCCTCCACTCCTTTAAAGTTGTGATATATACCAATGTACTTGGCTGCAACATACAAGTACATACAATAATTTTTTCCATATACCAATGCCAATAATATTTCTCTACCTATGAATTTAGCTTTATTAAAATATTAAAATTTTAAATGGAAAATAATTGAGTCTATTAAATACATCCCAGATTTTAAAAACTTTATACTGCTTCTGCAAGTGTGGTGGCTTCTAATTTTAAAATCCGTGCCCAATTTATTGGCTTTGAGTTTTCTCTGTTTTTCTGCATTTTACTTAAAAAAAGTTAGTTTTCCAAGAGCTTCTTGGCATTCAAGATATCTTCAGTACTCTTATGCAATTTTTCCCCTGAATGAAAATTGAGCTTTTTAAAGTCTATTAAAATAACTTATTACACAATATATCAGCTGAAACTTTTTTTTATTATACTTGAAGTTTTAGGGACATATGCGCAACGTGCAGGTTTGTTACATATGTATACATGTGCCATGTTGGTAAGCTGAAACTTAAAGTTTGAAATTAATTCCTCAAATGTAAAAGAAAAAAGCGCTGAATGGGTAAGATTCCAAGCAGAAACAATCAGGAAAACTATATTTAGTTACTCTGGACATAGTTTGTCTAATGGGGAAATGATACATGATATTTAATTTCACACACAACAGATTAAAATTGTTCTCATTTTTGCTGTTTATCCCAGCGCTGTATTTCTCTCTCTTTAATTCCTTTTCATATCACAACACCTGAGTGGAAAGAGATTTACTTTCCACAAACCATGATGGTGAGTTGGGAGGGGTTTTGAAAACCTTGGTCTTCTCCACAATGACGAGTGGTTAGGTGGTAATAAAATAGAGATGCTACACTCAGTTTGTTGTCGGTGGGTGCTCAAATAATCTTATATCCTAAGTAAAGGTTAATAAAAGATTTTATTGCATTATGAGAGTAAAATATAATGAGAAAATGTTTTATATGCATGTTGGTAAAGATACGACGGGAGGTGTTACTCTGAAACCAGGTTTGCCAGAGATCAAGTCTCAGAGGTTTTGGTAAAAGGGGTTGTGTGTGTATAGCAGAGCTTGGTAGAGACCCTAACCTTGTTTCTTATGATGGTAAAATATAAGTTAATTAAGTTTCCAGGCGTAGGGACTGTTCTGTGGCCACTTGTCTTTCACACTCCAACTATATACAGCTTACTTGCTGAAGAGAGATCTTTCAGCTGATTCGATTTATTATATGATGGTTCTTTCCCTCAGCTCAGAAAAAAAAATGGCTCACATTAGGTGAGAGGATTTAAAGGTCTGATTTCCTTTGGTTTCCAATTCCCTGCTTTTACGGGAATAAATAGTAAACAAATCTAACGTGTTTAAGACAGTATTATATGGACAATAAATACAATATGCTCTTGCAAAAGTAAAAAATATTTTTTGCCTGAGTCTCAGTGAAAATTAATACTTTTTTGATAACACTATGAGATTAAAAAGGAGGACAATCTATTTCGTGTGTTTTTAGTATTATAATGTTTTGTAGCTTTTAAAATTATTGTTCTTCGGCTATAGTCCTGGATAAATAATTTCATATGGTGGGTAGGCATTTTTCAATAATAAAATGCCAAAGAGGTAAACCACAGCAGGGGTGAGAGGGTGGCGATGAAAATAGAATTTAATTTAATTTTTCTCTGATATTAAAGGAAATTAGGTAGCCATTAAAATAAGAAATAAAATTGTTTAAAATGACCGTATATTTGAGGATTAAAAATAAATATGAATTTTTTTCATAGGATTTGCTGAATGTTCCATCTGTGAAATATTTACTCTTTCTGTTTCCATGTTACCAAGTGACCAGTGGAACATACGGTACTGATATCCTTCATATATATTAGTCTCTGATGTCTTTTGAGGTTTATGCAATTTACTGTTTAGTCATGACTACTGGTAGTTGAGAAGTGACTGGACTCTACAAATGGCAGCATTATTTCTACACATTGCACCCTTGACACAAGTAAAGGTTACATAGACAGAACTCAAATTTAACCTCTACTTGGACTCTATTCTCTCTTTATGCCCAGCATTTTCCATAGAAGAAAGGGATGGATAAGGATCCCTCTGTGTTCTTCCCTATATGCACAGAAAGTTTCTTGAGATAATGTTTTTGCTATAGCATTAAATATTTAAACATGTGAGGAAGAAAAAGTATATCCTTTGGTGGAATTGCCAAATAAAATAATGAACATATTCAATCATACATTTTATGCATGTGTTGGCTTGCGTTATTGCTTTCTATCTCATATAGACTTACTTTCCTCAAAGTGAGTTCAAGCAGTTTCTGTAATACCTCGATTAGAAAGCATGATTCAATGAATAAATGAATGAATAGATGAAAGAAATAAAAATGGCATAATATAGGATAGAATATTACATAGCCATTAGATATCATGTATCTGAGAATTATCATGTGACATGAAAAATATTTATGTTTAAGTAATTCATAAAAATACAAGCACAAAATACACCTGCAATAATAAGAACTGAAACAATGAAAATATTAGCTAACATTTATGTAGTGTTGTTTCAGTGCCAGGAACTATTATAAGTATATTGCTATACACCAACTCACATAATTCTCTCAATACTGTACTGAGACACAAATAATTCCATTAGCCTGTCTGTTTCACACAAATAGTAAGAGGTGGATTTAAATATAAGATGTTTGATTGCAGGTATGCCTTGCAAACTTTTATGAAAATATTTAGATTTTTTTCTGAGAAAGATGGAAAAGTCATTGGCAGGGTGTGAGCGGAAGAGTGATATAGACAGGCATGTTTTAAAAAGAGTCATTCTTAATAAAACCTATTCACGGGAGTGTAGTTTTGTGGTGGGGCAAAGACAAAATAAACAAGATCCAGTTTAATGGCCTAGAAGTAGGAGATTACTATGGTTTAAAATATAGTGTTAACAATGGAGTCACTGAGAAAATCAGACTCTACATATATTTTGAATGCATAACCAATAGAATGTGGTAGAGTATGTGAAAGAAATTCAGGAGTCAAAGATTATGGTTTGTATTTGGCCTGAGCTACTGGAAGCATAGACTTACCTTTCCTGTATTTACCTAAAAGCTGCTAGCCTGCCATAAAAGTGAAATGACATCTTAAAGGAACATACGTGCTGCTCACTTGAAGCTAACACCTTCGAAGCAATCGTTGTGTCATGATCTTTCCCCAAGAGGAAGAATACACAGCTCTGGAAACCAAGGGGTAGGAGTGGAAGTGTTTGATTCAGCGTCACTCTCAGTGATCTCAATGATCCATTTCACCTGTCTGAGCATCCAGTCCCAGGAATTTTAAGCTCTGTACAGCTCCAGGTCTTGGTTGTCATAAAGCAACCCTTCCATCAGGGGGCATAGTAAGATTTCCGTTAAACTTAAAGCTATGGTAGAAGCCCTCATGCCAGAACACCAGAAGACCAGAAACATTAGCCAAGAGAAGGGGAACCTAGAATGAGACATGGAGGAGGGAGATGATATTTTTAACCTCAAGATCAAATGTGGCAGCAGGGAACTTTCTTTGACCCATGAACTCTACTTTTGCGAGTTTTCCTAGAAACTGTAATTAACTAAAATCCAGAAAAAATAGTGTCTTTATGAAGTAAACTTAATGAAATAAATAAGTTGAAATTAATAAAAGGAAGTTGATCTGAATGTGCAAAAGATACATTGTTATAGATATTATTGGTGTCCTGGCCAGATCACCTTGCCAGGTTTATGCATACACCCTTTAGCTACGCTAATAACACATAGCTGCCATCTTCTTTGGAGCCTACCTACAGCCCAAAGGGAACTGCCTCATTCTGGAAGAGGTTATACCCCTGCCTCCAAGAGTAGGAGGGGACCCCTGGTCAGGAACTTGATAGTGTGATTTGTACTCCAGAGCTCTTCGTGGGATCAAATAGAATCTAATCTTCAGTTAAAACAACATGTGTGCTTAGTATTGTATCCCCTTGATCACACATCCTTTACCTGAAAGTACTCCCTCAGTACATCACTTTTCTCAGGCTGTCTGGTGAACCCAACCTAAACAGGGCAATTAATGTTAATGACAAGATGTAGGGAAAATCCATCTGAGAGAGGCTTCCCTTAAGTATGTTGCAGAGTAGAAGCTCTTGCATTACAAATGCTGAGTTCTTCCGAAGTTCATATGTTGAAACCCTGCCACCTAATGTGATGGTATTAAGGCGTGGGGTCTTTGGGAGATAATCAGGGTTCACTGAGGTCATGAGACAGAAGCGTCATGTATGGGTTAATGTCTTTATAAAAATCCCCACAGAACTTGGTTACTCTCTCTACCATGTGAGGACACAGAGCAGACTGCCATTTTTGAAGCAGGAAGCAGGTCTTCCCCAGACACCAAATCTGCCAGTTCCTTGATCTTGAGCCTCCTATCTTTCAGAACTGTGAAAAATAAATTTCTATTCTTTATAAGTCACTTGGTTTATGATATTTTGTTATGACAACCCAAACAAACTGAGAGAGAATCCAACATCCATTCGCTAAGAAAGCATTTAATGACTACATAAGACAGGTATAAACAAAGTTCTGTGTGAGAGCAGAGGAGCAAATTGGTTTTGGCTGGGCGAGACAGGGAGGAGATGGGGTTTCAGTTGGACATGTACAAATGGAAAACATTGATTTATAATGAAAGAGGCACAGTATTCTGGGTGAAGAAATACTGTGAATAAGACTAGAAGGCCTTTAATGCCAGGATAGGAGATTTGGAATTAACATTAAGCAAGAAGGAATCCCAGAAAGTTTGGAAAAGAAATATTGTACTTATGTGTGATATATTTTGACAGACCAACTGAATCATGTTGAGTAGAAGAAATTAGCTAAAGAATGACTAGAAAAAAGAGATTTATTTCAATCAACTCAAGCTATGATAACGGCTTGACCTTGATGATGCTTGCAGAAATGAAAATAAAGGGAAAAATCTAAATAATATTTTAAATGCATTTTTAAGATCAACTGTCTAAAGATATAATTAGGCTTCATTGGAGTGTTTGTGAGCAAAACCTGGACAAATAAAATTTGAGTTATTTGCAAGAAACATGTTAGACAGTAACTCAGAGTAATAATTTTGAAAGAATTTGAATTCATGATTTAAGAGACAACTAGCTACATGGATATGAACGCTTTGAAGGAGAGTGAATAAAAGCAAATAGAAGAGGGTTACAGTCAAAACTTCTAGGGAAGGTTTTTAAGGGAAGGTCAGAGAAAGTTGCCACACATAAGAAGACGAAATTGAGCTAATGTAGGGGTGAGATACTATCAATAGATCTTTTAACAAACTGCAAATTTGAAAATTTAAAATTAGGCCAGGCGCAGTGGCTCATGCCAGTAATCCAGCACTTTGGGAGGCCGAGGCGAGCGGATCACAAGGTCAGGAGTTCGAAAACAGCCTGGCCAACATGGTGAAACCCGGTCTCTACTAAAAATAGAAAAATTAGCTGGGCGTGGTGGCGGGTGCCTGTAGTCCCAGCTACTTGGGAGGCTGAGGCAGGAGAATAGCTTGAACCTGGGAGGCAGAGGTTGTAGTGAGCCGAGATCATGCCACTGCACTTCAGCCTGGGTGACAGAGCGAGATTCTGTCTCAGAAAGAAAAAAAAAAAAGGAAAAGAAAAGAAATAAAGAAAATGTAAAGTTAAAGTTCAGGCAGTTAGGTAGCATATAACTCTAGTAGGCTTTAGAACCAACATGGTGACAAAAAATATTTTTGGGAATCAGGTAATTTGTATTTGTGGTACCTTGGCTCTGTGTTGCTTAACATCTTTGATATTTAGCTTTTAAAGCAAAAATAATAACATCTACTTAATAAACACGTTTGATAATTGAATGAAATAACTCATATATAGTGACAAGCACAATATCACCCATCCCCACCACCCCATCAGAACTCATTAAATACGTTCCTACCACCCCAGCTTCCTTTCCATTTCTCTTCTCTCTTGGATCACACAACCTCCAGCACACACTTTGATATTCTTCTTTTCCTTTCTAAAGCAATTAGTTTATAATCGTACTCTCACCATCTGTAAGCACAATATTTGTGATGACTGTATGTGTGAGCATGAGTATATATGAGTGTCTATGTGTATATTTGTGTGTAGAATGATATTTGCATATAATGTATCATTTTCAGTTTTAATTAAGAGAGAGTAGAATATCTTCCTTTGCCATAATTGGATGAATGAATAATGAAATCTCCAGAAAAAAAGCTAGTGACAGGTCATTGAGATAGTTACACAAATTCTGATATATAGTTTTCTAGTGCTTTGTGAATGTTAAAATCCCATCACAGATTTTACTTGCCTATTTTTGCATTGGTGACATCTGAGGACACTCTGCTCTCTTACTTTTGATTATTTGTGTCATGGATTTTCATACCTGGGGCAATTTAATTCTGAGGCAACTAAACAAAATAAAGATTGCCTGTACATTTCAGAGATACTCAATCACAATGGGATTAAGGAATTAGCAAACAAATGACTGCTGTCTTGAAATAAGTAAAAGTGAGTGGAGACCTATCAGACTTTTGGCAGCTCTACTGAGAAGGATGAAGACATTGCAGCAACTTACAGTAGTACTTATTGAAGAAAGAAGTAAAACAAATGTCATACTTGACATTTATTTGTACATTAATTTAGCAACTTGTTTTTGGCATTTCTTATCATTTCTCAATATTATCTTTTTTTTTCTTTTGCAATACTTGTTTTATTTTTCCAAGCTTACTGACAGTTGAATAAATGACACCAAATAAGTTGTCAAGAGATTCTTGGCTTTTCCTGAACCTCCTCCAGGAAACCCCTTCTAATAGTGGCTCAATTTCCGTATGTAGACTAAAATATACTGGATAGTCTTTTCTTTTCTTTTCTTTCTTTCTTTTTTTTTTTTTTTTTTTTTTTTTTTGAGATGGAGTCTTGCTCTGTTGCCAGGTTGGAGTGCAGTGGTGCGATCTAGGCTCACTGCAACCTCTGCCTCCTGGGTTAAAGTTATTCTCCTGCCTCAGCCTCCCGAGTATCTGGGACTATAGGTGCGTGCCACCACACCCAGCTAATTTTTGTATTTTTAGTAGAGACGGGGATTCACCATGTTGGCCAGAATGGTCTCAATCTCTTGACCTTGTGATCGCCCACCTTGGTCTCCTAAAGTGCTGGGATTACAGGCATGACTATTAATGTGATTATATTACTTCAGTGTAGTATTATAGAAAAAAATAGACTGAAACCTTGCATCCTGTTTTTGAGACATACCTTTAGTCATAATAAATTATGTGACTGGGAACAAGTAATAGCTCCAGTTTTCTGGAAACAACGGAACTTGGGGAATTCTAAATTCCCATAGGACTCTCTAACTCTCTGATCCTGTATGAAGTAATTAGCACTTTACAAATTTTACCTCTTAGGTAACATCAGGACCACAGAGAAATAGAAACAGGATAATTTGATTTGCTCATAGCAAAGGCTGTTACAAGTAAAGCATAGCATAGTATTGAAAGAAAGCCCAACAGAGTCAGAAGGCAAAAATTTCAGGACTTGGGAAACATATCAGATGATAGCTTTAGACTGGTCGGCAGATCATGTCTAGCTGGGAGACTTTCCAGTAAGAGATACTGGCCAGTGACAGAAGCGAGATGCCAGAAATGGTTAAGCCAAGATTAAATGAGCACAGTTGCTGGTCTATTGGATCCAGAGCCAGCACGAATAACTGTGCACATCAAGGTGAATCTAAAACAATGAACACAATTTACTCAGTTTAAGGCTTGATAAAGTCATGGAATGAAGTGAGAAATTAGCAGTTTAGCACAGCGTAGAAGGAGGAATTCAAGACAGGGGGCCCTGTAAATAAAAATATCCTGAGTTTCTGTTATTCCTGCTAGGATAATGTTTGCAATGCCTTCATCAGTAAATGTAAAAAAGATCCGTGCAAGTTTTCTGACAAACTTGACCTTACTGGGCATGTCAAGAGATAATTAAAGGGAGAAGAGTGTTGTGATAAGGCATAGAAAGTTTACTTGGAGCAAATAAATGTTTTCCTTATTTTAAGGTCATTTTGGCTTAGAAAAATTCAATTTAATAATAATTAGGGAAATGTTACCTTAATATCTGCCAAGACACTTAAATTTTATGAATACCAGAAATCTTTCATTTCCTGAAAAGTGACTACCTTGCTTTTTATCTAATAATTATAATGAAACTTTAAGTGAGCCAGATTTCAGAGAAATTGAAAAAGAGGGAGAAACCGAAAAAGAGGGAGAAACCCTGCAAAGTCATTATCACCACTAAGAATGGAAGCACCAAACATGGCTTTGTTAGTACACCAGTAAGTTGTGGAGAAACACTCTCCTTAGCTAGAGTAACAATAATCACATCTCAGAAAATATACATCGAATATCCAAATGCTCCTTACCTGTGTAAACTCTCAACTGAAACTTAGAGTAAAATTAATAAGTATTTAATTGTACATTAGATATTAAAACTGCAAATCCTGGCGGAAAATATTTTAAATAGCTACCTCCATGGTTAAGAGTTGGCATAGGGATAAGAATTTGTGTTGAATATGCTAACCGAAGGACTATACAGTACTCTTGTTTGCAGGTTTTGGTATCAACTCAATTGGCTCTATGGTCTTCCAGGTGCTCAGATTAATACTTTGGTTCAAGCTCTCTGAATCTCAAGCTGTGCTCTTGCAATTACTGGGAAGTCAGTTTCTGCCTTTAGTAGAATGTAGCTTGTTTCCTGAAATATCACCACTGTTTTTTTCTCTTTCCTCTTTACTCTCAAGACCCAGAAACCAACCCATCATTCTGTTCACAAAACCAGGTCCATATATTCTCCTTATTGAAGACACATCTTAGCTTCACCATGGTTCACATTCCAAAACACATATTCTAATTCTTGTACTCTTAGGGGGAATAAAACACTCTGCAGTCAAGCAACCCTTTTGTCTATAACCTAAAAGTAAAAGAAATTCACTATCCTTCAGGGGCTTTGCATTGGATTGACTGTATAGTTGACATTCAACTATTTTTACTGAGTAAATAAATGAAAAATCTCAAATATAAAATCCAAACATAAAAGTTAAAAAGTTTTATTTACCCACATCGATTTTCCACTTTAAATTATATCACAGTATGCCTTGTTGAAATGAAGAGTAACAAAACAAGAAAAGCCGTATTTTCCCACTCAGCACAATCTCTTGCAGCTTTTAGTTTCTTTCTTTTTCCTCACACTTTGCCTTATTGAGCATGACATCAAGATCCTGACTACTGGCCTGCTTTTTTATTTTGTCCAGATAAAGGTTTATGAAATGCTTATGGACTTCCACAGCATGGGGGAACAATAGCATAAAGAAAGCTCTTAAACACATTTACAGATTTAACAAAGCTGGCTAACATCCTCATTTCCTCTGTATGGATTTGCACTGAACCTCTATTACTGTATTTTGCACATACCAAAACTTGAAATTGTTGCATTTTAAATAATTTAATCATGATAAAGTTAAAATTTTAAATTCAAACTACTAACTCAGTCCATTTTGGGAGCTGGAACCAGTAGATAAATTAGAATAATAAATGTAGGTATTGACAAAACCTAAAGAAAGACTTTTCAAAACATATTCAGGAACATGTTTATAAAGCTGAGGTAAGGGGGTGCTACTCAAAAGCTCAATCTCTAAATAAAAAATATTCGATAGGGTGATGTTTTTTTATAAATCGTAAGCTAGTTTAGTTAAACTTTAGGAACTGCTATCATGTTCCATGGTTACATATTATTTACAGAGATATAAGTTCCAAATATATGCAGTTTAACATTTATAATTACTACTTTCTGATGCTGTCAGTAATGCACATTCATTATTTCTGAATAATCAGAATGTTCTGAAAAATCAGAACACCTCAATTTGTAAAGAAAGTGATTGCCAAGTCATGCTGGGGCCGTGTTTGGGTTGTCCAAGTCCAGAATTTGAATTTGAACTGCCATATAAAGCTTCCTTCTGTGATCCAAATGTTCGTGTCTCTTCAAAATTCATATGTTAAAATCTAATCAATAACGTGACAACATGTTGAAAGTGGGCTTTTGGTTGTTGGTTAGATCATGAGGGTGGAGCCCTCATGAATGGAATTAGTGACCTTATAAAAAGAGGTCTCAGAGAGCTGCCAGGGAAACAAATGTGGGCTGAATAATTGTTCTTCCGTGTTTCACATTGGACTACTGGAATTACCATGTACAGAGATTGCTTTTGCAGCTTATCCTCTATCAAGCTTTATGGGAAAATGCCCTCCTGGATCTGGGTCCAAAAAAGTAAGCCAGATGGAAGGACCAATACGCAAAGAATGTGAAGGAAAATAGAAAGGAACAGCAGAGTTTGTTTTAACAGCCAACTGGTTGAGAAATTATCACTGCCTTGTTTAGAAACATGTATTTGTAGTTACTTGTTTGTGACACATTATCTCCAACTGGTCTAAATGTCAGGAATCTTTTTGTTTCCTTCTCTGTCATGGTTTTGTGTGGAAGTTACTCTTGCCAACACTCTCCTGGCTTATATGTGTGGCTGAAACAACTGTTTTCTCAAATCCCCATCTAACGTTGGATCCACTGCCAGTAGCCCTAAATTTAGACCAGAAAGCTGCTTTTAGAATTTAGCAAGAATATTGCACTCCTGACATTAGCCTATATGCACAACTTTTCCCCCATTAACAGAGTTTTGAAGCTCTGTTAATGTTTAAATGTCAATGCTTTATTTCAGCAGTTGTTTTATATTCAAAACCTTTTGAAACTGAAAGGTTTAGGGGAAAATATCTTCTTCAAAATAATTTTAAAAGTCTTAAAAAGATGACTGTTGTTCACATAATAGTGTCAACAGTTGCCTACCAATTTTTCTTCTGTATAATAAGTATGCCTTTTTTCTCTTTCATAAAACAGTTAATTTTGTTTTCAGATTTTGAGGAACACAAAAAGCTTAAGATATAAACATTGGTTTATACATACATAAAGATATATGAATATATAAACACATATATAAACACACACACACATATATATAGCTTTCTTAAGCATTTTGTGAAGATAATTTAAAATCAAAATTTTACAGTAAATTAGATGGTTTTAGCTAAAAAGGCCATTATTTGTTATTTATCGTAAGTAATAAATTGTTACCCTAACACATAGTGGCTTAAAACACCAATTATTCTTTATCTCAGCATCTATAGGTCAAAAACTCAGGTGTAGCTTAACAGGGTGGCTCGAATTCAAGATCTGTCCTGAGGATGCTATCAGTACATAGGTGGAGATGGTAGCCATTTCCAGTATTGATGGCAACCATTTCCAGTGAGATCCCCTTTGAGCTCACTCGTGTGGCTGTTGCCTGGTTTCTCCATAGAATCACTCATAAATAATTGCTGGCTTCTTCCAGAGGCAGGGTTCCAAGGGGAGGGAAGAAATAGCTAGGAAGATAGAAGACACAATTATTTTTGTAACTTAGTCTCAGAAGTGACATCTTATTACTTTTGAATTCATCACTTTATTTGCTAGCAGTGAGTCACCATGAAGTTCAGTCCATAGTCAAGGGTGTGAACACCAGAAAAGGGTTTGGGGAGCTATTTTGGATGTTAAGACAGGTCCATTGTTTTGCATGTTTGTTTTTGTTGGTTTTCTTTCACTCTCTGCTAGGTATATAATCCACAAATCCACAATTCAACTTTGAGATATATAAAATATGCCTCAAAATTGAACTGTAAACTTCTGATATTTTGAAATGTATTTTGGATTCTGAACTGCCGTTGTATTGTCACAATTACCACATTCATTTACTTACTCTGTGTATCCTCTGTCTTTATCAGACAGGAAGCAACACTAGTACTTGCATTGATTCATTCATTTACTTACTATGTGTATCCTCTGTCTTTATCAGACAGGAAGCAACATTAGTACTTGCATTGATCACACCAAGCATGCACTGTATGATCTCTTCACAATGCTTTGTTATGTCTGTAGTATTAGGCCATTTTTGAAAATTAAATCAAAGGTATTTTTCCCCAGTAGTTATAAAATAGATTGTATGCATTTCTACCTATTTTTTTAAAATATCAGTTATGTACATTCTTCATGTTAATTCATGAATTGTTCTTTGGCAAAATTGAGACTTAGGTATAGAATTAATTACACCTTGAAGCTTTTCCCACCCTTCCAAAAGATATTAACTCTGAAAATCACTATGTCCATGGAAATTCTTCTGGGAAATGCTATAGTTAATTTGTTTGCTTGTTTGTTTTTCTGAAATTACATTGATGCTTTCCACCCATTATTCATGTATTCTGTTTGCTACACAATTATTCATGGTAAAAATGTCATTTTAGCAACAAAAAAACACAACATGTTAATTTAAAAAACTGGAAGTTACTTTGAATTCTAGTATTTATTTTAAAAGTAATAGAAACTTTTACTTATATTTTATAGTGTTTTGTAATTTGTGAGATGTTTTCTCATGACTTTTTATTTTTAATGATTATAAGAAGCTTATTCAGAGAAATAAGTCTGCTCTATTTATTGTTAAAGAGACTTAATCAGACGTGGCAAGAGACTTAATCAAGGTGAGAAAACTGGTGAAGATCATAGGCAAAGTTTGCAACGAGTCTTGACTTTAAGTCCTGATTAGTGCCTACTTCAGTCATTTCCTTAATAATTACACTTGCTAATTTTCTATTGCCTTTATTAAGGACATTTTTTGCAGGTATTTTTAGGTTCAATTATATTGACTGAAGTAAGAAAAGTAATAGGTCTTATTTCACTTAAACTTGAGAAGTTTCTTTATCAATGATTTTCTCCTTAACACCTTCCTCCAAATCCCAGCATTAACAGAAATGTCTATGGATGGGTCACAACACAAAGATACACTAATATTGACCCTGGATGTCACAAAAACCCATCAAAAAATACACTTTTACTGTATTCTTCTGTCTTCCCATTGAAAAATTAATACCGACATTCATCTCATTGCTCAAAACATGAAACTTAGAGAAAAACATCATCCTTTATCACTCTCTGTAAGTTACCTCCACATCCTGTCTATCTTTCAGGTCTTTTATACTTACCTTGAAAAAAACACAGAACATGTGTATTTCCTTCTATCTCTGTAGCAACTACCCTAGTCCATGCTATTGTCAGCTTTTGATTATCTTATTCCTAATTAATCTCTTGCCCTTGTTCCTCTACAAACCGTTGCCACTCAGCAGAGTGGTAGCATAACAACAAAGACCAAATCATATTACTTACCCTGCTTGAGGTCTGTTAACATATTCTCATGACACTTAATAAAAACCCAAATTTTTGACTGTATTAATATAGGCAATTCTGGCTAATGTAAAAGATACATCTCAGAATTGCAGTGATACAATACAGTAAATGATTATTTCTTGCTCACATACAGTAAGTATTATTTTCTTATTATTTTGTAACCCTCCTCAAAAGGTAAATCAGTAGTCTAGACATTTTAAGTAAAGCCTCCATCAGCTTCCACAGATAACTTTCAAGGTTGCCATTGCTTGAATGTAGACAGAGCATGGAGGATCATGAATGGGAATTCTTGCTGATCAGGCCTGATGAGGAAGAGATCTGTTTCTTCAGCATTCTAAATTCACCTCTAATTTACTTGTTCGTTTGGCTTTGTCTTCAATTCAGGACTTCACTGGTTTCTTTATACAATTCATGTTTCATCTAAATTGTGAACTTCTTAGAAAGAACTTTCCTAACAATGAAATAGAACAACTCCCATTTTCTTTCATAACCCTTATTTATTTCCAGATTTTATCACAATTTGAAATTATCATATACATTTGTTTTTTCACTCATTTATTGTTTTTCTCCTTGACTCCCTCTAAGCTTCCTGAGAATGGAAGTCTTGACTCTCATTCTCACTGCCCTGTGTTAGTGCTCAGAAGAAAGACTGAAGTTTCTTGGGCCCTTAGTTAAAATTGTTTTGAATGAATGAATCAATCAATGTGCATATGAAACTAATACAGACAGGAGACAGGGAAATACTGGATAGAAGAGGGTGGTTCCCCAGCAAAGACCACACCCTCAAGCCTGGAGACCTGTGGCCCTAAATTGGGAGAGGCATTCCTGTTTTTGTGCCCAAAATGTTGCCTTTAGCCCTCCACATCCCGCAATCTTGTACCCATAAAAAGGCTCCAGAAGCAGATAAACAGATGAGAAGATGAGGAGGTGAGAAGACAAGCAGTTGAACAGGGGAATGGCATGGCAGAGAAAGAGAGAAGAGAAGGAATGTCTGAACGCTGAGAGGCGTTTGGCTGGGGGCAGTCAGAGAGGAGTTTGGCTATCCAGCAGAAGATCACTTGCCCACTCAATCCCCCTTCCAGCTCCCCATCCATCCTGTTGAAAGCCACCTCCACCACTAAAGAAAACCTCTGTATTTATCCTTCAAATCTGTGTGTGACCTGATTCTTCCGGGGTGCTGGACAAAAGCTCAGGATATAGAAAGCTGTCACACTGGCCCTCTGCCCTTGCAGAAAGGCAGAGGGGCCGTTAGTCTGTTTTCACACTGCTAACAAAGACACACCTGAGACCACTTAGGTGGTCTGTGGATGGCAGAGCTAAAAGAGTATTGTAACATGGGAGTCACAAGCTCCCACCCCTGCACACTGCTGTGGGGCCAGAGCCCAGTGCGCTGGCTCCTGCACCTGCCTGTCTGCATGTCCCCACTCCTGTCAGAGGTTTGAGCAATGGTAGTGACCAAATAGATGAAACACAGCCCATCACCTGTCCTGTGAGGCTGATCAGGGAACTCTCCCATTTCAAAACTAATCATCATGACTACTGAAAAAATATAATCAAAAGAGCTTATTCTTCCATGTCAACAAAATTAGAGATAGGAAGCACAAGAAAACTTTAAGGAGAATCTCAAAATTTGCAAACTGAGTTAGAAGTTGATGAAGGATAGAAACTGGAGTACCAGACTACTTATCCAGTCTTTATTTAAGAACTATGCAGCAGTTCTAATTAGCAGTCAAGTATTTCCATACATAATATGCACTAATTTTTCAGGAGACATGTCTAAACAGGTTCTTAAAAGACTTAACTATCCTTCCTCATTAATATCTCCACCCCCTTTATTTTTGCTAAACCAAAGATCTATTAGTATAGATGCAAGAGAAACTGAAGTACAAAATTAAAATCACTATCTCCAATCACCAAAGCTATTTTTTCTATTTTAATTTCTCTCTGGCAGTCAGGATTCTTTAAATAAACATATATCTGTGAATTTATGTATTTCAGATATCAGATTTATTATAATAAATTGGCTCATGTGATTATATGTATATAGGATTATATGTATATATTCTTATATATAATCTACCTATATTCTTATATATGTTCTTATATATAATCTACATATATTCTTATGTATAATCTACATATATTTATATATAAATTCTTATACATAATTACACACACACTCACATCAGATTTGTCATAAGAAATTAGCTCGTGTGATTGTGGAAGTTGACAATTCCTGAAGATTTGCAAGATAAGTCAGCAATTTAGGGCTTGAGATAGCCAAAGGTTTAGTTCCAGTCCATGTCCAAAGATCTGAGAACCAGGAGAGCTGATGATGTACTTCCAGGCTCAAGATCCAGGCTCAAGACACTGGAAGAGCCAATATTTTAGGTAGAGTCTCTGGAGGCAGGGAAAAACTGATGTTCCAGTTCAGAGGTAATGAGGCAGGAGAAATTATCTCTTAACTTGGGCTTTTTGATCTATTCAGCCTTTCACCTGATTGCATGAAGCTGACCCACATTAGGAAGGACAACTGCTTTCTTCAGTTTACCCATTTAAATGTTAATCTCATCCAAGAACATCTTGAGAGACACACCACAATAAGACTTGGCCAGATATCTGGGCACCTCATGACCCAGTCAAGTTGACACATAAAATTAATTATCACACGAAATTAGACAGGTTTTATAAGAACAGCAATAAAAAAAAAAAAGCTTAGTTTGTTGATGATGTGCAAAAAAAGTGCTATAATTTGAAAGCATTATTATTTAGTACTTAACTTTGTAAAATGTCTAGCTGTAAAATAATCTGTAGGGTTACATTTTTTCAGATAATGTTTATCATTAAAAAAATTAAAAATGAATGTTATTCTCACTTAGCAAAAATATTAATATTAATGCTAGTGATATTTATTAAAATATCTAGTATTTGAATTTAAATTCTTATAACAAAATTTAAACATAAGAATTTAAATTCTTGTAACAAAAGAAAAATTCTTATAATAAGACAGGGCAGCTATAACTAAGAAATGCTTTATAAACAAATCAAATTGTATTGGAACAAAGATCTCTAATTGTCCTTTCAAGGTCTAGCTAATAACTCCATTATTGAACATAGTTAATTTCTGCTCTAGTAAAATAATATGAATAGCCTCAATAATTTGCCCAGTCTCTTAGACCTTATGTAATTGGGTTGTAAATCCTTCTAACGAGGTTGGCCCTTTGCACATCTTGAACCAGCTTTTTCCTGATTTGGCTTCTCTTTCGGTTCATATATTTTAGTAACAAGATCTAAGTGGTGTGGTCCCTAGAGAATGGGCTCTATGTGGGGCAAATTTAACTCATTATAATATCTCAAATTCTCAAGCAGTATTTTATTTCTACATTTTCCAATACATGGGCTTGGGTGATGAAAATTTGCATTATGTAAGGAAGCAAAAACATTTGTGATGTGGCAAGAACAACACTCTGAAGAAAACTGATAAAGTAAAACATATGTGCCAAGAATCTGCCATAAGCTTTAGCTAAGTAGACAGAGTGAGGAATTCCAAAGCTGCATTTCATATGTAACTGAAAAAAAAATGCAGACTGTAGAGTAGGGAAATTGGAGAATTTCCGTGGAGGATATCAATGCAATAAAACTACAGGGACCTGTGAGATATATCAGGAAAAACAATGTCAAGTGAGTGCCTAAGAGACACTGTGGGAGGCAGGGTAGTGGTTGACGACAGGAAATTTAGAACAAGAAAGATGTGTGATTCACATCTGGCTCTTGCTATTTTCTGTGTGGCCTGAGAAAAGTTACCCAGTCTCTATGATTCCTGTTTTCTTATTTTTATTTTTATTTATTTTTTATTAATTTTTTGTTTTTTGAGATGGAGTCTCGCTCTGTTGCCTGGGCTGGAGTGCAGTGGTGCGATCTCGGCTCACTGCAAGCTCGGCCTCCCGGATTCACGCCATTCTCCTGCCTCAGCCTCCCGAGTGGCTGGGACTACAGGTGCCCACCACCACTCCTGGCTAATTTTTTGTATTTTTAGTAGAGATGGGGTTTCACCATGTTAGCCAGGATGGTCTCAATCTCCTGACCTCATGACCCGCCTGCCTCGGCCTCCCAAAGTGCTGGGATTACAGGTATAAGCCACCATGCCCAGCCCTGTTTTCTTATTTTTTAAATGGGATTTATTAAACCTAAGTCAAAAGGTTATAGAAAATATAGAATTAAATATACTGAGTAAGGGCATAATAACTGTGATGTGTTACTGCTGCTCATAATGACAATTGTGATGATGATAATGATGATTCCTGAGGAACAGTTACATGCTGTCAAGCTATTTAGGTTTGATGTTTTTTACATTATCCATAACAACTGTTGATGTAACTTTCTTCTGGCATCAGACATATTTGTAGACTACTTTTTTTTTATTTATAGAACATAAACTATGGTGTTTTCTGGTTTTAGTTTTGTTTTTTTAAAATTAGATACCTCTCATTTTGTTGCCTAGGCTGCAGTGCAGTGGTGCAATCATGGCTCAATGAAGCCACAACCTCCCTGGTTCCTGTGATCCTCCCACCTCAGCCTTTCAAGTAGCTGGGACTACAGGCACAGACCAACACACCCAGCCATTTTATTTTATTTTATTTTATTTTATTTTATTTTATTTTATTTTATTTTATTTTATTTTATTGTATTTTATTTTATTTTATTTTATTTTATTTTATTTTATTTTATTTTATAGACAGAATCTTACTATGTTGCTTAGGCTGGTCTTGAACTCCTGGGCTCAAGTGATCCTCCATCCTTGGCCTCCCAAGGTGCTGGGATTATAGGTGTGAGCCACCCCACTCAGCCTAAACTGGCTTTAATAGTAAGTCTATGCTTAAGTACATATCCCTTAACAATTTTACAACATTTTTATTGAAAATAGTTAAAACTGCCCTTTATACACTTTAATTTAGATGCAAGGTGTACTGAGCATTAAATAACAGCTAAAGACTATTTTGCTCTCATTAGCTGATACCACTTTGGGTCAAAATACATCCATCTCCTTAAAATCAGATTAAAATGAATCTTTTTATGTGGAAAATTAGCCCAGGAAGGCTATAATACAGGTATATCTCCTGGAGAATGACCAGATTGTAAAATAGTTAGAATTTTAGTTTTACTGACTGTTTGGATTATACCGCTGTTTCATACACATAGGACAAACAACTGAGATTTATATGCCTACCATGGTAGTTAAACCAGATATCATCATGATTCATTAGCTTGCTTTGATCATCAGTGGCTCAATACAATTTCAAAAATGAATCCAATGGATCTTGCACCTTCTTTAGGTAAATGTTACTAGGGCTTAAGGACTGTCAAACTCCCAACTGAAAACCTCCACCATCTATTTTTATTCTCCTAAGACAGGGGTGGGGATTGATGTCCAGAGATCACACGTTGGGGAGGATTGGAATTGGGCCTGTGGTTGAGAGACAAAGGGTCTGAAGTGAGAGGGTCTCCATAGTCTCCCTTTTGATTAGCAGGGCAAAGGCAGCATCCTGTGGAATACCCCAAAGGATTCTGGGCAGCAAGAGAGACCACTTATCTCATTAATCTATTGATTCACTCATCCATTTATTCTTCAACATACATCTCACTGAAACCACTTAATGTATTTTCCCCTTTGTTAGGGATTTAGATTGTTTTTGACAATAAATTCAGATAATGACTCTCCTGCCACTCCACCTTAAGATTAAACACTACTTTCAATTCAAGGAAAAACCCAGGCTCTCAGAAAAAAGTTGAAAGCTGAAAAAAATTTTCTTTTGTTTAGAAAATGCAACTTTCCTTTATAGGCTGACAGAACTCAAAGTCTACAGTAATTAATCAGCAAACAAAGTGGTATATAGGTGAGGTATTTCTATTTTGAACTTTGATAGTTACTTACATTTAAAAGGTATAACTCTCCTTATATGGGTGCCTATAAGTATTTCATTTCCAGCTAAGGTAATGAGTATATTAGAAAGGAAATGTATATAAAATTATTATAATTTAGTTGCTTTAAAAGGGCAAATTTGGAAAATACAACAAATGAGCAGTTAGTTCTCTTAATAGGTGAGTGAATGAGCTGCAAGAAACAACATGCACTTAAGGTTTACTGCAGTTTCTTACTAAGATCACTCCCATTCCTTTGATTAGAGTTAAACTACCTTGAAGTCCATAATACATTCATCACTATAGAAGTGAACACTGAACGACGTAGGGGAACAAGGGGACAAAATATAAGAGGCTGTCAAAAGAAAGCAGTTCCAGCCACCACCACACTTTGGAAAGCACGAAAGAGTGATCTCTTTTTTAAGCAGCTGCTTCTTATTTTTATTATTTTTATCAGTTTACATGTGTCAACAAACTGGGCATTGAAGAATTTTATACTTTTAAAAATAGATCATGAACAGAGAGGTTAAAAAATTGTGGAAAATGTAGACGAAATGGCCAAAGATAAAGAATATGAGACTTGACATGGGTATTCGTATTTCTTGATTTTATTTTATTTTGCTTTGTATCCTTTCACATAGGAGTAGAATTTGGCTAGAAATATACACCTGATCTGGAGAGATGGGTTTGCTTAGGCAGAATTTTGTAACATCTCTAATTAATAATAATATATCTGTGAAACATCAGATATCAGTTGGTATTAAAATTGAAGGTGCAATTTCCACATAAATGACATTTGTGCATTCTTAGGCCTGAGGTCCTTCCCAACTTCCTTTCCTTTTCCTTTTCTCCCAGACACCCAGTGCTTTATACTGGTTTCAAACTGTTAGCTTTTGCCCTAATAAAATCGAATTTTCAATTACCTCCTATTCTTATCCTATAAATGGCATCCTTTGATATTTCTTTCCTTGTTTTCAACAATTCAAATTATGCTATAGATTTCTCATTCTTCGTCGGAATATATTTCACCTGTGGTCTTGCTGGAATCATCATTCTTTGTATTTTGTTCTCCATGACAACAAGCCCGAGCATTTAAGCTGTGCTAGGCCAGTGATCACACCGCAACCCTTTGGGAGGAGCAATTGACTGAAACCTGGGCACAAGGACCCAGACATGGTGAGAATCATCCAATGGACTCTCCTGCTGGAAATGGTGGGGAAAACTGTCTTCATTTTGGATCACTAGCTGTTAGCATACAGGGTTATGATTTACAGAAGTCATCTTTCTCAATGAGGCAAAAAAGTTATCTGCAACAGGAATTAAAAAAAAACCTGGAAGAAAAGAGAAGCACAGATAAGCAAAACTGATAAAGGCAGAGCCAAGATGATATTATTTTCATTTTGATTCTACTGCTCCCTGAGACAAACATCTTTGTTACATGAACTAATAATTACTTTGTGTTTTTGAGTTAAGTTTGAATTGGGCTTCTGTAGTGCATATGTGTGAATGAGTTAACCCAAACCAAAGCATCTATATTGTTAATCAAATAATTAAGCTGTAGCATTTGTAGGAATGTAAATTTATAGATAATTAAGATATGTTTACAGTATATGTAAATACTTATTAAGATACTTTATAATACACTTGTTTAATTTGCATAACGTGCAATTTCAGAATTAATATTTTCAGAAATTTAATATTCTTAGAAATTTTATGGTAATTTTTTATTTTCTTTAATAATTATTATTTGGGTTTTTAAACACAAACATTAACTAATTTAGTTATCTTTTAACAATCACACAGCTAATAAATATTGAAGTTGGACTTGAACTCAGATGTCCTAATTCCTGTTTTAGGACTCTTCCTTGATACTAAATATCCCTTTCCTTTCAGTCACCCCTTTTCTATTCTGAATTTTTTCAAACTCTAGGCCACTCCTCTTTCACTGATATGCTGGTTGTTCAGCAATGGAAAGACTCATGATTCTGTTATGTTCCCCAACCTCCCTTCACAACTTGCCCCACACATACACACACATTGTTCTATGTAGAATCACCTCTGCTGTAGAAAGCGAGAATGAACTAAGAGGATGGTGAAAATGCAGACCTACCAATGGCAAGCTCATGCCAACATAAGGCATCCTGTGTGTGCAACTTACACTTGATTTACAGGTATTGAACAAGTTTAAAAACAGTGGAATTGTATAGAGAGTTATATCCTCATATGAAGCCTTGTTCTTTCAACATAGAGCCTAGGGCACTTTGTTAATAAATTTAAAAATTTAATTAAAAATAACCAAAAAACAGCTTCTTTTCAGAAGACATAGGTTCTTCCAAGATGAATGGAGTCTGAACGTATCTACCTCATCTGTTTTTATTTTCTGCTGCTTCAAAAATCAAAATTTAGAGAATGTTTTACTTTCACGGATAACACAAAGAGGAAGATGTATTTCTTGGCATCAAAGATTGAAACATAGAAAGGATGATGGAAGGTGCGCAGAGAAATAGAATGAGAATGGGATGCAAACAAAATGCCCCAAAGCTTTTTTATTAACTTAGTTTCCAGTGGAAAATATCAAAGTAGGTGTTTTAGTCATGTTTCACCCCAAAAAAACAAACTAATAAGACACATAGAAAGACATATAGGAAGTGACTTTTTTGAGGGATTTGCTCAGGCAATTATGGAACCTGAGAAGTTTCAACATGTGTTCTCTAGAGGTAGAGGCCCAGAAAAGCCAGCAGTGTAATTTCAGTTCAAACCCAAGGGCCTGAGAAGCAGGGGATCAAATGCTGTAAAAGTCCCTAGCTCAGTCTGAGGGCCTGAGAAGCAGGAGCACTGATGTCTAAGCACAGGAGAGCATGGATGTCCCAGCTCAAACGAGCAAATTTGCACTTTCTTGGCCTTTTTGTTCTATGCTTGCCCTCAAAGGATTGGATGATACCCACTAGAGTTGGTGAGGGTGATCTCCTTTTTCAGCCTTCAGATTCAAATGTGACTCTCTTATGGAGGCACCTTCACAGATACACTCAGAGATACATTTTTTTTTTTTACCAGCTATCTGAGCATCCCTTAGCCAAGGCAAGTTGACACATAAAATTAACCATCTCAGCAGGTTTTAAAATTGATTATAGGTTCCTGTAGTAACGGAACATATTCTGCCATTGACTCTCATGTACTTTTCCATCTCACATCAAGAATATTCTTCTGGAAGCCCTGAGATTAAGCTCCTCAGACTTTCTGCTACAGAAAGTATTCTTGACATAGAGCCCTGGCTGCTTTGCTTTTAAATTCATTTCAGCATCTGTGCCAAAGCATTTTCCCCGACAGGCTGATCCCTGTGGATGACTGAGTGTGACAGAGAGACTAAGATCCTAGGAAACATGGGATCCCTTTGTCAGCTGACTTGTGCTCAAAAAAATCTTTGGCATTTCAAATGAATAGTTCTTAGGCTGCATGGCAGTCCAGGATGGGTCCAGCCAATTTTCTCTTTTTCACTTTGGGTCAAATTTGCTTTGGGCTCTTATGGCTCTTCCAGGTTCCCCCTATTTATTTTTCCCATAGTTATTTCCCTAATAAAACCCAAACACATTTATTTATTTACTTATTTTTTGAGACAGAGTCTCCCTCTGTCACCCAGGGTGAAGTACAGAGTCATGACCTCGGCTCACTGCAAACTCTGCCACCCTGGCTCAAGTGATTCTCTTGCCTCAGACTCCTATGTAGCTGAGACTACAGGTATGTGCCACTGCCCCTGGCTAATTTTGTATTTTTAGTAGAGAGGGTTTTTTGCCATGGTGGCCAGGCTGGTCTCGAACTCCTGACCTCAGGTGATCTGCCAGCCTTGGCCTCCCAAAGTGCTGGAGTTACCAGAGTGAATCACCATACCCCTGGCCATCCACACACATTTAATCCCATATTAGCATCTGCTTCTAAGAGAACCTGGATTAACATAGATGCATACAGTGGGTGCCCAGCAAATATTTGCTCCTGATTTTACCATGATCAAAAATGACAGGGTAGACCTCATCATGTATTTAGTTTTGGAGTATTGAAGTAAGAGTCATTTATTTTTTGATTATGGCTTCTAATCTTTAATATTCTTGGTGAATTGTGTTTTGTTCCTTATTTTGAAGCAAAATACATTATTTTATATGTTCTAATACCTAAAGACTAATTTATCACTCTACTTTTCATAATATGAATGTCAGGATGTATATTTCTTTCCTTAAAAAACTAAAAGTGCATGTGTTCTAATTTTGTTTTACAGACACGTTAGCACTTATGCTGGCAAAAATTTTGTCTACACTTAATGCCAGCATTTCAAAACACTTTCGTTATTAAAGATTTGACAGCTGTGAATTTTTGTAACTTATAGAAAATTTTACAATTAAGACTAAAGCAAGCATTATAAATATATAAGTTAAAAAGCCATATGCTTAAATGTAATTCATATGAGAATGCAGCAGTTCATAAAGAATTGACATTATCTTTTTAAACTGGTAACACTTGACATTCATCCATACACTGTAATTTTAGCCTCATAGACATGTTCAATCAGAATGGTGTGATGAAATTTACACACTAAACAAAAAACTTCACATATTCTGCTGATTTTCCTCAGAATGTAAGAAACACATTTCTTTTCTTCTTCTTGGCCTTTTCTCCTTTTTTTCTCCTGTCCTCGTGGATTTTCATCACAATGAAAAGTCAATTTCCTTAAGCAAAAATTGTTCGTAGCTTTGTGGACACATAACATATGCACTACAGTAAAATAGCTGAAGGCCTGTGTGCTACCAAAGCTTGCCACGAAAGTTCAATGTTTTGGTTGTTGGGATAGTGTCTGAGAAAGAAAAAAAAACAGTATTAATGACTTTAGCCAATATTAGCTGAAGTCACAAGTTTCTTATACTAACAATAAAACCATATCTATTGGTTGTACATGTCTCTTTATCCCATCTATCAAAAGCTACACATTTTCCTTTTTGAGGTAGGCAGTTACAGTCCTTTTCTTTACTACAGTTGAGAGCAACTTAATCAGGTTTAGAGGCTATGAAATAATATATAATGGGGCAAGATGACTGGTCTTCATCTCTTTTGTCTACTCGAAATACTGCTGCAAATGTAAAGACCTGTGAAGCTTGGTCAAGCCACACTTCACAAAGCATCGAATATATATTTTGAACACACTTGATAGCAAATAAACAGGACAAAATAAGTTCCTGTAATTTTAACTAGTGTCATTTCTTGGTGAGTATGGAAATACCATATGGGGATCTTTAAAATGACCCTTAACCCTGGAAAAGAATTCTAATAGGACAGCAAAGCAATCTCCCCAGGAGGCTGCCGTGTACAGCCAAGTACCTCTGCGGCTCAAATGGCCCCTTTTGACTCCACTCAAAACGGTTTCATGGTTCCTTGCAGTTAATTAAAAGCTATTTAAACAAGATAATTTTCTTCTTCCAGGATTCTGGATATTTCCTTTCAGAAATATTATAAGGGGTTAATTGTCTCCGCGGTTTCTCATGGGCACTTTACTCTGAGCTTTGCAGGCCTTCTGTGATGAAGGTGCCTTCCTAACTGTTCGAGGCAAATCTCATGGCAGCCTTTATGAGGCTTCTGCCTGAGCGATAAAATCCTCCTTGTTTCTAAAGAGCCACTTTTCATTTCAGGCAGTCCCTGTGGAAAGAGAGATACATTTCCACAAATGTGGGAGGTTGGTAATGACCACTTTTATGACCCACATAATCAAATCTCTCTTTCTCATCATGACCTCATATTCGCGTATCCCAGGCTGAAGCCACCCAGGCGCTACCCCCACTCCCACAATTCTGTTAAATAATGAAGCTGCCCAGCCAAGCTATAGACAGAGCTGTTCAGCTGTGACATAAAAATGTACTGTTAAAATAAGCTTCCCTTTTGCCTCAACAGGATACTAAGTATCTAAATTATTTTCTCTTTTCTTTCTTTCTTTATTTTTTTTTTGTGCGACAGAGTCTCTCTTTGTTGACCAGGCTGGAGTGCAATGGCACAATCTCAGCTCAGTGGAAACTCCGCCTCTTAGTTCAAGCGATTCTCATGCCTCAGCCTCCAGAGTAGCTGGAACTACAGGTGTGCACCACCACAGAAGGCTAATTTTTGTATTTTTAGTAGAGATGGGGTTTCAATATGTTGCCCAGGCTTGTCTCGAACTCCTGGCCTCAAGCAATCCATCTGCCTTGACTTCCCAAAGTGCTGAGATTACAGGCGTGAGCCACGGTGCCCGGCCAGTATCTAAGTTCTTTACATTTCCTTGTTACTTGTTTCCACTTCAAGAAGCATAAGATAAAATTAACCCTACTAGCTAATTAAAACTCTTATTCAGCCCGACTCTGACAAACCTCGTTAAGCAAGAAAATGTGTTGTCTGGATTCCTATAAAAACAAACAAAAAATGCTCATATCTTAGCTAGTCACTGGCATGAGGAATAGAAAGCTGACTTTTAATTCTCATTCATTTGTTTCTAACCCTCAATCATTTATTTATTATCTCTTTCCTCTGCATTTTGCCTGTATGTGACTTGGTTTTTCATTCAGCTCTAAACATTTGCACAGCAATGTTTCCCGTCGTACTCAGAACAAATGTCTATTCCCTTCCCCACGCCTCCTTGTCACCTTTTAGGAAGAGGCTCCCAGGGAAACCTCTCCAACCAATCTAAGTCTGAAAAGTTGAGAATATGCTTTCTAACGAACGACTACATCTATATGTGTTCCAATTTTTAATTAAAAATATTTTTTAGTTTCAAAGAAGCAAACTTGTAAACAATGTTTAAGTTCTTTCAACCTAAAAGTATTTTGAGGTTGTTATATCTGCACATTGTCTGCACAACGTCTTTAGCTACTGACCAGTGAGTGATGGGTTCTTCCAAGTTCCTTTCTCAGCTATTGCCTTTCCCTTCTTTACACGTGCTCCTCCTCCTCTTCTTTCTCTTCACATTTTTCTCTTTTTACCTCTACACTTGCTCCAGAGAAAATCTCAGATCTTTTGCATCCCTTGTTTTTAATTCCATCTTCTGTCAACACTACACTGACAATTCCAAACTTAGGGCTATAACTCAAGATTCCATCAATAATGTGCAGTTTTCTTATGTTCAGGAAAAAAAAAAAGAAGACTGGCCAAGCTCTCTATGCTATGGAGTGGGAGGGGGATGATAGAAGGCAGGAGAATGACTTGCTCACAGATATGGTTGATAAAGTTGGATTAAAGATATTGATATTATCAGGCAAGAGAGCCATGGTCAAGGTAGACACAAAAGTCAAGATTTCAGGTGCAAAGATTAGAAGTAGTTGTATCATGGGAAATGAGGAAGCAGTAATGCTGAGTATGATAGGCAGAATTCTAAGATTGCCTCACGACTTCCACTCCTCAGGTGTACACATCTTGTTTAATTCTCTGAACTCTGAAAGTAATAGATTTTACTTGCATGAGTAATCTGATTTAGCCTGTACTATAGGGCAAGGTTGACCATGAGATAGGGAGATGATCCAGGCCTAATCACATGCCCTTTTAAAGCATAGAGTTTCCTCCTGCTGATTGCAGAAGGGAAATTGGAGACCGAAAGCAGACATATTTATGTGTTCTTGCTGGCTTGGAGATTATGGAGACCGCAAGACCACGGACAAGAAATGTAGGTAACCTCTAGAGACTGAGAGCAGCACTTGATTGACAGCAAACATGGGGATGAGGAATGGTCTCATAATTGCAAGGAGCTAGATTCTACCTACAAGAACGAGCTTGGCAACACACATTTCCATGTAGCCTAACAATGAGAATTCAGCCGGACTGACACTTTGATTTCAGTTTTATGATACTGTGAACACACAAGCCAAACTGTGCTGGAATTCTGACCTGGAAGTATGAGGTATAATGGCTATTTTTTTAAGGTGCTAAGTTTGAGGTAATTTTTTGCAGCAATAGAAAACCAATATACATAAACCAGAGAGTGAAAATGGCCAACTCTCAAAAGTAGGCTTTTATGTAGTTGCAGCAGTGTCTGTGCAAAGGTAGGATGGCACGATTTAAAAAGTTGAAAGCAAATTCTATTATGGAGTGTATCTAACTCTTTAAGTCCTTCCTAGAAATTTTTATGTGGCTATAGAGCCAGAATCTTAAAATCAGTGTGTTTGAAAGCTACTTTCATTCTTTTGCTGTCCCTTATTGGCTACACTATAATGTGCCTCTTTGGCAGAAAAACAGACCCCAAAGATATTCATATCCTTAGCCCTGGAACCCCTGGATGTGTCATGTTCTATGGCAAAGGGGAATTAATATTGCAAAGGGATTAAGATTACTAACCCATTTATCTTAAAGGGAAATGCCATTGCAGTGTTACTCCAGTGATACTTGTAAAAGAGGAAGAGGGGCACATAAGAGTCCAACCAGAGAGATGGCATTGTGAGAAAGATGCCACCTGCCATTTCTGACTTTGAAGATGGAAGGGTGTTATGGGCCAATGCATTAGTTTGTTTTCATGCTGCTTTGAAGAAATATCCAAGATTGGGTAATTTATAAAGGAAAGAGTTTCATTGACTCATAGTTTTGCATGGCTGCGGAGGTCTTAGGCAGGAGAGAGAGAAGTGCAGATCGAAGGGGAAAAAGTCCCTTATAGAACCATTAGATCTTGTGAGAACTCACTCACTATCATGAGAACAGCATGGGGGAACTGTCCCCATTATGTAATCACCTCCCACTCGGTCTCTCCCCCGACACATGGGAATTACAATTAGGATTAAAATTCAAGATGAGATTTGGGTGGAGACTCAGAGCCAGACCATATCATTCTGTCCCTTGCCCCTCCCAAATCTCATCTTCCTCACATTTCAAAACACACTTATGCCTTCCTAACAGATCCCCAAAGTCTTAACTCATTTCAGCATTAACTCAAAGTCTAAGTCCATAGTCTTATCTGAGACAAGGCAAGTCCCTTCTAACTATGAGCCTGTAAAATTGAAAGCAAGTAAGTTACTTCCTAGATACAATGGAGGTACAGGCATTGGGTAAATATGCCCATTCCAAATGGGAGAAATTGGCCAAAACAAAGGGGCTAGAGGCCCCATGCAAGTCTAACATCCAATAGGGAATTCATTAACTTTAAAATTCCAAAATGATCTCCTTTGACTTCATGCCTCACATAAAAGTCATGCTGATGCAAGAAGTGGGCTCCCACAGCCATGGATAGCTCTGCCGATGTTACTTTGCAGGGTACAGCCCCTGTTCTGGCTGCTTTCATAGGCTGGTGTTGAGTGCCTGGGGCATTTTTAGGCACACAATGCAAGCTGTCAGTGGATCTATCATTCTGTGGTCTGGAGGATGGTAGCCTTCTTCTCACAGTCCCATTAGGCAGTGCCCTGGTGGGAACTCTGTGTAGGGGCTCCAACTCCACATTTCCCTTTCACACTTCCCTAGCAGAGGTTCTCCCTGAGGGCTCTGCCTCTGTAGCAAAATTCTGTCTGGACATCCAGCATTCCTATACATCTTCTGAAATCTAGATGGAGGTAACAGATCTCAATTCTTGTCTTCTTTGCAACTGCAGGCCCAACACTATGTGGAAGCTACCAAGGCTTGGGGCTTTCACCCCCTGAAGCAATGGCCTTAGCTGTACCTTGGCCATTTTTAGCCATGGATGGAGTGGCTGGGATGCAGGGCACTAAGTCCTGAGGCTGCACACAGCAGAGGGGCCCTGCACCAAGCCCAGAAAACCATTTTTCCCTCTTAGACCCCTGGCCTGTGATGGGAGGGGCTGCCCTGAAGATATCTGACATGCCTGGAGACATTTTCCCATTGTCATGGTGATTAGCATTTGGCTCCTAGTTGCTTATGCAAATTTCTGTAGCCAGCTTGAATTTCTCCCAAGGAATATATTTTTTCTTTTCTACTGCATTATCAGGCTGCAAATTTTCCAAACTTTTAAGCCCTGTCACCCTTTGAATGCTTTACTGCTTAGAAATTTCTTCTGCCAAATACCCTAAATCATATCTCTCAAGTTCAAATTTCCGTGGATCTCTAGGGCAGGAGCAAAATGCCTCCAGTCTCTTTGCTAAAGCAAAACAAGAGGCACATTTATTCCAGCTTCCAACAAGTTCTTCATCTCCATCTGAGACCAGTTCAGTCTGGACTTTATTGCCCATATCACTATCAGCATTTTGGTCAAAGACATTCAACAAAGTCTCTAGGAAGTTCCAAACTTTCCCACATTTTCCTGTCTCCTTCTGAGCCTTCCAAACTGCTCTAATCTCTGCCTATTACTCAGTTCCACAGTTGCTTCCACATTTTTGGATCTCTTTATAGCAGCATCCCACTCCTGGTACCAATTTACTATATTAGTTCATTGTCATGTTGCAATGAAGAAATGCCCAAGACTGGGTAATTTATAAAGGAAAGAGGTTTAATTGACTCACAGTTATGCATGTATGGTGAGGCCTCAGGAGACTTACAGTCATGGCAGAAAGGGAAGCAAATACGTTCTTCTTCACACAGCCGCAGGAGAGTGAAGTGCAGTGGGGAAAAGGCCCCTTATAAAACCGTCAGATCTCCTGAGAATGCACTCACTGTCATGAGAACAGCATGGGAAGACAGCCCCAATGATCTAATCTCCTTTCATGAGGTTCCCTCCCCCAAAATGTGGGAATTACAATTTGGATTAAAATTCGAGATGCGATTTGGGTGGGGACACAGAGCTAGGCCACTTCAGCTAAGGAATATGAACAGAGTCTAGAATTTGGAAAATGCAAGGAAACAGAATTTTTAGAATGTCCAGAAGGAATGTAATCCTGCTAACACCTTGATTTTAGACCAGTGAGACTCATTTTGGACATCTTACTTCCACAACTATAAAATAATAAGTCATGTTGTTTTTAGGACACTTATTATGTGGTAATTTCACGGTAACAGAAAACACACAGCTTTTTATTTATTTGTCTTCTTCTACGTTAACAGTATCACCACCTGTTTATCCATGCCAGTTACAAACCTCAGCATCATCTCCAAGTCTTTTCTTTCCCACATACCTTGTATAACATATGGACAAATCCAAAGGATATTCTTTCCTATCACTTGTATCCATTACTTGCACTCCATTAACTACAACATTATTAGTGTAATCATTTATCATTCCTTGACTGGGCTGTTGCAGTCATTTCTGGGATCATAGCTCACTCCATCTGTCAAGCTAATGTCAATGCTATTTTCTAAAGTTTTAAAATGTGATCAGAGCATGTCCCTGGGTCACAAACTAACAACAAATATAGCTTTTAAATAAATTTGTTTACCATAAGTATAATAAAATTTCTTATACTGCCTAAAAATTGTTCAAATCTCTGAGAACCTTTTGGATACCTAAATGCTCATTCCTGTAAATCTTATTTTTGCAACTTGAAATGGAGTGTTTCTCTTTACTTATCAAGTAATCTGAATGTTTTTCACCATTCTGTTTTTTTATATATATAATTTTTATTTCCCATTTTTTTCATCCTAGTTAAGATGACTATCATTTCATACCCAGTGTAGAAAAAAAATTTCTATGTTTTATTCATGTGTTTCTTAAAATTCAAAGAATAACTCCTAAACATTAGCCTCACTAAATCTACAGCCTTTCCTTACTGATTCTTTTCCCCAAATAGAAAAATTATCTGCATACTGTTAGTCAGTAACATGACACCAAATGCTTCTAGTCAAATATCACTGTGAAACTGGTTAACTGTGTTTAAAAATATTATTAGGGAGGCCGAGGCAGGTGGATCATGAAGTCAGGAGATTGAGACCATCCTGGCTACCACGGTGAAACCCCGTCTGTACTAAAAACACAAAAACTTAGCCAGGCGTGGTGGTGGGCGCCTGTAGTCCCAGCTACTTGGGAGGCTGAGCAGGATAATGGTGTGCACCCAGGAGGCAGAGCTGGCAGTGAGCTGAGGTCTCTCCACTGCACTCCAGCCTGGGCAACAGAGCAAGATTCCACCTCAAAAAAAAAAAAAAGAAAACACTAGTTAAATTTCAACCTCCATAATCTATGTTAATGAGACAGTATATTAATCATTCTAAGCTTACGAATTTTTTCTGTAGACAAGGATTTTTTTTTCACCAGTATAGATCCAATAAAACCATCATAGGACTAAAAAAGTCTTGACCACACTTTACTGGAAATGAAATACATGAACAACCTGCAGAAGATGATTATAATGTCCTTTTAGTGCTCTAGAAGTATCCCCCAACACTGACCTCAACAAATATCTTAATTCAGTTCAATGTTTTCTTTTTAAATGATTACTCTTGGCTCCTATAAATTATCATGTTTTATTTTATTAATTTAGGCTGTATTTCACAAATATACCTATAATACATTGAACTGTTTCAGGTAAAAAGAAGAGTCATTTCTCCTTCCATTAATTTACTTAAATCATTTGCAATTGCCAATATTTAAATATTTTTGATTGATAAAGTTTTCTATTTTATGGAGTTGAATATACCATTAAGTTTAATAACTTCATGCACCTACAATTGCAGATGCCTATTTGCCAATCTCCCCAATTTCTTAGTTTTCACACCCTTTTTGTACACTATTGTAAAACCAAAGTTTCACTTATATTACCTATGTACTCAAAAACTCATCACCAACGTGAGAAAATCACAAGTCAACCTCTCTTTGTCTACTCAAGTCATAAAAACCTTTGAAAGTGGAAATTATGTTTTATTTCTGTTTTCTAAGGTTTACATTTACTGAGATTTACATGGTATCTTCTCCGTTTTATACCAATAGAAATAGTACAGTGCTGTAATTACATCCTCGTACATAGGACAAATGTATTTGCTAATATATATCATGAACACATAAAACATAATTAAAATTACATACAGTCAACTGACTAGATTAAAATATAGGGAAAAGGTAGAAATAAAACAGGGAAGAGGTCGAATCTGGACATTACTGAGATATATGAACCAATGAACTCTTTCCACTAAATCAAATATCAGAATTCTATGAATGGTATAAATGAATTATGAAAAGATCAATTAAAAGAGTGTAAAATAATGAGATATTTACCCCACTGAGCATAGAGTTCATGGGCTGTTTAGTATATTGGAAATAATGGCAAGGACAAACTACTGATTTCTGTAGAAGGTTGGTAAATGTCCATAGATGAAATATTCTGATTCAGAGAAATGTACTTCAAAGAAACGTAGGTCATAGAATAAAGACATGAGGCAGGCAAACTAATATCTTATTGATCATATGGAGATAAAATAGCTTAATGGTTACAGTCTAAAAAAACTGGACTCAACGCTTATGTCTGGTTATGATTTTGTGACATTGAGAAAGTAGCTTGACATCTGTGTCTATCCCTTAAGAAATAATGGTAGTGATGGGTTTCATGAGAAATCAAAAAAGTTAAACTATTCACAATGATTTATATCTACATTGACATATTCTTGGAAAATGTCTTCAGTTAAAAGGTAATTATGCAAATTTTAGTCACATAAAATGGAAATGTAAGCTATATTTATATATGTTCAAAGGAGTATATATATACACACATAACCTTTCAGATCAGTGTAAGTGGTCCACTTACTAGCCCACCATTCATATAATGCTATATAATGAAAATGTGGAGAACAAAATAAAGAAATGCTGACATTAATGCATTTGGAGAGTAATGTGAATCCAGAAAATCTGAAATTAATTCACACAAAAGGTTTTCGAGCTGGATAGACTAAATAAATATGCAGTGCATAGTTTTCTATAGTGTGTTTCATATTTGTAATCAACATGTAATACCCCAATATAATGTAAATAGGACATAGATATTAGCACACATTAGAAGCAGGCAGCAGCCCCTCACATTGAGCATTTAGAAATGGATGAGAGATTTTTTCCCTCAAATCCAGTGACCTTTCAGATCTCAGATAACCAGCATTCTTGAAGTTATGATACTCAGTTGCCCCATTAATTTCATGTGGCTGTAAACTCTGTCTAGCATTGACTTCTTTGATATCAGACAAAAATCATCAATTTACGTGAATTTAAATATGTTTAGCTATTTGGAGATTCATCGGGGAGATTCCACACCAGAATGGGAAAGAATGGGTAACAAATCCACTTTAAACCATTAGAATAAATCTTACCGATAGAGAATTACACAAAAAAGTGAACTGTAAGTGATATAGCCAAAATGCAAGGACCTTTTTTTTCTTTGAAGAATGTCAAGCTGCTGATGACGTGCTGCTACTCTGAGCTTCACCCACACATGTTTTCCTGTCCCCGCCAGGGATTCACCTCTGAATATGCAAAATGATCATACAAGGCAAGCAAACTTGTGTGCCAAAGACCAGCTTTCTGAAGCGTGAAATGAAGCTGCCTTTAACTTATGTTCTTGTTTTTATATCTTTAGAGTCTTGTAGATAAGCGGGCTTCAAACTATTAGTTATTATTAATTTGTCTTTGATTTCTTCTAGTTTCTTAGAAAAATAATTCCTGATCTGGTTTTTAAATGTAATTTCTGATGTGTTTATAAAAGTTTGACTAGTGGTAAAACTGCAATCTTCTCAAGATACATTATAAAAATAAAATTTAAAGCAACTCAAATACCCTTTTTCAATACTAGTAAAAGTTATACAATTATTTGATAGATTTTATTTGTTTTTGTGTTTTACCTTAGAGAGGGCAGCAATGGATGAAAGTAAGTTCGGCCTAATAATGTATTTTTCCAAATATGATTTTTAAGAAATTGGTTTTCTGAGCTACTTCATAAATCTAAAAATATTTTCATTTATGTTAGCTACTTATTCTGACTTTAGTTTGAAATCTATGAACCACATGCAGATAAAAGTATATTTATTAATGTAGAAATTAAAAAGCTCATTTAAAAATGTATTCCTATTTTTCCGACTTTTCACTTGTCAAATAAGTGATTGGAGAATTTTTCAGTATCAAGCATAGTTTTGTGAAGATATCAATGAATGGGGAATTCATAGATGTTATAAAAACAGAAAAAATGCTTTTTAATCCTTCAACACTGTAAACACCAAATAGTTAAAAACACTTGCCACCTGTTTCTGTTACTCTCAGCTGTCTCCCCTGCCTCCTTCCTTTTTTCTCCAATGTTTGAATGCATATTCAAAGGTTTTGAATAATTAATCACACAGAACTGTTTTAAACATGCCTTTGTCCTGAGAGGCCTTTCAAATAATTAGCCCCTTTGCAAGTGTTCAAAGATGTAGCATATTATACTAAAATCATAATGTCTCCAAATTCTTTGCTTCTTTTTGCTTATGTATAATAACCCAATGTTTCTTTATTCCCAGTTGTTGAATAAAACATAGACAGAAGATGGCACTATTTCTTCATTGTTTAAAAAAGTACATATCAGCAAGTAATTTCTCCACTTTAAGTGAAAAATAAAATTTTAAAAGCTACCTGCAAGGGAAACACACAGGTTTATTAGAAAATGGAGGTAAGACTACATGGCATAAGGCATAATTTACTTGAATACTGGGATAGAAAGTAATTTAAAATTAAGCATGGAAAACTAAACAGTAATAATATACTTACTTTCCAATGAAATTATAGAAAAATAATGCAATATTTGTTATATAAGAAACACTTCTTTTGCTATATCCCACAAATTTTGATATGCTGTGTTTCCATTAACATTCAAATGTAAATTATAGTAATCTCTATTATTATTTCTTCTTTAACTTATGGACCATTTAGATATGTGCTGCTTGATTTCACATTTTGGGAGATTTTGCACACTTTATTTCTAATTTAAGTCTATTTTTTTCAGAAAATATAGAACAAAATTTCAAATACTTTTAATTTATTGAGACTTGTTTTATGGTTCAGCATATTGTTTATATTGATGAATGTAATGAATACTTGATAAGAATTTGTATTTTGCAGTGTGGTATAAATTGTTTAATGTCAATTAGGTAAAATTGTTTGATCAAATCTTTTTTATTTTTACTGATTTTTACCTACTTGTTCTCTTATTCACTAAGATTAAAATCTCTATGACTGTTTTGTCTCTTTCTCCCTTTACTTTTGCCACTTTTTGTGTATTAAAATATATTATTACATTTATTCATAAAAAAAAGAAAAAAAGAAAAAAATCACCGTCATAGGTGATATAAAGAGACTGGCGTGGTGCCAGCAATCTCTCTTTGGAGTTTGTGTCCCATCTTTGCTTTTATGATTAATGAGACCTTAGACAAGTTATTTTTCTTGGAATCAAAATGGAGGTAATAAATACTTATTTTCTTTTCTGATTAAGTAAAAACATAATAAGAGTTCAACTGATAGCTATTGTTTTACCATACTATAATATAAACTTTGTGTGGGGCAAAGACAAATTTTTGTGTTTTATCACAATATTATCAACATTTAGCACAATGTTTGACATTCGGTAGACATATGGAAACTGCACTTAAGGAGTTGTTATGATGGCTACTATCAAAAAGACAAGAGAGAACAAGTGTTGAAGAGGGTGTGGAAATAAAAGGAATCCTTGTATACTGTTGGTGGGAAGGTAAATTAGTACAGCCATTACGGAAAACAGTATGGAGTTTTGGAAAAAAATTAAAAGTAGAACCACCACATGATCCAGCCATTCCACTTCTGGGTATAAAGTATAAGGGAATGAAATCTGTATGTCAAAAATATATGTGCACTGTCGTGTTCATTGTAACACTATTCACAATAGCAAAACTATGGATTCAACCTAAGTGTCCATCATCAGATGAATAGTTAAAGAAAATATAGAGTATATAGACAACAGAATACTATTCAACCTTTAAAAAGGAGGACATCCTGTCCTTTGGGACGACAGAGATGAACCTGGAGGACAGTATGCTAAGTAAATGAAGCTAGGCACAGAAAGACAAATACCGTATGATCTCACATGTGATGTCTGAAAAAGTAGAACTTAAAGGAGACAGTAGAATGGGGCCAGGGATGGAGTTGAAGGAATTAAGAAAATCTTGATCAAGGGATACAAAATTTCAGTTAGACGGAAGGAATAAGTTCGATATCTACTGTACAACATGGTGATTATTGTTCATAACAATGCATTTAACTTCACACTTAAACACTGCTAAAAGAGTAAATTATATACATTGTCATCACAAAAATATGATAAGTATGTGAGATAATAGATATATTATTTAGGCTGATTTAGTCATTCTGCAATGTTCAACATCATATAAAAACATCCTATTGTACATCATTAATATTTGTAATTTGTATTTGTAAAAAAATTAAAAATTAACAAATGCACATGGTAAGTTAATAAGCCAGCAGTTTCTTCCAAGAGCCAGTACAACTAAAAACTACATTATTACATCATCTGAAAAACTTTACATAAACTGGAATTTCTAATTTTCCTAATAAAATTTATCAATCTAGCAAATATTTAACCAGAAAAAAAAGTTGCATAAGTATTAAAACAAACAGAACTTAAATCGATTGTGTATTTGCTTTAAATGGCTTTCAAAGAAGCCATTACTGTTAAAATGAAGCTCTTAGAAGCAGTTTATGAATAATAACAATAACAAGGAATCCTAAGAGGTAGATGTTATCTTACTCATTTTTGTAATTACAGCTCAACAGTATTACACAAAATAGATGATTATGTCTGAAAATAAAACAAGGAAAAAAGTTTTGTCCCTGTGAGATTGTCCGTATTTACAAACTTAAGACAAGTTACTTGAATCCAATTTACACTGATTAAACATGTGTATTTGAAATCATCACATGTAAAAATGAGAACTCACCCTTTTAGTCTTAACTCCAGAGGAAACTTCAATCTTTTTTTTTTCTTTCTTTCTTTCTTTTTTTTCTTTCTTTCTTTCTTTTTTTTTTTTTTTGTGAGACGGAGTCTCGCTCTGTCGCCCAGGCTGGAGTGCAGTGGTGCGATCTCGGCTCACTGCAAGCTCCGCCTCCCGGGTTCACGCCATTCTCCTGCCTCAGACTCCCGAGTAGCTGGGACTACAGGCACCCGCCACTACGCCTGGCTAATTCTTTTGTATTTTTAGTAGAGACCGGGTTTCACTATGTTAGCCAGGATGGTCTCGATCTCCTGACCTCGTGATCCGCCCGCCTTGGCCTCCCAAACTGCTGGGATTACAGGCGTGAGCCACCGCGCCCGACTGCCAACTTCAATCTGAAAAACAAAAATTGCAAATACATGTTTACAAAGGATATTGAGTAAACATCAATTTTCTCTTGTTGGGCATATATCTAGCCTTTATTTCCCCAGTCTCTCTTGATGTTAGGTTGGGCTATATGACTAGTTCTAGACAATGGAATGTGGATAGAAGTCATATGTGTTATTATTATGTGATGATTTTTAAGAAATAGATGTGTTCCATAGTGGAGTACCAAGGGCACAGTGGTGGTTGAGCTCCACCTAGTAGGGCGAAATTTTTTATCACTGTTATGTTTGCAATTGCCATTGAAAAGCCTTTCTCATTATTTCCACTAGCAAAACGCTAATAGAAGAAAAAAGGCAGTGGAGTCTTAATAATAGAAAATTAGAAGATAGAAAAAAATCTAGTTACCTGGATTGTGGAGGTAATTCACTGTAAACCAGGAAAACAAGATTTAGACAGGTGAGTGAAAAATACATTTTTTTCGTGTTTGAACATTATAGGTGGTTGGATCTATTTTGTCTAGCAGTTCACATTACCCAAACCAACGCCATAAGGAAATAGTGATATGAAGTCCAGAAAACGTACACAACGTATTACTTACTGTAGCCCTTTTAAAACCAGTTTCTCTGCAGCTTCACATTTCTATGTTCCTGCTTTTCACTGTCTTTACTAAGTAAAGTGTTTATTGGCTGGAAAATAATCTAGTATTATTATTTGTTTCTCTGACCTTCACTAAGCTAAAAGAAGGAACGTTTGCTTATTTGACTTCAACTAGTAAGAGTTTTATCAAGAGGGGAGATGAAACGTTTTTGTCCAGCTGATTATCTATATATATATATAGCAGGCATGTAATTTCACATAAATACTTTTATTCCTAAATAAACAATACAGATATTAAAGACTGCATACTGCTAAAGTGTTGCTATATTTTACACAAATATATCTATTTTTATATCTCTCTGATGGATAGGTCCATCTCTTAAGCCCTTCTTAGGTTTATTTCATTTTTAATGTCAACCTTAATGAAGAAGTTAGGGACAGGGAACTGCTGCATGACATTAAATTGATAGTAGCTACTTCTACCTTCCGTATATGTGATGGTGGTGGTGGTTGGGGAGGGGGTGGTTGTAGGGAATGGCATTATTCATCTCAGTGGGAAGAAATACTATATTGCTTTTCCCTTTCAGTACAGAGCATTAGTGTACGTGAGAAGGAAGAATTAGAAATTCCCAAGTCACTGCTAATTGTTTACAGCTGAAGGGTAGAAGCTGGAGTGGATGATTCATAGCAAAACATATTAATTAGTCTTGGATAGTGAAGAAAGGAAGGAAAACCACGAGGAAGCAGGGAGTACAAAGTGATATGCTTTGCATAATAAAGTTAGTGAAAATGAGGTGTAGCAGTGGAGCAAAAGGAGCATGCAATTTCTAAAAGGAGAGGAGCTGTATAAACTGAAATAAACTTTAATATTATATTATAAACAATGATTTTTGAATGCAATTTTTTTGTGGGAAAAGAAGCTGTTTATTCCACCTCTGCCTCACCCCATCCCAATGCCATTTTCTTCCTCTATTATTTTTTAAATTTCAGTTTAAATCATATATTGCTAAAAAATGTATACACTCAAGGTGTACAATGTAATTTTTTGATATATGTATACATTGTGTAGTGATTACCACTGTCAAATTAATTAACATATCCATCACTACCTGTAATTACCACTGGTGCATATATGTGTGTGGGGGGGATGGTAAGAGCACTTAAGATTTACTCTGTTAGCAAATTTTAAGTAAACAATGCAGGATTATTAACTGTAGTCATCATGTTGTACATGTCAGAACTTGAACCCAAAGGTGGGAGATAGAAGCTCTGATGTCTAAGGGCAGGAAAAGATAGATGTTCTATCTCAAGAAGTGAGAAATAACCTGTCCTTTTTTGCCTTTTTATTCTATTTCTCCTTCAACAGATTGGATGATGCCTGCCCACACTGATGAGGGTGGATATTTTTTAACTCAGTCTATTATTTTAAATGCTAATCTTTTTTGGAAACACACCCACAGACATACACAGAAATAATATTTTGTCATCTATCTGGGCATCCCATAACCTAGTCAACTTAACACATGCAATTAACGATCACACTTTGTACGCTACAAAATCAGGCAAAACTACTATTCCCTCTATACACTATATGAGGTAGAACAATATAAAAATGTTTAAATAATAGAACCTTCTGGACAACAACAAAACTAAATGCATTCTCTAAGAGGCTAGAAAGCTTCTACGCCACCAGATCCCTTATCTGCTGAGGGTTCGTTATCTACATCAAATGACTGAGATTTTGCAGAATCTTTCTTAAGTGTTTTGATTTTTTTTTTTTTGGTAGAGCTACCAATTTTTAGAAATTTGACATGGCAACCCCTTAAAGTGATGCTTTAGTACTCTAGGTCCCCACCTTCTTGGAAGAACAGTTGCACTTTTTTTTTTTTTTTGACACAGGGTCTCACTCAGTCACTCAGCCTGGAGTGCAGTGACACCATCATGGCGCCTTGCAGTCCCGACCTGCCAGGCTGAAGTGATCCTCCCGCCTCAGCCTCCTGAGTAGCTGGAATTACAGGTGTGCACCATCACATCAGCTAATTTTTTAAATTTTTTTGCAAAGGTGGGGTTTTGCCATGTTGCCTAGGCTGGTCTGGAACTCTTGGGCTCAAGCAGTCCTCCCCGCTTCTGCCTTCCAAAGTTTTGGGACTACAGTCATGAGATACAGCTCTTGGCCAACAGTTGCATCTTATGTTTTAGTTTATATTATCTGAATGCTGAGATCTTTTGCCTTGTCTTAAACTTAGTTTGCAGAGAAAGAATGTCCTTAGGAGCTGCAGAGAAAAGGAAAGAGGCAGCAGAATGTACGTGGGAAAGACTTGGTTCTTTTTAAGACATCTGTCTTATCTTTGCTCTGTCTAGCCTGTCTATTTCAATATCTACATAACTGGGAATAACACCAAATTCAAACTTTCAGTGAGGACTCTTACAAATCAATTTTTAAAGTATCTCTTTTCCTCCACATATTTTTTCTATCCATATTGGGACTGTTTACCAGGGCATGTAATATTTGTACATTCTGAAAATATATGTAGATTGGATTCTTTTCCAGGAAAACAACATGTTTGAATGTCTTAACAGGGAAACCATGGATATAATTTCATTTCCTTCCTAGAAATACACATATTATGGGATTAATATATATAGTATAATTTTGATTCTAAATATTCATCCATACTCATTTTATATTATTCTTTAAAAACCCTTCCTTGTGTGGTTCACTTATTGAATATATTATTTCAGTAAAGATAATAGTACATGTTATGAAATCCAATCATTTATATTTTATTAATCTTTGGCATAGTAAAAATTAAATGTTTAAACTTCCATTGTTGGTGAAAGTTAATGTGTCCATAATAGTCAATAAACTGACTACTAAATAAAGCAATGTAAAGACATTTTACTCTTTGGCTATTTTAAATAAATTCTCAGTTGGTGCAATCAAATCTTATAAGTTTATTACCTAGTCAACCTTCTCTTTATCAATTTATCAGAAACTACTCGTGACCACTGGCTTATTTGTGGTGTCTTGTTCATTAAAAACAGATTTACTAATTAATTCAGTATAGAGGTATTAACCCCCTACTGCCTACTACATGGTAGATATAGTGCCAGCTTTTAGAGATAACTTAATCATATGTGTTCTTTCAGTTGAGAGACATATAAATTCATCAAATGATTAAATTAGAACAATTCAATATCAGATATGGCAACTGCTACAATGATGAGTGTTCTACAAACCATGGTTAAAATAAAGGTATTTAACTTAAAGATACTTTGCAATTATTAATCATTAAACACTTATATAAGGAAAGCATAGGCATTAATTAGATGAAATGGCAAAGACATAAGAACAACAGGCATGTGGGAAGGCTCTATAAATAAGATAATTGAAATTTAATGCAGTGGTTGACATAGAGAGAATTGGAGACAGTGCAGTGAGAGATAGCCAGGATCAGTGAGTGCAGGGTCTTACAGACTGTGTTTACTAAAGTGATCCCTATTTTGGATCTGGCATGCCAGTAGAGGGTGTTTACCAGAAAAGTTACATTTTTAGATAGGAAGGAGGTCAGCATGCACAAATGATAGTGGTTGCTAGGAAACTATTGTAATATTCCAAATGAGAAAGTTTGAATGAGTGTGGTGTTCAGGCAGATGAACTAAAGTTAGGAAGATTAGAGAGATATTTAGGGACTAAAATAAACCAGACTTTCTGGTTTGCCAGAGATGCAGTTTTGAGGCAACCATTTATTAAAAGACTCAATTCCATTGCCCTTGTACTGTCATGATGATTGAGCCTCTCCACTTAACCATCTAAAAAGGTATCACAAGCATTTCCTCTTGGCAGTGAAATGCACAGAGTGAAAGCTGCACTAAATTTTGTTACTCAGTAGGGTAAATTCATTCATATATATATGGTTATAAATAAAGACACTGCTTAAAAACAGTGACAGAGGCACCCACCACCTTATGAAGAAGAGGTGACTCGGAGGACTGATTAGTGTTGAAAGGAAAGCTAAATCAGGCACTCCTGTCAAACTCCCTTTTGTTTTAAATGACTATGCAGTAATTTACAATTACAAATCTCTGTTAGGAAAAATCACTTGTTGCATGGATATCTCTTTCTCATTGTAAAAATATGCAGAGGAGGTGATTTGTGTTTGCTTCCTTTTTTTTCTAAATTACTTTTCTGATATCTTATATAGGATTGTTTTTCCGTTATTTATCTACCCTAAAGACTGTCAGAAATTCTGAAGTTTTCTCCCTTCCTGCAGATGGGAACCTGTTATCTCTTTAGTTATTCATAGTGCAGAAAGCGGAGTAGTGGTTGCATCAAATGGATGGGAATCAAATGAAAGTGGTATGAAGAAACTTCCTGAAGCAAAGCAAATACTCTACTTCTTGTTTTAGTTGACAGTTACTTGATGCACGCCAGTCAAAATTCATCAAATTGAATACTTAACATTTGGGCAGTTTTTGTATGTTATATTTGATTCAGTTAAAATAAATAAGATTATTTAAAAATGGATAAAGTATTTCTTCAGTTCTTTGCATGTTTGAAGGTAAGACATAATAAAAGATTTAACTACATGAGTGAAAATATGAGACAGTGGAGGTTATAACTTTGAACAGAGAGAACTACAAAGAGACCTGCCGATGTGTAAGTTGTTTAAATTCTATTACTTTCTGAAAAGGGATTAAGTAATCTTTCTAGCTTCAAAAGTAAAACAAGAACAAGAGATAAAACTAATAGAAGGGGAAGGATGTTAGGTTTTAGGGAAACCTCTAAAACACTTTTCTTTCTTGACAGCAGTAGGCTAAGGTAGGACTCCTCGACAGTGCGTGTTCTAAGAAGTAAGATGAAGAGTGGCCAGGTATATTAGGAGACATTTCTACAGGTAATGGGATTTGGTGAAAAGGACTTTGAGACATTTGCCAACTTTAATATTTTAGGATTCTAAAATTTATATTTCAACATATCAAAAATTATTATGCCTTATTTGCCCATAGCATAGCTATTCTTGTAAGCATCTGAAAGCTGTGTTTAACATACTGTTTATCATACCTCACTGTCTATCACATTTAACACATGTGCTATCACTTTTAAAGTAGTGCTTTTATAAACATGTATAGAATGAGTAGTGTTTTATAACCAGGTTTAATTTTATGAGATTATTTTTATCTTGTTCTATGGCTTAATTCTTATTTCAAATTTTATGCATTATAAACTTTACAAAGAAATTGAGGTAAAACATTTGTTTCTCATTTACTGTCTGAAGCGATATGAAATTAACACACACACACACACACACACACACACACATTATACTAACATTTTGGTCTCTGGTAAAATCATCTTCTAAAAATATCCCCGATTGGTGTAATAAAATAAACTGTTTTATCGGTGAATGAATACCCTGATTTAGTCTCCAGTTAAGGAGAATCGATCCATGAAACATCAAAATGATCCAATATACTTGTTAGCAGATTTTGGGATTTCCTGGACTATAAAATTTTAATAAATGTATAAGTAAATGTATGCATAACTACATAATGCATAAATAAATATTTTGAGAGAGGACTGACCTACGATTGTCAAATGTTTGACAATATGTCTGTGTTTTAAAACTGTAGAAAACCAATAAAAAGTAATATTACTATCAGGCTGTAGGAAAAAGGGGGGACATTTACCGATACCCAAAAGTTAAAGTCAGGAAATGGTATTCATAACATTTACTGGCATGTTCAAATGAACTGACCAGTCAGAGCAGATTTTGGCTGATATGACTTACTGGTTTATACTCACACCATACTTGGATGATCAGAATGCTGAAATTAAAACAAAATGAACTGTTAACTAAGCGTATTTTGTTACATAAGAAATAATTACAGTGTCCTTATGTTCCCTTGTTGTCTTGGATTATTAAAAAAAACTGTTACACACAAATAAGTGTCCTCAGAGAAAAAAACATGGAAAATGTTAACCTCAAATATCATTTCAAAAATGAGCTCCTAGGGCAGTATCATGAAAAGGGTATAGGTGAATTTCGCATGAAAATGGACCACAAGAATTAAATTCAATATATGCGATGGCTCTCTCAGACCTGTAGGGGAAGGAAGTGAATTCTGAGGACTGTCTTAAAAAATGAATAGAGGCTATTCCAGCTTGCAAAATAAATGTAAAGCGGAATACTTGGTTCTAGCCCTTAAGGAGCTTTCAATCTAGCTACAGAGACATGATGAATGTATATAAAATCTCCATAAATATAAAGTCATGCATCTACGTGTATGAGAAGGTTGCATTGCTTAGGTGCATACCGAAGAAGATAATTCAGGGGAAAAGACTGATTACATGGAAGCCAATTTAATCTGGAAATAATTTTCAAGTGCAATGGGTTCTATTTATATTTTCGTATCTGTAACAATTTTAAGCAAGCTCATGGCATAACCAGCAAGGCATATAGCACTGTATATTTAGACATCAGATTTTTCGTTTGAAGTGTGAGAATGGACTAATCTGGGTGAGAAATAGCCATATGTGCATCCCTGCTTTGTGCTCCACAGGAAGTCTACAGCTTCCTATGTATAGTTAGATGAGCCCTTAATTTGACATGCTAACTCTGTTCCCAAAATGCTCTGTTAAAGATACTGTAGGCTGATGAATTTCCAGTATTCTCTGAAGTCACATTTAAGAAATTGGAGGGCATATAGATTGTGGTAGGCCCCCACAGATATTCTGCTCCTAATTCCTGGAATTGTGATGGTTGCTTTATATGGCAAAAAAGAAAAAAAAACACCTTTGTGGATATGATTAAGGAAAGGATCTTGAGAACAGGAGATGATTCTGGGTTGTCTGGGCGAGCCCTAAATCTAATCACAAGTGTCCATATAAGAGGGAATCAGAACACTTTTGGAACACAGCAGATGAAAGAGGCGATGTGAAGGAGGCAGCAGGGACTGGAGCAATGGGGCAACGAGCTAAATAATGCCAGATGCCCCTATAAGCTGACAAAGCATGAATTATCCCCTGGAGTCTCTAGAAAAAAATATTAGTTCTGCTGACACTTTTGTATTGGTACCTAAGTTCTCACTCTGGAAACAGAAACTCTAGAACTGTAAGATAAATTTACATTGTTTTAGGCCACAGAGTTTTTGTAATTTGTTATAGCCATAACAAGAAACTGATACATAAATACAAATATTTTTTCTTACATCTTCCATGATATTATATTTAAGTAAGAATGCTCTCAGTGTCTTCCAAATTGTCAGCTTAGCCAGGTGCAGTGGCTGATGCCTGTAATCCCAGCACTTTGGGAGGGTAAGGCAGGCAGATCACCTGAGGTCAGGAGTTCAAGACCAGCCTGTCCAACATTGTGAAACCCCGTCTCCACTAAAAACACAAAAATTAGTTAGTCATGATGGCAGAGGCCTGTAATCTCAGCTACTTGGGAGACTGAGAATTGCTTGAACCCAGGAGGCAGAGATTGCAGTGAGCCGAGAGTGCGCTGTTGTATTCTAGCCTGGGCAACAAAAGCGAAACTCGAACTCAAAAAAAAAAAAAAAAAAAAAAATGGCAGCTTGCATGAGTCTCTGCCTTTATCTAACAGATTTTGTTGTCATATTCCTCTTCTATTTCAGTGGTATCATCTCCACTGCCAAGTCCCTTACATCAAAGGTGAAGCCATATTTAGCATTCTTTCAGCAACAGTTTATTTGAAGTGAACTAAAGAGATTGATTTATTTTATCCCTTCTTGGACTCTTCATAGCTCATGAATTTCCTCATAAGATAGAACATATTTTTCTTTCAACCAAATAATTTATCAGTCATAAAAGGTCATTTAATGAGACCATTTACATTCTCTTCAGGGTTTAAATGTAAGCAGTACATTTCAAATATACATATATATACACACATACACAGATGTATTAATATGTATATTTTAACTTTTTATTAATTATAACATCATAGACATGACATTGTATCACTTAAAAAGTTCCAAAGGTTTGGATTTATTGCTGGAGGAAAAAAAATGAAATAATAAAAAATAAAAAGTTCCAAGCCATTATTAATAAGTTAAATCTCACATATCCCTTTACTGGACTACCCGTTGTTTTCATAAGTTCTCTACTGGGGTGGTAATTAGGGCATACAGCAGTATCAGAAATGGGAGAATTGGAATCTCAGTGACATGAAAGATGTGTCATGAATACATTAGTAGTTGCAGTTTTTTGTTTTATTTTGTTTTGGGAGGTTGGGGAGGGAAGTCAAACCAGAATGGTGTTGGACTCTTTTTATGGCCTTACCTGTATCTACTTAAAATTCATATGATGAAGTCCTAACCCCCAGAACTGCAGAATGTGACTATATTTGACCATATTTAGAGAGTAGATCTTTGCAGAGGTAATTAAATTAAAATGAGGTCATTGTGGTAGACTCTAATCCAATATGCCTGGTGTTCTTATAGAAGAGAAAATTTGGAGACAAAGTTGTACAGAGAGTTGAACAAGTAAAGACAGAGAGACAGAATGGCCATCTTAAACTGAGGAGAGAAGCCTCAGAGTATACCAATCCTTCCTTGATCTCAAAATTCTAGTCTCCAGAATTGTGAGAAAACAAATTTGTGTTAAGCCTGTTTGTGGTAATTTATTGCAACAGCCCTAGAAAACTAATACAGACTTAGACTATATTATTTATTGGAATAGTTAAATTAAAAATAAAATTAAAAGTGAGTTCCTCTGTCATTGCTTTAATTTAAAAAATCACAAACATGAGCATTATGGCTCATGTCAAACAAAATATTAAAATAATTTATATGAAATTTATTGAGCTTCAGAAATACTTTATACACTATATTATATATATATATTTGTGATATATGCAGGTGACCCCTGTCTCAAATTTATGTTCAGTTCCCTTTTGGTTAATTCATATTGTTTTATTGTTTTTGAGTCACTATATTTACATTCATGTAAGGTTGTCCTGGAGTATTTTTTCATCCATGTAAAAATACATTTAATAAAAATATGTTTTTTCTTTGTCTGTTTCCATGTATTGGCAAAATATTTGAGAGCATTTTAAAATTAAATTGTTCAATATGTGTTACTGATGAAGAAAAATAAAAAGTCAAGAGAAGGAAATATATATATCATGCTTTTTTATTATAAAGAGTGGAAGCATTTTTAAAAAGTTAATCAGACAATGTTGGAAAACATTTAATCCAAAAATTTTCAGGTTGTTACCAATGAAGAATGCATGATTTCTTGTTATTATTATGATCATTATGAAAAATTTAATGCATTATTGATTACTTCGAAGGAAGAATAAAACCATATGATATGCTAAGTTTAAAATAATGTTTTTTTTTAAATATTGGTAGCCAGGAAAGCTGTAATAATATAAATAGAGTTAATTTTAAGCATCCAAAATTTGTATCAAGTACCTACAATATTTCCAAAGCAAATCTAGAAACAAGTACATGGAAATGTTGAAATTATGTTCTTATTCAAGGAACAACATTATAGAATAGAAAGAAACAATTGGGTGACATTTAAATGCCTTATCTATAGCACTTTGCAATGTCTATATGAGTTTTCAAAATTTTATGATTTTTTTTCCACATTCCCATATTTCTGAATGAACAGTAGGATTTTTAGTAGATGTTGAATTATTTTTGTTGTTACTAATCTTGTTGTTATGATTTCAATATTAGCAGCTGTAGCATATTTTCTGTTGTGTGCATTGAGTGTAACATTTACATTATTAATATTTTCCGTTACATTCCAGAAGTTCTGAAGTTTACAGATCAGAAGATTCTTGCATTTCAGCTCCATCTAAATAAGATATGATATTCTTTAAGTTTACAGGAGATAACAGGAAAAACATTGAAATCCAGTTTTTAAAATAAGACTTTTGCCAATTACAGTACGTCTATAGCATCTATTCTAAATTTGTGGGTGAATGTGCTATATTTCATTAGTGAAACAGTGTACCATGCACTTTTTGTCAAGTTTATTGAATTTTTAATTGAAGTTTTTATTTTGTGTAGGCTTGCATGCAGTTATCATAAACATCGCAGAGAGATCTTATCAAGCCTTTACTTAATTTCTCCCAGTATGATATTGTGCACAATATCACAACTAGGCAACCGCGTTTAATATAATCCACCTAACTTATTCAAATTTCTCCAATTTTACATTTATTTATGTGCTTCTGTGAGTATTTAGTTCTGCATAATTTTATCACGTGTGTATGTTTAAAGTAGCTATCACTGCATTCAAGACACAGAAGAGTCTCATTATCTCAAGGGTCCTGGTTTTGTCATTTTAGAATCACACCTAATTTTCTCCCATCCTCCACATTCCTGCCAATTACTATTCTGCCCTCCATTTCTATGATTTTGTAATTTCAAGAATAATTGGGGTCAGCATGCTTGTTAGAGGGCAGGGACTCTCACAGGGACTGTGTCAGGAGCCATGGGGGCTAGGTGGTCTGTGATCCGGCTTGAGTGGCAACCAAATCAGGTTAGTAGCATATCCAAGGGAAAATTGGATGGTGACAGAGGTCACAAAAGTTTCCTCAAGAAACAAACCATAACCAATGGAAAGATGAAAGAAAACTATCATTTTAATGTTAGCAGGACATTTGGATGTCCTTGGCCTCCAGTTAAGAAGACTTTAACTCCAGACAACAATAGACACTTTTAAGAGTAGCTTAGAATAAAGAAAACATAATATTTTAATGTTGGAGGTATATTTTCTATATGAAGTAAAATGTAACCCTTAATATTTATTTTGTAAAGAAGATATTTTAAGAAGTAACATGTATAGGTGATTTGCCAATTCAGTTCTTTCCCCAAAAGTGGGTAGATACATTCTTTAAGTATATATGTCTTTTATGTCTCAATTTCTTTGTGGAACATAATCATGACAGGTCTAGTTTGTAATTCAATATCTTGTTCACGAAGCACTTTAAAACCTTGTAGACGGCAAGCTATAATAATTCGAACTTGTGTAAATAATACTTAGGACTTTAGGCTCTCTTGAAAAAAAGAAATTTTCTCCTTACTGACCAGCAAAATTCAAATCTAGTTTCTCCCCTCAGACATAATGCAGAGTGAGTGCCCTGAGGAAGGAAGGAGAGAGTAACACTGTTCAATGCGTGGTATGTAAGGAAGCAGCTCATGGGCTACTCTTCATGAAATTTCAGAAGAACTGTACTTACCATAGGCTCTATTGCAGAAAAACATCATTGCGGGATTTAATAACATCAGAAGTTAGTAACAGAAGAAACAATATGAGAAAATAAAAAATAAATAAATTCTTCCACTTCATAAAGTGTAACCTGCCAACTGAAATCACTAGCATATTCTACATGAAATTTCAGTATAGGGAGAAAAAGGCACATAAAATTATTATTTTTGAGCTTTTAAAAATGAGTAGACTGTCTTTTTCTCTTTACCTGATAAGACCTGCGTTCAGGGATCAGTTCTTCCGCAAATGATTATGGCTTCTGAAACGATCAAAAAGCTGTTTTCTCCACTGTGCTTTAGGTGTTAGACTAAAACTCCTGACCGATGGTGGGCCAGTGGGAAAGGAAAGATGGAGTTTTCAATTATAAATTAGCGAAAATTATTGTGATATAATGGTTATGTTTTCCTATGTAGTGTATTGTTATAGTGGGGAAATTTATAGTCTCTGGCGAAAATGTAATGCCTACTCACAGTGTTTCTCCCATCAAATGACAACAAAATAAATGCCCTGTAAGTGGAACAATGAACATGTTTGGAATAAACATTTAAAAATCAGCTAAAAAAAGATTATCATAGGGTTTAAAAACCATAATCATCCAAATATATTACAAAGGAAGATTTTTAAAGGTTTAAAAGCCAGGATAGGAGTAAATAAAACTAAATAATGGATATAAGCAGTAAAATACACCCTATTTTATTTTTGTAAGCTTTTGTATGGATGGAAGAGATGAAGAAGGAATTAATAGCATCTTAGTGTTTGAGAAAGGATGAATGAAATTTCCCACAGTGGTTTTGTATGAGACATGGTTTCTCCATGAAAAGTTTAGGTGCTCTTGAAATAATATTGTAGTGAAATATTTGCTTTAAGCCAATCTGTTCATTAGAAGAGGTCTCAAGTCAAGACTGTTAATTCATACCTAATGAAGATATCCCAGTGTATTGCATGGTTATTTTTCTCCACTCTTGAACATGTATGGGGATGAGGAAAACTCTTGAGAGAATATAACCAGAGTTCTTATCAATTGCCAGTACCCTCATTTAGGAGAAGATAAACTCCTCTGTCCATTATCAATTATTTAGACTTATGCTAATCATTGATGCACATATGATAAGTATTTTACTATTCCAGCAAAAGAGGAGATCAGTATAGATTAGAACTTTCAGGGATGCCATCATGGAGAGTGGATATGATATAGCAGGCAAAAATTATATTATCACAAAAATAAGGCAAGGGTGAAAACACAAACATGGAAAAAAATTTGAAGAGTCTAGCCTTACAATTTCATTCAATTCATTAAATCTGTGACTTAGGTAGTTATAAAGCATAGGGTTGTAAAGACCAATTATGTACCTTGCAAAGAAGGTGCCTACTTCCGCTTCTGGCATGATTGTAAGTTTCCCGAGGCCTCCCCAGCCATGTGGAGCTGTGAGTCAATTAATCCTCTTTGCTTCATAAACTACTCGGTCTCAGTAGTTCTTTATAGCGGTGTGAAAACGGACTAACACAGGTCACACGGCTTTTCCCCAATTGATTAGTATTGACTATTATGTTGCTTGTCATAGATAAAGGTGTAAAATAAGGTTGTTACATAAATAATCAGATGCCATGCTGTACTCATGAAATATAGAAGAAATATGAATTATTTTGAAGATTAATATAACTTAGCAGGTTTATTTTATTTTACTGAACTGTTGTGTTCTTTTGTTATTAATATTAAAAAGAAACAAGGGAGAATTCATCCAAGAGAGTTCATAAACCTGAAGTTTTTAGTCCTCTATGTTTCTTAGAACTGTTTCAAAATAAAACAAATTTACTATGCAGGTCAAATCAAACTGTAGAAGGAAAATATAGGAGAAAATAGGGTTAAGAACAAAAACACATAGTTTCAAGTACTACTTCATATTGGTGAGAGCTTTAAAAGTAGAGGATGAACTGTTTTTCAAATATGCTTCCTGCTGTTATGATACACCCTGGGGGGATCCACAGGTCTTACAGATATCTTGGGAAATGGTTGAAAGCTCTTTACCTACTCTAATCTACAGACTGTGTATTACTTAAATAATATGGTAGCTTTGATTTTGCTATTGTAACTGCATTATTTGATAGAAAAAATAGTTTGTACTCTAAAATCTTTGATGGTGTGGTTTGACAAATTTCTGCTGCAAGTTTCTGCTTATCTCTTGCTTGCTATGCACAATGGCTCTGTCTTGATTATAGGTTATATTCTAAGTAGATTGCTGGATTTGATTGTGTATTAGAAGCTTGTTCAATTTCAGGGTAACCAGTGTTTATACTAATTAATGAATTGCTTGCTTTAATCAGGAAGAGAATGCTGATGATTCTAGGAAGGGGAAATTGAAAACAACTGATGGTTCTATTATTTTCTCAACTTGATGAGAGGCACATTGGTTAATTCAAGTGTTATTATCAATTATTAAGAAACGAACTTGTTGTAGAAAACAAATGAAGAAGAAAAACAGAGATAAATGAAAAGTAAATATTTTCTCTCTTTTTCTCATATTTTCCTTTTAAATTGAAGTTATTTAATTTTTAATTTTTTATCTTAAATATGGAAAGGTCTGGGGCATTAGTAAGGTAGAGTAAAATAATTATGCTCTTATCACCTATAAAAACAAAGTCACTAAGAAGTGACCACTCTACATATTGATTTTCCTGGTAAAGGATTTTTTAAAAGCCTATGTGGAGAATCCACAGAAACAAAGGACAAGAGCTTGTGTTAGCACACAACTTTCTTTACTGCTCTCAAAGAGATGACAGAATTACAGCTATCCTAAATTAGTGCTCCTCTGATGCTTTTGAAGAAGCATAACACAAATACATAAGCCATGACCATAAAAGGGACTCCAAAAGAGGTAATGCATTAAAATAAAATTAAATCATCCTAATGTTCTAGAAAATTATCCAAAAAAATCTAGGGATTCTTTTCCTCCCACTTAAAGTCTGCTTAGGCAAATTATGCATGGACAGAAGACGTTTACAAATAAAGGCATTTTTTTCACAATTTAGTGTCAGTGAAGGAGATAAACAGTTAAAAGTGATAAATTTCCTAGAGATGTACCTGCCCTGTTGGAGATGACAGCCACAGTTATTTTACTTCATGGATGTAACTGGATTACTTGTTTTGTTTTTGTTTATAATGTATTAGTCACTAACTAGGTGCTGGATATACACTAATGAACAAAATCAAGTATTTTTCTGAAATTACTAAAGACAAACCTGTCCTTCAGTTTTAAAAAATCATTAATATTTATATGGTAATATTGAAAAACAAATACACCTTAGTTTAATTTAGTACAATTTTAATAGAAATCCTAATTGTATTTGTTTGTAAGCTTTACTCTCCGTAGTCTTTTAATATTCACTCTTCAAATTTGAAATAATTCATTAATTTTCTTTTTGTAGCTGATGAAGATGATATTAAACAGATGGCAAAATCTAAGGCATTTGATGGTTAAAAGTAAAGCAAAATTGCCCACATGACACCTGAACAACAAGCAAATGGTAGTCTAGCAACTGTTAAAAGGATTGAGAAAATTGATTTTAACAATTACAAAATATTCCACTTGTCCCATTGTAGGAATTCAAAAAATGTCTTTGGAACTGAGCAATTACATTAAGAAGCAATTCTGATTGGTATTTCAAAAGTAAAAAAAAAAAAATTAAGATATATAGTATTTGACCCTTTTATTAAAAAAATCAGTAAACATAGATGCCTCTGGAAAAATCAGTAAACATAGATCACAGAAGACTGACAAGTTAGTACAGCCAAAGTAGACCATTTATTAGAAGGAAAAATTAGCAATGAATGACCAAACCGAAGCATAAGAAACTTATAGAGAATTACATGTAGTATATTGAATAGAAATAAAGTTTCATACATAATATATTTTACATTTTAATGTCAAGTCTTCCAAGTTAATATGATTTTAAAATTTAAAGTTAATACATTTTTCATTTAATCAACCATTAATTTAATGATTCTTTAGCAGTTACTAGATTCTTGCAAATTGCCAGTCTTGTGATACACATAATGCAAAGATCATTAGACATATTCCCTGGAATTAAAGAGATAATTATTTTAAAATACAAAGGAAAACATCATCAAGTAAAAAGAAAAGACAACTAAGATAAACTGTGCAATTGTGGTGAACTGCATGAAAAATGGCCACATATTCTTTTTATCTCCGAATGTAGACCACTTTGCAATATAATATTGTAGCTCTTCCCATTAAGAGATGGGCAAAGTTATGCAATTTGTTTTGACCAATATGACATTAACAAAAATGATTTAAGATACAGATTAATAAATTCTTGCACACTGGGACTTTTCCTCTTTCGGTTCTTGGAACCCTGAGAGCACCACGTGGAAAAGCCTGAGCTAACCTGCTGGAGTATGAACGGCCATGTTTTCATCTCGAAAACATAAAGAAAATGTGGCATATATACACAACAGAATACTATTCAGCCATAAAAAAAAAAATGAAATCATGCCTTTTGCAGAAACCTGGATGGAACTGGAGTTCATTATCTTAAGTGAAACAAGCCAGACATGACAAATATCATATGTTCTTACTCATAACTGGGTGCTAAAAGAGGTTTATACCTTGACGTAGAGTGTGGAATAATAGGCAAAGAAAACTTAGAAGGGCGACAAGGAGCTCCCTTCTCCACAAGGAGTGTGATGGACAATGAGAAATCACTTGGGTACAATTTATGTTATTTGGGTGATGGATCCTCTGATTTTACCACTACATGTGTAACAAAATTGCACTTGTACCCCATGAATACAAAAATACATAAATACAAAGAGTGACTTTCTTTTCTTTTTTTTTTTTTTTTTTTTTTGAGATGGAGACTCCCTCTGTCACCCAGGCTGGAGTGCAGTGGCACCATCTTGGCTCACTGCAACCTCCACCTTCCAGGTTCAAGCGATTCTCCTGCCTCAGCCTCCCGTGTAGCTGGGACTACATGTGTGCACCATCATGCCTAGCTAATTTTTGTATTTTTAGTAGAGATGGGGTTTCACCATGTTGGCCAGGCTAGTCTCGAACTCCTGACCTCAGCTGATCCACCCACCTTGGCCTCCCAAAGTTCTGAGATTACAGGTGTGAGCCACTGTGCCCGGCCAAAAATGCCTTTCAACCATAAGACATAATCAGCCAACTGCTAGATAAGGACAAAGCCTGACAGAAAGATCAACTAGGCAGGTCTAACCCACCAATAGTTGAGCCCCAAACTCCTGAAAAATAGTTTTTGGGAATAAACTTTGGATGGTTCATTACATAACATAAAACAAACTATTTTAGAAACAATATAAGGTTTTAATGAAAACATCCCTATTTTGCTTGTTAATTTTATAGAATTAAGAGACAGAAGTGTCAGCTACTATAAAACTTATTCATTTATTATATTTATAATGAGTTTAGACTCAGAAAAGTGTCAGAAATAGTTCACTTTGTATGTATAATCTTCACCAGCTTATCCTAAAGTTAATAACTTACATAAGCATAGTATGATGAGCAAAACCAGAAAATTAGAATTGCAACAAATACTATTAACTATAAGAAATTTCTCCACTAATTCATTTTTTACATGTCAGAATTCAGCACTCCACACTGCATTCAGTGATTCTAGCTCCCTAGACTCCTTCAAGTGGTGACAGCTCTTCCGTCTTTCCAGTCTTTCGTTGCAATGATACTTTTCAAAAGTGGTGGCCAGTTTGAAAATGTGTCTTCGCGGGGTGCAGTGGCTTACGCCTGTAATCCCAGCAATTAGGGAGGCCGTGGCGGGAGGGTCGCATGTGCTCAGGAGTTCCTGCCTGAACAACATGGTGAAACCCCTCTTTACTAAAAATATGAAAATTAGCTAGCAGTGGTGGTGCACATCTGTAGTTCCAGCTACTCTGGAGGCTGAAGCAGGAGATCACTTGAGCCTGGGAGGAGGGAGGCTGCAGTAAGGCAAGTTTGCGCCACTGCATTTCAGCCTGGGGGATGGAGTGAGACTCCGTCTCAAAAAAAAACCAAACAAACAAAAAAGAAAATGTGTCTCAATATAGGTTTATCTAATCATTTTTTCATATTAGAATGAAGTTATGTATTTTCTGTAAAAACCCGGCAGTTATGGGGAGGGCTACTTAGTGCATTTGTAAAGATTGCATGCTGGATCTTTTTTTTTTTTTTTTTTTTTTTTTTTTTTTGAGACAGAGTCTCACTCTGTCACCCAGGCTGGAGTACAGTGGCGCAATCTCTCGGCTCGCTGCAACCTCCGCCTCCCAGGTTCACGCCATTCTCCTGCCTCAGCCTCCAGAGTAGCTGGGACTACAGGCGCCCGCCACCATGCCCGGCTAATTTTTGTATTTTTGTAGAGACCAGATTTTACCGTGTTGGCCAGGATGGTCTCGATCTCCTGACCTCGTGATCCGCCTGCCTTGGCCTCCCAAAGTGCTGGGATTACAGGCTTGAGCGTTATGGTATTGATTTGGAAGACTAACTTAAGAGGGTTTCTTCCAGATTTCTCCGCTTGTTAAACTTGCAGTAAAATAAAACTGTTAAATTTAAAATATGTCAGACGTATAGTAGTTAAGTATATTTTATATGAGTGATTCCCCGTTAAATAAACCAGAAGATATCAAGTTGTCTAAAGTATACTGCAAAAGTTATAGTTTTAATGAGAAAATGTAGTCAGTAAAGCAATGTGTACTCAAATAAAAATTACATGTGGTGATATTATACATTTATGTATAAATGTGGTGGCATAAAAACATTTAACATCTTGAGTACACCACTTTTCTTCTTATGGATGAAGAGGTGGGTTTTGTGGGTTTATTTTTTATGAAGAGTCATTACACAGTATTTAAAATTTTTAACAGTCAAGTTTCTATAGGTGAAACTGTGGTGACAGAAAACTTCAGCATGTCATTGGTAGGTAACAGTGGTTCTCTGCTTTTTATTCATTATCACTCCACAAGAAAAAAATAAATTTAATTTAAATTCTCCTCATTCATAATGCTTGTCTTAAAATCAGAATCATTTATTTTCCTTTTACTTGCTATATTAGGAGCTGTTGGTTGTTAGTGTCTCTATTCATGTGACTTATTCTAGGACCCAGGTGGAAGGAGCAGCTCCGCCAGTCACATACTGTTGTTGGAGGAGAAAGTAAGAAAGCTGGTAAATGCACTCAATGTCTCTTAAGCCCTATGGTTAGAAAGGGCTGTTGGGCAGGTTCACTGGGCACTGGTTATGAATTTGTCTTGAGTTCAGTGAGACAGAACACACTCATATGCAACAAGTTACATAAAGTGCATTTATTACAATATATAAGCAACAAGGGACAACAGAATCCTAGGATTTACTGTAAAACAATGCCCCAGGACTCAGGATAGCTGCCCCGGGTGAATAGAGTCTCACTTGGATGCTTCCCACTTGCAACACTTAAAGGAAGGCAACCAAACCCAGGTTATGTACCTCAGGGAAAACATGACCAGACAGGCTAAAGCACTGAAGGACCTCCTATTCTAGCAGAGAGAAGAACAGAACACAGGCTCTTCTTAATAGTTCCCCTCCTAGCTCGGGATGTTGTATTCCCAGCATATTCTTAGTTTTTCTTGAATATTATAGCAAGAAGGGAGAAAAAACTGGGTTGGTCCAAGGCCACCTTGAGTACGGTTTTGCAATGTATCTGTCACTTCTGCTTCTATTTCATTGGTCAGAACAAATCAAATGAGCAAATACGATCTGATGGGATGGGGGCGAGTATTCCTCCCATAGGAAGTCAATGCAAGTCATGACAATGCCATGGGGTATGGAATCTTATTACAAGGAAGGCAGTGAGTGAATAGTGGAAAACAATAATGAAATGTACACAGAGCAGAACACTAAAGCAGGTCACCAATGTTTGATTTCTAGCTTATCCCTTTACTAGCTGGAGGGGCTTTAAAAGGCCATTTAGCTTTCCTATGATTGTTCTCTTCATATGCGGAATGGGAAAACAAAAAATACTTACCTTATAGGGTTGTTTGGAGGATTAACGGAGTTCACATAAATAAAGCAAATAGAATATTTCCTTGAACATTTTGTGTGCTATAATATATGTAAGTATTAATTAGAGTGTATATATAAGTGTTTATTATATCACATGGACAGACACACACACACATACACCAAAATACATGCACAACAAACAACTTTGCTGGTGATTAAACTAGCCTTTTTTAGCAATACTTTAAAATTCTCTCTTTTTTTTTTTTTTTTTTTTTTTTTTTTGAGACAGAGTCTCACTCTGTCACCCAGGCTAGAGTGCAATGGAATAATCTTAGCTCACTTCATCCTCCGCCTTCCAAGTTCAAGTGATTCTCCTGCCTCAGCCTCCCAAGTAGCTGGGACGACAGGTGTGTGCCACCACGCCTGGCTAATTTTTGTATTTTTAGTAGACACCGGGTTTCGCCATGTTAGCCAGGCTGGTTTCGAACTTCTGGCCTCAAGTAATCCGCCTGCCTCAGCCTCCCAAAGTGTTGGGATTACAGGCCTGAACCACTATGTCTGGCCTGAAATTCTGTCTTATTGAATACTGTGTATTATGTGCATTGAGTTTTAAACAAAAGATTGATTTTTTTCTCTATTTCTATCTTATCTAAGCTCCCATAAAGCTAGCTCTGTAGCAACTTTTAAAAGCTCTAAATTAAATTTATTTCCCAAGGTGTCATGCAGATATTGCTGTTTACAACAAAATTGCAAAACACAAACTTTGCAATATTTTTGTATGGCTCTATCAGATTATTATGACAAATTTAAAAACACATTTTAGAAACATAAGCTTTTATGGAAAGCAAAGCTTCTATTGCTTAATATTACGCTGTTGAAACGCGAGTTTATTACTCTGGCTCAGAACTCTCTTATGAGCTCAATCAACTACCTATATACACTTCCCCGTGGGTATCCACAGCCACCGCACAGTAAATGCAACCAAGTTTGAACTCATGATATTCTCCAGAAAACTTGATTGTGATCCAATGATCCCTTTTTCATTAAAAGATATAATCATTCTTCTAATCATGCAAGCCAGAAACATAAGAATCATGTTTTACATCACCCCTTTTTACTATCAGATTTACCTTTTTTCTAGACTTCATCATTATTTTCTTAACTACATCTCAAGTCTATCCATCTCTCCATATTTGCCTACTAGGCTTAGCCATTTCATCTTTACCCTAGGTGGCTGCAATAACTTAATAGTTCATATCCCCACATCTTTCTTCTCCATCTTATATCCTTGTACACATATGCACAACCGTTTCAAACACTGCAGCCAGTGAAATGCTTTAAAATGCATATTTAGCTGTTTGCCCTAACTTGAAGTTACTGTTAGCATAGCTACATCTCCACATTAATTCTTTGTCATTGTTCTTCCAACTCTATCTATGTGAACCACACCAACTCTGTTTACCTTACTACATGCACCAAGCCAGGCACAACAGCTACAGAAAACTTTGCCTGAATCATTTTTCCACCCCATTCATTTTTTCTATTATCCTTAGGTTTCAGTTTCAGGAATTTCTCCTAAGGCCCCTCTAAGACCTGCATGATTGGGTCAGACTTCTTATTGTCAGTTTTCATATAGCCATTAATTTCCTTTCATGGCACTTAGAGCACCAATTTTACTTTGTTTGACTATGTGCTTATTACCTGACTCTACTATGAATTTGTAGCTCTGTAATTACAGGAGTTTGGCTTTGCTGCTGTTGTTCAGCTTTATTTCCCCAGTACTAAGCATAGGCGCTGTCATAGTAGGCATTTGATGAATATCTAATTGCTCATTAATCATTATCTAAATCTCAAGAGTGTGGGCTAATTTGAATTAGAAAATATATGCCAAAATAATTAATAAAGAGCTGTATGTAGGTTCTTCATTATTAATGCAACTCATTATTGAGACTTACCTGAAAGTCATGAAATCAGTCATTCAATTTTAAAAGAAAATACAGGAGGAGTATATGAAAGGAATAGGCAGAAACAGTATACCTAGACCTATCTAAGCTACTTTATTTATTATTTCTTACTCTATTGATCTTAATAAGCAACCTAGTACTAAAGGTGGGAAAGAAAATTGCGGGAGCTGATAGAGACCCAATACATCTACTACTTACGAAAATTAAAACCAGATATAAAAGTTAAGATTTTTATCTTCAGGCATTAAACATTGTGGTAAGCTTATTCTATAAGGAAATTCTGGGTTTTGGCATACATTAAACCAATATGTTTATTATATATCTTTTTTGAAGGATCTGGATACTTATATAGGTATCTGTGAAACATTTTAGCATGAAGAAAAATATATTTCTGTTACACATTTTAGAAAAGTAAGTAGCATGCAATTATTTTATTAGCATTGTTTGTTAGCTAGTTAATAATATGAAAATTTTACCTGATTTCCACACTCTCAGCTCTACTCTGAGCTCACTAAAAATATAATTTTAAGTTTCTCCTCAAGAGGTCTTTTTACATGCAGAAATATCTCATATCTTAAAAAAAACTAATTTTTAATTTATATTTTAAGTCATTTGTTCTCCAAGATGTAACTGAAAATGTGCTCAGATTTGATTGCTTGCCAAAATATGTGAGTTTTATTCTAACAGAAAAACATATAGATATGTTCCAAGAAAAGTATTGAAAAATATATGAAAATAAATTTTACAAGCTGTACACTTAAATTTTTTAACCCCAACAATGTGTTAAATTTGTGTGTTCTTTGGTAACAAAAATAGTCAAAGTCAGTAATCATAAACCACTTTTGGAATGTTATGTATTGCCTAAATGTGTCTATAAGAGCAAATAATACATTTACTTATACATGAAAATACATGGTGAGATGTATGTGTTTCTAATTTAAAACTATTCAAACAACAAAAATTACAGGAATATGGGATATGCAATTTTTAGAATGGATTATCCCACGAGGGGCTCCTTATGTTAGACATTATGGATGGGGGTGCTGAGCAAGTTACTCAAGTCAGAGAGAATGCTGCCTGAATAAAGCAAACCATGCAATACACTAAAAATCTTACAGTGACGAGCCCTTTTTGCATGGAGAGAGATAAACTACTTCTTCATACCTGCAGATTTGCACTCTAATATTAGCTAAATGGCTCATGGTGTTGGTCATTTGGAGACTTGCATGTGGGATGTCTCCATGAAATCCTAATATAATTCTCAACATTTTAAAGTATAAAAAGCATAATATTTGGAGACCAATATCCTCGGTTTAAGCTTTTACTCTGCTACACATTACCACTGTGGTTTTGGAAAATTTCACTACACAGAAATTTTTCTGTAAAGTGAAAAAATAAATTAGTCTATAATACACAGAACACAGAAAAACAAAGTAAAGTGACATATATAAATTATATATGAAAACTGTGAGAACTTTTAAAATTATAACATATAGCTATTATTTTATTGTTACTATCATGATTTTTGTTTATTGTAACTACAGGATAAATAAATATGTATATAAACACCCTAATGACTGGAACGACCATACTTATTTTAATACAGATCATGATTTTACATGCCTGAGTATAACTTTCATTTTTAAAAGACCGGCATAATGGATTATAACAAATTATTAATAATTCCAAAAAGCATTATGAAAATTACGAGAAGTTGCTCAGGAAATACCACAATCCCTGGCCCACAGTGAACAGTGAAGATCAACTTCTCGCCAGCTTGTTTCTTCCCTACGTTGTACAAAGAGTTAAATTACAGCTCTCAGAGGTGAAGAATCTTATTGGCTTGGGGAGTTAGTGTAAATCTGAGCCCAAGATTCCCTGCATTTGACAGCTTTGATTGATCTTATAATTGCACATTTTGCAAAACAATTAAGTTAGAGAAATTACAGTTCTATACATGGAACTCTGCTAGAGAAAATAAATAAGCCAAAATTACTATAATGAGTGCAAATATTAAGTCCACTGTTGTATTAATTCATTACTATACTGAATAGCCTAGAAAATGTATCGCTGTGAATAATCACAATTTCTTTGGACAGCAGTTTCTTCACTATTTTTACCTAATTTTCAAGACAAATGGCTTACTGCTTACTTATTTTTGAGTCTGTATTGTCCATAAAATTATAAGAATTAATGAATTCTGCATTTATATATACCACCAAATACTAAATTTTTATAAAAGGTATATTTATTATACTGAAGAGAATATCACTGCCTAATGTTTTTCCAGAACTTTTAGCAAATATTGATTCATTAGTTCACAACTATGTGTGATATTTCAATTTTTAACGTCATAAATCAAATGGAAATATAATTAATATTCACTTTCAGATTGTAAGTATCCTTCATAAGATTTGATGACAGATGGCCCATTTTTCACTTGATTCATCTTGGGCTTATATATTGATATAAGTCACTTAAAATTATCCTGACATTTCAACATGTTAAAAAGTCAGCAAGCATTATTTTATTTGACAAGTGATAAAGAAGTGCAATGTGACCCTCTTTAATTTATTTCATAAGCAAGGCATCAATAATTGACTTACAGAGATTCTTCTTCCTTGCACCCTTTGTATAAATAAGTCACCATTAATGATTGACTTTTGTTGGAACTCTGTCAACTTTTCTTTATTGTAGACTTGCTCCAAGGTATCAGAAATAGCTTAAAGATCTAATATATAAGTTTGTACACATCGAATACTTGGATATCTTGGTTTACACATTCCCACACTTGCCAATTTTTATAGCAGTTTATTAACTATTTTTAGCTAGTCATCAAGAAAAGTGGCTGCTGCTTACTTATTTTGGAATTGACATTGTAGGACATTTATTTCAACTCTTTTAGCCATTTGTTCTCTGTATTTTCTCCTTCATTCTTTCCCTGGCAATTGGATTTCTGAAAACTAGTATTTATTATATGAATGAATAAACTAAAACTTTGACATTTATTTATGAAATAATTATAAAATCAATAAAACAAGTTCTGTCTTCATAATTACAAGTTGATCAATTAGAATTAGATTTCTTTTCAGTAGAGTGACAGGGAACAGACTGTTTAAGAATGTGCCAAGTGAATAGCTATCCAAACTGTGATTAAAAATAGAATACTGGGCTTACACACACAACTGATAACACTAATGGAGAAAAATTGGTTTGGCTATTCTTTGAAGATCCTTAAAAGCAACATTCTAAGACTCTCAGTTCTGTTAAGAGCTTTTATGTCTAAATTTTATTTATTCTCTAACTCATTCCATAAAATTTAATATATTTTACTTTTTTCCCTAAATCAAAACATTTATATATTATGACATCTCCATGATAGATGTTGTTTCAAGATTGGTTTCTGTCTTATATTGCTATACAAACCAAAAAGCATTAAAATCAAATACCCTAAACATGGGTTAAATGAATCATGATGTTTATTTTTCACAGTTATTCAAATACTTGGTAGAGCTCATTAAAAATTTAGGATATTAGTTTTGACAAAGAGTAACATTTTAAACTTTTATTTCCTTACAGAAGCAACAAAGCACAAGAAGTGCCTTATTATTGAATTTTTTCACATTTGATATTTAATGTTGACACAATAGCGCAATTAAGTTGTACTTTGAATCAGTACTAATGTACATATATTTTTAGAAAAATATTTGGAGAAATATAAAAACTTCACGGTCAATGAGCAGATGGAATCTCCTCATTCAGGAGAGTATAGGGCGATGAGGACAGGATGCCCATATGACCACATGTAGAAAAAATATATATGTATCCGGCAATCAATGATTCTTATCAAAAGAGTATGCTGTCGTAAAGAATGAAAATAGAAATAAATTGCTTCTTGTTGCAGAGTTGGAAATTGGTTTCCGAATAGAAAATGTAACTAGCTTGTCTTGGGACAAAAATTACATTATTACATTTTTATTTTTACTGTGCTTTGGGAGGAGATAGCAGGAGGATTGACAGCTGTCAGCGTTTACTAGAAGAAAGTACTATGGGAATGTGTGTTGACTTCAACTACTTCGAATGACAAAATCTACAATTTTAATGGATTACAATTATTTTTATGTCCATGGAATATGCGTGATTGAATTCTCTCCCCTCTCTGATCATTGCTATTATAATTAGCATTCCATTGCTACTGTTACTTTCTCCTAACTTACTAAAGATAGGATGATCAATTCTGAGCCTGTCATATATGGGCAATTGCATGTTTGATAAGATGTGAAGAGTGGTGGGAAAAATCCCAGCTTTCTAAAGTAGTGTCTTCGAATTCAGATTTCAAAACTTTTACGTTTTATTAAATAAATCCATTTGTTTCTTCTCCCTTGGTATTTTTAAATGCACATATTTCTCAGAGGGTAAGTTCATATAGAACAGGACCCTGGTGGAGGATGTCATTAAGATAGGATGCCCCGGACAAAGGTTTCTGGAGAGATAAGTAGAAGGATTAAAAAAATTGGCTTCTCGACTTAAATTTACTTTTTTTTTTTCCTGCCCTTTTCCCTTCACCAAATAATACAATTAAAAATTTACTTTTTAAGGTTGCTTGCAGTGGCTTACACCTGTAATCTTAGAAATTTGGGAGGACGAGGTGGGTGGATCACTTGAGGCCAGAAGTTTGAGACCAGCACATAGCGAAATCCCATCTCTCTCTCAAAAAAAAATAGATAAAATAAAATAAATAAATAAATTAGCCAGGCATGGTGGCGGCTCCACCTGTAATCTGTAATCCCAGCTACTTGGGAGGGTGAGGCAGGAAAATCGCTTGAATCCAGGAGGCAGAGGTTGCAGTGAGCCAAGATTGCGCCAGTGCACTCTAGCCTGGGGGACAGAGCGAGACTCTGTCTCAAAAACAAATTACTTTTTAAAAATACTAATGTTGGCCAAGTATAAAATACTTATATAAACAGAAGTATCAAAACCTTGAAAATGCCTCACCAAGAGTTACACAACAGGGACAATTTTGTGAGAGAAACTTTTCCAATTGGTGTCCAATTTTGTAGGTTGAAGAATTTCATTAATCAAAAAAAAAAAAAAGTTCAAACTCTGGGTGCATTAAGCTAACTCCCAATGTCACGATTTTGACCTTTCTCAGTAACTGTTGCTACCTATTTCTCCTTTCTGAATCTGAGAAAAATGCTTGTATTTTTCTCTCCATATTTTCATCTTCTACCATAGGAAAATACAGTATTGTAAAAGCAAACCCCTAATCCCGAGGTACTCCAGAAGCTCATTCAGTTCTGTTTTCCTTTGACCCTGAGATTTCCCCACTCACTTTCAGGAATAAACAGCTTCAGAATGCAATCTTTATAGCTTTAATAGCTCCTAGCATTCACAGTCTCTCAAGCTCAAACCACTATTTAAACTCTCCTTGTTGAAACACTTGAGGCTCTGGATTCAGTCATTCAGTGCTCTAAAGTCTCCCGGGTTTTCCACTTCCTTTTCTCCCCTGGTTTCTTTTCTTCTTAAGCAATTGAACCTGCTTTGTGTCAATCTTATGAGCAAAATGAGGCACTTGAAACATTTTCAGTTTCTTTTTGCAGTATATGATCTGCTTAGACATTTTTCATAAAAGACATTGATTTGCGTTAACACCAGCTTTAAGATATCTGTATAGGATATTTTATATTATCCTGTATATCCTAAATTAGTCAAAATATTTATTTGCCAAAAGTAGCTGAGAGTTTAAGTGTGAATGTTCCTTTATATTGTTCTCAGAGGACATGGCTTTTCTGGAAGATAATTCTGTTAAAGCAACAATTTAAAGTGGAAATGGATTAAGTGTTTCCTTAAGTCGTTCTAGAGCTGTGTGATCCAATATGATATCAAGTAGCCACATATGACTATTGAAAATTTGAAATATTGTTAATCCTAATTGAGATGAGCTGCAGATATGAAATACATACTGATATGCAAGCTTTAATATGAAAAATAATGTAAAATATTTCATCGATAATTTTGGCAGTGATTACAATAGAAATAATATTAAAGTAAAAAGATATACTTAATTTTCATCTTTTACTTTTTATATTTTATGTGACTACTAGAAAATTAAAAATTTGTTAAAGTGGCTTGCGTTTTGCATTTATTATTTATTGTAATTCTATTGGACAACATTTTTCTTTCTTTCTTTTTTCTTCTTTTTTTTTTTTTTTTTTTTGAGATGGACTCTGTCACCCAGGCTGGAGTGCAGTGGCACCATGTCGGCTCACTGCAACCTCCGCCTCCCGTGTACAAGTGCTTCTCCTACCTCAGTCTCCCAAGTAGCTGGGACTACAGGTACATGCCACCATGCCTGGCTAATTTTTGTATTTTTAGTAGAGATGGGGTTTCTCCATTTTGGCCAGGCTGGTCTCAAACTCCTGACCTCAGGTGATCCACCCGCTTCGGCCTCCCGAAGTGCTGGGATTTCAGATGTGAGTGACCATGCCCGACCAATTGGACAACAGTGGTAGAGAATTAAAACATGGCATTTTGTGGTTGTGATGGTGGGCACCTGTAATCCCAACTACTTGGGAGGCTGAGGCAGGAGAATCACTTGAACCTGGGAGACGGAGGTTGCAATGAGCTGAGATCATGCCATTGCACTCCAGCCTGGGTGACAAGAGCAAAACTCCATTTAAAACAAAACAAAACAAAAAACCGTGGCATTTTGCCAGGGTAAGCTAACTAAATTATTTGAGCTATTTTTGAATAAATGAATGATGAATACAAATATATACACATGTAAATATGTGTAATTCTATCTGTATATTCATATTTATACATAACGCCTATGGATTCCCACCCTCAAAATTCTGACCATCAATGTGATGGTATTTTGAGATGGAGCTTTTGAGAAGTAATTTGGGTTAGATGAGGTCACTGAGAGTGGAGCTCTGGTTTGACAGAATTAATATCTTTAGAAAAAGAGACACCAGAGAGCTCTATCCTTTTCTGCCATGTGAGCCAGAACAAAAAGACCATGGTCTGTAAATCAAGAAGAAAGCCCTCATCAGGAACCCAATTGGTATGCACCTTGACTCTGAACTTTCCAGCCTTGAGAACTGTGATAAATACCTATCTGTTATTTAAGTCACCCAATCTATAATGTTTTGTTATTGTAGTCTAAAACAATAAACACGTATACATACGTACATTTATACATATACTTATATCTAATTTATAGATGCATGAATAGACACACAAACACACAAATACACACACATATTTTTGAAATAGAACAACTAAAGCAATTGCTTGAGGATTTTTATGCTTATGCGCTTCTCTTCTCTTTGCCAAGGCACAATGTTCTAATTTTGTTGCTGCTCTATGAGGCATGTCAGTGGTGTTTTTATTTTTATTTTTTCTCTGAAAACTAAAAATGTAGAAAGGTTAATATGACAAATGCAAGAGTTAATTTTTTAATGTTTTTTAATTGTGTGTTTAGAAAATACTTATCTAAATTCACTTTATTGCTTGAAAGAAATTGGAATTGCCTCAATAAACTTTGAGATTATGACTCGTTGCTATTCTAAGAATAAAGTTATGCACTTTCATATGGATTATTTATTTGATAGCACGAGCATGAAACGTTTTTGTCATATGCAGATCATAATCAGAAAACCCTTTAGAAGCTAGGATAAGTTTCACCTAGAAAAAGCATTGATAAGGCATATTTTTTTTGTGGCTTATATGCTATTGTACCACTGTTCTAGCAAAGAAAATATAATGTTTCTTTCCAACTGTTTTATTGCTGCATTTCAATCTTACACTGTACTCATCAAAATTCTCTATATTATTTTTATCAAAGTCTCTGAAATGTATGGGCACAAAGCAAACAGATGCCAATTGATTTTTTTAATCAAGGTTTTTTTTTTTTTCTAAAACATCACATTTTATTTTCTTAATGTCTAATAGTTCTAATGTTCTTCTATAGTCATTTATCTATCAAGCACTATTCTCAATTTTAAGAGAGAAGTTTTATATAAACTTAGTGACTTACTTTTATGAAAAAAATTGTCATGATCTAGTGGAGACTCTACGAAACAGTAAAACAATAATTAGAAACAATTGAAGGAGAACCAGACAATGATTTAAAAGAAGATACTGATTTTGACTATATTTGACTACATTTAATATACTATTTAATACAAATGCAAACATATCCAGGTATTGGGAAAGCTAGAAAATCCATGTGAATAGAATGATATATAAGTGGAGAGATAATGAATATAGAACAATTTTACAATTTTTAAAGCAAGGAACTATTGTTACTGATATAACTGAAATCTAAAGATTTGTATACAATTATCTACTCAAAAAAAGAGTTACAGTTTACCCAAGTAAATTTTACTCCTTTGGGAAGCATCTGGGTAATGATAATAAAAGCCTTCTACATTACAGAATCTGACTTTAATCCTTATTTCATACGTGATCCTGAGGACATCACTACTCTAAGATCTCAACCTCTTAATCCATCAGAAGAAAATAATTATAATTTTCCTACTGAGGGATCTCATGTTACTCAGGAAAACAAAAGCTGTTTGAAAAGTGTTGGTAAAATACTAATATATGTTCTTGCAATTTAAACCAAGTTGAAATGTTCAAGAATTGGTAACTAGTCTGCAAAGTAGTGGAGATCAGTGTGCTCATGTGAGGCCTGGTGATTTAAGCAGAATTCATATGGGAGCTGTACTTGCATAGTATGGAAGAAGTGTGGTGGCAGATGTACCTGGAGAGTTAGCAGAAGAGAAGTGCTGTATCCTATTTGCCACAGATTATGGATAAAAGAAGATTACATTTGCCCCCAAATTCAATGAAATTGCAGATTCTCAGCATCTATGTTTAAATTACAGAATTCCACAGTACGTATATATAGTATATATGTCTACATATACACCAAGGTGGGAGGACATCATCCAATCATTTGAGGGCCCAGATAGAATAAAATTCTTTTTGTTTTTTCTTTGATTATTTTACATTTATTTGAGACAGAGTCTCTCACTCTGTCACCTAGGTTGGAGTGCAGTGGCAGGATCACGGCTCACTACAGCCTCAGGCCATCCTCCCAACCTCAGCCTCTGAGTAGCTGGGACTACAGGAGCATGCCATCACAGCCCACTTATTTATTTTACTTTATTTTATTTTATTTTAATTTAATTTTATTATTTTATTTTATTTTATATTTTATTTTTTGTATAGATGGGGTTTGTCCATGTTGTCAGGCTGGTCTCCAACTGCTGGGTTCAAGCAATCCACCTGCAGCGGACTCCCGAAGTTCTGGGATTACTGGTGTAAGCTATTACCCTTGGCCCAAATTCTCCTGCTCTTCTTGACATCCATCTTCTCCTGTCTGACACTGGTTCCTCCGGTTCTCAGGCCTTGGGACTCAGAATGAGTTAACCCGCTGGCTTTCCTGGGTCTTGACCTTGTGGAAGACGTATCTGGAGACTTCTCAGCCTCCAGAATCAGGTGAGCCAATTCTCACAGTAAGTTTCCTCTTATATATCTATCTACATAGTGTTGCTTCTATCTGTATGCAGAACCCTAACTAATAAAACTAGGGAGACTTTTAAGGTGTGGGAACATCTCTGATAGGTTCAAAAGCAGACATAAAAAAGGTGGGTACAGAAAATCTTCCTGACTGAAACAGAGACTAAAGATTGGAGAATAAAAAAAATTGAACCGAACGAGAATGAATAGACAATAATTATAAGCTTCAGAGCAAGTAATTTATGGTTACAATGATGTTCTATGCATATTAAACACACAGAAGCATTCAGGGTGAAGTAGATGAGGAAGAGACTGAAGAATGACTATGAAGGAAGTTATCACGGAATTATGCATCTGAAAGAATTTACAAGGAGAAAATGACTGGGCTTTAGGAGAAGGAACATTGAAACAATAACAAAACAAAAACAAAACTCAATCTTCTCCCTGGTGATCTATAGTACACACATAAACACAATCATATATATTTGTAAACATTTGACACTTTTTTTAAAGCTTGTTTCAAAACTTTGTTTTACAAAGAGTAAGCTTTTGTTTTATTTTCAGAATATTATGAGTATGTTAAAGTTCTATGTTTTCTGGAATAGAAGTGATATTGAGGTGCAATCATGCCAAAACATTAAAACAAGGTATTTTGGCACTTGTCAGTTGATGTAACGATAGTACATATTTTGCATAAAAATTTTTGAGTATTGTCACCGAGTAAATAAATAAATGTATATGCGTATATATTATTTTCAGTTTTTAGAACCATTTTGTATTAAAATGAATAATAAAAACTAATTTATCATATTTTCTTTTCTCAAAGGATGAAAGTTAGCTGGGATGATTTTATCCTGGGTGAGTTTTAAATAGTTTTGCTCTAAAAACATTAACATACATTCGTATGAAGGGAATATCGTTTTACAAGTAGAAGGAGTTCATAAAATTTTACAGAAAGAAAAAAGTCCATCATCTCTTACCACAGACAATGCCCGTTTTTTGTACTTGAAACAAATTGCAGTATTTCCTCAGTTATTGAGCTTTTCATAAAGTATAATTACTAATTGGCTTTATTTGTGGAACCCCTTAGAGTAAAACACTGTCAAACTCTGAGTACCATGGGTGCATTTTGACCACATACAACAGGGAGTTTGACTCTGCTGTGTGTAAGACATGCTTCTTTTGTTCAAGCTGCAACAGTGATATGAACTTGTTTTTCTTTTCAGAAGCTCTATCATATGCAAAACGATGCCAATAGAGGAAACACAGTGTGGCAAAGTGTATGGACACGGGCAAAGGATCCTGAGGTCAAATGTAGGGAACCGCTGTAACAAAGAGAAACATAATTAGGTCTAAGAACTCAATAGAAAGCTGGGAATTTGTAAGACACCTTGGAGGGGTACTAAACCTCTGTAAATAAATGAAATTAAAGTAATTTACACTTTAAGTCAGTGAATGCTGGGTATTGGTAGTACTTAGTGGGCGAAAATTATGTACCTTCTGTGTGTGACTTCCCTTTAATTGTATATTGTTTTGGGATTTTTAAAGAAGTATATAGACATGCTGATATGATTTGTTATAATCATATAAAATAACACAGGTTAACAGTGATTCCTAGTGAAAAACAGATTTCAAGGTATATAACTTTAAGAATATATATACATACAGGCTAGTGGTCACACCGGAAATGTCTGAAAACTTTTCCTAACTGAATTCAGTGATGGTTTCAAATATTTTATTCTTATAATTAAGAAGAATATATTGCACACAGAACAGAAAAAAGGAAAGTTTGTTTTTTAATAGTTCAGTTGTCCGCATTCAAACATTTTGATGCCTTTCGTTGTTAATGGGGTTAGAACTGTGTCCAATGCATAATTGTGGAAGCATGAATTATGTAATTTTATAACAAAAGATTAATGAGACCTGTCAACTTCCTTTCCTAAGTAAACCTGCTATTTTTTAGAACCCTTGAAAAAAACATATAGGATATTTGCCAAATATTTTACTCTTCCATCTCCAGATTAAATAATATATATGGTTGAAACAATATTGCTAAAAGTTTTGACTGTTAATTTTCTCCCCTTCCTTCTGAGGATTTTTTAGAACACTAAGAATCTATGGTTGAATTAAAATTGACAAAACTTTGCCTTATAAAGCTAAATCATTACTGTTTAGAGCATAAAAATAACAAAATTCAATGTGTTAACTAGTTGATAAACATTCATTTTGCAAAAATGGATATACATTTGTCTAAAGCTCTCAATTATATAATATGCCTCAAGCACAGACCCTTCAAAATAATTTATGTAAATCTTTTTCCTTTAATTTATGAAGGACTACAAGAAATCAATTTGTAATTTTAAAACTTATAAAGAGCTAGGGAATACACTGAACATACATGTAGCAGCACAAAAGTAGTTCACCATCAAAATTATTAAAAAATAAAAATAGATACAATTACTGTATAACAAATTTATTATTCATTTGGACTTCCCAGGCACTATAATATTCCAAAATGGTTATCAACTTATAAATCACTATTAAGTAGTAATAACAACAGGTCTGATATGATTTGGATTTGTGTCCATACCCAAATCTCATGTCAAATTTCAATCCTCAATGTTGGGAGAGTGGCCTGATGGGAGGTGATTGGATCATGAGGGCAGATTTCCCCCTTGCTGTTCTTCTGGTAGTGAGTGAGTTCTTAGGAGATATGGTTGTTTAAACGTGTGTAATACCTCCCTCTTTGCTGTCTTCCTCCTACTCTGGCCATGTAAGATGTGCCTGCTTCGTGCCTGCTTCCTCTGCACCTTCTACCATGATTAAAAGTTTCTTGAAGACTCCTCAGCCATGCTACCTGTACAGCCTGTAGAACCATGACTCAATAAAACCTCTGTTCTTTATAAATTACCTATTCTAAAGTAGTTCTTTAGGCTGGGTGTGGTGGCTCATGCCTGTAATCCCAGCTCTTTGGGAGGCTGAGGCAGGCAGATCATGAGGTCAGGAGTTCAAGACCAGCCTGGCCAACATGGTGAAACCCTGTCACTACTAAAAATACAAAAAAAAAAAAAAAAGAATTAGCCAGGCATGGTGATGCATTCCTGTAATCCCAGCTACTCTGGAGGCTGAGGCAGGAGAACTGCTTGAACCCGGGAGGCGGAGGTTGCAGTGAGCCCAGATGTCACCACTGCACTCCAGCGTGAATGACAGAGCAAGACTCCATCTTGGAAAAAAAAAAAAAAAAAGAAGTAGTTCTTTATAGCAGTGTGAAAGCCAACTAATCCAAGATATTTTTCTCTTCTCAGGAATATTGCTCCCATTTCATCCTTAAATGTTCAGAAGATTTCAGTGGTGAAGCCACAGGCCTAGAATTTCTTTATTAACCAATCTTCTCAGCAGTGTATTATTTACATTAGAAAAGACACAGAAAGGTAGGTAGGTGGATAGATATAGATAGATTATTGAAATATGTAGATATAGCTACATAGATATACATGTAGATTTAGATATAGATATACTGTGGTAGACAGAGTGAGGGGAAATTACCTTGAGCCATCAGGGCCACCCATGTTCCCAGGCCACATTTCAGGCTTGTTGTAGACGATTTCTTTACTTGGTTTTTTTCCAGTCCCTTGGAAATAGTATTTTAGGGGTTTTATGTGACACATGACATATTTAACACGTCCCATTCTTTCCTTGGTAAAATTTAAGTTTCATTAGTTTCTCAACACCTTAACCATGCTGATAGCTCTGTTTAGATATTTAGCCTCTTACTCATTACTTAGTTTCTCAAACACTTCCTTTTGAGCAGCTTAGTAATGGGCATCAGCCTCAACAAAAAGGTGGTGTAAATGTTGTGTTCCACTTCTCTGCTGTTCCTTTCCATTGAAATCCTGATCCTTCCATTGACTAACTTAAATAGCTCTGAACAACTGTGTGTGTCCTTCCACTTTGGAGAGACTGACAAAGGAGCTGTGCCCCAGCTCTTTCCTACTACATCTGCCAGTGCTTACACACTGGCACCTTCACGGCGTGGAAAACTGGCAGGGCTTGTCAGGTATACACCAACCCCATTCACCACCCATCTCACAACTGTCTTGAGGATTGCTCTTTGATTTTTTTTCCCTTAGTATATTATCCAGATTTTATAATTTTTCTCAGAGGGAGGCTTTGTCTTCATCAAGCTACCCCTTTATATCTAATAGCGGAACCCAGATTTAAATTAAACATGATTACTTTCCACAGAAAATCGGCTTTAGAAAATAAGCATTTGGGGCCGGGCGCGGTGGTTCACGCCTGTAATCCCAGCACTTTGGGAGGCCGAGGCGGGCGGATCACGAGGTCAGGAGATCGAGACCATCCTGGCTAATAACTGTGAAACCCCGTTTCTAATAAAAATACAAAAACTTAGCCGGGCGTGGTGGCTGGCGCCTGTGGTCCCAGCTACTCTGGAGGCTGAGGCAGGAGAATAGCGTGAACCCGGGAGGCGGAGGTTGCAGTGAGCCGAGATCGCGCCACTGCATTCCAGCCTGGGCGACAGAGCGAGACTCGTCTCAAAAAAAAAAAAAAAAAAAAAAAAAAAAAAAGCATTTGGGTTAGTTACAAAAATGAACCATCTTTATTTATTTATTTTTATTTTTGTAATCCACTAGGGAAATGTAATACCTTCATCAACTCTTTTCTGGGTAAGTCAGTGAAGGCATGACCTCAGAGGCAGTACTTTCAATCAGATATCTCTGTAAGTTTATCCTTTATTCCTTTACATAAGACTTCTACCTACTTCTTCTTGGGAGAAATATTTGTTATCACTTTCTTTTTCTCTGTCCATTGGAAATAAGGGGTTTTGTTTGTTTGTTTGTTTGACAGAGTCTCACTCTGTCACCAGGCTGCAGTGCAGTGGTGCAGTCTCCGCTCATTGCAACCTCCGCCTCCCGGGTTCAAGTGGTTCTCCTGCCTCAACCTCCCGAGTAGCTGGGATTATGGGCACATGCCACCACGTCCAGGTAATTTTTGTATTTTTAGTAGACATGGGATTTCACCATGTTGGCCAGGATGATCTCGATCTCTTGACCTCCTGATCCACCCGCCTCAGCCTCCCAAAGACTGGGATTACAGACATGAGCCACTGTGCCCAGCCGGAAATAGCTTTTTTTCACCCTATTTTTAAAATCAGTCTACATAGTTACTTTGTTAGGTTGTATGGCATAAAAATCCATTAAACCTTAAAAATCATGAATTGTGGGTTGACTTTCATTGAAATAGCTCATAATTTCTACATTATCATGAAATGAGAACTGAAATTTGCTCACAGCCATATGGAAATAAAATCAAAGCCATATATCAATGGAATCACAATGTCCCTAATTTCTGAGAAATATTACCAACAGAGCTAAACCTTTTGTTTTGCAGTTTCTAGCTATCTGGGAAAAATGCATTCCCATATTTTTCTCATGCAAAACTTGTCACAACTTAAGACTACAGTAAAAATTATCTCATGGCACTCTTTTTCCCCACATTTTAAAATCATTTTATTTTTCCACGAACACACATTATTTTAAGTACATGCATATAGTTATGTCACATGCTATTTTTAGATACGCACTTTTTTCTTTTCTTCTTTTACTTATGTCCTATTTTTATGTTTTTTAAACTTCATTTTGCCAATATCCTTCATCCTACCGTCCACAACAAATAACAAGATATGTTTCTGCATGTGTTATATGCAAACTTAAACATATGGACACATAGTCATCCCAGAGGATATTTTTGAAGTTTATTTTTCAAAAACTGGATGACATTATAAATGTGTTTCTTATTTTCTTTAGAAGTTAGATGTAGTCAGAAATTACATCAGTTTTGTGAGGTAATCTATCTCTGGACCCTACAACAGGGTCTAAACAATTCTTTCCAATAGGGCTTTTTGCCATGATGTGACTTCTGCACTGCTCCATATGATAGCACTAGCCACTGGTGGCTACTGAGCATTTGGAAAGTAGCTGGTGCTACTGAGGGGCTAATTCCTTATTTAAAATTTTTATTTAGTTGTATCAATAAATTTCAAATAAAAAATTATATATAGTTATTGGCTACAATAATGTACAGTGTAGCTCTCGGCCACGTGTCCAATAAATATATGTTAAGTACATAAATACATTTTGTTATTTTGATTGTTTTATAGAGATAGCTATGCTTATGCTTAAAAAAACCTTCCTTTCTATCTTTTATGCATTCATTTTCTTAAAGATTATATAATGTTCTAGTTTCTAATTTTTCCATAATTTTATTATTCCATTCTTTTTTTTTTTTTTTTTGCTGGGCTTTTACCTTGTTTATTGGAGCATTTATTTCTGTGGAATAAATTCCCGGGAGTTGGGTTATAGCTAGATACATTTTTATTTTAATAGATATAAGAACTGTTGGACAGGTTTTTTAAAGACATAATACTTCTGAAATATGACATTTATACTATGAAATATATATATGAAATTTATACTTATGAAATATGACATTATACTAGCAATAAACGCTAGTGATACATGTTCTCATTCTAAATTTTTATCTATCTATTAGGGATACAGTGGTAATTAATTGTAATTTTATTTTCATGTCCGTAACTACTAAAGAGATTGATTATGTTTACATATACTTATAAACATGTAAACTTGCTCATATGTGAATTCTCCATTGTATAGCTTGCTAACTCCTTGTCAATGTGTAAATTATTTGGGATATATATATATATATACACACACACACACACACACACACACACGTAATTGTACATAATTTTTTTTTTTTTTTTTGAGATGGAGTCTCGCTGTGTCGCCCAGGCTGGAATGCAGTGGCTCACTCGGCTCACTGCAAGCTCCGCCTCCCGGGTTCACGCCATTCTCCTGCCTCAGCCTCCCGAGTAGCTGGGACTACAGGCGCTCGCCACCACGCCCGGCTAATTTTTTGTATTTTTTAGTAGAGACAGGGTTTCACCATGTTAGCCAGGATTGTCTCGATCTCCTGACCTCATGATCCGCCCGCCTCGGCTTCCCGAAGTGCTGGGATTACAGGCGTGAGCCACCTCGCCCGGCCTGTACATAATATTTTTATATAAAGTGACACCTATTGATAAATCTTCTCTTCCGTTTCACTACTTTAATTATTGTATTTCTAGTCCAATAAAATGCTGACTTGATTACATGTCTTTGGTTTGAATATGCACTTTCTTGGATCATTAATCTTCTCATTTATGCAGGTAGTAGATATCTCTTTTCCCATAAAAAAGTCAGTTCATTTTGTCCAATTAAAAAAGTGCTGATACTATTATAATTAAATTTAATTTTAAAAATTATTTTTATATTTGAAATATTATTAATGTTGAGTTATATTTTTATTACATTTTAGCATCTAAAAGCATCATATTTTCCACTTTTTGATCATTTGTTTTATGCCACTTTTATATTTCAAACTACCGCATCTTTTTGCGACGAATTTCATGGTTTGTTCAACCCTTAACCAGCTAAAATTTATAGTTAATTGTTTTAATCACTCTAATGTATTTAATTTCCTGACTATATCTATCCTGCCGTTATCTCACTTCATCCTTGCCCTTGGCATAAGCTCAAGCCCGATTACATCTGACTCTCTACATACTCTGAATCTGTACTACCACTATTGACTATGTCTGGAGGAAAAAAGACATTCATAATTATGGTCTTCTGTATAAATTTTATCATATCCTATGAATAGCAAGAAGACTTTTCCATTCTCAGGTTATCCTACAACATATTTTTGTTTATTGTCCTGATTTCATCCTTGCAACATCTTCCCATTTTACTGAGATTAAAATGAGTTTAGAGTTCTTACAAGAGCCTCATCTCCTTACACTCTCCCTGTTATATATTACTTCAGAAATGCTGGCCTCCTTATTCCTCAGATTCCACACGCCCTGCATACCTGCTTTACTGTCATGGCTGAATAATATCCACCAAGATACATGCCGAAAACTGTTTCAGCTACTTTAATGTTCTACAGACAATATCACTTTCTCAGTGAGACGTTATCATGATATTGAGTTTTAAAAATGTATTTGTTGAGAATTTTTTATTAGTAAATAGTTAAATAATTTTAATAAGTGATGTTTTAGCATCTTTTGGTGCTATTCCATTACTAATGTTTTTCTAATTTTTATAATAAATTGTGATACATTAGACCACATTTACAAGAAAGAAACAGACAAATTTAGAAATGACAAAGGAGATATGATAACATCCTTTGACTGAATTAGACTTGCATGCAATCAGATGGTGAAATAGTAAAATTCTAGGATGAATTGAATCAGCTCATTAAAATAAACATTTCCAAAATAAATTCAAAAGTTGTATGAAATACTACCATTTTAATTGTTTTCTTGATTTTAAAAAATTCCCTTTGTATTTTCTTTTTGATCTGAGAATTGGCCACTATATTTTTTTAATTTCTAAGTAGTTGAGACTTCCATTGTTAACATACATTTTTCTAATTATGATTATGGTTATATGACACAGCAGAAAACATCTTAAATTTAAATATTTTGTTTGTTTTCTTTTTTGGCCAAATACATACTTGATTTTTACAAATAGTTCATGGACAGTGAGAAGAAATTTTTTGTTTTTTAATTGAAAACTCTCTGTCATAATGTGTGTGCAGGTGGGTGTGTGCCAACTACTACCTTTCTTTATTTTTCTTTTAGCCTTTATGTATTGACTTATGTGCCTTATATTTTAAAGGGCTCATGGCAGTTGTATTTTCCTCAAAATTGTTGGTTTTTATTCTCATAAAATATTTTTCATCTTATTTGATACATTTAACTTCAAATATGCATTTTCTGATATTTAATACTTCCCCATTTGCTTTCCATTTTATGGACTTTCACCTGATATTTGTTACTTAATGCTCAACACTGTATTTTATACATCTTTTTTTTTTTTTTTTTTTTGAGACGGAGTTTTGCTCTTGTTGCCCAGGCTGGAGTGCAATGGTGCAATTTCTGCTCACTGCAACCTCTGCCTCCCAGGTTCAAGCGATTCTCCTGCCTCAGCCTCCCTAGTAGCTGGGATTACAGGCATATGCCACCACGCCCAGCTAATTTTGTATTTTTAGCAGAGACGGGGTTTCTCCATGTTGGTCAGGCTGGTTTCGAACTCCCGACCTCAGGTGATCCGCCCGCCTCGGCCTCCCAAAGTGCTGAGATTACAGGCATGAGCCACCCCATCCGGCCACATCTTTTACATAGAACCCACGTAGCTAGCTTTTTAACCTAGTGAATGGTCTCTGACTTTTAAGGGGGAATTATTTAATATTGATTTTTAATTATTTAATAAAATTCTTTATTACTTTAAAAATTTTAAGAATTACATTAATTACTCTGATAAGTCAATAAAAATTAATCTGATAGAAATATTAACAACAAAGCAACCTATCCTTTTGATACATGAAGTTATTAAAAAAAAACAAATATTTCTGATCAGGTTTTTCCCCATTGTTTTCAATACAATTACTTTAAATTGTACCAGGATTAGAGAATCAGTCAGGGATTTAAGCAAGTTATATTGTCCCAAGAAAAATGAGTGCACGGTGAAGGAATCAGACTTTTAGCTTCCATTTAAAAAATACATAAGACTAGTTAGTTACTATTCTGGTTAATCAAATTTCATAAGTATTACACTTTACTTAAAAGATACTCAAGTTAATGTCTGTCGAATTATAAAACTGTTTTCCTGGAACCTGAGGATGATTCTGGCCTTGGGAACAAGTTGGACCTTAATGGAGATGGTCCTTTCACATTTGAGAGAAAAGTAGTGGAAGTCTTCCATTGGGAATAGAAGTTATGAATTTAAATAAAGAAGTCAGGTCTGGAGCTGCAGATGTAAGAGTCCATTTTGAACATGTGTGGAAATCATAAAAGTATTGCCTCCTTTTGTACTTAAATATTAAAAATAGGGCATGCTGATACCAAAACCATGTTGGAAGTTAAATTGTAATAACTGTTTAAGTTCAAACACAGTAGTGCAGTGTAAGTGAAAAGTAACCATGATGGTTGAAATTACAACACAAATAAAGGAATTCTACAGTCATTAGTAATACATGACCAGAAGTCTTTTTCCTGTCCCCAACAAATAAAACAATTGGGACAAGAGTAAGAGATTTCTTTTCTCTGAGTATTAAAATAATGTTAACCAAATAAATAACTTCTGTCTTCTCTGATGCTTTGGAAGAGATAGGCCACCCTGAAATGGGTTTCCTACTCATTTGGGAGGAAAGAATAACAATGTATGTCTGGAGATCTAAATTCCAGAAAAGTTGCCTGTATCAATGACTTATTTATTGCCTTATTTTTGTAGTTGTAATAATATCTAAGAAAATGGAGATAGATTGTCAGGGTTCAAACGTTGCTGTCACCACTGCTAGCAGTAGTTGAATTAAATGAGATATTCTGACATGCATGGATAGCATAAGCATTATTTTAAATTTTATTTAAATTTAAATACACTTGAATAGGTACATGTTTTTATGTGTTAGATATTCTCCTTGAACTGGAGTTGAATTGCGGAATAAAAGTCCTCGTCATTGGTGATCTGCATTTTGTGAAGGAACAAGTTAAATAACTAACATTTCATAACAAACAACTGGCATTTCAAAGTCTCATTTATGAGCAGCTACACCCTATGGCAGAATGACTAGCTCTAAAGAATATCATTTATTAGAATCAAAGTGAAAAATAGAGAGATAAATGGAAGATTTCAAGTTAATGTTTTCCTTCTCTTTTTTTTAGTAATTCCCAGAATAGGCTCTTTTTTTCTGGTTATTTTCTTTATTGAAGTTCCTGAGTACTCAGTTAGGTTAAATTGTGTGGATCTAGTAGTCAATTTGCATAACCAGTTCAGAAGCCTTCTGTAATAGAGCCCCCATCAGCTAGACTTGGCAAGAGAGAAATGGCTGGCTGGGGACTGACAGGAGGCGTGCTTTGTGGAACAAGTGGAAAGTGGAAACTGGGACATAGATAAATTTCACCTACATTACAGTTTGTCTTAAAGAGAGGGGATATCATTTTAAAATGCCATGCAGTAGATAGAAAATACCTAATAATGGGAATAGGTCTTAATTTTGAATTTGATTTACTGGCTATTGTAGGAAGGCTATAAAGACTAGAGAAGTCCTTTTTGTATTTTTTAAAATTACTGATGACTTAAAAAGGAACAATGTGTATCTAGGGAATGGGAAAATTATCTGCTTCCAAAAGAAGTTATTACCCTGCCTTAATGCTATGAAACTTTAACTTCAAAATGAATAAAAGAGTGACTAATATTTTTTGCAGGCTAATATCCATAGGCATTTTGAATAAACAAGATAATGTTTAAAATACCTTGATTTGTGAGACCACCCAACAGATGCAAATCACCATCAGAACCTCAGGTCTCAAAGGGGAAGCAATTTTTATGAGACACTGCCTTTCTTACAAATTAGTTATAATCTTTTTTTTTCTAGCAATTACAATTAGTAGAGTCTTTTCTCAATAATTTGGAGCAATTAGACTAAAGTTTTGAATGACAAATTTCTTACACATTGCCATTTAACTTTAATCAGAACACTACCATAACAAAAATGTTAATGAAAACACATTTTCAATCAGCCTTGAGAGGAAAGGAAAGTACATTAATTTAAAAAGTGACAGTGACACAGAAATCAATAATCCATGATGGATTTGAAGGATGAGGTGGTTTTTTTTTGTATGTTAAAATGCCTGATATAAAAAAGAAAAATCCTTTGCAACTAATTGTAGGAGCATAGAAAACTGCCTTTTAGTAAAAGAGGCTCATATAAATGCTATATAAATACCACTGTATAAATAAAAAGAATAATGAATTGCACCGTGGTTGTATAAAAATTTGAAACTACAAAATGAAAGGTATCTGGTTTTATATTTTGCTCATTTTTAGCTATATTTTTTCACTTGTAAAATATGTTTCATAATGATTAATTTGAATTTTAATTATAATGATATTTATTGGTCATTGAGGGGATTAAACAATAGTATGCATATACAGATAGTCCCTGACTTACAATTTTTCCACTTACAGTTTTTCAAATTTATGATGATCTGAAAATAATACATTGAATAAAAAATTGTACTTTAAGTACCCATTTACCCATTCTGTTTTTCATGCTCAGTATAGTCTTCAGTAAGTAACATGAGATATTCAATATTTTATTATAAAATGGTTTTTGCGTTAGATGATGTTGTCCAACTGTAGGCTAATGTAAGTGTTCTGAGTACATTTAAGGTAGTCTAGGCTAAGCTATGATGTTTAAGAAGTTAGGTGGATGAAATGCATTTTTGACTTAGAACATTTTCAATTTATGATGGATTTTGCCAGATGTAACTCCATGGTAAGTAGAGGAGCATCTCTATATATTCCTTAGTACGATATTTCCAAAGCAGCAGTTGTTTAACCAGAATCAGTCTCTGACATTGTTTTTTAAAATACCACACATGAAACCTATTACTAGAGAAACACTGTTATTGATGGAGAGGGTAATTTTTTAATGAGAAATTATGTTTAGGAAATGAAAGGCCCTATCATGTCAAACAAAAGGAATTATTTTTATAGTAACAAGACATTCCATAGGAACCTCTAGGTAAGGAAACATTACAACCACAGGTTCATTCCAGATTGTTTGCACCTTCAGTCAATGATAAGGGTCTGACTCAATTTTCCAAAAAAAATTAATTAAATATATATTTTTAAATTTGTTTCAAAAACAAAGCATGCAAGGATTATGGAAAATAAGTATCCCTTTGTTTTGGTTGGAATTAAAGCGTTTTATCAACTAGAAATCTGATTTTTATTTAAACAAGCTATCATTCTTATTTACTTAAATCTGGTTAATTTTAAAATTGAGGTGAAAGTATTTATTCAATAAAATCTGTTTTAAAAACAATTCTTAACAATTATGAAATCAATGGAGAAATTTAAAAATAAATATGACTTTCGTGATAAAATAAAATGGGGCCATCCTTGCCTGTGTCACAGACAACAAGTGTCATACTGGAACTTAATGTTCATATCTTCTTTGAAGATACTCAATATTAAAGTAATCATAGATCCTATTTTATTTTGGAGCCTTGAATGCCCCTTAAAAGAAATAAAAAGTGCTGAGTGTGATGCCTATAATCCTAGTGTTGGCAGCAGTGGCCTGTCTGGAGTGGCTGCTGTGAAGATGATGGTTGCAGAGGGGATGGCGAAGCTGAGGCTGAGCACTCCACAGAGCCAGTGGGGCTAGGAACAGGCAGATGCCCTGTCCCCTTCCAAGTTAGAGGCTGCAGAACCTCCATTCTCCAAGGCACAGCTTCAGGACCCAGCATTGGCTGTGAACCTGGGCATTCATGCCCAGGAATTTCCATCTGCCCCAGCAGGCTTGGAAATGTCTGCTCCCACTTCCCAGCCTCTCCCCACTCTGCACCTCTCCCCACTCCCAGCACCTGCTCTTATTTGGGAGCAAAGTTGAGGCCAAGCCTGGGCACTATCACAACCCGGCTCAGTGTGCATGCCCTTGGGGCCCCACTGACACAACCGTCCCCTGTCACCTAGGCTTCCTCCAGTCTTTGGGTGTGGAGGAGCACAGGAGGGAGCCAGAGGGGTATCTGAGGAGAGCTTGGCACGGGCCTGCAGGTGCCCCTCAGCAGGAACAGCATAGGCACCAGGGATGGCAGCCGGAGACAGACAGGCTCCTGGGTGGAAAGGGGAGGTCCTTGTGAAGCCTCACTTTCAAGCCAGGGATGGCCTGAAGCCTGGGGGCTGGGCTGCCAGCTCCATGGACCAGAGTGAGAACTTATGGTGCTTTTTCTGGGCCTGCCCATGACAACTCATGGACCAATCAGCATGCACTTCCTCCCCTCTGAAACACATAAAAACCTTGGACTCAGCAAGACTCAGACAGACATTGGGACAACCTGCTTGCAGAGAGGAGTTACCCACTGTGGGTCTCCTCTCAGCTGAGAGCTACATTCCTTGGAAGACCTGCCTGTGGAAAGGAACTACCCACTTCAGGTCTCCTGAGAGATGTACTTGGCTCAGTAAAGCACCTCTTTACCTTGCTCACCCTCCAGGTGTTCATGTGCCTCATTCTTCCTGGATGTGGTACAAAAACTTGGGACACACCGAATGGCAGGACTGAAAGAGCTATAACATAAACAGGGCTGAAACACCCCTCACTTACCACATTGCAGGTGACAAGAAGGAGAGAAGAGAGAAGAAGAGAAGAGCTGTGGTCCTTCAGGGAGCCCAGATCTAGAAACTCCCTGAATCAGGGCTGTGACACCTTCCTTGGGGCTCTGTGGTTCCTTGATCTCCAAGCTTCTGGGCACCATTGCATTCCCTGGTGCCAGCAGTGGAAGGTACTTGCCGTATGCCTGGTCCAGCCATAGCGTTGCAGGGAGCTGGCACCCATGTCAGTGTCTGGAGCTGCCCACCCTGCTGCAGCTGGTGTGCCTGGCTGTGCGCAGCAGCTGAACCCCACAGTCGCTCACTGATGCACCCCTCACCACTCTGCATCTGGCTTGTCCTTGGCAAGCAAAGATCCAGGCTAGTAGTGCAAACCAAGTGCAGCCTGCCAGGCTGAGTGGGCAGAATGAGCCCAGTGGGCTGAGCAAAACTTGGGCAAAGATGTCAGAGACCACAAAGGTTTCCAACTGGCAAAGCAACACCCCAGGGATCCTGTGGCACCAGCACTTTGGGAGGCTGTGGCAAGTGGATTGCTTGAGCTCAGGAGTTTGAGCTCAGCATGGGCAACATGGTGAAAACCCATCTCTACAAAAAATACAAAAGGTAGCCAGGCATGGTGGCACATGCCTGTAGTCCCAGCTACTTAGGAGGCTGAAATGTGAGGATTGCTTGTACCCAGGATGTCAAGGATAGAGTGAGCTATGATCTTGCCATTGTACTCCAGCCTGGGCAACAGAATGAGACTCTGTCTCAAAAAAAAAGGAAAAGAAAAAAGAAACATAGAAAAAAGAAATAAATAAAAAGGACTACAAGTCATCCTGAGCCTCATAAGATTCTTATCCATAAGTGAATCAGTGGACACAAAGACTTCCCAGACTTGATACAAAAGAGTATCTCAAATGATTGTTTGAGGAGAAAGGAGAAACAGCACAAGCCAAATTAAAACAAAATCATTCAGATTGCTTCAAGCCATAGGATTTGGTGCAGGTACACAACCGGGGTGAAATAAGGCTATATAATTGGCCACATAGCCTTCTAGCTGTGATAGAGGGCAGGTTATTTAAGCTTTTCAAGATGCAATTTCTGCCACTATCTAATAGGCAACTGTACACTTACAAAGTCAAAGGATGTTCAATCAGTGTGGGCAAAGTGCTACTTACTATGCCTAGGCAGGTGTGCTATTTCTCTGCATGTCTCATGGACAGAAAAGATCTTTGCCAAAACAGAAACTGAAAAATGTTTCCGGTAAAAGGAGCTATTCAAGTTAAAGCAAAAGTCCTCCCTCTCAAACCTAAGTTTTGTGTTCTGCTGAGGATAAGTCATCCATGGTCAACTGCCAGGTCTCAGTTTGGAAGACAGCCTTTATCTGCTTGGGGAAGAATGAGTTAATACTATTCAGTAGCCTATGCTTTCTAAAGATAAAGGTGTTTGAAGCCTCTGGATATTTCCAGAGCTGGAGAAAATGTACTGAATCTTTTCAGAAGCAGAGGAAGGGATGAGAGAGCCAAGGGTCAGTTGCTGCGTTGTCAGGGACTAGCTGAAGGAACTGACTAGCTTATCTTTGCACCCAACGTGCTGATATTTAGGGAAAGTCAAATTAAAAATAAGGTGTCATCTCCTGAGCTGGGTAGGGTGTGGTAGTAAGTGAGTGAGGGCAGAAAATAGAGAAAGGAAGGTAGTGTCTTAAGCAGACACTGTCAGGGAACTCGTATACCATTTATTTGCAATCATGTGGTTGGGAGGAATGTGGGAAAACTCAGTCGAATCTGAGCCAAATCCCTCTTCATTAAAAATTCGGCCCTTGATTTTTCCTGTAACTTGTTTGGCTTAGTGCAATCAAGAGTAACATATAAAATGATATCCCAAGCCCTATATTGTATTTTAAACATATCTTCATATGTAGTTGTTAGGCCTGAGACATTTTAGAGAAAAACAGAGGTTTGAGGTGATTTCAATTGATCTAAAGAAGGAAATATTAACATTTGGTTTGCATTAAAATAAAGGGAAGAAATAATAATAGAGAAAGAAGTTAAATTGTTGTCTTGGGAACAAATATTAAGAGTGAGAGACATGAACTTGGTATGATGGGAGAATTCAATCTTTCTGAGATCCAGTTGTAAGTGCAGATCAAACCATAAGTATGAAGAGCTTTGAGATTTAAAAATAAGTAACTTTCAGGAAAAAGTAATATGGAATTACATGGTAAAAAATGTAAACTAGGATTACTTTGTGTCATCTTTTTAGTGAAAAGATGCAAATAAAAGTATGAAAAAAGACAATTCAAAGACAATTGTTTAAGTCCATGACAGTTGATATGGTTTGTCTGTGTGTCCCCACCCAAATCTCTCATCCAATTGTAATTCCTCATGTGTCAGGGGAGAAGCCCGGTGGGAGCTGATTGAATCATAGGGGTGAACTTCCCTCTTGCTGTTCTCCCGATAGAGTTCTCAGGAGATCTCGTTGTTTGAAAGTGTGTAGCGTGTCCCCCTTTGTGCTCTCTCTCCTGCTACCATGTGAAGAAGATCCTTGCTTCCCCTTCCTCTTCTGCCATGATTCTAAGTTTCCCAGTCATGCTTCCTATTAAGCCTGTGAAACTGTGGTCAATTAAAACTTTTTTCTTTATATGTTACTCAGTCTCAGGCAATTCTTTATAGCAGTGTAAAAACAGACTAATACAACCATTATGATGAAGATGTAATTGTTTGAAGACAAACAAAGAAAAGCATATCATTTCAAAATATTGCTTTTTCCTCTACAGTGTTTTTTTTTTTAATTTATGTATTGGGAAGGATATCATATAATGGTAGATTTTAGAGGTTTTTATTTATTTATTTTATTGTCTCCATTGCAGCCTTTTGTTTTTGTTAAGGTAACATAAGCCAAATACTATTTTCCTTTATTTATTTGCCTTCATTTTGGAAGTAAAATAAAAGCAGTGCAATTCTTTAAATGCTTTGCCAAGGTAGTTCTAGTAATCACTTAAACTTAGTCTTCTCTGAAGAGTATTATTATTGAGAACTGAGTCAGGTTGTCTACACAGATAAAAACCCTTAGACTTACAGAACTGGGATAGATATCGAATATTATTTACCTCAGTAGTAGTTCCCAATTCTGGTTGTACATTGGAACAATGACTTTAAAACACATCTGTATGTGTAGATCTCAGGCTCTGTTCCACGTGGTTCTGATACAGACTAAAGATTGAGAGCCATTGATATAATTCATTTCCTGCATATAACAGTTTGGGAAATTGAGATTCCTAGAGATAAAGATTTCAGTCAATGTTACTCAATTAGTAAATAGTATATTTGTGACTAAAGTCATGTTTTTTGAAATCAAAATAAGAGATTTAAAAATATGTTATGAATATAAAGCCTTATGGAATAATTAGTGCCTCAAAATACTTAATATTTAGTATTTCCGGTCATTGCCTTTATTTTCAAAATTAATTGGCTAATTCAAAGATTCTGATTCTTATTCACCAAAGAGTTAATTTTTTTTCTAGGTCTGGCACTGTGCAAGTTAGCGGGTGTGCGTGATTAGGCAGCATATGGAATAGTTGAAAGCATTCTTGGGTGTGCTACTTTGTATTCCTTGTAATGCCACTCATTATTCTATTTGACTTTAATTGTGTTCTTAGGTGGATATGTTAAAGATTAATGATGCATTTAGCCTAAACCAAGACTTACAGAGATGTGAAGATAAAAGAGTAGAGACTATAATAGTTAAAGATTTTGCTTTTTCTCTTTGGAGATACTATATCCTGAGGATTTTATGTGAAAAAATTTAAGTAGTTATAGTCAGTCTCCTGGTGGCTGTGTTACTATCCCATATTCTTGCCATAAAGCTGATATTCTAAGTCTGCCATCCGACTTGGAAATATACAGTGAGCTGGTGTGCAACGAGAGCTATTATCTAGCCCAATACTGTTGGCTTTAATTGAGCAGAGTGTGCACATAATATTCACATTGCATTAGTTGGAGAAAATACAACTTCCCATTTTATATGGAATAAGATGTTAGTCTTTTCACAAAAAAGTATGGGTCGAAGTCCTGGGACAAGGATTTCTTTTGTAACTGATTTTAAAAAGTATTGACTGGTTATAGGTAGAAATGTAGCTACAACTTAATCAACATATGTAGTAGTTACAGTAACAGGAGGTGAGATACCTTTTCCATGGATTAAATGAGCAGGGTTGGACTTGTAATAATAATTACAATGATGATGAGAATAATATTCTTATTGTGCTACTGATAGTAGTAGTAGAAGTAGCAGCAGCAGCAAGACAATGCATATATTTAGCTCTGGTGTTGTTCCAGGCATCCCTGTAAAGTCTATATATGTATCACTTTATTTAAATGTTCACAGTAATCCCACAAAACAGGTACTAATTGTATACCCATTGTTCAGATGATAGGCATGAGGCAGAGGGAGGTTAAGTAACTTAATCAAGATCATACTATCAGTAAGTTGAATATTTGAGACAAAAAAGAAAAACAGTGTGGCTATGGTGCCTGTAAATTTGTGTGTGCGTATGTGCGTGGCTGTGCATATACAGTAACTGTATGGAGAAGTAATCCACAGGCTAAAGAATTTGCGCAATTAAATTGTAGAATTCAATGTTTTTAGTAGATTCACAAGTTGTGCAAATATTACCACAATAAATTTTAGGATATTTTCATCATCCCAAAAAGAAATCCCTTTTTCTTTTGCAGTCACCTCTCATTCTCCACCAAACCCCCATGCCCTAGGCAACAATGAATTTACTCTATGCATTTGTCTGTTCTGGACATTTCGTGTATATGATATCATATAACTTACAGTTTTTTAAAATGTTTTCTTTCAGTCATCTTACTGTTATTAACATTCATCCATATTTTACCTGTGTTAGTACAGTACTGCATTCCCTTTTATTGGTGAAAAATAGTCCATTGTATCAACAAACCACATTTTACTTATCCATTTATGGGTAGATGAGCATTCAGATTATTTCTAATTTTTGACTCTGACAAATAATGACGCTATGAATATTAATATCATAACACTTGCTGGAGATAGATACCACCATTTAACAGTGGAATTACTGTTGCCAAATGATGTTATAATAAAAAAATACAGTTCAAACTTGTGGATAAGTCCACAATATCTACACAAATCACCAAAATTTTGTTCTTAGCTTCCTAGTTTTAAAAATATAAATTTTACATATTAATCTCATGGATTAATGGTGTTAATTGTTCAGATATATTGATTGAGTTATAGTCATCTTTTTTCTCCAAAAACTAGTACTAGGGTTATGTATCTATGGCTAAAGCTAGGGTTTAACAGCTATTGGATGGTCAATATAACTTTGCTAAATAAATACACCATTATAAGAAAAATGCATTTATTAGCAGTGTCCTATACTCATCAGATATAAGTAATTTTTGTTTCAATGTCATCCTTTTCTTAGTGACTGGTAGTTTTGGTCAGGCATTACAAATGACATCAAAAGAACTCGAGTCCAACTATGGGAACCATTTTTGTCATATACCTCTAGCATTGTCTTCCAAAGGCAGCCTCACCCTTAATTAAGTACTTTCCCTCCTTTTGAAGGAATATATCCTAGTTTCTTGAGTTTTTTGGGGGTAACGTTTAATCCTATGTGGGTTTGTGATGTTTCAGATTTTCCTCTACATGGAAAAAAAGGACTTTAAACAGATCTATTTATTTCCTTAGCAGATCATTGCTGTGTCTGACAGATAAAGTATTCTAAGTCCAGTGTTTAATACCTAGGAGTGTCCATGGGAATCTGCACGCTCACTCACTGTCTTTTGGAAAGAGATAATTCATGCATTTTTCTTCTAAGTGAAATATCACCATGATTCCTGATTTGCAGTTCAGTTTCTTGTTGCAACTTGATTTTTTTTTCTTTTCTGTGACCAAGATCCCTTGCTGGGATCTATGATACCTTGCTAGACTTTGTCAGCTCCATTGTTTTAAACGAGGATCCTGGGTCTCTTTCTCTCGTAGCCATACTCTAAATGAACCAATATTCTCCTTTCTCATGACAATACGCTCTCTGCCATATATGATCACCTTTATTTTTGGGAGTTCTGATGCCATCCCTCCAAACTAGATAGGATTGGACAAATTTGTCATATACCCTCCTTAACCCACTCTCTGTAGAGGAAAATGATACACTTGCATTATCTTCTCTTTAATTCTGGTCCTACTCATCCTTGGATGAATCACTTCTCTTTAGTGTTACACAACTGAGGTTCCACCATGCTTTTCATATGAGTCAGTAGAAATTAATCCTCATTCTCTTACATTTTCTTCATTTGCAAATCAGATGAGTAGATGAATGATTTACTAATGTTCATAAAGTTGGTCCAAAATGTATTTTACATTTCATGAAAATAGATGTATCTCAAAATCAAACGGTTGGAAATGTAGACAATTTCATTATAATCACCAACAAACATGCTTAGGTGTTTGTAGCTTCGACATTTAAAAACATGAATTATAATAATTTAATGAGGAGCCTCATCTTATATTTAATATCCAGTATTTTACAACCAAATATCTCAAATATAACTATTAAGCATTTTATACTGGATCCTCTTTAAAAGAGTAGTTTTTCCTCTCTCATGATACTAAGCAAATATTTGTTTTATTCTCAATTTATAACTATTAATTGAATGTATATGAATGTGTGTTTGCTTCTTTATCTCTTCAGTGTTTTATTTTTCTTTAGTTTCTCATATATATATTTCCATATAACTCAGAAGTACCAGCAGTAACTATTCCTACCCATGTTAAAAATTTATTGAAATCAAACAGGTTTAGGGAGTTTTGTTTGTTTGTTTGTTTTTTGTTATGTTGCGTCCAACAAATTTAAAGTGATGTGACTTTCGATTCTCTTTCAGTCACAGTTTCTTTGTCAGAAGAACAAAGGCAAAAAAAATCAGGTGGGATTAGTGTGAGGATTATAAGAATGTATGTAAATAACTAGCACAATTTCTTGAACTCAATAGTATCCTATTGACACATTCTTATTATAAAGATATATTTTATTAAGATATTATCATAGCATTGTTTTCTAACAGTGTCATTCAGTAGAGCCATGTAATACTTTTATCTTAAATGCTTATTTTATAAAACTCTTAATTAACACCCTATCTGCTTATGTGAAAACTCCTTGGTTCAAATGAGCAAAATATCAATGATATTTATTTTGTAATCTGGAAGTGATATTGCTGTTTTCTAGTTCTTTTTTGAGGGGGTTGTTTATTTGTTTCCAAAAATTGTGTAAGCTATATATCCTACCCTAATTAGTCAATAGATTTTTAATTAAGCACTGAATTATTCACCCTGTTCAAAATTCTTTGAGTCACACACACTTAATAAACTTTAAGTCTACCTGGTGTTCCCATGTTAATATAATCTGGATGAATAATAGATAAAGAAGAACTAAGACAATCAAGCAGTAGTTCTATGGAAAAGAAACTAAAAACAGTACTTTTAAGGGCTGACAGCTTTCTGCATATATTTCCCAGATTTTATTGTTGTTGTTTTGAAACAGCATGGTGCCAAAATATGCTTCCAATTTTTGAAAAGCTGCTATGCAGAAATATATTGAACTAATGGTATAGAAGATTTGTATCTCACTACACACACTTTGTTCCCCTCAGCTGTTAAGTGGTGCCGAAACCCCAGGGTTGTACATTTTTCAAACAAATTGGCAGAGCTATTGTGGCAATGGGATTTGACAGAACAAAACATTCATTTCTTTGCTGATTCTAGTTGCATTGTTGTGCTAAGTCTATTTCATTTTTTGAACTCTTTCACTGAGTCAGTAAGATTATAAACTCAATATAAATAACTAAAGATGATTTAGTACATTCAAAAGCACTAGAAAAATAAAGTCTCCTACAAAAGAGATTTTTCTTTTTCTTTTGAGACAAAGATGCCTGTGTTCAAAACTGCCCCTGACCAGCCAAACTTGCAGATTAATTTTTATGAGCTGCTTCTTCCTGCATTGTTCTTAGACTTTCAGATCATAGATCTCTCTGACCTTCTCTCTTGGTTTAATATTTACTTCCAAATATTAGAAAGATGAGTTTTTCAAGGTAAAGTAGCAAAACCAAGCTAATAAATTCTTGAAAATTTAAGAGAAAGTGATTTTAAAAATATTTTATTCAGTGCTTTGAGGTTTCTCAAATTTTGATTTGTAGCTTTTAAAAATTATGAATACATAACAGTTGCATTAATACATATTTGTGGGATATATGTGATATTTGATACATGCATACAATGATTAATGAGCAAATAAAGGTAATTGGGATATCTGTCAACCTCATACACTTAGCACTATTTGTGTTGGGGACATTCCAAATCTTCTCTTCTAGATATTTTGAAATATACTACAAATTCTTAGTAATTGTAATTGTCCTACTGTGCTGCTACTGAATACTATAAGTTATTCCTTCTATCTAATGGTATTTTTCTACCCAATAACCATCTTCTTCATTCCCCCATCTCTACTACCCTTCCCAACCTGTGGTAACCACCATTCTCCAGGTTGTTGTAAATGAAAATATTTCGTTATTTTTATATGAATGAATAATATACACGGATGAATAATTATATATAGTATATATTATATATAATATATATTATTATGTAGTATATTATATATAATATATTATATATATTATACATATAATATATTATATATAATATATTATATATATTATACATATTATATATAATATATATTTTATATATATATAATATATATCTATCTCACAGGTTTATTCTGCATCTCGCCCATTATTAATAGTGCTTCAATAGACATACTAATCTCATTTCTTTTGGATATATCCCAGCAGTAGGATTGCTGGATCATATGTTAGTTCTACTTTTAGTGTTTGAGAACACTTCATACTGTTTTCCATAGTTGTTGTACAGCCAACTCAGTTTTGACAACGGTGCCAAGAATATACACTGGTGATAGGACAATCTCTTCAATAATCGGTGCTTGGAATACTGGGTATCTATATGTAGAAGAATAAATCTAGACCCTTATCTATTTTCATATACAAAAATCAAGTAAATGTGGATTAAAGGCTTAAATGTAAGACCTAAAACTATGAGACTAGTGGAAGACAACACTGGGGAAATGTTTCAGGACACTGGTCTGGGAAAAGATTTATTTTGAGTAAGGATTCAAAAAACACAGACATAAAAGCATACATTGACAAATGGGAGTATGTTAAGGTAAAAAGTTTATGCAAAGCAAAGAAAGCATTCAATAAAGTGAGGAAACAACCCCAGAATAGGAGAAAATATTTGCAAACTATCCATTCGCATCCAGCAAGGGAAGAATAATAAGAATATGGAAGAACTCAACTCAACAGCAAAATAATAATGGTAGTAATAATTTGATTGAAAAATTGGCGAAATATCTGAATATACATTTTTCAAAAGAAGACATGCAAATTGCTAACAGATATAGTGTTCAGAATCACTAACCTTCAGGGAAATGCATATCAAAACCACAATGATATATCTCACCCCAGATAGAACGGCTGTTACCCCAATAAACAGAAAATAACAGACTCTAACAAGGATGGGGAGAAAAGGGAATGCTTGCACACTGTAGAAATGTAAATTAGTGTCTGGGCACGGTGGCTCACGCCTGTAATCCCAGCACTTTGGGAGGCCGAGGCGGGCGGATCACGAGGTCAGGAAATCGAGATCATCCTGGCTAACACGGTGAAACCCCGTTTCTACTAAAAAAAAAAAAAACAAAAAAAAAAAAACTAAAAATTAGCCGGGCGCGGTGGCGGGCGCCTGAAGTCCCAGCTACTCTGGAGGCTGAGGCAGGAGAATGGCATGAACCCGGGAGGCGGAGCTTGCAATGAGCCCAGGTCGCGCCACTGCACTCCAGCCTGGGCCACAGGGCAAGACTCCGCACCCCGCCCCCCCAAAAAAATGTAAATTACTATGGCAACTGTGGAAAACAGTATGGAGGTTTCTCAAAAAAACAAAAAATAACTAAAATATTTTCTTATTTTACAGAAAAGCAGACTCAACTTCCCATCCGGTTTCTGGGGCTTCTTAACAATGTCTCTTTTAGATGATTATGAAATCATTTTAGGAAGGATATTTTCATGATCGGAGGGGTTAATATTTCACAAGGAGGCAAATTTCACTGCTCTATTATGTGATGAATTAAACCTTCTACCCTCATCATGTTTCACTGCTTTACATGCAGTAAATATTTCAATTTTTGTTACAACCCAATGGGCTAGCATTACTGTACAGAAAATGAGGGACAGTGAAGTTAGTGAATTTATCCAAGATCACACATCTATTAAGTAGCAAAACCAGGATCTTCACCCAAGCAATCTGGCATCAGAATCTGTGTTCTTAGCAGGCCATGCTGTCCCTCAATATAAACGGAATTAAAGCAACTATACGCACTTACACACAGACACACACACACACAATATTTGTATATATACATATATATGTAATGTATATACTAAAATCAGAAATATGGACATTAACTTGTTTGAAAAAAAATAACTTCATAAAAATTATATTGGTAATTTAAGGATGAATAAGGAAAAATCCAACCATAATAATATCACCAAGTTCCAAAATAAACATAACTAAAATGAACCATGCTAATATTCAATGAGATTATTAAAAACTGGAATGTCTTAATAAGAATTTGAAAGTAAAATAGTAGTGTAACAAAAATCAATGAAGAACGCAAAATCAGTAATCATTCAAATATACTGAAAACTGAAAAAGGAAATCAGTGATATCCCTGAAAAGAATATGAGAAATGAATCTAATCAATATGTATTGCAAAAATGTAGCAAAATTTGCATTCTGTAATATATTCACAGGAGTCAATTTAATCTAAAATTACATACATTAATGACATTTAAAAATATAGAAACTTTATCAAATAATTATTCTGCTCTTTCATATTTGTTTAGTGTTTTCATAAGAAAACAATAAATATAGAATTTGTGCTTGTAATACATCTGAAGTCCAAGGTCATTAAATTTAGGCCTACCTGCCTATCAGAGCTGCCAATTTGCACTCATGGAAAAATACTGAAAGAGATGATTAGCAAACTTGTAACATAAGACACTAGTTAGCAAACTATAGTTTGCTTTCTATCTTTCAAAAAGAAGGCAAACTTCATGATGGTTTATACTTTTTCTTCAATGGTGTTATATCTAACTTCTAGCATGATGCCTGTCCCGTAGTATAATTCCAAATATATTCAAACTAATTGAACAACTTTCTATAGTGAGTCTATAGAATAAAACACTAAAAAATTAAAGTAGTTTATGATGTAAGAATTAAAGATGCGAGCTGGGCATAGTGGCTCACGCTTGTAATCTCAGCACTTTGGGAGGCCTAATTGGGTGGATCACCTGAGGTCAGAAGTTCGAGACCAGCCTGACCAACATGGCGAAACCCCGTCTCTACTACAGACACAAAAATTAACTGGACGTGGTGGTGAGTGTCTGTAATCAATACTAGCTACTCTGGAGGCTGAGGCTAGGGAATCGCTTGAACCCAGGAGGCAAAGGTTGCAGTGAGCTGAGATGGCGCCCTTGCACTCCAGCCTGGGCGACAAGGGAGAAATTCCGTTTCAAAAAAAAAAAAAAAAAAAAAGGAATGAAAGAAATTAAAGATGCTACTAGGTAACTGGTGTTCTTTAATTATTTTTCCTCTTTTGAAAAAGTTAATCTTATTTAGAATAATAAAAATATCATGAGAACTAGAAGCTTATTAATCTTAGGTTCCCTCTTATGTTTTTCAAAACACTGCAACTGGGGAGAGAAAGTGACGCTGTCCAATGGCCGAAGGAATTCTAGCTGAACAGGTCTGTAGAGAAGTATGGGTACTGAATATTTGGAACAGCCCAGGAAGCCCCCAATTTTATTTTAAATTAAATTCATCAGTTGATGTAATTCATTTGATTTTGTAGAAACTTAGTAGAAAACAATGTAGAAACTTAGTAGAAAACAATGAATAAACTTCTTGATTTAAACAAGCAGTAAATCCTAGGCATGTCCATCAGCTACATCAACATGATATTAGAAAACGGATAAGAGCCCATATCACTACATACTTGATATTTATACCTTATTGAGAGACATTTTGTGATTTGGTTAAAGTTTCTGCTTTAAATATGAGCATATTTTGTTAAATGTCTTAGAACAAAGAAACTCGAAATTGAGTGGTAGAAACATGTTGTTAAAACTCTGCATGAGACTTTTATGTGTAGTGATGAAGAAAGATGGAGATACTGCAAAGACAAAGCTTGTGGTATAATTTAGCTTTTATTTCTCCAGGTAATAATTATCAAGGCTATGGCATTTGTAATTAAATTCAAAAGCCACTGGGAGTCATAATCCATTTAATTACAAGCTGGAGAAATGAAGTGTAAGAAATGAGCTCACCTGGATCACCTGGGAAGGCTCAGAAGACACGTGGGTGTGATGAAGGCTTCCCACGCCTTATGTATATGCATTCTCTGTCCTCATTTCCCTCTTCACCTGCTTAAAACGCCAGCAAGAACTTTTGCAATAAGTGATGATCAAGCTTAAACGTTTGCTACATATCATATTAGAAGGCCAATGTTTCATTGATACTATTTTCTAAATGTTTTCAGCAGTTGAAAGTATTAAAAATAGGTCATCAAACAGGATGACAAGGAATTGAAAATAAACGTAGTCATGGAGAAATGTGGATAAGGAAATTGAAGTTGTCATCAGAAATAAATGTTTATTACGCTATAAATCCCCACTAAAATGTTTTGACATGTGCCTTTATTCAATTATTCATCATTAAATTTCATTAGTTCTGAATTATTTTAAAGTACATAAAACATGATGTATTCTACAATGTGTATGATATAGCTTCTTAAAAACTGCTTTTTTGATGTCCTATTTATTTTCACATAGTCACCTTCTGGAGAATTCCCACATGAAAACTGCCTGGTAAAATTTATTTCAAAGTTTCTATATTTGCAAAAAATAGCTGAAGTTCTCCGAAACTGTTTGAAAGTGTTCCCAGTAGGAAAGTTTGCATCTTTCTATCCAATAGAAAATTGAATAATTGTGTTAGAAGATTTTTATTGTTGTTGCCACTGCAGTGACTGAAACCCAATGTAAACTAGGTTAAAGAAAAAATAAGGCATTTTCTTGCCTTATGTATCTAAAAAGTCCAAGAAATTAGACTGCTTTTAGGCACAGTGGATCCTAAATGGATCCAGTGGTTTAAATAATGTTATCAGGGTTCTTTCTCCATCATTCACACCTTCTCCTTCTCCTGGTTCTTATTGATAATTGGGTTCTTTCTTAATCTTCTTCAAGACAGTGCCCAGTTCACCAGGCCTACATAATTCTAGGGAATGAGGAAAACCAGCCCTACTATCTATGAATCTTCCAGTTGATCCAACTACCATTTTGTGCTCACTGACAGATCACGCACTGTGTCCAGGAAAATGGAGTGTCTAGCAGTTCTGACAGAGCTGCCTATTGGATAGCCTGACTAGAATCTCACAAAATTGAGTTGGATTTTACTTAAAAATATAATATTTTAGGTAAATATTAAATAGGTATTAAAACATTCAAATATATACATAACACATATGTGTGAATATCTGTTTACATTAGTATGTATAAAACCAAATGTATTTAACTATTCATTTTTCCTTCAATAGAAATGCTATAATAGTCTCAACTCAGGTATCAGAAATCAGTATCAGGTATCTTATATTGATTTAATTTGTCTTCGAAATTGTAGCTTTAAAAAAATACCCATCATTTCTCCAACATCTGTGCCCCATCAAGATGAAATCACAAAAGATGGAAATTACCCTCACACCTGAGACAACCAAAAAAAACTGACCAAGGCTTTCAAAGACACTGAACATAAAGCAATGAGTGAGGTCATCCTGAAATTATATTTCAAAAACAATAATAAAAAAAAGAAACGAAAAGAAAAGTCCCAGCTTACTGCCTTGATGGTTTCTCATACGTGATAAGGAAGGGAAACCCAAGGAGATCCTGTAAAATTTCTAAACTTTTTGAGTTGAGATGGTACTTAGTATTTAGGGAGAAAAAAATGGCTAGAATATGTCATACAGGATACTGGAGAGGAAAGATCTGCTGTGAGTAAGAACTCCAGAGATCTTTGGAGGAATACCCTCTATTATTCATCTGAGTCTTGAACACCACATGCATGCAAATAAATTACCTGAAGCTGGTGAAAGAGTTATCCAAAAGCGTTATGGTGAACGGTCCTTGTGGTCACACAGGGCTAAGAAGAGTGACCATTGCCATCAGTTTGACTGAAAAATTGTAAGATTAATGAAACAGGTTAGATTACACAGGAAAGTCTTGTCCTCATAGTATAAAATAATTAGCCCTAGTTTGAGGTTCTATCCTGACCAACAAATCTTAAAAGCAAAATTAGAAAGCATCAAACTATGTCCAAATAACTCATATGTTTTCCAGAAAAAAAAGTTTAAAAGAATTTAAAAATAAAGCTAAAATAACACCCAACAAATAAAGGCTCAATACATGAAGGAACAAATAAAATATTATAAAACATTGAGGTTTTAGCTCTAACATTCAATGAACAAAGAAATTGTCATTTGTCATTCCTGTCCATACAAAAATAAAATATATATAAAATCAACAACTTTTTTCAGATCTGTTAGAAAGCTGCAATTGCATCTGGAGACAGGTGCATCTACAGTATCTAAGACATGCTTACCTAAAGCAGAAATAACTGGACTCATAAAATGGTATAAACATTCAAGTGGTAATTTTGATAAGTTGCTAGTGTAGACTAGTATGAAAGTTAGAGAATCTTAGGGCCACAATCTTTGGAGTTCACTAATTCGCTATGCCTCCAGAAACTCCAGTAGGACCACAAGGTGAGTCTCCAAGAAAGAGCCCCTATAAGATCTGAGAGTGGAGGGGAAGAATAATAATTGTGAAATACACCCGCAGCTTTATAATAATGGGCTGCTATACAGGAAAAATAACTTTACCTAAATACAATTCAGAAACCTAATTTTAGGTGGATTATAGATTCAGTGGATTACAAATGAGAGAATTTCAAGACAGACCACTCTGAGTTGTACACAGAAAAATGCCAAATTCAAGAGAGGAGAAAACAAACAAACAAAACAACAACAAAAAAAACACAAAAAATTAAATCCAAGGATATTAGGCAAATGTTAGGACTTTGATGACTATAGTTAAAACATATATTGATCATTGCCCAACACCTAGCCAGGTTATTAAAAATGCTTACAATGAAAGCCTATATATGCATTTCTATTACCAGATACATCACACCCAATTTTCAAAAGATAATTGCAAAGCATTCCTAAGGACAAGAAAAAAACACAACTGAAATGGACAATGCAAACATCACAGCCATACTCAGATATGAAACAGATGCTTGCATTATCAATCACGGAATTTAAAATAGTTATGATTACTATTTTAATGGCTTGAATGGAAAAACATGGACAAGATGCAAGAGCAGATGGGTAAGCAGGTTGACGATAATCCCCATATAATCTAAAATAATCCCCATATAATCTAAACATAAAGCACAGTAATATAAGTGAAGACTGTCTTAGATGGGCTTATCAATATACTCAACACAGCCAGTGAAAGAATCAGATACATGAAGAGATGTCAATAGAAATTTCAGGGACTAAAATTTTTAAAAATAAAAAAAGAGAATATACAGAAATTGTGGAGCAATAGCTACATGTGTAACATACTTCTAAATGGAAAAGAAGGAAAAAGAAGCTATCATAAAAATTATTTGAGGCATTAATGGTTATGAATTTTGCACCATAATAACAGATACCAATCATAAGTTCAAAAATGTTTAGTGAGCACAAAGCAGAATAAGGATCCAAAAAATATAATCTTGTCAAGTGAAATACGTAATGTGCTAAATAAAAACATACAGTAATATATCTACTGAATGTATTCCTCAAAAGCGTAGGTAAAAAGAAGACATTCCCTGACAAAAATTAAGATAATTTATCACCACCAGATCTTCCCTACAAATAAAGTAAAAAAAATTTACTTAGAGAGGTGGAAGAAGCTAAATACCAGTAACTTAGATCTACATAAATAAAAAACATTGATGAGGAAGCAAATGAAACTAAACTATTGTATCTCTCCTATTATTAAGAGATCTAAAATTTATTTTTCTTTGTAGCCAGATGAGCTGAGATACATCAAAATGTAAGTGTTTGCTAAAGTCATAATAGTAAAAATGTATTGGATGGTTGAAGCATATATAGCTAAATAAAATGAATGACTAACATACCATAAAAGATGGGAGATTATAATTGGGGATGCTTTGTTTTAAGATATATGAACTGCACATGAAGCATTATGTAGCATTATATGAAACTCTTGGACAACCATTTAAATAATATAATTTTAATACAAATTATATTTATATGTAAATTAAAATTTTAAAACATTAAATAGTAAATTGAAATAATAAAATAACTTAAAAATAAATATAATTGATATGCTAAGAGAAGAGATAAAACAGAATCATATAAAATGTTCAACTAAAACCACAGAAGACTTTCAAAAAGAATTGAAAAATAAGAAGAAAAGAACACCTGCAAGGAATAGGAAACAGTATATAGTGGATATGAGTGCAACTGTATCCACCAATTAGAAGAAATAGACATTTAATGGCCAGGCACAGTGGCTCATGCCTGTAATCCCAGCACTTTGGGAGGCCTAGGTGGGCAGATCACTTGAGGCCAGGAGTTCAAGACCATCCTGGCCAACATGGCGAAACCCCGACTCTACTAAAAATACAAAAAATTAGCTGTGTGTGGTGGCACGTGCCTGTAGTCCCAGCTACTCAGGAGGCTGAGGCAGGAGGATCGCTTGAACTGGGGAGGCAGAGGTGGCAGTGAGCCGAGATCACACCACTGCACTCCAGCCTGGGTGACACAGTGAGATTCTGTGTCAAAAAAAGAAAAAAATAATAAAGAAGACATAGACATTTTATCAGTATCTATGTTTATTAACAAAGACATATGTGCCCTTCTATTTGGTGAATTAGAAGACACAGACATTTAATCACAGACAGAAATTTAATCAGAGTGGATTTTTAAAATGACCATGCTGTATTACATCTACAAGGAACCAACTTTAAATATGAGTCAGATTGGTTAAAAGTAAATAATTAAAATTAAAGAGATGGAGAAAGATATAGCATATGAACACTAATAAAACTAGGGCTGGACTTTCTCTATTAATTTCAAATAAAGCCAAGCTCAGACTAACTAAAATTGTCAGAGATAAAGAAGGGCATTGCACAATGATAAAGGGGTCAGTTCCCTAAGAAAGCATAATGATTCTTAATTAGTATGCATCAAACAGCAGAGTGTCAAACTGTATCAGGAAATATCTGATAAAAACAGCAAGAAATGACAGATCCTCTATTTGGATTGAAGACTTCAATATCCCCTTTTCAGTGATTGCTAAAACACGCAGGCAGAAAATCGGTAAGAATATAGTTGACTGGAGCATCGTTATTGATTGATTTGATACAATTGACATTTACAGAATACTTTATCCAGCAACAGTAGAATTTATACTCTTTGCAAGTTCACATAAAATATTTACCAAGATAGACTATAAACAGAGCTTAACAAATTTAAAATATAGAAACCCCCCAATATCCTCAAATGACAATAAAATTAAATTAGTATCAGTAACAGAAATATAGCTGGAAAATTGCTAAATATTTGAAAATTAAAGTACACAGTTTTAAATAACAAATGAGTTAAATAAGTTTAAAGAGAAATTAAAATAATATATTTTAAACAAAATGAAAATGTAAACACAATATATAAACATTTATGGGATGTAGCAAAAGCAATGCTTAGAAGAAATGTGTAACATTAAGTTCATATATAAGAAAAGAAGGTAAAAAATCAGTAACTAAAGCTTCTTCCTTGAGAAAGTAGAGAACGAAAGAACAACTGAAGCTTAAACAAAAGAAATTAAATAATAAAAATTTGAGCAAAAGTCAGTGACATTGGAAATGGAAAATTAATAGGTTATATATATATATAAAGAGAGAGAGAGAGAAAGAGAGAGAGAGAGACAGAGTCTCGCTCAGTCACCCAGGCTGGAGTAGAGTGGCAGGATCTCGGCTCAGTGCAACCTCCGCCTCCTGGGTTCAAGTGACAGTCCGCATCAGCCTCCTGAGTAGCTGGGACTACAGGTGAACACCACCACAACCAGCTAATTTTTTTTTTTTTTTTTTTTTTTGTATTTTTCAGTAGAGACGGGATTTTGCCATGTTGGCCAGGCTGGTCTTGAACTGCTGACCTCAGGTGATCTGCCTGCCTCGGCCTCCCAAAATGCTGGAATTACAGGCATGAGCCACCACACCCAGTCAACAGATAATTTTTTTAAAAAATCCCCTTGTTTTTTGAAAAGATTAGTACGATTGATAAAACTTTAACCAGACTAAGAAAAAATAGAAGACAAAAGTTTCAAATAGAACACATAAAAGAGAAGTGATCACTTCAGACCTCATAAACATTGATTAAAGTAATAAAATAATAATATGAGTAACTCTATACACATTGATTTGGTAACTTTGATAAAATGTACCAGTTTCTTGAACTACACAAATACCAAAACTTTCATGAAGAGACAAAGATCATGGGAATAAACCTGTTTCGCTGAAATAAATGAAGTCAATAACAAATGACTTTACATAATGAAAGCACCAGGTAAGTATGGTTTCACAGGTTAATTTTAGCAAAACCAATTTAGAAATACATGAAAAAATAACATAAATTATGTAATTATATTAACTGATGAACTAAAATTATCTGACAAAATCTGACATCCATTTGTGATTGAAAACTTCCAGCAAACTATTAGTGGTAATTTCTAAACTTGAATAAGAACATTTTTAAAAGTCCTACAGCTAGTTCCATACCTAATATTAAGAAACTGTGGGTTTTCCCCAATATCCATGCCAAGATCAGGTACCTGGCAAGAGTAGAGTACCGTTTCTCCTCATTTCTATTTTTCATATTGAAAATCATAGCTAGTGCTCTAAGACGGGAAAAAATAACAGTTATATATTGCAAAGGAAGAAAGAAACAAAACATTATTGGTGAAAATGTTTAGTGCTGCTATTAATTTAGAAAAGAGTTCAATCTTTTTCAAAAGTTAAGCATACTAATGCCATATAACCCAACCATCCCAGTTTTAGGTATTTTCTGAAGAATAGGAAAATGAAAGCATATGTATAGACATGACATGTACATGAATATTTATTGCAGGTTTACTTAAAAACAACCCCAAGTTAGAGGCAACTCCAAATCCTATCAATAGGTGAATGGATACAAAAGCTATGGTATGTACCTAAGATAGATTACTTCTCTGGAATAAAATAAATGATGTATTGAGACATGCAAAAGTATAGATGTATCTCAAAATAATTATATTGAGTGCAAGAAAACTAACAATCACACATCCAGAAAGGGAGAACATATTGTGTGATTCAATTTAGATTCAATTCTAGGAAATTCAATTTATATTCAATTCTAGTGAAGTGACATAAAATAGATCAATAGCTGCCTGGGGATGGGGTGGGGAATAGGAAGGATCATGGAGAGAAGTTTTCAAAGGGGCAGGAGGAAAGGCTTAGGGAAGGCTGGTTAGATTACTATTTTGATTGTGGTGATGGTTATAGGCATATACTTATGTTGAAATATCCAATTGTACATTTTAAGTATAATAGCTTATTTTACATATATTATATACCAATAAAGCTCTTTTTAAAACTGCAAGGAGCCTATTGTTACTAAGAGAGAACAAATTGATCCGAAACATCTGGGAGCTGTCTCAACAATATCATTGAGGCCTTCATGTTCTCTTGTTAAACACAAATAAGTTTACAAAACATTAATATCAAACAAGATCATCCTGTTGCTAATTGATTAAGACAGAAACAAGGCTACCTCATAGTCCTGTCTGAATATAGAAAAATTATGAAGCATCAAACAACAAAAAATTCCCCATATCTCTTTTCCTCTAGCCAGTATAAATGGGTGCTATTTGCAATGACAGGTTTAGCTTTGCTTTTGTCATCTCTTCTTTTTAGATAAGGTAAAGATAATTAATCATAAAATTATTCCTGCTTCCTGTCACCATGCAATAGACAGTACAGCCATTCTTTCTGAAATTCTTCTCAAATCACCTAACTAGAGATAAAAAGAGATAAAATCCAATTTTTTTTTTTTTTTTTTTGGATGGAGTTTCGCTCTTGATGACCAGGTTGGAATGCAATGGTGCAATCTCGGCTCACTGCAACCTCCGCCTCCCAGGTTCAAGAGATTCTTCTGCCTCAGCCTCCAGAGTAGCTGGGATTACAGGCATGTGCCACCACACTGGCTAATTTTGTATTTTTAGTAGAGACGGAGTTTCCCCATGTTGGTCAGGCTGGTCTCGAACTCCCAACCTCAGGTGATCCACCCACCTTGGCCTCCCAAAGTCCTGGGATTACAGGCGTGAGCCACCGTGCCCAGCCTTAAGTTTCTTATAACATGCTCTTAGTGGAATACTCCATCATTCCACATTATGTGCAGTCTCCATTGTTGCAATGAGAAATAAACCCAATTTGTTCAATGACAGGAGTATTTCTGGTGGTCTTTGGCACAAGTGTGTTGTCATTAGCAACAAAGTACTTAGGACGTACCTCATAATTACGTAATATCCTACTAGTTTACATTTTGATTTTTATAACAAAAATGTTATAGAAGTGTATAAATGGAATAATGAGATTGAACAAAAGTCACATATACATGTCAAAGTAAGGATAAGGTAATTTGGAAATTGAAGGTCCTGGGTGATTACCCATAAGCAGAGTGTTTAGAAAAATAGACTTCAAATCATATTAACTATTATTTTCTTTAAGCAGAGAAATGAAATAGCTCAAACATTGGTCAAATATATTTTGTGCAAATGTGCCTATTTATAAAAAAAATAGGTATAGTAGATAGCATTTGATAGCTTCTCCAAAAGTAGTGTAAACATAATTACATTTTTGGAGGCAGTCTCTAGGAAATTCTAAATGTGCATATATTATATATATATATTCTCCATATATATGTATTCACCATATATATATATGTTCTCCATATATATATTCTCCATATATATATTCTCCATATAGATATATATTATCCAGATATATATATATTCTCCATATATATGTGTATATATATTCTCCATATATATATATATTCTCCATATGTATGTGTATATATATATACTCCATATATATGTGTATATATATATATATTCTCCATATATATATATGGAGAACACAATGGTATAAATTAAAGTCAAATGATCCACTTGGGCCAAAAATTTGAGGGGAAGAGATTCCTAATTCAATAAAAACGAAACAACCCTTTGGATTGGAACTGTATCCACTTGGAACTATATGTGAGAACTCCATTGCTTGCACCATATCAAAGGAAAGTCACTCGGGGAAAGGCATTTAAAAAACTTGCCACCATTGTGACAGGGCATATCTGTGCCCTTGGGCTATTGCCAGGAAGGTTTTCAAGGAGCCAAGGCATAAAAATAGGAATAGGAGCATCCTTGGCAACAATATCTTGGAAAGCAGCATACAGGGTGCAAACTCTGGCAGCAGAGGTAAAGGCTGCAAAGGGTAATTAAGCAGAAGCAAGGCATTGAAATCCTTTCGAAACAAAAGGTTCTTAGAGGGAAATCCATTTTTTTGGAGTCCTGCATGAAGGAATGTTGTTTCTGTTCACCCATTTATTCATCAGCTCTCAGAACCATGATGGTCACAATGATCTTGTACACACTTTACTGGAGACAAACCATTGCCTTTCCCTGTGCTGGAAAAACATTCCCATAGAGAGAGCTTGCAGCAATTATAGACCCTTTGACCTATAGTGCAGGTGCAGACTGAATCTAATGGTCTTGGATGATCTATACTAAAATTACCTTGTTGCTACAGGGTTTTCCATATTTTTCTTCCTTTCTACATGGATCTAATTTGCTCAGCTCATGTAGCACTGATTCTAGTAACAATTAGGATATGTGCACTCTTCCGCTGAATTCTCATATTCCAAATCAAGATCTACATTTCTACTGCTTATGCTAGCTACATTTAGCCAATGAAGAGATAAATTATGTTTCCTGAGCCTTTCTATCTTTTTCATAGTTACATGAAATATGTATTGCCTGCTCCGAGCAGTGAAATAAGAGCATGAGCATCACTTTTGCCACACATATGATTTCTACACACAAGAATACGTGATAGAGCGAAGGCAACCGAGTGCCATGAGAATGACCATATGTATATCGTATGTCCTACAGGCCTATGCACACCTGCCTCTAAGATGCTTCTTCTTTCTTGGTGCATGATAAGATAGGAAACTGGCAGAAACTTTGGAAATAGAGAACTAGAAAATATCTGGTCCACAGTGTTGAGTTTTAATACTCTTCCACTGATAACTTGACATGTGACCACTGAGTCACTTGACACATATGATCTTTTACTCATTTGATCTGTCGTAAAAAAATATGAAACCTGATTGTATATAAACTACATATTTTTCTTTGACCATAAAATAGCATCGTAGTTTTGCAGACTCAGATACTCCTCTATTCTTTCTGCTATGATTATAAGAAATTTTAGTTTTTTGTAGAGGCTCATTCACTAGCTAGAATACCTTGTATCTGTGCATTTTACTTTTCCTATGAATTCTACCTTCTTACATGCACCCTAAGGTAAGGGCAGATTATTTAGTGATATAAATGGTAATTAGGATCAATTGAATTTATTTATCATTTATTGAATACATATTTATACAAATGATTATAAGGGCCACAGATAGAAATATGAATGACATATAGTTCTATCCAGCAGTATATTTTCATTTTATGAAGAGGAAAAGTCAGTTGTTGAATATGCTTTCAAAGAGTAAATGTAGACCACACTGCAAACTATGAAGCTTTGGAATAGCATCATGCACAATTTGGAGAAGATAATTAATAGTTTTATAACCTATTTCACAGGCCACCATAATAGTAAGTGGGGAAAAGTGCTTCATATTGTGTGAAACTGTAATACACATGTGTGCTAGTACCACTATGGCTTGTGTAGTGAGTCTGGTGAGGTACATAGGTAAAGTAAACTACAATTAGCTCTCTGTAACTCTGAGTCCATGACTTTCTTAGTTCTTAAGGGAAACGAGACATGCAGCTTTCCCCTAATCTACCTCAACTAGAACAAATAGGAAAATCAAGTCCAGATAGGAATAGCCTTTTTTGAAATCATTCTGTTTAAAATGGATTTAACTGTTATCCATGTGGTCTTAGTAAATGTATTCTAGGTTATTGTAAGAGAATCTATCCAGATGTAAGAAAACTAGCATAGAGTAGGTAGCTATGTCCAAAGGATTTAAATGTCTTAACTCATCCAATTTGATTATTTAGATAATTATTCAATTCAATAATTACTCAATTACATAACTGAACTCTATTAAACATAAGCTCTATACACTTAGATGTTTATTATATTAAATTACCAATTAAAATGGTAATAATTATACTATGTAGCTTTTGATTTTATTATATCTTCCACTAGGATCTGAGAAAGACCAAAATATTATTGTTAGTATATTAACTCTTACTTTAATTATTATATCACTAAACTAATAAAAACTGTATCAATTTTATTTGTATTTAATTCTTATAGACACACAAGCATTTACATTTCACAAGTAAAAGGGCTGATATTATATATTGTTATGGCAATTACTAGAGGTCAGATAATTGAGAAGCCTCAGGAGACTCCACAGGGGTCAGTCATACGAGGCTTTAATGAAGATAGATAGTACAGCAGGAGAAGAAAGCATAAGAAAATATCAGAGAAGTCCATGCATAGCTCTCAGAGCCCTTTCCCAGCCACACAGCAGGTGCTCCATCTCCTGACTGTGAATTACCAAAATAGATGTGAGATGCTTTAGTCCCAGGTGAGCTAAGGTGGAAGTTTGCCTGACTCATTTATATCTCACTGGTCACTCAGCTGAAACCAGATGCACACCACCATCTATTCACATTTAATAAACAATGTAAGCAAGCTGGTACAAAAGGTGAATTTTGGACTCTGAACATGACATCATAAATCACAAGCTAATACACTTCATCTCTATCTCGCAGGGTCAGTACTATGTTTCTCAGCATCCCAGTAGAAAAATATAGATCAACCACAGATCAATGGTATTTTGACCTTATTCTTATAAAATAGTGCATTATAACCTTCCATGGACTTCTTCCCATGCCATACAGATTTGCCTTTTAAAAATCATATCCACATTTTCTAGTTTCTATGTTGAATACTTTGACATCTAGGGGCCTTGGTGACTCTGAAGGAACTGCCCCTTCCAGTGTGAGCTAATTCCAGGAGCTAAGCGTACAAACTGTCTGCAAGAATGGCTTTTATACACAAAGCAACCAGTTCAGAGCTCATATCTGTAAACACTCCCTTTATCAAGCTTTCACACTCAGGACCACTGTTCCCTACACTAATCATCCTAGGACCAGGTATCAGGATAACCAGAGACAGCCACGATGCCACAGACTATGTGGAAATTATTTGAACTAGCCAATCTTAAACCTGCCTACACTAACTCATCCACTCCTTCCCATGGGCACTACAATAAAGACTCTTGTTTTTGTCTTGCTGCTGTTGTTGTTGTCATTGGTAGCCTTCTATTCACCAAGCACTGCACTGGGAGATGGAAATACAATGGTGAACAAAAACAGACCCAGTTGCATGGTACTTAAAGATTAGTGGTGCAGACAGGTAAGTGTTAAAAAAGTATAGATGTTCTTATATATATACACGTTTATACTTTTTCACACACTAAAGTAGTATACTTTTAACACACAGTCATATGCACATATATATGCATATATATATAGACACACATATATATAATATTCTTTGAAGCTTATGTAATTCATACCATTTAATCTCTATCAGAATTCTGTGATATATGTTACTTTTTTTGTTTACAGCTAAATAAACTAATACAGAAGTGAATTTTCTCAAACCACTGGCAGAGCTGGTCAGTGGCAAAGCTCGCCTGCAGGGAACTGACAGTGGGCATCCAAGGCCACTGCACTCTACTGTGATAGCCATTCAAAAACAGCTTTGATGTTTTGGTTAATGAAAACTCTCAACCATGTTTTTCCCTCACTTCCCCTGCCTCTGACTGACTCTGATGCTTTTCCCTGTGATCCGCAGTGTCACGACATGCCCCTCCTCTTGAAAATCTGTGAGTATAGCATGCTATCTTTTCTTTTCTTTTCTTTTTCTTATTTATTTATTTATTTATTTGTTTTGAGACAGAGTCTCGCTCTGTCACCAGGGCTGGAGTGCAGTGGTAAGATCTTGGCTCACTGCAACAACATCCGCCTCCTGGGTTCAAGGGATTCTCCTGCCTCAGCCTCCCGAGTAGCTGGGATTACAGGCGCCTGCCACTATGCCCAGTTAATTTTTTGTGTTTTTATTAGAGATGGGGTTTCACCATATTGGCCAGGCTGGTCTTGAACTCCTGACCTCGTCATTTTCCCGCCCCGGCCTCCCAAAGTGCTGGGGTTACAAATGTGAGCCACTGCGCCTGGCCACAAGCTATCTTTTCAATAACAATCATCTTCTGATCTGTTGGCCTTGCTGTACTTAACTTATGATAAAACCTGTATTTTAAAGCACTTTTCCACTTAATAACTGTTTTGTGTTTTTTTGGTAAATGTACCATGATTTATTTGGCCAATCATTTATCAATGGAAAATTATATTGAGTCAATTTTGTTGTTATGTTTGTAAACACTTCAATGATGGCTTTCATTTATCTTAATATGAGAAACCATAAATCTTAAAGATTTATTCTTAGAATTATATTTCACTTTGTCTTAGATACTGCTTGAGAAATAAAATTAATTTTAAAATAACTACTGATGGCTCACGCCTGTAATTCCAGCACTTTGGGAGGCCGAGGCGGGCTGATCACGAGGTCAGGAGATCGAGACCATCCTGGCTAACACGGTGAAACCCCGTCTCTACTAAAAATACAAAAAATTAGCCGGGCTTGGTGGCGGGCGCCTGTAGTCCCAGCTACTCGGGAGGCTGAAGCAGGAGAATGGCGTGAACCCGGGAGGCAGAGCTTGCAGTGAGCTGAGATCTCGCCACTGCACTACAGCCTGGGTGACAGAGCGAGACTCCGTCTCAAAAAAAAAAAAAAATAAAATAAAATAAAATAAAATAAATATCTACTGAGATCTTTCTATGGGCATAGTTCTGGGGTCTACATGACACAACAGTTTGTATGATAGCTTCTAAATTCAAGGTATTTATGGTGAAAAAAAGAAATGTTTTCTAGGTAAGTAAACAAATAAACATGTTAAAAAGATAAATAATAAAGACATAATTGAATTCATAATAATAGTTACAATTTATCAAGGACATATTAAGTGTCAGGCAATATACTATTGTTAATAGCAAAATTATAGACAGTGTTGCCTATGTGTCAAACATTACTCTAAGTCTTTTACCTGTGTTAAACCATTTAATCAGGGACAAGTGGTATTGGGTAAGTACTATTATCCACATTTTATAAGGTAGAAATTTTAGTTGGATTTTCTTAAAATTGCACAGCTTGTAAAGGCAGAATTGGGATTTAATCCTTATAAGAAACCAGCAGAAAAGTTGATGTTATGCCCATTTTTTAAAATCAGCAATCTGAGAGTAGAAAGACTAAATAAATCTCTTAAAATCATACACTCCTAAGAAGGATAGTAACATTGCAAACTCATGTCTGTGAAAACTTCAAACTGCATTCTGCCCACACTGACAGATGTCTCAGGAATTCAAAATTCTGAATGTGTGGGATTTTAATCAAAGGAGGGCATGGTCCTTCAGAACAGCAATGAATGGTGAAACTCGTGCTTCTGGGGATGAAATTTCTAAGCTACAACGTACTCCAGGAGGAGAAAAAATTAGTACCTTAAAGAAGAAAACACTCAAACAGCAGCAGTCCTGAATGGTGTCTCATATACTGAAGAAGTTTCTAGGTTACAGTTCTTTTTCCTTTTACATTTACAATAGTGCTTCTACAAGCTTGCCAAAAATAAAATATGGATCATCATTCTTTGCATTGCACTTTCTGTTCTTCCATTTGGAATTCAGAAAGGGAAGGGATCCTGAGGAAATCATATGTTAAACACACTTTGGCAATTACTGTATTATGAAATATATAATCAAATGTGCCTTGAAAATAGCATATGTAAAATAGAAAAAAAAGACACATCAGGATAGGCCAATAAAGAGAAGCTTGCTAATAATGTACTTTGTTTAAAGTGAATCTTGGAGCATGGAAATGATTTTGGCTAAGTCATATGTGGAATGGCCTGTCATCGCAGGAGTAGGAAAAGTGAAAATGTGTGTGTTAAGTCTGAGCACCACTGACCAGCCTGACTGTGAAAGGTAAAATAAATTCAGAAGACTCATGGATTCATTGATTATAGCACTTTCTGATACAAGAAACAGAACACCTAGCCACTGGTGGCTTCACAAATAAGAAAATTAATTATGTATACTTTTAGAAGATTAGGAAGGCAAAAGTTTCCAGAGTTGATTCAGTCGTTCATCATTATCAAACATGTAGGAGTTTTTCCCATTTTTGTTCTGTCATCCTCTTTTTGTCAGCAAATTCTTCTGAGAGACAGAGCTTATTTAAACTACCCCCAAGTGCTATATACAAACACAATTAACCACTTCCAATGAAGAAGAAAATAACGATTTGTTTTGTATGTTTGTATCTGTGTGTGCACACATTTAAAGGGTAATTTTCCTGGGAACTCATGATGCCCCATCTTTATCTTTCATTAAAAAGGATTGGGGTACAAGTACCTGCTTTATTTATAAGCATAAGCATAAAGTTCCTTGGATTCCAGCTTAAAGTTTATAAGATGTGTTTGCTACCGAGGGAAAAAAATTGGGAGCAGGGAAGGCTGTAAAACAGAAAATTAACAATTATTGAACAAATAAACTAAAGATCAACGAAAAGGTTATTGCAATAAGTCAAGTAAACATAATGACATATCTGAGCCAGGGTGAAAAAGTAACGCCGAATATAAGAGAGATAACAAAATCCTAACAGAAGTAGAATTGCATGTGAACTGCATGATTGGTTCTGGAAAACAAGAGAGATTTAAGGATCTGAATCAATTCTAAGAATATAATCCTGAGTAACAAAAAGAATTTGTTAGTGCCTTTAACTGAAATAAAGGAATCAGCACCTGGGCCAGCTCAGTAGACTCTTCTTCTCTTAAAACTCAGGCCAAATATCCTTCTGTAGCTTCTGCAGCTGCTAAACTCCAGGGCAGAACACAGACTTTCAAGGCTCTGCTTTCTATCACTTACTGTATAACCTGCTTGCTGTGGCTGGTATCTCCAGCACATATGCTTGACCCTTGATGCAATTGCATGTCAGAATTTATTTTCACATTTCATCCTGGATGAGTTTTGTTGTAATTCTGATTGTAATAATCCACCTTCCTTTTTCCAGGGGCCACCAAAATGTCTAGGGCTCTGGGCTTGTGTGATTAAAGGCAGAGTAAAGGAGACGTTCTTTGAAAAAAAGTGAAAGCAGTATACTTGGGTTGGAAACATGCTGAGGTTGAGATCATCAAGTGACTTAGAATTATGGCAGGCTGATGAGCCAGTTTAGGATTGTGGTTATAAAGTTTGGAGAAAAATATGAGCTCATTGTGTAGATTGAGACTCTATTAATGCAAGAGATGAAGACATAGAAATGGGCATTATTTGTTGTTGTTTTTTTTTGAGACAGAGTCTCACTCTTGTCACCCAGGCTGGAGCGCAATGGTGCAATCTTGGCTCACTGCAACCTCCGCCTCCCGGGTTCAAACGATTCTCCTGCCTCAGCCTCCCAAGGAGCTGGGATTGCAGGCGCCTGCCACCACACCCGAGTAATTTTTTTGTATTTTTATTAGAGGCGTGGTTTCACAATGTAGGCCAGACTGGTCTCAAACTCCTGACTTCAGGCGATCCGCCTGCCTCAGCCTCCCAAAGTGCTGGGATTACAGATGTGAGCCATCGTCCCAGCTGAAATGGGCATATTTAAAGCAGCATCATGTAATGCACAGAGCATTTATGTATGAATCAGACAAAGCTGGCTTTTAATTCTGCCCTTAGCATACACAGTTTTTGTGAGTTTGAACAAATTGTCTCCCTTCTTTATTAATATAATAGAGTTTCTATTTTATATAATTAGGTAAAGATCTGTGGTAGGAGAGTTATAATATCCATGATTATGATCATTTACAATGGATGTAAAGTAAATGACATATGTCTATACTATGTGTATAGTAAATGTTACCTTCACTTGAAAGGAAAGTATATGAAGAGACAAGATATAGTACAAAATTGTCAATATAATATTTTTGAAAAATATTCAGCATAGAGATTATCTAAGGGAAATTAGATAAAAAATAAAATTGTAGAGTCAGTAAAGATAATGTTGTTTTCTGCACTGGATTTTCTTTCTTCTCATGTAGAATGAATAAACTCTCAAGTTTCCTCAGTTAGGTAGTAGTTCTCAAAAATGGGAATGTGTAACTCACTTACAGCTTGAAGCAAATAATTGTTGAGCATTCTCCAAATTATCTTCTCTGAATATCAGTAGGGGAAATGTTATGCGAGTATAACAGAACCTAAAATATCTGGTGTTGGCTATGTAGACAGACAGAGGATGGGGAGAAAACTGATACCAAAAGCTGTACAGGTGAACAACCACTTTATGCAGTAGATAATTATTTATAATCTATCACCTAAGACAATTAAAAAGGTGATCTAATGAGTTGCAGCTCTGGGGGAGGAGGATGTAAAATAAGATATTGGTGTATATTTCTGTATAATTTTAACTTTGTTTGGCAAAATGTTATCAGAAAGACATGTATTTATGCATCACGGTGCTTATTTGCAAAGAGCAGTGAAAGGAAATTGACACAGCTCAGGAATTAGAATCTTTTGTATGTTGGAAAAACCAATTGATTCTATTCTCCAAGCATTAATATTTGGAGTTTCAAAAGTCTTTGAGAAACACATGCACTATAATAGTCAGCTAATCAAAATGACTTGGCCAAAACGTTAAGATTGGAATGTAAATTTTTATTTCTTTTAAATAGTAATGATAAATTGTGGAGTTTTTTGGATACACTAATTCTTATAATATTTTATTATACTGCAATACTTAAAGGTAAAGAGGGGCTTATTTCCCAATGATCACTTCAGAAGTAGCCAAAAATAATGAAATGAGGAAAGCTTCCTGGAGAACAAACTAATGGCCCCAGAGATTCAGGTAAGAGAGTTGTCCCATTGGAGGAGACTCTGATGCTCAAGGAAATTTCCTCACCTCTATGATAAAAGGCTTCACAATGTTTATTCAATAGGATTTTTGAAATACTACAGACAAGAGAAGATTGTATTTCTCATTCTTCACTTTATTTTCTTTAATTAGTGGTGCTTATTATGATAACCTGATCCCTCTTTCATCATTAAAAATTGGGTATGAGAGAGTTGTTTAGGGCATAGCTTTCCAGAAAAAGAGGAGCTATAGTTAGACTTGACGAAGGAGCTGAAGCAACTGAATTCTCAAAAATTCTGAATTTGCAAGTGATGCTAATGACTAAATGGAACTCCTATTTATATATATTTTGGGGCATAACTGAGCAGGTTTTATTTTGAAGGATGAAGCAAAGGGACTATTTAGTTACCAGAATATTCTTATACCGTGGCTTATCCTTCTCAAACTCCCTTGCAAAACCCTTGAAGTGACCATTTCTAACCAACAGATTACAAGCAGAAGTGTCACATGACTCTCCAATACAGATCAGTGCACCTCCTCCATTTTTTACTTTCTCTTTGGTGATGACTATTGAGGTCATTTGTTAAAATGACAGAGCCTAACATGAAAGTAACATGGATCTCTGAGTTTTTCCACAATGGAGAACTGCTATAGAGAGCTGCCCAACTAGCATTAACATGTTTCTGAAAGAAAAGTCATTGTGTATATTTCTAGGTTTGCTTATTACTATATAATAGCTAGCTTATCCTGAATAACACAGGGAAAGGAGAGGAAAATAATACGGTGCCAAGGAAGAGAACAGATTTAAAAACAAACAAAATTTTATGTTTGTGTCAAAATATCTCATGAACCCCATAAACATATAAGCCTACTAGGTGGCTATAAAAGTTAAAAATAAAATGAAATGTGAAAAACAGGAAAACACTAACAATGGCAGTTCTGTAGAGAGAATAAATGCAAATAAATACCAAAAATGGTCTTTCTTTTGTCGCATAGATCACATTCTATACCTGGGAAAACAATGTCGGCACTGATTTGGGATAAAAGCTAAACTGCAACTGAAAGAGAAATGACCATGTCATGAGAAATTAGACGCTGTGAAAGTAGATTATATATTTTATAAGTTTGGAAATTAATTTATTTAGGAACATTAACCCAAATGAGATGTTCTTGAAGCAAAGAAAGAAAATTCCCAAGAGATTGAGAAAGCTGAATTAATTTTTTGACAGAAAGAAATAAGTTCATGGATAAGACGATCATGATGATATGAGAAAGGATCAACAAAGCACTACAAGCTGATGTTATGCTTAATTTTATGCATCAACATGCCTAGGTCATGGTATACACAGGTGTTTTGTCAAACATTATTCTAGATGTTTTCACGCAGATATTTTAAAATGTGATCAATGTTTAAATCATTAGATTTTGAGTACAGATTATCCTCCACAATGTGAGTGGGCCTCATCCAATCAGTTGAAGGTCTTAATAGAAAAATCTGACCTTTTTAAGCAAGGAGAAATTCTGCCAAGCAACTTCTTTGGGACTCAAAACATAACTCTTTTCTGAGTCTCCAGTCTGACAGTCTACCCTGCAAATTTTACACTTGTCAAGCCTGCACACATATGAAAGCCAATACTTTAACATCTGTCTGTCTCTCTCTCTCTGCACACACATGTGCACATGCACACGCACACACACACGCACACACACCCAGCTTTTGGTTTTATTTTTCTGGAGAATCCTTACTGACTAATATAGATATGTAAATTTCAGTACTGAGAGTGGTTCTAGAGAAACAGAATCTGAAGGATGAGTTTTCTAGATTACTTCTGGGGTTTCCAAATTGCTTCTCTACCTGATTAGATTGAATGGCACCAATGACTGTATTTCCAGTAGTAAAGAGAGTACCAATGGCCCGTAGTGTGATGTAGCAACAGCCATTAGAAATGCAAAAAATTTAACCATTGGATACCCAAAATCAAATATAAAAAAGAGGTCAGATTCTATGTTTGTATACGATACGTTTGCCAAATTAATAAGTATAATGAGGTTGGATAGCTGGTCTTAATGTCACTCAATAAAGTGGCAAAAGAAAAAGATGAGTTCAGGAATTCAAATTTTCAGTTCAAGCACAGCATATATGACTTGAAAATGTCTCTGTCTGCCGTGAAAATTTTTCTTATCTCCTGTAGCCGCAGCTGAAGTTGCTGAAAAACAAACCTAGAATCTCAGTCTGCAAGTGGCTTAATTACAACACAAATTCCCAACCACAAAGGATGTCTACTACTAAAGTGAAGGCTCTGATTGGGAAGGAATGGGATAATTCAAATTGCAATGGAGGCGCATGGGTATATTTTGATAAAATTGTGGGCATCGAGCCCCTAAATTCTGATGAGTCAGCTTTGCCAGGAGAAGTAGCCTTGTAATGGTCTCTTCTGAGGCAATTACCTAGCAAGATGGTGCTGATTTTCTTCGTGCCCCACTCCTACCACTTTTAGACCTGTAACTTAACTTGAGTCTCGAGTTAAGGCTCCTAAAGATGACCTATAGATCCTTAGGTATACTCAAATCTCAGCAGACCCCTAAAGGTAAGTTACGAAGTGTGAGTTATGAAGGAAGAGTGCTGCACTCCAAAAGAAATATTTGATAATTTTAATTAATGAAGACACATATCTGGAGAATATGTATGGGAATGGATATGAAGGGTTTGAGGCAATGATGGAAGGGGCATAAATTTGGATCAGGATGAAACTGACGTGGGACCATAAGCAGATTCTAGATTGAACATTGTATCTCAGGGAGTTAGAAAATGCTCTAATAGTTTCATTGGTTGGGTGAAACATGGACCAAAAGGTGGCCCACAGTAAATCAACTGGAAATTCCGTATCTGCCTTGGTGTGCTGTCCATCATAAGGAAGGAGGTTTACACATAGTATTTTGAAAATTCATTAGACCTTTACTATTTTGTTCATATATTTACATTACGACAGTGATATAGAAACTCTGCTTTCATTTCTTTTGTCAAAATAAAGACAAATTGGCTCTACACCAACCAATAATTACTCCCCTTCCCCACTTTAAAACAATGGTGATAGGAAAAAGGAATTATGTCTGATGGTATCTCAGCAGCCAGATCTCCTTACAGTTTAAAGATTAACTACTGCATTTAACATTTACTCTAAATCTAGATGTACTGACAGCCCAGGAAAGTCTAGCAAATTGAAGACAGAGATAATAAGTATGATCCCTCTCAGGGCTTTATGTAATTCAATGATTGAGAAATTGATTTTCAGTTAAAGCAATAACAATGCAGGTTGTGCTCTAATTAGACAGCAGTGGCGTTAGAGTGATAATGTTGGTGTTTTGAGATGAACTTTCATTACACAATGGTAAATCATGTATTATCTGTGCTACTGGGAAAATTATTGAGTTAGAGGAATTAGTCTCTAAATTTTGAGTTAATTTGCCCAATACATGTCACCACAGGCATTAATATATTTTTAATAAAGAAGTAAATATATAAACTGTGTTTTTAAATAATAGAAGTATGTCAAGGAGTATTTGAAGGCTTTACTAGATTAGACTAATTAATAATTCCTAGGGACCATAGATGACTCCCAGCTATCGTCCAACCAACATTTCTGCCACACCTTTTTTTTTTTTTTTTTTTTTTGAGACAGAGTCTTGCTCTGTTGCTCAGGCTGGAATACAGTGGCATGATCCCGGCTCACTGCAACCTCCACCTCCTGGGTTCAAGCAATTCTCCTGCCTCAGTCTCCCGAGTAGCTGGGAGGGACTACAGGCGCCTGCCACCACACACAGCTAATTTTTTTTTTTGCATTTTTAGTAGAGATAGGGTTTCACCATGTCTTGATCTCTTCACCTCCTGATCCGCCCGCCTCGGCCTCCCACAGTGCTGGGATTACAGGCATGAGCCACCGCGCCTGGCCGCCACACTTCTAACTAATAAAAAATGTGTTTACAGGCTTTGTCTTGCTTCACATAAATGCGTTTTGCATTAATGTATATTTTTAAATTGGTCACTTATTAATTAGATGAACATTAGAATTTCTGTTGTTGTTGTTGTTATTATTATTATTATTATTTGAGACAGTCTCACTCTGTAGCCAGGCTGGAGTGTAGTGGCGTGATCTTGGCTCACTGCAACCTCCGCCTCCCTGTTCAAGGGATTCCCCTGCCTCAGCCTCCCAAGTAGCTGGGACTACAGGGATGCGCCACCACACCCAGCTAATTTTTGTATTTTTTTTAGTAGAGACGGAATTTCACCATGTTGGCCAGGATGGTCTCGATCTCTTGACCTCAGTGATCCACTGGCCTCGGCCTCCCAAAGTGCTGGGATTACAGGCAGTGAGCCACCGGGCTCGGCCAGAATTTCTATTATTTTTAATTATGAAAGTGTTTATTCTATATGTGTATTGCCTATGATATTATAAAGACACACCACACAATACATAAACAGCAAAACAGCATGTAAACCATCTAGCAAGAAATTTATTCTTCACTCTTCAGAATGATTTATGACACTTGATTATTGTAGAGTCCTATGTACAGCTACTGATTTGGATAATTCTGGTTGCCTATGATTTATTTATAATGATAAAGAGTCTTACCTTATAATATGTCTTATTTTCTTGAGTGAACATTTATTTCAAGGTATAGAAATAGGCTCTAAAAGTAACAGAAGTGATATATTCAGCAAACAAAAACTGCTTCATGGTCTGGGCCAGGTGCTGGTGGCTCACGCCTGTAATCTCAGCACTTTGGGAGGCCAAGGCTGGTGGATCATGAGGTCAGGAGATTGAGACCATCCTGGCTAACACGGTGAAACCCCGTCTCTACTAAGAATACAAAAAATTAGCCGGGCGTGGTGGCGGGCGCCTGTAGTCCCAGCTACTCTGGAAGCTGAGGCAGGAGAATGGCGTGAACCCGGGAGGCGGAGCTTGCAGTGAGCCGAGACGGTGCCACTGCACTCCAGCCTGGGCGACAGAGCGAGACTCCGCCCCCCCACCAAAAAAAAAAAAAAAAAAAAAAAAAAAAAGAGGGTATGAGTACTACATGATGGATGGCTTAAAGCAACATAAATTTATTGTCTCACAGTTCCGGAGGCTAGAAGTTCAATATCAAGGTATCAGCGAGTTGGTTCCTTCTGAGAATTTGGAAAGAGAATCTGTTGCATGCCTCTCTCTTAGCTTCTGGTGACAGCCAGCATTCCTTGGCATTCCTTGGCTTGTAGATGCCTTACTCCAATCTCTGCCTCCGTTCTTGCATGTCATTCTTCCAGTGTCTCTGTGTCTTCACATATTCATATCTTTATAAGGACACCAGTCGTATAAGATTAGGTGCTCACCCCATTCTTTTTAGTACAAATTCACTTCAACTGATCACCTCTGTAAGGACTCTATTTTCAAATAAGGTCACATTCTGAGGTACTGGGAGTAGGGACATCAATATATCTTTTGAGGAGTACACAATTCAACTTATATAAGTCAGTATGGTATTATTGAAAATAAATTATCAAAATAATTCAAGATGGGCAGGCTTATTGTCTATGTGCTTTTAAACTCTTATTGGCCACGTAGTTCTTAGTATGCTTAGCTGTCATTTATATTTCAAACTATATTAGTGATAATCTAACCAATTTGATTTCAGGAAATCATATGTAGTCATAGAATAATAAACCGAGTATTATACTTAAAATAGTATTTAATAATGTGCTACATCTTAAATTAAAATCTGTGTGCTTTATTATAGAAGTTTTCAATGGTGTATAACACAATAAATTATCAAGTCAGAACTTGATTTAAAAAATTGTCACATAATTTTTCTTTGAGTAAATTTTATTTTGTCAGGGGGTAATATATTGATTAATGCCATTATCTTAAGTGACTGCATTTTAAAAGGAGTTAAATTGTATCTTTTGTTGTTTTTTTTTTCTGAATGGCTACAGAATATCCGTTGTTTGCCATCAGTCCTGTATTGTGTTACTACGCTATGACATGACAAGACTTATTAAATAATTTTATATTTCATATAGTGAAGTTTTAAGAATAAAAAAGAAAGAAACTGTCTTTGGAAAGAAATGTTCTGACAGAATATCTCTCTCAGCATCAAATAGAAATGAATTTACTTCTGTATAAAATATACACATTCAGGATGCTAATGTGATATTTGATTCATTAAAACTTCCAGAGGCTGAATGATTTAACAGATGGAAGGTGCTTTAAAATGAAAATATCATATGATATTCTATCATAAATGCATATAGGGCATATTCTCATACAGAATCTAAATATAAGAGGAGAATCACTGAATTGAGTGGAAGGCTTAATGTGCCAGTTAAATTCTCTTAGTGTCACAAGAAAATGATCCTTTTCTCTCAGCCTTGGAGGAAAAAGCTCACTGAATTTAGTTTTCAAATAAGACTCAAAGATTGCAATCAGTATGCTTCCCTATGGAGAAAAAGAGGAAAGTATAGGTTTTTGTTTGCTTGTTTGCTTTAAAGCAGACAGATTCTTATTGAGCAAACCATACAGTAGTATTATAATTATTCAGTTTATGTCTTTAATTTTTAAGATCAGAAAACATCTCAAATGAGTCTGTTGTGACGATTTTCATTGGTTATTAAATCTGAAAAAAATAGACCAGTTATAGTAAAGCTTGGTTCATAAACAGAAACGCAAAATTGGCATGTCTAAAAAGGAATAAAATATACTGCTGAATAACTACTGAATCATTCTCTAGACATAACGAAAGTAAGAAAAGACTTCCTTTCTACCTTGTTGCTGATAACGTTCACTGAGTGAGGGAACACTGGGAGAAGACCAGGATTGGGGTGAAATTGTGAAAATAGTTTCAGACATATTTGAGTCATCATTTATTCTCAAAATGGTGCCACAAAATTGTAATAATGGAGTCATTCTAATCATAATTTGTTCATTGACCAAATATCTATTAATCACCTCCATATGACAAGTAAGACAATAGAAGTAAATTAAAATTAAAAATGTTATTTTTGATCTTATGTCTAAGGGGGCAATTATAGAGAAAGAAATTGAAAAAAGAGTAACATAATTATGTGTGAATTAAGCCAGGGATAAGAGCAATGAAGGAAAGCTACATAGAGTATGAGAACATTAAATATGGGACTTAAACAGGAAGGTTGGTAAAATTAAGCTAGGATGGCAGAGAAGACATGAATGCAGAGATGGAAGCTTCAAGCATTAATACGGCCACACGCTGAGAAAAAGAAGACAAGGATGTCTATGACAGAGCCTCATGAAACTCAAATATTTAATAGTTCAATTAAGATTGATGAGCCAGAAAATGGGATAGAAAAATAATGAATGGAAGGTAGTTATGCCGTGTAATCCAATAAGGGAGAGTATTTCTAAAGAAGAGGATTATTAAAGAAGGAATTACTGAATCTGCTGGAAGGTCAAATAAGAGAAAGAAGGTCATTTTCATCCACTAAGAAACATGACAGTAATTGATGAGAGGTTTTTTTGAATGTGGCAAGCAAAAACCTGATTAGAATTTATGGAGAAATGAGTGGAAGCAGGATGGAGATAGAAGTGAAGCAGACAGCTTTAAATGGTATTTAGAAGTTAAAAAATGACTAGATTTTATCATCCACATTCTTTGGGAGGTAAAGGACAAGAAGATAGTCACAGATGGCTTCTAGATTTCTGCTGTAATAGTGTTAACATTCTCTGAGAGAGGATAAGGCTTTGAATGAAAATTATTGGTCTGGTTTTGGAAGTGTCTGAGTCATGCAAGTGCAGATTACTTCAATAAGCCACTCGATATGTTGTCTTATGCTCATCAAATAAATCTGGTTGGGATATTTTTTGGAAATATTTAATACTCAGATGCAAACCAAAACCAAAGACTCTAGGGAAGACTATATTTCTTTCAAAACCCTGCAGTCTAGAAGTAGGGATTTTATTTTCTATTAGTGAAAGTTCTTCACTTGCAGAAAGGATGAATATTAAAAGATAAATGTGATGATTTATAGCTGAAAAGATTAGTGATTGAGAACATGGCATAAGTAAAATTACTGGCCTTAAGAAAGAGAAGAGACAGCTCTTTTTTAGTAGACTGATAAGTTTTGTATCAGGCAGTTTTTGCTACTTTAGCTTTGTAATATATTTTGAAGTCAGATAATGTGATGCCTCCAGTTTTGCTCTTTTGATAGGTGTTGCTTTGGCTATTCAAGCAGTTTTGGGGTACCAAATGAAGTTTAGGATAGTTTTTGCTAATTCAGTGAAGAATGACATTGGCATTTTGATAGAGATTGCATTGAATCTGTAGATCATTTGGGGCAACATAATCATTTTAATTATATTAATTCTTTTGATCCATGAGCATTTCATGCTTTTCCTTTTGTTTTTGTCATCTTCAATTTATTTGATCCCTGTTTTATAGTTCTTGTAAAGATTTTTCATCTCTTTGGTTAAATTTATTCATAGGTATTTTATTTGTAGTTCTATAAATGAAATTGCCTTCCTACTTTCTTTCCCAAATAGATTATTATTGGTGCATAAAATACTACCTATCTTGTAAATTGAATTTGTATTCTACAACTTACTGATATTTATCAAATCTAAGAGTTTCTTTTTGGAGTCTTTAGATTGTGCTATATATAAGATCATATTATCACCAAAGAGGCATGATTTGACTGTTTTTTCCCAATTTTCACGTTTTCATCTCCTTCTCTTGCCTGAGTGCTCTGGCTAGAACTTCCAGTACTGTGTCAAACAGGAGTGGTGAAAGCAGCATCCTCATCTTGTTCCAGTTCTTAGAGGAAAGATCTCAACTTTTCCCTATTCAGTGTGATGTTAGCTGCCGGTTTGTTGTAGACAGCCTTTATTATTTTGAGATGTGTTCCTTCCATGACTAGTTTATTGAGGTTTTCACCATGAAGAGATGTTCAATTTTAGAACAACCTTTCTTCTGCAACTATTGTGATGATTAGATATTTTTTATCTTCCATTCTGTTGGTGCGATGCATCACCTTTGTTGCTTTGCATATGTTGAAACACCCTTGCAGCCCTGGTATAAATCCCATTTGGTTATGGTGTATTATCTTTTTGATATGCTATTGGATTCAGTTTACTAGCATTTTGTTGAGCACTTTTGCATCTGTGTTTAGGAATACTGGGCTGTAGGTTTCTTTTTATGTTGTGCCTGTGTCTGGTTTGACATCAGGGTGATTCTGGCATTATAGAATGACTTAGGGAGGATTTCCTCCTCTCCAATTTTTTGGAATAGTTTCAGGAGCATTGGTATTCATTTTTCTTTGCACATTCAGTAGAATTTAGCTATGAATTCCTTCAGTCCTGGGCTTTTTTCTTGTTGTTGGGAGACTTTTTATTACTGATTCAATCTCATTACTCATTATTGGTCTGTTCAGGTTTTCTGTTTCTTCCAGATTCAATCTTGTCATGGGGTATGTTTCCAGGAATTTATCCATTTCTTCTAGGTTTTCCAGGTTATAAGCATATAGTTTTTCATAATGGTCTCAATAATCTTTTGTATTTTTTTGGTATCAGTTGTGTTGTCTCCTTGTGCATTGCTGATTTTGTTTATTTGGGTCGTCTCTCATCTTTTCTTGGTTAGTCTAAGTAGTGGTTTATCGATTTGTTTTCTTTTCAAAGAAACAATTTTTCATTGTATCGTTGGAGGGGTTTATTAGTCTTTATTACATTTATTTCTGCTCTGATCTTTATTATTCCTTTGCTTTGACTAATTCGGGATTTGGTTTGTTCTTACTTTTCTTAAGGTGTGCTGTTAGAGTGTTTGTTTGTAATCTTTAAATTTTCTGATATGGGTGTTTATTGTTATAAATGTCTCACTTACCACTACTTTTGCTGTATTATGCAGGTTTTTGTATGTTGTGTTTTCAGTTTCATTTGTTAAAATAATTTTTTTCTGGTTTCCGTCTTATCAATTGACCCAGTGGTTATTCAGGAGCATGTTGTTTAATGTTCTCGTATTTGTGTAATTTCCAAAGTTTTTCTTGATATGGATTTTTAGTTTTTATTTCATTGAGGTCTGAGAAGTACTTGATATTATTTCTTTTTTTTTTTAAATTTGTTGAGCCTTGTTTTGTGGTTTAATATATGGCCTATCCTGGATAATGCTCCATGTGCTGACAAGAAGAATGTGTATTCAGTACTTGTATAGAATGTTCTGTAATTGTCTGTTAAATCCATTTGGTCTGAAGTCCAATTTAAATCCCGTGTTTCTTTGTTGATTTTCTATCTAAATGATCTGCCTAATGCTGAGAGTGGGATGTTGAAGTTCCCCACTATTACTGTATTGCATTTGATCTCTCTTTTTGATCTAATAATATTTGCTTTATGAATCTGGGTACTCCAGTGTTGGATGGATACATATTTACAATTGTTGTATTCTCATGCTGAATTGATCCCCTTATTATTATATAATGATATGTGTGAAGACCTCTGACATGCCCTAAAGACATTTTTCTCATTGTCTTGGGGATTAACATTTGGCTCCTCGTTACTTGTGCAAATTTCTGCAGTTGGCTTAAATTTCTCCTCAGTAAGAGAGATTTACTTTTCTATCACATGATCAGGCTGTAAATTTTCTGAACTTTTATGTTTCCTCTCTAATAAAATGGAATGCCTTTAACAGCACACCAGTCACCTCTTGAATGCTTTGCTGCTTAGAAATTTCTTCTGCCAGGTACCCTAAATCGTCTCTCTCAAGTTCAAAGTTCCACAGATCTCTAGGGCAGGAATAAAATGCCACAAGTCTCTTAGCTAAAACAAGAGTCACCTTTGCTCTAGCTCCCAACAATTTTCTCATCTCCATCTGAGACCACCTCAGCCTCAACCTTATTGTCCACATTGCTATCAGCAATTTTGAGAAAAGCCATTCAACAAGTCTCTAGGAAATTTCAAACTTTCCCATATTTTTCTGTCTTCTTCTGAGCCCTCCAAACTGTTCCAACCTCTGCGTGTTACTCAGTTCCAAAGTCGCTTCCACATTTTTGGTTATCTTTTAAGCAACACCCCACTTCTGGCACCAATTTACTGTGGGGAGCGAGTTCTGTCTTACATGGATGGCAGCAGGCAAAGAGAGAATGAGGAAGATGCAAAAGCAGAAACCCCTGGTGAAACCATCAGATCTCGTGAGACTTATTCACTATCATGAGAACAGTATGGAAAAACTGCCCCCATGATTCAATGATCTCCCACGGGGTCTCTCCAACAACACATGAGATTTACGGGAGACAATTCAAGATGAGAACTGGGTGGAGATACAGACCTTAACCATATCAAGAACATAAAGAAATTATGTATTGAATACAATATTTAATGAAAATTAGTCAAAAATAATTTAAACAATATTTTGGAGTGAGAAAATGCCTGAAGCCTATTATGATGATCAATATGTGAGGCAATGGTTGCCTGTATCAGTGTGGTATTAGTGGAATGATAGTCAGAACTTAAACTTAAACTATATTATTAAATATCTGTCAAAGGTTTGGAGTTCTTTGTTGGAAATTTTATTGTGTGGATATTGTAATCTTGTGAAAATTGTTTTGCTTTCTATTGAGTCAGTCCAGGGAAGGATCCAGAAGGAGAAGACGACCTTCATTAGGAAGGTTATTGAGCCATCTGTCTGTAAGCACTGCTATTTCCTGTTATTCTAACTGATGGCAAGGATCTTTGTTTTAGTTCCTAAAAAGTTGAGAGTGGAAAAATGATTGTGTTTTATGATACAGAATGTTCAAGAAAATTTTGCAGTTGTCATTTTTAGCACCTTCTTTGCTAGTGAAGCAATAGCAATATATTTTGAAAAAAATGTTAAGCTCTTTTTCTGAGAAACATCTAAACAATGATTGTTTTCATCAGATCCCCTTCTTCCATTTAGGGTTACAATGTGTTTGTATTTTAAGTGCTTTATGTGTCATACCATTAGGGGCTATGATCAGCTTGGCATGGGAAAAAACACACAAAAATATGCTAGAGCATCTGTTTCCAAAAATTAGGCTGGAAATCCAAGGCTAAATCTATTATTATCTTGCTCTATTGAGCTGTTTTCTTATTTCTTCTACCTCAATGTATTAGACTGAGTGTTACTAGGTTATGGACTGAGTTATCTATCAGAGAAATACCTGAAATTGCATAGGATCATTCCTAGCATGTATTTTCTAAATATCAGCCATCTCAGAAGTGTTAAATGAAAAACAAAAAAAAATGTCTAATTGTTTATAATTATTAAAAGCTACTTAAGTATTTCAACATACTGGAACAATGAACAACGTAGTGCTTCATTACATTTCCAAAAGGTATAACTCTCTTTTATTTTTGATCTCCTATGAATGGAATAAAATGCTTTCAAATCTCTTCTAGAACTTCAGTGTGTTTAAGAGAGAAAGCAAGGCAAGATATTTGCTTTGCAAAAAAAAAAATCAGTGTATTAGCTGTATTTTCTGTATTTTTTTTCTCAAGATGTGTGCACTTAACCTCAACTATAAAATGAAGCTATAACACTGAATGTTAAACTAAATGAGTATCAGAACAACGGTTATTGCTAGTTATAAGCTAACTGGATATTGTGAAAAACTGAAAACTACATTCCTCATTAAGATTTTAAAAAAATATTGCTGAGAAATCTGTGTTGCTATTTTCCCCACATTCTTCCAGAAATTTTTTATGTTCTTTAGGATTTGCAATGACCAAGAAAATATTAAGATGATGCCTTTATATATTATAGCACAACAACAACAAAACTATATAAAATGTTCTTCTTGTGAAAAGTAGTTTTTTAACCTTTATTTGAGCCATTCTTGAAACAAAATTTTCCTAAGCGAAATCACAATTTGAATCCATTTAAAACTGAGTCACATTTTTCCAGGCCAGTTTTCTAAATCTACTAAAAATATTTCCTGTTAAATTAATAATAGGTCTTAGTCTCATAACTTCTTTAAAATTCTTGCCTTGACTCTTGACTGAACCTTAAAATGACTTAAGAGATCGGGCAACACATATGGATAGTGAAGAGGCTGTTTTGCCAACTACCGTGTCATTTCTGATCATACTCTGGCCAACTGGTAGGTAGTTTTACAGAGGAAAACCCTGTATTTAGAGAAGCTGACTATGATTCCTCTGCACTGGCACTGCAGTGATAAAGGTGTTCAGTCCCTCGTACTTAAAATAGTTAAGAAAATTAAGTTCTAAAAAAATTACCCATTTCCCCTGTTATAAATCATCCATTTCCTCAGTCATAAGCAGGATGAGAGAGCATCAAAAGTTAGCCAAGCTCAGGCCGGGCGCGGTTGCTCACACCTGTAATCCCAGCACTTTGGGTGGCCGAGGCAGACGGATCGCAAGGTCAGGAGATCGAGACCATCCTGGCTAACAAGGTGAAACCCCATCTCTACTAAAAATAAAAAAAATTAGCCGGGCGCGGTGGCGGGCACTTGTAGTCCCAGCTACTCGGGAGGCTGAGGCAGGAGAATGGCGTGAACCCGGGAGGCGGAGCTTGCAGTGAGCCGAGATCGCGCCACCGCACTCCAGCCTGGGCGACAGAGCGAGACTCGGTCTCAAAAAAAAAAAAAAAAAAAAAAGTTAGGGAAGCTCCAACATATGAGAAAAGAGAAACATCTAGTTATCTAGTTCAATATGCTTCATAAGTGGCACTATAGAGTCAATAGCTATTGAACACTTAGCATGTCAGTCCCTTGCAGAGTCCTTGTAATTCCTCTACGATAAACAGACTTGAATGAGGTAAGACAGATAGTAATCATAGCCTTTGTTGCACCCCTTGAAGTATATCCTTGTCTGATGACTCACACCTCTTTTGTCCCACATTTTCCAACCATGTAATTATTTTCTGCTTGAAGAAGTTGGAGCGCTCCTCAGGCCAAGATGAAAAGCCTAAATACCTGTGCTTGGTAAGACCATTCATGACCTTGTGGTTGCCGTCTCCCGCCCAGCACATCTTCCCACTGCTGACTTTCAAATCACTTACTTTGTCATAATTAGCAAGTTGAGCCTTTGCAAATGTGTCACAGGTCCTGTTTTCCCTGCCTTTCACAGACTGCTTCCTAGCACATAGCTTCTCATTTCATTGCTTCAATATATTCCTGTTCATTCTTTATAATCCAGCTTAAATATCATGATGCCCTCTCCCCAGATAACTTGGTCTCAAGTTTCAAGGACCTGTTGTGTAATTATCCATTAAAGCATTTATGACACTGTATGAACATTATTTGTTTTCTTAAGTGGGAGAATCATGTATTGAATCATTAGAATTGCTCACAGTATTCTCCTCTTTTCTAGGCACACTGAATCAAATTGTCCAATGTCTGCATTTTCTGATGTTTTTGCATCAGACATTTAGATGCTTAAGCTAATTTCAGACATGTCCTCAAACGGAAAAAGAGGAAGAGACACCGTTTGAGATCAAAGACGTGAAAATTTCTCCCACTTTGATAAAGGAAGGCTGTTTTTGTATTTTTTGTTTGTTTGTTTGTTTGTTTGTTTGTTTTTGTTTTTGTTTTTGTTTTGAGACGGAGTCTCGCTCTATCGCCCAGGCTGGAGTGCAGTGGCGCAATCTCGGCTCACTGCAAGCTCCGCCTCCCGGGTTCACGCCATTCTCCTGCCTCAGCCTCCCGAGTAGCTGGGACTACAGGCTCCCGCCACCATGCCCGGCTAATTTTTTTTTAATTTTTAGTAGAGACGGGGTTTCACCTTGTTAGCCAGGATGGTCTCGATCTCCTGACCTTGTGATCCGCCTGCCTCGGCCACCCAAAGTGCTGGGATTACAGGCGTGAGCCACCGCGCCTGGCCTGTTTTTGTATTTCATGTGAGAATAGGGGAAAGTGGAGTATCCTAAGGAAATGGTAACAATCCAGGTGAGGTATTTATGCTATACCCAAGATTTTGTGCTCTATGGACCAAATTTCTAGCTTTGAATGAGATTCTTATGCATCATGGCTAACAAGTAAGCAGAAAGATTAGGACTTTGAAGAGCTTTGTCAATGAAGATATCGGAGATAACTGTCATGGGTTGAGAATAAGAGCTTTTATCTTTGTTTCTCAGCACTATATGTATCCCCTGACTTCGGACTCCACATGATCCATTACGTAAGAGTATAGCTAGAACTCAGGCTTTTATGTTACGCAAAGTTGGCTTTGAATCTCAGCTCTGTCACTTAATTGCTACATGAAATTGGTCAGGTTAAACTGTTTGTGGCCTAGATTCCTCCTCAGTGAGAGTTACAATAAGAAAATATTAAACATGTAAAAATAAATTGAGCTTCAGCACTTTATAATTTTTTTGTTAGTAAAATTACTATTTGATAATGCTACCTCTGCTGATAAAAGTCCAAACACACTCTTGCTGTAATCACCAATTTCTTTTATTCCCAGGTTAATGATTTAAAATTTTTTACTAAATAATGTAAAATGTTATCTGAGTTGTGATTTAAAAATCTCATGAAATGTAATCTTACAAAAAATGAGAAATGATACTTAGATGTCTCTGAAGCTATTTATCTTTGACAAGGAATTGAAAAAGGCAGGAAGTAAGAATATTTTAATGAAAGGTGTTTATTTGGAATGCAAATATATTTCCTTATTTTTACTATCTAGAAAATGGAACAACAAAACTGAGCTTTCACTATGTCATAATTTGGAAGCTAAATAATAAATTCGGCCACATTATCCCTCACATCATTTAGACAAAGAAGTCAATTAAGCAGAATATTAAAAGCTGATGAATCAAACAGTGGCATAAAATAGCAATTAGAAAATAATCAGTTAATGAAGTAAAATGACAATGCAGAAGTCATCAAATGACATGAACTGAACCAGTCCATTAATGAGAAGTGACAATGAAAAATAGAAATGCCAAATAGAACAGCTACTATGGCTGTAAATAAATTGAATAGATTCAGAGAGGTAATTGGGTTAAAACGACTGTGGTCCTAAGGGTATTTTTCTAATGTTGATTTGGTATTGTCACACAGACTAAATAAAATCTTAAATTTAGTGAGCTCTGGAAATGACCTCCAAGTGTGTCGTGACACTTATACAACTATGTTCTACGCATTTTATTCAAAAATTATCCATCCGTAGAATAAAAAAATCACATTAAATGTATTGATTATGAATATACAAGGAGAGTATGCTTTACATATCAGGAAACTTCTCTTATGGTTCTTCTTACAGGATCTAAATGGGTGGGTAAAGATTCCACTGACAATCAATGATCCAGAATGAAGAAGAGAGTGGATATCTTTCAAAAACCAAATCAGATATGTGGCGAATGAAATGAAGCAGTAATGTATGAAGCAGTAATGTAGTTAGCTGTATTTCTCTCTTTCCATAGGCAAGCCTCTTCTGCTAATATGCATAGATTGTCACAGGACAAGTTTCTTGGTAATCATAGCCTAGTCTTCAGCAATTAGAACCAATATTAAGAACATTTTCAGTTAGAGCATTAACAATGCAAAACATAAATAATATACTTTCATACTTTATTATTTTTACAGTATTGGCACTGAATTTTTTTAAAATATACTTCTTTTTTATTTTGGGGGAAAGTTTTAGCTTTATAGCAAAGTTGAGCAAAAAGAGCAGAATTCCCAAATATCCCCTGTCCCCCACCTCATACACACACCTACCCCACTATTGGCACCCATGGCACATTTATTACAACCTATGAACCTGCTGACACATTACCATCTGAAGCCAACAGTTTGCATTAAGATTCACTCTTGGTGTTATATATTCTATGGGTTTGGACAAATGTGTAATGACTTGTATTCACCATTATAGTAGTATCATACAATATAGTTTCAATGTGCTAAAAATTCTTTGTCCTCCACCAAGTCATCTCCTCTTCCTCTCAATCCCAGGTAACCATTGATTTTTTAAGTCTCCACAGTTTTGCTTTTTTCACAATATTATAAATTGGAATCATAACAAATGCAGACTTTTCTGATTGGCTTCTTTAACTTAACCATATGCATATAATATTCTTCCCTGTCTTTTCAAGGCCTGATAACTCATTTATTTTTAGTGCTAAATAATATTATATTGTCTGGATGTGTCAGAGTATAATTATCTGTTTAATTACTGAAGGACATCTTGATTGCATTTGGTGATTATAGGTAAAGCTTCTATAAACATCCATGCACAGGTTTTCATGTGTGCATAAATTTTTAATTCTTCTGGGTAAATATCAAGGCACAATTGGTGAATCTTATGGTGAGAGTATGATCAATTTTGTAAGAAACTGCCAAACTAAGGTCTTCCAAAGTCGCTGTAGGATCTAGCATTTCTACCAGCAATGAATGAGAGTTCCTTTTGCTCCACATCCTTGTCAGCATTTGGTGTCATCATTATTTGGATTTTGGTCATTCTAATAAGTATCTACATAGTGGTATCTTGTTGTTTTAACTTGCAATTCCTTAATGGTTTATTTACCTTCTTTGTTCGGGTGTCTCTTCAGGTCTCTTTGACCATTTTAAAAGTATGTTATTTATTTTCTTACTGTTGATTTTAAAAAGTTATTTCATTATTTTGGATAACAATCCTTTATCAGATGTGTTTTTTGCAAATAGTTTCTTGAAGTCTGTGGGTATTTTACTAACTTTCTTGACCATGTCTCTTGGAGAGCAGGAGTTATTAGTTGTAATGAAGTTCAGCTTATCAATTCTTACTTTCATGGATTGTGCCTTTAGTTTTTCATCTAAAAAATTATCATCATCCCCAAGGTCATCAGGCTTTCTCCTAAGTTATCTTCTAGGAGCTTTATCGTTTTGTGTTTTACATTTAGGTCTATGATCTATGGGTTATCCTGGATCATTTGATTCTCAATATAAACTTTACAATCAGTTTGTTGATATCCAAGAATAGAAATAACCTCCTGGGATTTTGATTGGGATTACATTGATTCTATGGTTCAAGTTAGGAAGAACTGACATCCTGATAATATGGAACCTTCATACCCATGAACATAAAACAACTCTCTTTAGTTTTTATTTGATTTATTTCATCAGAGTTCCATAGTACTCCTCATATAGATATACATAGGTAGTTAGATTTATACATAAGTATTTCATTTTTGATGGTGCTCATGTAAATAGTAATGTGTTTTTAATCTCAAATCCCATTTCTTCATTGCTGCTATATATGAAAACATTTGATCTTCTATTAACCTTGTATTATCTGACCTTGCTATAATTACTTATTAGTGCCAGAAGTTTTTTAGTTGTTTTTCTCCATTCTTTAGAAGTTTCTACAGAGAGGAATATATAAGTTTCTACAGAGAGGAATATATTAGCTTTGAACAAAGCCAGCTTTATTTCTTCCTTCCCAATCTGTAGGCTTTTTATTTCATTTTCTCCTCTCATTGCATTAGCAAGGACACTCAGTACAATGTTGGAAAACAGTGGTGAGAAGAGACATCCTTGGATTGTTTCTGATCTTAACAGGAAAGCTAAGTATGATGTTTGCTTTTGGGATTTTTATAAGAATTCTTTATTACACTGAGGAAGCTAGCCTCCATTTCTTGTTTGCTGAGACTTTTCATCATGATTAAGTGGTATATAGATATATAATCATGTAATTTTTCTTCTTTAGCATGTTGATGTGATGAATTACATTAATTAATGTTCAAATGCTGAACCAGGCCTGCATAACTGAGATAAATGTCACTGGGTCTTCGTTGTGGTATATTAATATTTTTATGTATTGTTGGATTCAATTTGTTAATATGTTCTTGAGAATGTTTTCATCTAAGTTCATGGGAGATATAGGTCTGTAGTTTTATTTTCTTGTAATGTCTTTGTCTAGCTTTGATATTAGTATAATGCCCATAAAATAGGCTAGGAAGTATTCCTTCAGGCTACTTCTTGGAGAAGATTGTAGATAAATGGTATCATGATTTTTAAATAATTGGGAAAATTCACTAGTGAACCCCTTTGGGCCTGTTGCTTTCTGTTTTTGAATTTTATTAATTGTAGATTAAATTTCTTTAGTAGATACATGGCCACTTAGATTTCTTATTTCTTCTTGTGTGAGTTTTGGCAGATTGTATCTTTCTAGAAGTTGGTTCATTTCATCTAGGTTGTCACATTTGTAGGCATAAAATTGTTCAAAGTATTCCATTATTATCCTTTTCATGTTCATGGAATGTGTAGTGATGCTTCCTCTTTCATTTCTGATTATCAGTAATTTGTGTTTCTCTCTCTCTTGCTTTTTTTTTGTTCCTTAGCTTGGCTATCAACTTTAGCGATCTGTTCAAAGAACAAGCTTTAAATATTAACTTTCTACATTGATTTACTATTTTCAATTTTATTGATTTCTGCTCTAATTTTTACTATTTACTTTTTCATCTCACTTTGGATTTAATTCGCTCTTTTTCTCTGTTTTTCCTAACTTGGAAGTTTGATTATTTATTTTAAATCTTTCTTCTTTTATAATATTTGCCTTCAGTGCTATACATTTTCCTCTAAGCACTGCTTTCACTACACCTCACAAATTGCAATAAATTGTATTTTGTTTAAGTTCAAAATAATTTTAAATATGCCCAGAGATTTCTTCTTTAGACATACATTGTTTAGTCTCTGAATTTTTGGGGGATTTCTCAGCTGTCTGTTTTTTTTTTTTTTTAATTTCTAGTTTAATACCACTCTTGCTTGAGAGCCAACATTGCATCATTTCCATTTAAAAAAAATACTTAACGTGTATTTTTGTCACAGAATTGCGGTCTATTTTGGTGAATTTCTATGTGAGCTTGAAAAGATTGTGTATTTTGCTGTTATTGAATGAAGTAGTCTATAGATGTCAATTATATCCAGGTGACTG